>NC_000008.11:128839222-129464222 GCF_000001405.40 Homo sapiens | reverse complement strand
TCCTGAGTGACCTGACTGATCAGAGTAACACTGCAAAGCTAGAAAGCACCTTTGAATTTTCTCATTAAACAGGTTATGGCATTTTTTTGTTTGTTTTTTGGTCCTAATCTATGAGGTCTGTCTCCACTGGCCTCCCTTCCTTTCTACCCATAAGACAGTTTATGCCATTTTTACCGCTAAAGTTTTTTTTAAAGTTGATGATTTAAAGCTATTTTTAAAAACAATTTCAGATGATTGTAAGAGTTATTTCTTGTGCTAGATCAACCTGGTAGGTTGTCTAGAAGATAAATAAGAATAAAACCACTATTCCTTGGACTGTCTCCTGAGCAGTGTTCCTCACCAGGTGGTTTTGAGCTTGGCTTCCAGGTTGCAGCAGATGGTCTTAGCTGTTATTAATTTCCATCTGTGAATTACGTAGTTGTATAATATAGGCTTCTTTCTGTCTTACGTCACAAAAACTCAACTCAGTCTCTCTTAAGAAAAAGAGAGACTTTCTTAACCGAAAAATTCAGGGCATGTTTCAGGCATAGCTGGATCCAGATGCGGCAAATGATACCTCCAGGAATCTATCTCCTGTGTACACACCCTAAACTAAGTAGGAAAAGGAACACTCTGATTGACGGGCAATAATAATGAAAATGTAAGAAGGACAGTGCATCTAATCAAAATCAGAGTTTTGTCTTCAGAACGAGGAGAAATGGATTCCAGGCAGGCAAATACAGCAAATGTTGCCTACGATGCTATTGATACAGTTGTCCAAAGAATGTGGGTATCAGCACTGCAGCTTGGAGATTTTGCCTGTTAAGATGGGGTGCTTCACTCCCTCCAGGATGCTCACTGCTCCATGTGTGTCATTGTGTCTAGAGCAATCAGCCTTGATGTTGGATACAAGGAGCAAATCCCTGAGATGACTCACTTGCCTGTTTTCCTCTGTGAGGGTCTTTCTTTCCCTTTTCCTTCCTCCTGGCAATCAGTGTAGTGAATTGGTTGATAAGCTGGGCTCTGAAACTAAATTGCTTGGGTTTGAATCTTGGTACCAATCTGTCAACCCTGTGACTTTGGGCAAGTTACTCTATTGTGCATCTGGATAATAGGACCTTTCTTCATCTGTATGTCTTTCTTTATCTACCTTTCTTCATCAAATACTACAATAGTATCTTTCCCATGAGGATCGAATGAAATTGTAAGTGCTCAAACAGTGCCATAAATGGTAAGTAATCAGTAGGTATTATCATTCTCCCCCTACTGCAAAAACCATTTCCAGAGGGCTGAACCACTGGTAAGCCAGACTGGTCTCATAAATGTTTTACCAGATCTGTCCTCCTTTCTTCCCTGGCATCCTCCAGACTTTGTCCCATTGGTCGTCTTCCCTCTTGGAAATGAGAGCATTCTCTGTAAGGGTATGAGTCTGGCAGTCAGGCACCTCCTGGAATATATCCTGGCCTTCCCGGAAGTAATAGTCCAAATATTTCACAGCTATTATGGATGTTGGTCCTAGCCCTGAGGCAGCACGCTGTAGACTCTTTGATGTATCAGATGTTAACCCTTGAGTTACCATGTCACAGAGATGGCCAGGTATCCTGGTTTATAAAAACTAGTTTTGCTATCTGAATCTATTGGTTTCTGAGTCAGGGAGCATGAGTTCTGGTAGAAAGGGGTACCTGTACTTCTCTACAGCTTCTAATAGCTGCACAATATTGCCCGTATGAATGCATTATGGTTTAGTTAATAGACCTTTGAATATTGAGGCTGTAACTTTTCTCTATTTATAAATAAAGCTTCGTATTTGCTAATTTTTTTTTTAAATAAAAAACTAATTATATGTTGTTCTCATGGATTTTCATGAGGACAACACTCAGGAGCCTGGGGAAGCTGCTTTTTGCAGACTGGTATGAAAGTCCTCCTATATTCTCTCTCTGCATGCCTCATGGTCATTAGTCCTGACTGTTCCGCTTACTCATTCCATGATCCTGGAGGGTCACGTAGCCTTTTTCAGCCTCAGTTTTCACAGTGTTCAACATTAAATGGGCTATCATATGGTAAATGCCTAATAAATATTAATTTTAGAGTAGACCCTGGAACAACACAGGTTTGAACTCAGCAGCTTTACTTATATGTGGATTTTTAAAGAAAATGTTAGAATTTTTTTTGAGATGTGCAACAACTTGAAAAAAGTCGCAGATGAACCACACAGACTGGAAATATCGAGAAAACTAAAAAAAGTTTGGTATGTCATAAACACATAAAGCGTATGTAGAATCTAGTCTACTTTGTCATTTAATACTATAATATATACACGAATCTATTATAAAAAGTTAAAACTTATCAAAACTTGCAGAAACACAGTATATGGTGCCATTCATAGTTTAGAGAACTGTAAACAAATGCAAAGATGCAATATTAAATCATAACTGCATGAAGTTAATGGTAGTACCTACTTGTGTTGCTGTAATAATTTTGTACAGACCTCCTGTTACTATTGGAGGTGAGCTCAAAGGTTGTGAGTGTCCCCTTAAAACACTGTGTTATGCTAATCATCTCTGTGAGCAGTTTGCCTCTCAAGTAAATTGCACAGTGCAGTGAAGAGTGATCTCTCACAGTTCTTGCATATTTTTCATCATATTTAGTGCAATACCATAAACTTTGAATAACACCATAAGGCCCATACGAAGTACCACTAGTGATGCCAGAAGTGCTCCCAAGAAGCAGAGAAAAGTCCTGACATGACAAGAAAAATTTGAATTGCTTGATATGTACCTTAGATTGAGGTTTGCAGCTGTGGCTGTCTACCATTTCAAGACAGATGAATCTATCATAAGGGCCATTGTAAAAAAAGAAAAGAAAATTCATAAAACCACTGTGAATAATCTACCGTTTATGTTATCAGTAAGGGTTCCATCAACAATAGGCTGCTGGTAGTTAAGTTTTTGGGAATCAAAAGTTATACAGATTTTTTTTTTTTTGCTGCAGGAGAACTGGTGTCCTTAACCTCCACATTTTTCAAGTTTCAACTGTAATAATATATTCCCCCATTCTCTACTCCTACTTTGTTTCCATTTGGACTTAAATCCTATGTTTCCTTTGACATTTTAGTATACCAAAATTCTACCTTAAAGAGATTAAAAAAATTCCTGAATGATGGCAATTGATTCTTCAGAAGTAGGGGTGTAGGCTCAACTTACCAAATTTGGGTTCAACCCCTCCTCCAAGATAATTAACATGCACTGATATTCCAGATCCTTTTCCCCCTCCCTGGTGTCCTGGCAGAAACTTTGCAAGGTTCAGGCTAGGTCTGCACAACACTCTCAGATAAATCTCTCCCTTTGTCACACTGTTGAACTGCTAATAAAGAGAGCAGGCTGGCATTGTAGCAGGGCTTTCTTTGGTCAGAGAGCCCTAATGGTGTGTTAGGATTGTATAATTCACCCTCCAAAAGAATCCAAAAGAGAGATAAATTGTTTGGTTGGGAGAAATTAACTGCAGATTGATCCTATCTGTTTTAATTTAGCACAAGATGGCTTAGACTACTCCAAAGAGCCAGATGGGCTATTGATCTGACAATAGGATAATCAGAGCATCAAAGCTGGGTAGGGGGTGGGGGTTGGAGAATTTGGAGCACCTGGGACTTTGCCAGGGTGGCTTTCTTGGTACAAAAGCCACCCCTTAATTGAACAAGTGCCTTTGCCTGCTAACAGGTCTTATTAGGAGCCAGAGCTCCTGAGGCCCAGGCCTGGCAGCAGCATGGAGCTGTCATGTAGAGATGATGTCTTATGCTGGGTGTGTTGGGAGAGAGATGCCACTTGGCAGTGGAAAGGGGATAAGCTGTGGGGCAGGGGAGATGAGAGGGGGGTACTGTGCTCTAGGAGGGCACTGACAAGATAGGAGACCTGGGATTAGAATCAGGCAGTAGAACTTGGAAGCTACAGGGCCTCTCTTTTCCTCTCTTCCTTTTTACTTTATTTTCTTCAAAAAATATTCGATCTCTTTCTCCAGTTTGTTTCACTTCTGTCTTGTCTCTGAGTTACTGCCCCCACCAACACTTGCAGCTGCATTAACCCTGTTACTGGCCTATAAAGAGTGCTTTCTCCAGAGGAGCCAGGGCAGAGGTGTGTATTGAAGCTGAGTGTCTCCAGCTGGGTGAGGGGCCCCAGTGTGAGTGGGGTCACACCGTCCCATTGTCCTGAAGCTTTGTTTGTGGTCAGATTTCTCCTGTGGCCCATAGAGAGTTAGATGTCTGCTGTTTCAGGACACTCCCAGATGGGTCAGGCAGAGTTCCTGGGATGCCACAGTGATATGTCAGGACGCCCTGACACATGAGCTAGCTGAAGGCCCAGCCAAGGCCCACATATCAAAGGGCAAATGGAGTCATGGGGGGCCCAGAGAAAGGGTGGATGATTCCAGAAAATGACACTTGGAACAGAGTTTTGCAAGCTCCCTGTGTCTGAATCTGACAAGACCCTGAGATCCCTTACTCCAAGGACCTGTTTCTGGGGATGGGGCTGGTAGCAGGCCCTGGAAAGTTATGTTAACTCTGGGTGGTCATCTGTCAGCAGGCTCTGACCAAGGATTCTGCAGTGTAGCAGGGATGTGCAGGTGGATATAAATGTTAGAAGGCAAAGCTGAACTCATCCTGCTAAGGAAAGTCACAACAATGGTATAAACTTAGGCTTTTTAGCTGGGGGCAAGGATATTGGTCCTCTTTTTCCTTATTCTCCTCTGCCTTCCCCTCCATCCTAACCCTTACCCCACTCCTTCCCAGGAACCCAATGATCTCCCTCATTCACTGAAAATTTTGTCAGAAAGACAATATATCTCATCAAGATATCATCAAGTCCCCTGAGTGTTTGGTCTATAATGAGGAGTAGAAAAAAGTGATACTTAACATAAGCCGGGCCAGATTTATCTGGAGGTAGACTTCTGAGATAACAACATACCATTCCTCTGTTGTTGAAAGTATCTTGGATAAATGAGGAGAGGCAGAGGGCAGAAAAGCCTTCTAAGAGAAGGAGATCATTCCTTTCTTCCTTCCTTCATTCATTTAATTTGATGGTCTACTATGCTAGACTTCTACACTCTGGGGAACCAATAATCATTTCAGTGATGTCATGGAACTTGCATCCTTGCAGGGGGAGAATGGTAATAAAAAAATCACTTCTCAGGTGTTGAGTGCTAGGAATATATATATTTTTAAGATACTAATTATATAAGATTTCGCTCTTTGTTTTAATGTCAAAATGAAAGTTTTAAATTAAACAGACATCCCTAACCCTAAGTACTTTTTTATCAGTGTTATTCAGGGGCAGTTGAATGGGTAGTTTTATAAATTTGTCTTTTCTGATTTTTAATTCAATTTATAGATGGGAACAACAGATCCATGAGTTAACCTACATACTCAGTTTGAATTTTTCACAAAGCAAAGCCTGCTTTGCTCCCATTTTCTGTTCATTTGAGGGAAAATAGAATTTTTGATGCCTGAAATAATAATGATTTCTTTTTCCCATCTAAAAGAAATATCAACTAGAGGAATAGCTAGGTTCTTGACATAGTGGAAAAATAATAAAGTATATTAATAGCTGAACAAATGGATCTTGCTGGGAAATACGTTGGATTTTCAATGGTCTCACGGAGATAGAATATTTCTTGAACCTAAAACCCTTTTTTTTCTTTTGGTATTTTTACAAAAAAGACTAAATGCCTTTTGATTAAAATTGTTGAATCATTTGAAGGTAAGCTTTTGGAATGCCAGGGGAACCGAGGCCCTGAATGCATGGAGCACTGAAGCCCACACATTGGCGTCTTCTTGCTAGGAGGCTGGCCTGACCTCCCCTCACTTTCCCTGCATTTTCAGCGTTGCTGCGCTAACTAGGGCTCAGGACTCTTAACCTGTGGCTGCCAAAATGATAATTCCTACAAAAGCCTGGCAGATGAAAGGCTAAAGACAGATTTTGTATTTCATCTATGTAAGATGACCTAATAGTGAAGGGAATCTTTAGACTAAGAGAAAACGCCAGTCAAGCCCATTAACAGTCACAGACCTTTGTGTTAGGGTTTTACATGCAATTGAATGATCTAGAGACAGCTTGCTTCAGGGGAAACAGATTTTGAACTCAACGAGTCTTGTTTGAGTTCTGGCTAGCTACGAGACTTTGGACCATCTGAATCTGAACAGGTTGCCTCACCTTTCTTGTCTTCCACATCTTTAATGAGGAAAGTAATAGTATCTACCTCTTGGGATTGTTAAGAAGATTAATGAGTTCTTATATTTAAAACATGTCACAGTGTCTAGTGCATAGTAAACATGATATAAGTGTTAGTTATTACTAACTCTGGATCTCAGTTTTCTGACTCATGAGATGATATGCAGCTCAGGCTGTTTAAAAGCCATGAAATAGTGCTGTCTTTTGTGAATTGTAACATACCAAGCAAATGGAAAGTAATTTAGGCCATGTGATTTTTTAAAGTTTGAACCATCCTCTTTAGACTGTCTGATTATTTTCTCTCATTTAATCATTATCCAATTTATTAAAAGAAAAATAACCCCTAAATAGGCCCCATGTATTTTTGTATTTATTACTGGTGGTTTGTATTGAGAGACTTCAGAGAAGATTTTTATTAAAAATGTTATGCAAAATCAATATAATTCATTAAAACAATTACGAAAATATGACAAATGAGCAAAACAGATTATTATTTATGAGTAGGCCTGAGAGATATGAGAGGCCCTTTTGAAGCACTTAGACTCCAGGAATAATTCAATGCTATCTAATTCAATTCACTTGAAATATTTACTAAGTATCTACTAGGTATCAGGCAGTGTGCTAGCACAGGAGAGGTTAACATTTAAATTTCTCTGCCCTCAAATCATTCTCAATTTAAGAAAAGGATCAGATAATAACATGTGAGTATAATACAAGGCAAGATATGAGGGGACCTAAATTCTCTGTGATTTCAGAGAAGAAAGATATCCCACTAAGTGAATCAGAATATAATCACAGGTTTTTAAAGTCAGAAGAGAATTTAGTGATGATCTTACCTAACCTTTCATGCAATTAGAATGTTTTCCACAACAGCATTCATTCATGTGTCAATTTATTTGCTTGCTCATTCTGTAATTCCTGAGTGAGTGCCTGCTGTATACATAGATGTAGGACCAACAAAGGTTAATAGGACATGATATTAGTGTTTCTTTTTGCCTTGGGAGATCAGTTTTTTTCTCTTAAGGCCTTCAGATGATTGTATGAGGCCCACCTGCATGATGAAGGGTCATCTGTTTTAGTCCAAGTCTACTGATTTATTTTTATTTTTTTTAAATTTATTTTGAGACAGGGTCTTGCTCTGTCCACCAGGCTGGAGTGCGGTGATACAATCATGGCTTACTGCAATCTCTGTCTCCTGGGTTCAAGCAATTCTCGTGCCTCAGCCTCCCAAGTAGCTAGAGTTACAGGTATGTGCCAACAGACCCGGCTAATTTTTGTATTTTTAGTACAGATGGGCTTCCATCATGTTGGCCAGGCTGGTCTTGAACACTTGGCCTCAAGAGATCCACCCGCCTTGGCCTCCCAAAGTGCTGGGATTACAGGTGTGAGCCACCATGCCTGGCCCAAACCTACTGATTTATATGTTAATGTCACCTAAAAAATATCTTCACAGAAACATCTAGAATAATGTTTGACTGACTATTTGGATACTGTGGTCTAGTCAATTTGGCCATCATAGATAAAATTAACCATCATAGGTATCATCCTTGCTCCCAAGGGCCTTGCAACATTGAGAGATACATGTATGTGAAAAGATTTACTGTTCTGTGTAATTGTCGTTAATGATAGAGGGAAATTCCAGGAACTGTGGGGCACAAGGAAGGGGGCAGCTAATCTAACCTGAGAGTGTCAGAGAAGACTTCTCAGAAATGGACATCCAGGCTGGGTCCTGATGACTTTCATCATAACCATGTGAGGCGGACAGCATTTATCTTCTCAATCTTGGCGAGGTTCAGAAGAGCACAATATATTGAGAAAGCACAAAGAGATGGGAAGAAGGAATAAACACACACACACACACACACACACACACACACACACAGAGAGAGAGAGAGAGAGAGAGAGAAAGAGACAGAGGCTACTGTAATCACAGACGGAAAGTTGAGTATTGCCAAAGATAGCCTGGCTATTTTGATACACTATTATTTATTTGTTTTAATCACTGAAATTTTAGTGGCAGCTAAGTGGTCTCCCATACAGCTCAGGCCATATGTATTAAAACACTGTATTTGTAAATGTCTTTTCCCCACTGCCTAAATTTCTACAGCCCTTCCTTTTGCCACAGTTTTCTTCTTATATGGATCCTATTTCAAGTAATATGACATCTTTTAATGATTGTATGTATGTGTCTGAAACTGTATAAACACCATATCTAACTCTCACAAAAATCTACATGTTAGATAATTTTATGTACATATCAAAAGTGAGAAGACTGAGTATCTTAGTTCAGTTATTATTTGTCCTCATTTCCGTAAGTATTGAAGGGCAAAGGCAGAATTTGAACCTAGGATTTTCTTACTCCAACAATTTCAGCCACAACAGGAGGTTCACAAGAAAAATGGCTGCTGGTGCTAGATTGAGTAATTGAAATGAGTGAAACAGGTGCATGCACATGCACATGTACCTGCATGAGGGATGGGACTGTAGCAAATTGCAGAACTCATGACTCTTCCAAAAAGGGCAGGTGCTGCTTGGCTCCATCCAAATGTTGCTGCATGGAAAAACAAACCTTGCCTTGCCAGATCTCCAGTTTTCAAGAATAACTGGAATTTTGTTTTTATTTTTTCTTTCTTTCTTTTAAAGTATGAAATCTCTTTATTTTCAAGGCTGGCCCCAATACATAAAAATACCATGTAGGCCAAATAAAACACATCTACTGGCTGGGTGGTTCCCATGAGTCACCAGTTTCTGACTTTTGATCTATACTATTATTCCTCCCAATATATAAATATTTCTAACACATTAACATTGTAACACCTCAGAGTGTTTAAATATGTAGTAATAATATTTGTGGAACTAAATGTGGTCTCACATGACTTTCATCATAACCATGTGAGGCAGACAGGGGAATGATCATTACATTCCTATTATCCTTGGACAAACTGAGGCTTAAGGGAATTATCAAACCTGTCCTAGGCCACACGTGACTGAAAAAGGACTTGTATCTTTCACTAGAATGCAATCTTTATTATACTACGTACCTTCCTTCAACACTAGGTGAGAAAACAAGAATTAAACTAACCAGGATATAGAGTGAAAGGGAAAAAGGTCCATGGCTCTTTATAGATTGGTGTTTAAGGAAATTAGAGAAGTTGAAATGCAGAGAGAAATGGTCAAGAATCAGAACTAAACTGGGAAGTTAGGTCTTGGCTGATCTTAGACTCCAAAGAAAGGTGTGGGCCATGACATACCCAGACCCTAACCCAGAGCTTCTTGTCCAAAGTGGGTATCAGTCCGGGGTTCTGATGGGATCCCCCTGATCACAATGACCCTAGAGTTGAAAGAAACTTTTCAATTATCTAATAATTCATATGTTGAATACTCAATTACTAAGAACCTACCATGTTAAAAGTGGCATGTGGTTCCCTTATCTCTCTGTTCCTCCCCTTCTCACGAAATCAGATCTGGAAACCACGGTCCTAGAACTTGGAAAGTTGAAGAATGATTTATCTGTTTAAAAATATAAACCAATTATTTGTTCCATTGACTGTCATCATGGAAGTGGTTGTCTTCGGGAGGAAGTGGAGAGATAGGAATTGGATTCTGAAAACAATCTATTCTTCTGCTTTTTGAGACTATGGTACTTCTAGCAGCTTTATACTGACGCCTTTAGGCCTAAATGAAATATATTGTGGTCTAAAAATTTGAATAATGTGTAAAGGACAAATAACTCAATTTGCATTAATTAACATACACTCTTTACCTTCTGTAAAATACAATTCAATATTATATGACAGCATGCTATACAATATGATATGATACAACAGGGACACTGTGGTTCGAAGAGATTCTGGGGCTCATACAAGTGAGGGGTTTAGGCAACAAAGTCATCTTAGGTATCTCCTATTTGCCCGCTACTGTACAGAAGGCCTTGGGGAATACAGAAGGGTACAAGACTTTTGTACCCTCTGCTCTCGAGTAGACAGTGAAGCCCTGGAGGGGTGACAGACTTGTAAAGTGAGCTTTTCAACTCCATAGACCTGGGGTCCATGAGAGTACAAGGGAGACTGATGGAGCCTGGACAGTCAGGGAAGACTCCCAGAGGAGGTAACTCCAGATCTTGTAAATGGCAGCTGTCATCATCTGAAGCCTTTGTGGGAAAATGCTATCTATGTATTGCTTTAATATTGGACTTGTGGACAGTGATGCACTGAGGATAGGGCAGGATGCTGGGCTAGGGCAAAGTAAGGCTGTGGGAGAAAATATGAAGCATACACAGGCAGAAGAAAGAAACTGGAAAACTGATGAACAGGCAGCTGGGTGGAAGTGTGGAGTCCAGGTGTGCTCAGGCACTACAACCAAGGAAAAGAGAGGAAGAAGGGACACAAGGGCAAGGTAAAGGACTGGCAAGAAACTAGTCAGGGACCAGAGATCACAAAAGTAAGAGAACATGCGATAAAAGGAGTCCAGAGCAGTCACCTAAAAATTAGACAGGAGACTCCAGTGTCAGTATCTCTAGGACCTGATTCCAAGGGAACATTTCCTTCTCATGTCCTTCCCAGGAGGATAGGAAAGGAGCTCATCTCTTGGCTAAAAGGCTGGTGGGAGGCCAGGCGCGGTGGCTCATGCCTGTAATCCCAGCACTTTGGGAGGCCGAGGTGGGTGGATCATGAGGTCAGGAGTTCAAGACCAGCCTGGCCAAGATGGTGAAACCACATCTCTACTAAAAACACAAAAAATTAGCTGGGCATGGTGGCACATGCCTGTAATCCCAGCTACTCCAGAGGCTGAGGCAGAGAATTGCTTAAACCTGGAGGTGCGGAGGTTGCAGTGAGCAGAGATTGTGCCGCTGCACTCCAGCCTGGGTGACGGAGCAAGACTCCATCTCAAAAACAAAAACAAAACAAAACCAAAGGCTGGTGGGAACACTTGGCTGGAATAGGCCAAGAGTGGGCAGGAATTGGAGGAAATTTCCTAACGTTAAGTTATCTAACATTTTGATGAATGATTCTTGTTCCTGTGAAACATCTCAAATGATATCAAATGGTTTAATCAATGAAATTTTTTTCTTTAATTTTTTGTCTCATGGCATGAACTATTCATGGACTGTAATATCCGATTTCAGCTTTACTCAAACATTTTAATCCATAAATGTTCACAAACGATTCATATAATTATGGAAGTTGGCCTTCTGGGTTGATGGTGGCTTTTTCTCCAGTTATGACCCGGGCTTATAGATGCGGATAAAAAGCAATCTGATGTTTCCTCTCCGTGTGTCACTGTGGAGGAAAGTTACAGGAAATACACAGAGAAATATTTAAAAGATTAATATTAAACATATTAAAGAAATATTAAAGGATTAAATAGATTAATATTAAATATATGCAAGAGATTAAAGAGTGGCCTGAGGCGGCAGAGTACATAACAAATTCTGCTCTCTGTTCTCACATGAACTGCAATTTTTTAGATCTACATAGGCATCTTACTTAGGTTGGAAGCATTAATTGAGAAGTTATTAAAACAGCTCCAGATAGTTGCATAGTCCCTCCTAGAAAAACGACATAATAAAAACAACTAACATAAATAACCATCTAAAGACTGGCATTATCCTATCTGTGCTACAGGTGCAGAAACTGGAACTCAGAGAGATTAGAAGAAATAGTGCATCATGGTCAAGCTCTGGGGCTTTGAAGTTCCAATAGCTGGTTGGGATCTTAGTTCTGCCTCTCACCAACTGCACATCCCTGGGTGATTTGCCCTTCACTTAGCTTCGGTTTTCTTTCCTCATGCCAACAGTCCTCTATTCTCTCCTTACAAGCACCCTGTTACTTCTCTTGTATAGCCTATGCCAAGAAATGGAACCGCCAGTCTGGTCCTTGGATCTCATGTGGGCCTTTTACCTGGAGCCTCTTCCTTCCTCCATCCCATCACAAGTCCTGCTGCTTTTACACCAAACACTTTCCAAATCTGTTCACTTTGCTCTGTCCCCACCACTCCAATCCATGATCTCTCTTCTCACTTCTGATCCCCTGACACCATCTTCTGCTCACCCTGCTTCAACACCATTCTCTACATGCAGCCAGAGGGAACTTTTTAACCTTCAAATTTAATCCTAAAACTCCTCCATTTATGCCCTTCTTATGGCATCCTACTGCTGTGAGGATAAAATCCAAAATTTCCCACATGGTTAAGAAGCCATGTACCTGTGTCTCTCGCCCCACATCCTGCCATATTTCCTCTTTTCCACATTTCAGCCATTCTGGGCTATTCTCAGTTTCTCAAATGTACTGTACACTCCTTCCCTATCACATAACCTCCACACTTTCATTCTGTCCCTTCATCAGCCTATTTTCTTTGCCTGGATAACTTCTACTCAATTATCAGGAAAGACTTCCTCATTGCCGAACTGGATTAGGTGTCTCTATTGTATGATCCTACAGAACTCTGACCTCCTTTCTCCTAATACCACACTTGTAATTTCTTGTTTAGCATGTGTATTCTCAAATGGATTGTAAGTTCCAGCCTCAGTGCCATAGGTCCTGTGCTTATCACATAGCAGTTGCTCAGTAAATATTTACTGAATGAATGCATAAATAGAAGCATTGTGAAATTAGTTAGGTAAAAGAATAGTATAGATCCTAGGACAGAGTAAGCTTTAAATAAAATGTAGCTCTTCTACAACATACTTTCATCTGAAAGTTTGTAAGTGCAGAGCTGAGATTGGAAACTTGGTCTCCTTGATTTAAAAAACCATGCCCTTTCCTCTATAATACCTTATTCACAGTTTCTGACTTAAATGTTGATAACTGTGGTTTTAGTTTACCAAGCTTAGTAGAGTATAATCGTCTTCTTGTTGAAGGCGTTCCACAAATTAGACTTGCTTATTGAAGAAAACAAATGATCTACCTTTAAATAAATACCTTTCAATAACTTGCTTGGCCCAGGTCAAGTTGACCAGACTGCTTAAAAGGCACGATGAATTACAATATTGTCCAAAACTGTGGAAGATACAAGTGAGGGATATTGGCTCAAGGAGGAGTCGAGTCCAAGGGTTTAGGGTCAAAACGAACAGACAAAGAGTGGTGATACAATCTCTGCAGCAAGCACACATATAATTTCCATGTAGCTGGATGTGTCTGGCTCCCATCGCTTCTAGCAAAACATCTTCTCTGACTTGGCTTGTGATTGTGTAATTGCTCCGTGAAGCCTGGCTTCTCTCAGACTTGACAAATGTGAAGTCCACAGACTAACAATGGATCAGTTAACCCAAACTCCACCAGCATTGTAAAGACTTGTGATGTGTCTTAGGAACATGACACATCTGAAACAATAGCAGTAGGACAATAATGTCTTCCATTTGCCCAGCACTTTTCAGTTATAAATACCTTATGTATTTATAAATGTATACATGTGTCTTAATCCTTCCCAAAATCCAGCAAATTAGGAAGGTATAGTGTAAGGGGGCTTAGCAGGCATTCCTGTCTTATGATGGGGGTGGAGTTTGTTCAATCCAGGAGAAGACAATGAATTTGTCATTTGAGAAAAAGTATTTAAAAAGGAGTCTGAAGACCTGGCTTCTAGTCCTGCTTTATTTAATTTAATTTAATTAATTAATTTATTTTTTTAGCTGAGTATCTCTCAAAAGTTCATTTCACCTCTCTGGACCTCAATTTCTTCATCAACAATGAGGATCTGAATAACTTCCCTGACTGCCCAATAGGGCTTTTTTAAAATTTATATAACTTAATAAATGAGAACCATTTTATAGCTGTAAAGTAGTATTCTAAAATCAAGTGTTGTTTTTGTTATTAATATCACAGAGGATATATAATATGGCAATTCTTAATTGCTTTTTAAATAACAATGACCAAGAATAATAATGCAATCATTCGTGTTAACTAATATTAGTTATTAGTTGTGATACAGGAGAGAGGGGAAAGTAGAGGCAGGCTTCCTCACCCACTCACTGTTCCTGGGCAGCCTCTGTAGGCAGGTGTCCCTGGCCCCAGGGGGAGCACAGCAGAATGCACTTTAGCTGCAGATAATTTACTCCAAAACAGAAAGCTGGGAGGGCTGGAGAATGTGGCCTGCCTGTGGGGGCCTAGTGGGCCTCTTTACACTGAGGCTGACTGACTCACACAGTCCCTGAAGCCTGGGACCAGAAGAAGTCTTTCTCCAAAGCCCTTGAAGCAGAGAAGAGCAATGCTTCCACAAAGAAAAAGTGGAAGAGGCTGGATTGTGTCAGTTCTGTTTCTCCTTCCAAATGCATCATTCTTCTTGGGTGGGAGAGGCAGGGAGTGGGAAGAGGAGGGAGTGAATAAGAGGGTAGAGAGAGGCCAGGGGTATTACATCAATACATGTCCTTCTGAGAAACTAAGATTTGCAATTTCCCCAACAGGATTATTTTAGTATCATTGCTCTTCACTTTACATCACAATTACCATGTTTGGAATTTATTTCATAGGCAGTTAGAACTCACTGCAGAATCAACCTTTGTGATCCTGCCCTAGACAACATTTTGCTTTCCTTTTGCTTCCTCCCTCCCCCTCTCCTCTCCTCTCCTCTCCTCCCCTCTCCTCCCCTCTCCTCCCCTCCCCTCTCCCCCCCACTCCCTTCCTTCCTTCCTTCCTTCCTTCCTTCCTTCCTTCCTCACTTCTTTTATTTTGAAAGCACAGTCACTTTAATTTGATCCTGCAGCAGCCCCAGGAGAGAGAAATATTCTCATTTTATAGGAGAGGAAAATGAAGCACAGAATTGAATGATTTGTCTCAGATCGCAGAAAATGGTCATGGCAGAGTTGGAAAAAGCAGGTAAATCTCTGACTGCTGGGCCAAGGCCCTTGGGGGCTATCATGCTACTGCTTAGACAATGGAGTGACAGCTTATGGACAGTACAGTTTTAAAGGTAGCCCTCGTTGGGAAATCGTGTATACTCAAAGTGATACTGATCCCTGTGGGTTTCCATTTAAAGGCACAGTGTATCTCTGTACCCCAGGTTCACATTCCCAGAAGTTTGACATCCTCACACAAGGAGACAAGCTGAAGTTGAGGCTGACTTAAAGAACCACAGATTCCTGGCCGGGCGCGGTGGCTCACGCCTGTAATCCCAGCACTTTGGGAGGCTGACGCGGGCGGATCACGAGGTCAGGAGATCGAGACCATCCTGGCTAAAACGATGAAACACCCCCTCTCTACTAAAAAAAAAAAAAAAAAAAATTAGCCTGTCGTGATGACTGGCGCCTGTAGTCCCAGCTACTCCGGAGGCTGAGGCAGGAGAATGGCTCGAACCCGGGAGGCGGAGCTTGCAGTGAGCCGAGATTGCGCCACTGCACTCCAGCCTGGGCGACAGAGCGAGACTCCGTCTCAAAAAAAAAAAAAAAAAAAAAAAAAAGCCACAGATTCCCATAGCCCTCTTCATCCTCACTCAAGGGAAAATGGCGTGTTCTTAGGGTAGAATGCAGGGCAGAACCATCTACCGTTGTGAGAGGAAACATTAGAAGTGCTTACTATGTTCAAGTTCCTGCCCCAAACACTTTACATGTATGATCTCATGTGACCTTCACAGCAATTCTAAAATATTTGTACTTAATTGTCCCCATTTTTTACACATGTGGGGATTAAGGCAGAAGACGTTAGGTGATTTGTCACATGTCATACAATTAGCACTTGATGAGGCTTCAATCTGAATCCATAAAATTTAGATTCAGGGGTAACAAACATCACCTCTGAAGCTGACTGCCTCATCTGAATGTACACCTGTGTGCATGCATTTGTGTTTGAATTGTTCCTGGTATGTTTGAATTAGAAAAATTTAAGATACTCACAATGTAACTTCACTCTCAATCCTATTATCCTCTATTTTAAAGCTATAGGTTTTAGAAATTTTAATCTCTCTGAAGGTAATTTCTCAATCATGATTTCCACTGCAGGGCACAGGCGACGTCTTATTTATCTTCACAACCCTTTTAGTTTCTTTAGCATTGTGCCCGCCTCATAGTATCTGTGCATAAGATATTTGCTAAATGAATTCCTGATACTTTTTTCTTTTTTTTTTAACTTTCATTTTAAGTTCAGGGGTACAAGTGCAGGTTTATTACATAGATAGACTTGTGTCATGGAGGTTTGTTGTACAGATTATGTCATTACCCAGGTTTTAAGCCTGTTACTCATTAGTTATTTTTCCTGATCCTCTCCCTCCTCCCACCCTCCACCCTCAGAAAGGCCCCAGTGTGTGTTGTTCCCCTCTATGTGTCCATGTGTTCTCACTCTTTAGCTCCCACTTATAAGTGAGAACATGTGGTATTTGGTTTTCTATTCCTAACAGTTTGTTCTATTATTGTTTTTGAAGTTTTTTGAAAAAGTGCATGGATATATTTCTTAGAAGCCTTGTTTGCTTGTGAAAATCTTGATTAGAAAAAAAACTTGTCTCCCTTGGAAGTGTTACTTTATTGATCTCTGAAATTATGGTTTTATTAGTATCACTGCATGCACCTGGGTATTTGAGAATAAGCAGAGGAATTATTAATGCCTTCAGAAGAGTCAATAAATGTTTGATTATTTAAAATTTCAGGGTCTCAATTTATTTTCTCATCTGTAAAATAAGAAATTCCGATTAGATGATACTTAGCGTACCAGCATTAAGATTTTATGATCTTACTCAGGCCATTTAGGTATTTTCAAATACCCTGATATTTGGCATTACAAAACTCAGTTATCTAGATATCAAATTGACTTTTCCAATTTTTATTTTCATTATTAACGAAGTTGCTGTCTAAGCGGGCATACAAGGTGACTTCTGCTTGGATATTCTTCCTTAGCAAACTCACAGTCGTTCTTTAAGACCCAGGTCTGACATTACCTACTCTGGAAAGCTTCTCCTGATCCTTTTACCTCAACCCTCAGTATCCCTCTCTGAATTCTCCAGGTTGAGTAGGTTTCTAATCATCTCAGGTCTCATTTGACCCTGAACATGTTTCTGTTATTAGATTTAACCCATCTTCTCTATTAGTCTGTGAGCACCTGAGAAGGAGTATATTCTTCCTGTTGAGGTTGCTAAGCTCACTACTTTCACTTCCTTTACCATGAATTCCGTACTGCATAAAGCAGAGCCAAGGAGGGAAGGAAGCACGTACACAAAGCATCAGTTGAGCCCCTGGATCCAGCTATGTCTAGAATTTTTTTGTTTCAGTTAATTGAGCCAAAACATCCTCCCTTTCCCTTTCCCTCAGTCTAGATTCAGTTGTATTCTTATCAGTTGCAAATGAAAGATTTATAGTTTCTGACCTCAAGAGGCACTGTCTAGTGGGAGAGATAGATATATAATTGAACCATTGCAAAAGAATTCTAGGGAAGAGTTCAATGCATAGCATGCTACAAGAGCTCAGCAGAAGTGTTCCTTACCTATTAAATTCTAGTACCCAAAGTGTAGACTGTAGATCAGCAGCATCAACAGCACCTGGGAGTTTGCTGGAAATGCAAACCCCCATCTCAGCCCTATTGAAAGAGAATCTGCATATTAACAAGATACCCAGGTAATTTATTTGTACATTACAGTTTGAGGAAGAGCTGCTATCAATGACAATGGGAAGGATATACTTAGTGACATTTTCCCATAAAGGATGGCACCTAAGATGAATTTTCAAGGATGATTAGGACCCCACTCCAGGAAGAATGATGGGGAACAGGAGGAGAGGGCATAAGTTTCTAGGCAGAGAGAGCAGTGGTAAGAGAAACAGGAGTGGTGGCAATTTTGAACACAAGAGAGCAGGTGATGGTGAGAACAAGGCTGAACATGTTGATCAGATGTGATTTGTTGTAAGGCACAGGTGGCCCTTCACAATAGCAACACATTATTTTGAGGGGTCTTCAGGCCAACCTGATGACTTCAGTGATTGGAAATCCATGGTAAAGGGAGAAATTTACTATATGACTCTCTTAACAGCCATCACTCGGAGGAATGATTCACTTCCTGGATTTACCGTCGCCGCAGTTGAAAGCCTTACAAATGATCATTGGTCTCCCAAACACATACTGCCCGTATTACAGTCAAATTTCTTCTTTCCAAGGATTGCCAGGGTTTGCCTTTTAATGGCTAGTCTTGAATTGATTCAAGACCAGCGATCAATGGCAAATCTTGAGGCTTCCCCTAAAGACCGCTTCTGATTGTGTTCTGATATTAGCATCAGTCAGTTACTGCATTTTCCTGAGTCATCCTCCCCACCTTCTAAAGAGGTGGGTAAGCAGAAAATGGCTCTTAAGTTCCTTTGTACACCTCTTTTGAAGTTTGTAGGGAGATGGGAGAAGATGAAATTTGGAAGGAAACTGTGAATAAAAAAAGTGAAACAAGATGAGATTACATTAAATTTATGACATGACAGGGCAGGCTCATTTTGCTTCATGAATAATGGTTAATCACTGTTTGAATCAGAGACTATTTACTAGCTGGTCCTCATAAATCAGGGCTGGGGAGGAGAAATATTTATCATCGGCTAATGTCATGTGACTTTAATATAGCCAAATATTTTAATAAGATTGAAGAGTCTTCAACACAAATGTTTTAAATGATGGCAGATCTCAAGGCACTGAGAGAAGAACCTTAGGATTTTTGAAGTCAGGTGCTGTCCTTTAAAAATTGAGCTTTAGGCTGGGCGTGGTGGCTCATGTCTATAATCCCAGCACTTTGGGAGGCCAGGGTGGGTGGGTCATGAGGTCAGGAGATTGAGGCCATCCTGGCCAACATGGTGAAACCCCATCTCTACTGAAAATAAAAAAAAAATAGCCGGGTGTGGTGGCACGTGCCTGTAATCCCAGCTACTTGGGAGGCTGAGGCAGGAGAATCACTTGAACCCAGGAGGCAGAGGTTTCAGTGAGCCGAGATCACACCATTGCAGTCTAGCCTGGTGACAGGGTGAGACTTCATCTCAAAACAACAACAACAAACAAAAAAATATGAATTGAGCTTTAATGATGTCTATGTTCTCTCCCCCACACCTGGCCCCTCCTGTCTCCTCCACCCCTGGCACATGAGATGTGGCCAGATTTATGGCACCTGGATCATTTTCTTGACTTCTTTTTCCATTTTATATAAGCTATTAAATGTAATTTATGACAGTCAGGAATACATTCTACATGTGAACACATTTACAACTATTGGAGGGAGTCAAATGAAGGAGGTTATTTGATGCAGGAAAAGAAGCACAGGCTGGTGAGCCTAGTATCATGAGATTTAATTTCAATCCTGAAACTTGCTGTGGGACCTTGAGCTCATCTTTAGTCTTCATTCTCATCTTTAGTCTTCATTCTTCAAATGAATTGAATTCTATAGCCCCATTGGGTTCTCTACCTTCTCTACTGGATCCCCTATTCAATTTTTATACCAATGAGGTATTTGGCTTTAAGTTTTTTTTTTTCCTCTAACATCTTTTAGAGAAAAGGAAAATATAAACCAAAAGGGCATACTTGGATGATGCTTACATAAGTTAATGAAGGACACAAAAATATGTTGCTTAGGATTTCTAGGGAAAGAAAAGAATTGGATCTTGAATTAGTGCTGTCTCCATGAATTGATTAATTGATGTTTTCACTATTTAACATGCATCTCCGTACCCTAGCCGTGTGCAGGGTGCTAGATGAATGAGGCAGTATGATTTTTATGTTTACAATCTGGGGGAAGATTACTGGGCCACATGATATATGCTAGCATAATTACTAGCGTATGATCTAGTAATTATGATTTAATAGATCTAATAGATCTAATAGAATCTAATAAAATTGATCTAATAGAATCAACTTTCCAATTGATCTCATAGAATCAACGTTAATAGGAGGCTTTGGGAACTACCAGTGAGTCCTGGGGAAGCTGGGGAGTTCTTCAAAGTTAGGTGGGAATTGAGTTGGTTCTTGAAAAATGAGTAAGAGTTTGTGAACCTAGGTTTGGCAAGGGAAAGGAGCAGGGAATAATGAGAAGAAAGTAAAGTGCAGACTGTAGCTGGGGCTCCCATCCCTGCCCACCCTCACTATTTGTGGTGGAAGGGCACTTGTAGAAATAGACCACCAATATGGCCTCAATGAAATGTAAGGTGCCAATGGAATCTATATCCACAGCCACCACCAAACTGCTACCCTTCCAATACAGAAAATCTGCAGCAGTCCCTGTGGGAAGGAGAAGAGTGACTTGGGCTAGGTGATTGAAAATATGGGTTACTGAGTAACTTTCAAAGCTAATAGTTATGGTGGAAAGCAGTGGACACCTCATTTCTTTGTTATTACCTCAAGAAGAATACAGGAAAAGGGATCTTCAGATAGTCAATGAACTACAAATTCTCCACTCCGTGATTCGCCCCCTCCATTCTGAGATGCTGAATCCATGTGGTTGATCCATCTGCTTCACTTTCTGCTGCTGCCCAGACTAGTCCATTTCAAGAAGGTAACTTAGTGTTCATAACCCGTGTCCATACAAAGCCTACACAAATTTTTTGAAAAGCTCAGCTATGAGAGGGAGAACTGGTAACTGGTTCTTACCAGAAGAGTATGTGTGGTTGTGATACATTTTTTAAAAGATGGGTTATATCAGAGTATATTCAAATGTTGATGGGAAAGAATCTGGTGGAATGAGATTTTATGTAGGGAGAAAATTGATTGTTGATGGTGTAATGTCTTCTGAGAAGAAGAGAAGGAATGAGACCCAAAGTGTAAGAGGAGAAAGGGGTCTTGAACAAGAGAAACTACTCTTCTATTAATACAAGAGTAGCGTTAAAAAAAAAAACAAAACAGCTTAGGTAGCTTTTGTAGGTTTGTAGCAGGGAAATTGAGAGTGTCTGGATGGTTTTTGTTTTCTCTGAGAAACCCCATGCCAGGTCATCTGCTAATAGTGAAATGGGGGAAAAGAGTGGGAAGTGGAGTTCTAAAGAGAAATGGAGGAGTATTGAAACAATTGTGAAAAGTTGGAGAAAGTATCAGCCAGAGAAACATTTAAGTATTCCCAAGGTCCAGTGGAGGTTGTGGGATGGCTCCAATGTGCTCACCGTGCTTGACAATTTGTTTGCCCCTCCTAACCCTCCAGAGGCTGACTGTACTGCTACGTCGACCATCTCTTTTGCTTTTTGGGAGTCTTTGTCAATGGGAAGAACTAGCAGGAGATCAGAGGAAGGGAGGAAAATAAGGTCATGGTGTTGATTGCCTTGGCTTCCTCATTGTGGGGGCTGCCAGAGTCTAGTTGTGTCTTTCAAGTGAAGGTCCTGGATCTGCTCAGGTTGCCAAGTCTCTGGGTGTGGGTAACTGTTTTTCCCCTATCCCCTCTCAAACCTTGGTGTAATAAATTCACCCTGGCTGTTGCTAGTCCTGGTACTGCAAGATCCTTTGTGGGGTTCCCAAAGTAGTGTTCACAGCTTTGTGAATAGTGGCCTTATTAAATTTTTCCTGAATTAGCCAACTTTGAATTTGCTATATGTTTCTTGCTAAGACCTTGATTGATACATCTTGTTATATCTTTTTCTCCAGCAATGCTTAACTGCCCATACATAGACAGAAAAAAGAGCTGAAGGACTTTTTAGACAGGGTCTTGTTCGGTCACCCAGGTTGGAGGGTAGTAGTACAATCATGGCTCACTGCATCCTCAAACTCCTGGGCTCAGCAATCCCCGAGTACCTGGGACTACAGGCATATGCCACCACACATAGCTAACTATTATTATTATTTTTATAGAGATATACTGTCACTATGTTGCCCAGACTTAGCTCCTGGCCTCAAGGAACCCTCCTGTCTTGGCCTCCCAAAGTTCTGGGATTGTAAGCATGTGCCACCATGCCCAGTTAGTTAATTTGTTTTGTAAAATTGGGTTCTTGCTATGTTGCCCAGGCTGGTCTTGAACTCCTGGCCTCAAATGATCTTCATGTCTTGGCCTCCCAAAGTGTTGGGATTATGACTGTGAGCCATCACACCTGGCCAAGGATAGAATTTTTGTAGTTAAATATGATAAAGAGACAGATGAAGAAGGTGGGGCAGAAGATTTGGAATATTTTTGTCCAAAAGTTATTGAAAAGATAGGCCATACAAACTGCTTATGATAGGAAGTAAGTGGAGAAAATGGCTCCTGGCTTAGGGAGTGGGGTCAGTTTACACTAGATTTCACCACTGAGAAATGAGTGATGTGAAGAGGTGACTAGTAAGATGGAGGGAATTTGTGATCAGAGAGCAGGGTGGTGAGCCTGTGACTTCAGAAGTGGAGCAGTGTCAGGCGATGATGGCCCTGTAGTTAGTAGCAGAGGTGGGTAGAACAGAGCACACTTTGAGATGGAAGTTCAAGGAGCTAAGCAGCCAGGTGGATAACTCATTTATGGTCTCACTGAGGTCAACAATGATGGAGAATGCAATTTTAGGGAAACACTCTGGGTGAGGTGTCATATCTTTAGTGAATGAAATGGAGTAACTAGGAGTTTAATAGAAGACAGAAACTAGTAGACAGGAATGGTCAAAGAAAATGTCTTGATTCTTAAAGGAACAGGAATATTAGAAAAGCATCGGGAAGCACCAAGGGGATTACAGAATAGTGTATTTACTTGCTTCACAACTGTGAAAAGAGGTGGCTGTTGAGAGAATTGTAGGAGAAGCAATGTCCTCAGAGGAGAGCCAGGTTTCTGTCCAGGCAAGAAGGTAAAGTGAATGATAGAATATGTACGCATTATGGAGGAGTTTTCTGATGATGAAGCTGCATTCCAGAGGGCAGAGCAGAAAGATGTGAAGGGGGCTCAGAAATGGACGGAGGTGAGCCATGGAGCAGTGTCCAGGGTTGAAATCTGAAGGTGCTGCTTCTGCTTGGAACTTTTACCTAAGGAAACTGATATGAGAGGTAAGACTGAGCCATTTGTGGGGGATTATTTGTAGAGGATGGGCATTGGGCATAGCAGATGGAGGGCCTGGGTTACTCAGCTGGAGAACTCTTCTCAGGCTCAAGGGACAGACAGATAATCTATCTGATTTGGGGTCTGACTTCATCACCTCCACCTGGAAATTTGTGTAACTACTAAAGGCCTCATTCTACTCAGTTTTAAAAGGGTGATTAATACCCATGTCAGAGTTTTCACTAGGATTATATGAGAGAGTGGTATGTAAACAATGCTTTATAAACTGCCCTGAAGCCCAGTAGACTGAGGAGGACCACTGGCTCACCAGTCTCATCAAAAGCTTCAGATTCTTCTTCCACCATCACTAACTCTATGCCTCAGCTTCCTGATTGGTTAAATGAAGACAATACTCACCTTGTATGATGGTTAATTGAACAAATGAGAAAATGATATAAAGAGATGATAACAATATATGGGATGAAATGAATATACAATATATGTTACCATTGTTTTGATCATAATCATCATGATCATCTATGGTCATTGTCATTATTGAATTGAAATATGTATTAATGAGCATGTATAGTTATAGAATGTTTAAGCTGCATAGGGCTTTATAAATAATGTAATCAAACCTTTCATTTTACAGAAAAAGCAAGAAATGAAAAATTAACTTGCCTTAGGTCATATAGTTGGTCGGTGGCTAAACCCAGTCTAGACAGTGAGGCTGTGAATTTTTGTGTGTGCACACACAGACACACACACACACAGGAGAAAAGAAAATTCAACTGGAAAGGTGGATTTTGAAATACACTCAGCAAATGAGATTTCTGGTCATGACTGGTTGGCAGTGGAAATGACAAGTACTGTAATTGGTACATGCCCCTGTTGAAACTAGAACATAGACCACTAGGCTTAGAAAAGGCCATGTGTCAACAACTTCCTCTTTTTCTCCATTCCAAGATAGTCTTTTAAGTTATATATCACCCTGGAAAGGCCATCTGTCTAAAATTGCTTAGGCTTGGGAAAGAGGTTTTTAGGTCAAATGTAGTACTTTTATTCCACTTGAACTTTATTTTTTTCCTTCCTCTTGAGATCTGAAATTCAGTGATCTTTGTCACAATTCATGATCCCAAGGAAGCTTAAAAAATACTTACCATGTAATAACCAAGAAGCAGAACGTCCAAGTGAAAGATTTCTATATTTGTAGTTCTGGAAAATCAACAAAAGGAGAAAGCTGGTTAATTTTCAGTAGAGATGGGGACAGAGAAGACTTCTGTTTGTGCCCTTCCAGGGGTGACTTCCTTTGGAGCTGCAGCTGCCCTGTTCTGAGAACTGTCCATTCCCCAGCCTTCATCAAAGAATGGGCCATGATAGTCCCTTATGAACTGCAAACCCCCTCCCGCTGTTCTGGCTAATTAGATAAATGATAAATGCTTGACCTGAGGTGGCCTGTCTTAGTCTCTCCTTTGGGAATTTGACTCCCTTGGGAGTTAAAATAGCAGTTAGTCCCTGCTAGCTGCTTGAAATAAGAAGCTGAATGGCAGCCGTCTTCTGTGAGCACTGAGAAGCAGAAAAAGATGATCAGCAGAAAGAGAAGAAGCATATGATGTATTAAATCACTGTAATTCTGAGATTGTTTATTACTACAGCTAGTATATTCTCACTAATACAGATAGAGGGAAAATGTGCTATCAAATAAATAAAGAGTATTTGTACCTTAAAACCCAACAATTCCATTTCTAGGTACATAACCAAGGGGAAACTTCATATATTTGCAAAAGGATATATAAATGAGATAAAAAAGCAGACAATGTTAATCAATTAAAGAATGAATACATAAATTGTGGTACAGATGGATCACTACACAGCACTTAGAATAAATGAAATAGAGGTATATCTATCAACCTGGTTAAGTATCCAAAGTATAAAATTGAGTAAAAAGAGATATAGAAAGATATATGAGTGTTAATTGTGCCTAATTTTAAAATAGGATAAATATAGCATAATGTTACAATTAGTAAAAGTCAGGTGATGAATACATGGTACTATTTGAAATATTTCACACCTTAAAAAGTGAACTAAATAAAGCCATCCTTAAAAACACTTATCTACACCCATCCTCATCTACACTCACTGCTAAGGACAACCATTGTTAAGTTTTGGTCAGTTCTTAGCCACTTACTTTTTTTAGACCTTTTTAAAAATAATTTTCAATAGTAGGGACAGTTTGACTGTAGAGTCGGACAGTTTGACTGTAGAGTCAGACAGATTTAGGTTGAGACTCACACTAATAGTTTTGCATTGACAACTTTCTTAACCCCTCAGAGTCTTAATTCCTTTATCAACTCGCAGAATGAACTGTAAATTTGATGTTGATAGACACAAGTACATATTAACATACATGCATTTTACATAAAATGGCACAGTAGTTGATATGCATGTTCAACACAATGTAGATATAATTTGTATCAGTATTTTCCCTAAATTCATAACAGAAATGTTTTCTTATGTTATTAAAAACTCTTCATTAATAATAATTTGAAAGCTGAATAAACTTTTATTGAATAAATATTACACAATTTACTTAACTATTTTTAATACTTTATTTCCAAACATTTATTTCTCTAAATTTCTCCTTAATGAACATTTTTGTGCAAGTACAGTTGACCCTTGAACAATGCAGAGGTTAAGGGGTTACCAATCTCTTGTGCAGTTGAAACTCTGTGTATAACTTTTGACTCCCCCAAAACTTAACTACTAATAGCCTACTGTTGACTGGAATCCTTACTGATAAACAGTCAATGAACACATATTTCATATGCTATTCACATTATATACTGTGTTCTTATAATAAAGTAAGCTAGAGAAAAGAAAATGTTATTAAGAAAATTATAAGAGAGATAAATATATTTACTATTCATTAAGTGGAAGTGGATCATCATAAATGTCTTCATCCTTGTTATCTTCGTGTTGAGTAGGTTTAGGGTGAAGAGGAATAGAGGGGTTGGTCTTGCTGTTTCAGGGTGGCAGAGGTGGGAAGAAAATTCCTGTATAAGTGGATTCAGACAGTTCATACCTGTGCTATTTAAGGGTAAACTAGTCTTTTCCACCGTTTATATTGTGTTTAACAAATATATCTAATTATTCAACAAAATAATCACTGAAATTAGAATTAATGGGTTAAATGTCACTTATATTTTAAAACTTCTGGTACATATTTTCTTATTGCTCCGTAATAGTGTTGGACATCTTACAGCTCTGTGACCCTAAGTGATTTATTATATCCTCAGCCCTCAGTCAGTTTTTTCTTCATCTTAAACTGAGATTTAAAATAGTAGCTATATCACAAGATATGAGACTAAAATAAAACAACACACACAAAGAACTTATGACAGCTCCTAAGGCATAATACTCAATAAATATTAGCTGTTTTATGAATACTTTGCCTTGAATAATAGTGTGTCTGTACAGCACCTTCTAGCTAATTTAATAGAAAAAAATTAACTCACTCTAGTTTTAACTTGTATTTCTCTGATTACAAAACATGTGGATATATTTTTCATTATTAGTCGACTGGAATTACTATATACAAAATTTTCTAAGCCTTTAATTTATGCTTATTTACTGAGACTTTAGAGTTTATCTTGATTGATTCTACCTGCTTTTTATGTAGAGAGCCTATCCACCGTTTGTTAGTTATATTAATGTAAATACTTTTCTCCAGATATAATGGAGACTTTTTTTCTAAAATAACTTTAAAATTATGATAGGAAATACAATTATAAGAAATAAATTTTGTTTTTCAAGTGCAATTACATTCCGATTTGCAAAGGCTGGGCCAATGTTCCCGGGCCTTTCTTCCTGGACTCCTTTCTTCCCATCCCCTTTGTCTCGTAGTGCTTCCTTCTGTAATCTTGCCTCTGTCATTCACTAGGATTTCATTAATGGATCTTGTTATCATATCTCTGAAGGAGAATAAAAACCTTTTCTTATTGCATCATGGTTTGAATGTAAGAGACTCCTCTAGATTCTTTCCTCTCAGTTATGGTTTCACCCTCTCCCCTCCCAAGGAGGTGACTCATTCACAATTAGCCTACAGCACAAAGGCAGTTGATACCCAGGACACTTGTTATAGGCTCAGTATGGCTGTTCCATGGGTCTGTAGCCTACAGTATCTCTGAATCATGTCAAAGCCTCCGATTCAGTTCAGTGGTTCAGTGTGAGGTGAGATCCCTATTATGATCCCAGTATGAACATGCCTAAAGATGGAAGTAATGGGGCCAGGTGCAGTGGCTCATGGCTGTAATCCCAGCACTTTGGGAGGCCGAGGTGGGTGGATCATGAGGTCAGGAGATCGAGACCATCCTGGCTAACACCCTGAAACCCCGTCTATACTAAAAGTACAAAAAATTAGCCAGGCATGGTGGCAGGCACCTGTAGTCCCAGCTACTCAGGAGGCTGAGGCAGGAGAATGACATGAACCCAGGAGGCGGAGCTTGCAGTGAGCTGAGATCACGCCACTGCACTCCAGCCTGGGCGACAGAGCAAGACTCTGTCAAAAAAAAGTAAAAAGATGGAAGTAACGGGGTGTAAAGGTGGAGCTCCAGAACTGCATTAATTTCCTATTGCTACTATAACAAATTACCACAAACTTAGCTGCTTAAAACAATACAAAAGTTTTATCTTATATTTCTGGATGTCAGAAGTCTGAAGTAGGTTTCACTGAGCTAAAAACAAGGTTTTGGGAGGATTGCTTTTCTTCTGGAGACTTTAGGGCAGAATCCATTTTCTTGCCTTTTCCAGATTCTAGAGGCTGCCTCCATTCCTTGGCTTGTGACTCCTTCTTCCATCTTTAAAGCCAGCAGTGAAACGTCTTCAAGCAATCTCTGCTTCTTTCATTTCATCATTTCTCCAATTTTGACTCTTCTGCCTTCTCTTTAACCTTAAAGGCCACTCTGATTATACTGGACCTTCCTGGAAAATTTATAGTCATGTCCTCATCTCAAGAACCTTAATCTAATTGCATATGCAAAATTCTTTTTTCCACAGGGGTCACATTTTCACAGGTTCTGGAAATTAAGCTGTGGACATGGATGGAGGGCCATGTTACACCTATCATAGTCTTCTGTATGACTCTCAAAGATGCACACCATTCCACATATGGAATACATTTACTCTATCTCAATATCCCCCAATGTCAATCCATTACAGCATCAACTCAAAGTTTACCTTTTCAGCTAAATCTCATTAACTCCAAAGTCCCAAGTTTTATCATCTATATAATCAAAATGTGTATGGGTGACACTTAGATTCAATCAATTCTGGAATAAAGTATCTTATCTTTTGTGGGCCTATGAAATTAGAAAATATGTGCTCTGCTCAAAAGACAATGATGGGGTAGGCATAAGGTAATAATTGTAGACATTGCCATACAAAAATGGAGAAAATAAAAAGGAAACAGGAGTCACCAGTTCTAGCAATTTTAAAATCTAACCTGGCAAACTTAGTTAGATTTTAAGGCCTAGGCATAATTCTCTGAGGCTCATGACCCTGCCCACTGGGCTCATAGCTCCACTATTACAGTTATCCCTTTTTCATAAAAAGTAGTATGTGTTTGCAACTAAGGAATTATATCAGCATGTTTCCTTCTGGTAGAATTTTGGGATTCTGATAGCATTTTTTTCATTTCATCCCTGATTTGTTTCTTTCAATCCAAACTGGCAGTGTTTTTGCTGGTATACAGTTCTTAAAAACCTTGTGGGTCTCCTATGTATGTCTTGGAATTCATTTTATTAGGTAAGAAACTCCTCCACAAATCTTTCCTAGATAATCCAATCTCTATTTTTGGCTTCTGCTGAGATGGCTAAAGGAACCCCTGAGCAATTCACGTACCCAATTTCTTCAAAAAGCCTTTTGTGTGATTGAACACAATAGAACACTATAACCTTTTGATCCTTCTAAGGCACTGGCAAAAGATTGTCTAGCCACACCCACACCCTTGACTTTTTCTTCAGAGTACACGTTTCTGACAGTGAAGCTCCAATTTTTTTTTTTTTTTTAATCTGGATAGGCTACATCAAGTCCTGGTTTCTTTTTGTTAAACAGTTTTTCTGTCAACTTATATTTTCCCACTCACATTCTACTATAAGCAATGAGAAGAAACCAGGCCACAACTTAAGCACTTTGCCTGGAAATCTTTCGAGCTAAATATCCAAGTTCATCACTCTCTTCAGCTCTAATTTGTTTCTAGTTTCTCTGTTTTGTTCCATCAGCCCAAGTGTCTTTTCCTATGCCAGTACCACGCTGTTTTGCTTATTCTAACATAGTAATGTAATTTGAAGTCAGGTAATGTGATTTCTTCAGTTTTGTTCTTTTTCCTGGGAATAGCTTTGGCTATTCTGGGTCTTTTGTGATTCCATATAAATTTGAGGATTATGTTTTCTATTTCTGTGAAGAATGTCCTTGGTATTTTGATAGGGATTGCATTGAATCTGTAGATTGCTTTGGATCATATGAACATTTTAACAATATTGATTCTTCCAATCCATAAACATAGAATATCTTTTCATATTTAGGGGGTGTCCTCTTCAATTTAGTTCATCAGTGTTTTATACTTTTCATTGTAGGGATCTTTCACTTCTTTGGTTAAATTAATTCATAGGTATTTAGTTTTACTTGTGGCTATTGTAAATGAGATTACTTATTTGATTCCTTTTTTAGAGTGTTCACTGTTGGCATATAGAAATGCTACTGATTTTTGTATGTTGATGTTTGTATCGTATACATTTACTGAATTTGTTTATCACTTCTAATAGATTTTTGGTGGAGTCTTTAGGTTTTTTTCAAATATAAGATCATATTGTCTGCAAACAAGAATATTTTGACTTCTTCCTTTCCAATTTGAATGCCCTCCATTTCTTTCTCTTGTCTGGTTGTTCTAGCTGGGACTTCCAGTACTCTGTTTGTAACAGTGGTGGAAGTGGGCATTCCTGTCATATCCTGATGTTAGAGGAAAGGCTTTCAGTTTTGACCCATTTAGTATAATACTAGCTTTGCTCTGTCATATATGGCTTTTACTATGTTGAGATATACTCCTTCTATACACAGTTATTTGGTTTTTTTTTTGTGTGTGTGTGTGTGTGTGTATCTTTTCCGGTAACTAACTTTCTGTTTTGTTGATCTTTTGTGTTATTTTCTTTGGTTCAATTTCATTTATCTCCTCTCTGATCTTTATTCTTTTTGTCTACTAATTTTAAGTTTGGTTTGCTCATGCTTTTGTATTCGTTTAAGATGCATCATTAGGCTATTTATCTGATATTTTTATTTTTTGATGTAGGCACTTATAGCTATAAATTTCCCTTTTAGTGCCACTTTTACTATATCCCATAGGTTTGGATATGTTGTGTTTGCATTACTTTGTTTTCAAGAAATTTTTACATTTTCTTCTTAATTTCTTCATTGGCTCATTAGTCATTCAGGGGCATATTGTTTATTTTCCATGTGTATAGTTTCCAAGTTTCCTATTGTTATTGATCACAAGTTTTATTCCATTGTGGTCAGAGAAGATCCTTGATATTATTTCAATTTTTTGGAATGTTTTAAGACTTGCTTTGTGACTTAACATATGGTTTATCCTTGGGAATAATCATGTGCTGAGGCGAATGTGTATTCTTCAGCTGTTGGATGAAATGTTCTGCCTATATCTATTAGGTCCATTTAGTCTATAGTGTAGATTAAGTTCAGAGTTTTCTGCTCGTTTTCTGTTTGGAAGATCTGTACAGTCCTGTAAATGGGGTGTTGACATCTCCAGCTTCTATTTTATTGGGGTCTCTCTCTCTCTCTTTAGCTCTAATAATATTTGCTTTACATATCTGGGTGCCCCAGCATTGGGTGCATATATATTTACAATTGTTATATCCTCTTGTGGAATTAACTCCTTTATCATTATATAATGACCTTCTTTAACTCTTTTTAGAGTTTTTGTGGTGAAACTGATTTTGTCTGATACACATATAGCTACTCCTGGTCTTCTTTGTTTCCATTGGCATGGAATATCATTTTCCATTGTTGTATTTTCAGTCTATTTGTATCTTTTTAGGTGAAGTGCATTGTAGGCAATGGATCATTGGGTCTTGTTTTTTAATCCATTCAGCCACTCTATTTCTTTTAATTACAAAATTTAGTCCATTTACATTCAATCTTATTATTGCTAAATAAGGACTTACTCTTGCTATTTTGTTACTTTTTTTTCTGGTTGTTTTGTGGTCTTTATTGTTTTCTTCCTTCTTGTCTTCCTTTAGTGATGGGGATTTTCTCTGGTGGCATGATTTAATTTCTTACTTTTTAATGTTTTGTGCATCCATTGTGGTGCACATCCATTGTGGTGCACATTTTTTATTTGAGATTACTATGAGGCTTGCAAATATTATCTTACAACCCATTATTTTAAACAGATGACAATAACACTGATTGCAAAATAAAACAAACAAAAAAAGGAAAACTAAATAAAACTCTATACTTTGGTAGTTGAGAAAAAATGGTGGATAGGAGGCAGGACTAATTTGTAGTTCCCACTCAGATTGACAGAGCAGCATGTGGGCACTCACATTGTGAACTTTTGCTCTAAGAACTACCACAGCAACATACCAGGAAAGCCAAGAGAATTCACAGACCCTTTGAAGGAAGTGGCTTGCCACTGCAGGCTCTGTGATACAGCTCAAAAACTGGGACTGCCAAGTGTGAGAGAAAGAATGTCCACCCCTGAACACACATCCTTACTGGGGAACATGAAGGTCCAGATCACAGGAGAAAATTTGACCTTACCCAGAGCTGAAAAAAAGTTAGAGAGCTTAGTGAAATATAGGGGTAGAGGAAGCAGTGAGAAGAGCCCTATGAGCATCTCGGTCTCCAGGGAAGCCATTTCTGATTTTGTCTCACAGGGGTCCTTGGGGAGGGCTTCCAGTGAAATTGGAGAAAGACCACGGGGAGAAGGAAACTTCCAGCTGAACTTTGTAACAATTTTGACCAAATGCAAAGTTTCCTGGACATAGTCAAGGGAGGGAGCAAACAAACAGGGAATACAGGTTCAAGCACAGAAGCTACAGTAGGCAGGGAAGTAGGAAACCTGAAAGCCCTGTTTGCTTTCTCAGTGGGAAGCTCGTAGCCTGGGGCAAGTTCTTAGCCCTGCTCACCGGCTGCCTGGAAATAAACTTGGTGCTGTTGGGGGGCATGGTGGGAGTGAGACTGGCCTTTTGGGCTGCATGGGAGTTGGATGAGGCCTGTCACTGCCAGATTTCCCCCACTTCCCTGGAAGCCTGTATGATGCAGCAGAAGCAGCCATAATCCTGGTGGGAACATAACTTCACTGGCCTGAGAACCACACCCCCATTCCCTATAGCAGCTGCAGTAAGCCCTACCAAAGGAGAGTCTGAGCTCAGACATGCCTAACCTTGCCCCCACTGATGGTCTTTCTCTACCTGCCCTGGTAGCCGAAGACAAAGGACATAATTTCTTGGGAGCTCTATGGCCCCATTCACCACCTGAGAAACTCAAATACTTATCCAGGTGACACTAGGACAAACTTGTATCCTCCCTGTACAATCACAGCTGATGGTCTATTGAAAGTACCACCTCCAGGCTGGAGGCAAACCAGCACAAAACGAGCACACTAAACAAAAATACAACTAAGGACCCCCACATTGTCCACTTCATTTTCCTGCTGCCTCCACTGGAGCAGGTGCTGGTATCCACAGCTGAGAGACCTGAAGACAGGTCACATCACAGGACTCTTTGCAGACACTCCCCAGTACCAGCCCAGAGCCCAGTAGCTCCACTGGGTGGCTAGACCCAGAAAAGAAATAACAATCACTGCAGTTCAGTTCTCAGGAAGCCCCATCCCTAGGGGAAGGGGAAGAGCACCACATCAAGGGAGCAGCCTATGAGACAAAAGAATCTGAACAGCAGCCCTTGAGTCCTAGATCTTACCTCTGACAAAGTCTACCCAGTTGAGAAGGAACTAGAAAAGCAATTCTGGTAACATGACAAAACATTGTTCTTTAACAACCCCAAAAGCTCACACTAGCTCACCAACAATGGATCCAAACCAAGAAGAAATCTCTGAGTTGCTAGAAAAGGAATTCAGAAGGTCAATTATTAAGCTACTCAAGGAGGCACCAGAGAAAAGTGAATATCAACTTAAAGAAATTTTAAAAAAAGTTACAGGATATGGATGAAAATGTCTCCAGAGAAATAGACAGCATAAATTAAAAAAAAATCACAACCTCTAGAAATAAAGGACACACTTAGAGAAATGCAGAATACACTGGAAAGTCTCAAAAATAGAATCAAACAAGTAGAGAAAGAGCTTTAGAGCTCAAAGACAAGGCTTTCAAGTTAACCTAATCTGACAAAGACAAAGAAAAAAGAATAGGCCAGGCACGGTGGCTTATGCCTGTAATTCCAGCACTTTGGGAGGCTGAGGTGGGCGGATCACGAGGTCAGGCGATTGAGACCATCCTAGCTAACATGGTGAAACCCTGTCTCTACTAAAAAAATACAAAAAATTAGCCGGGCCTGGTAGCAGGTGCCTGTAGTCCCAGCTACTCCAGAGGCTGAGGCAGGAGAATGGCATGAACCCAGGAGGTGGAGCTTGCAGTGAGCCGAGATCACGCCACTGCACTCCAACCTGGGTGACAGAGTGAGACTCTGTCCAAAATAAATAAATAAATAAATAAAAATAAATAAATGAACAAAGTGTCCAATAAATTTGGGATTATGTTACACATCCAAACCTAAGAATAATTGGTGTTCCTGAAGAAGAAGATAACTATAAGTTTGGAAAACATATTTGAGAGAATAAGTGAGAAAACTTCCCTGGCCTTGTTAGATATCTATACATCGAAATACAAGAAGCTCAAAGAACACCTGGGATATTGATCACAAAAAGGTCATTGCCTGGGCATGTAGTCATCAGGTTATCTGAAGTCAAGATGAAGGAAAGAATCTTAAGAGCTGTGAGGCAAAAGCATCAGGTGACCTATAAAGGAAAATCTATCAGATTAGCAGCAGATCTCTCAACAGAAACCCTACAATCTAGAAGGGATTGGGGTCCTATCTTTAGCCTCCTTAAGCAAAACAATTATCTGCCAAGAATTTTGTATCCAGCTGATAAAGACTTCAGCTGAATTAAATTTAAATGAATTTAATTGAGCAATGAACAATTTGTGAATTGGGCAGCCCCCCAGAATCACAGCTGATTCACAGAGACTCCAGGGGTGCCTCATTGTCAGAAAAAAATTATAGCCAAAAAAGTTAGAGTGACGTACAGGAATCAGAAGTGAGGCACAGAAACAGTGAGATTGGTTACAGCTTGGTGTTTGGCTTATTTGAATGCAGTTTGAACATTCAGCAGTCTATGAGTGGTTGAAGTATGGCCTCTGGGATTGGCCAGCACTCAGCTATTGTTACAGGTGCATACTATTAAGTTAGGTTTTCAATTTTGTCTATTAAGCTAGGTTACAGTCCATCCACAAGGACTCAAATATATAAGTATGGAGTCTTTCTCAGGCCATATTTAATTTGCTTTAACACAGCAAAACTAAGCTTCTTAAATGAAGGAAACATATAGTATTTTACAGACAAACAAATGCTGAGAGAATTTGCTACTACCAAGCCAGTACTACAAAAACTCTAAAAAGATCTTTGAATCTTGGAGCAAATCCTCAAAATCCACCAAAATAGAACATCTTTAAAGTATAAATCACACAGGACCTATAACACAATAACACAATAAAAAAAACCAAGGTATTCAGGCAACAAATAGCATGATGCAGAGAATAGCACCTCACATCACAATACTAATGTTGAATGTAAATGGCTTAAAAGCTTAATTTAAAAGATACAGAATGGCAGAATGAATAAGAATTCACTATCCAAGTATCTGCTGTCTTCAAGAGACTCATCTGACACATAAGGACTCACATAAACTTAAGGTAAATGAGTGGAAAAATATATTCTATGCAAATGGACACCAAAAGCAAGCAGGAGTAGTTATTCTTATATGAGACAAAACAGACTTTAAAGCAGCAACAGTTAAAAAACACAAAGAGGGACATTATATAATGATTAAAAGATTAGTCCAAAGGGAAATATCACAATGTATATGCAGCTAACACTGGAGGTCCCAAATTTATAAAACAATTACTACTAGACCGAAGAAATGAGATAGACAGCAATATAATAATAGTGAGTGACTTCAATACTCCACTGACAGCACTAGGCAGGTTATCAAGACAGAAATTCAACAAAGAAGCCATGGACTTAAACTATACCCTACTTAACAGATATTTACAGAACATTCTACCCAACAACTGCAGAATATACATTCTATTCATAAGCACATGAACATCCTCCAAGATAGACCACATGATAGGCCACAAAAACGAGTCTCAATAAATTTAAGAAAATCAAAATTATATCATGTGCTGTCTCATACCACAGTGGAATAAAATTGGAAACCAAATCCAAAAGGAATCCTCAAAACCGTGCAAACACATGGAAATTAAATAAGCTGTTCTGAGTGATCATTGGGTCAACAATGAAATCAAGATGTAAATTAAAAAATTCTTTGAACTGAATGACAATAGTGACAAAACCTATCAAAACCTCTGGGATACAGCAAAAGCAGTGCTAAAGGGAATGTTCATAGCATTAAATGCCTATATGAAAAAGTCTGAAAGAGTACAAATAGACAATCTAAGATCACACCTCAAGGAACTACAGAAACAAGAACAAGTCAAACCCAAACCCAGCAGAAGAAAGAAATAACCAAGATCAGAACAAAATTAAATGAAATTGAAACAAATAAATAGAAAAGATAAATAAAACAAAAAACTGTTTCTTTGAAAAGATAAGTAAAATTGATAGACTATTAGTGAGATTAACCAAGAAGAGAGAAGATCCTAATAAGCGCAAATAAAAATGAAATGAGAGATATTACAACTGGTACCACAAAAATACAAAAGATCATTCAAGGCTACTGTGAACATCTTTATGCACAAAAACTAGAAAACCTAGAGGAGTTGGATAAATTCCTGGAAATATACAACCCTCCTAGATTAAACCAGGAGAAAATGGAAACACTGAACAGAACAGTAACAACAGTGAGATTAAAATAGTAATAAAAAATCTGCCAACAAAAAAAGTCCGGGACCAGATGGATGCACAGCTGAATTATATCAGATATTCAAATAAGAATTGGTACCAATCTGATTGACACTATTCCAAAAGATAGAGAAAGAGAAAATCTTCCCTAAATTATTCTATGAAGCCAGTGTCACCCTAATACCAAAACTAGGAAAGGACATAACAAAAAAAGAAGACTACAATATCTCTGATGAACATAGATGCAAAAATCCTGAGCAAAATACTAGCTAACCAAACCAAGAGCATATCCGAAAGATAATCCACCAAGTGGGTTTCATACCAGGGATGCAGGGATGGTTTAACATACACGAGTCAATAAAGGTGATACACCACATAAACAGAGTTAAAAACAAAAATCACGTGATAATCTTAATAGATGCAGAAAAAGCATTTGATGAAATCCGGCATCGCTTCATGATTAAAACCCTCAGCAAAAATTTGCATTGGAGGGACATACTTTAAGGTGATAACAGCCATCTATGACAAACCCACAGCCAACATAATACTGAGTGGGGAAAAGTTGAAAGCACTGTCCCTGAGAAATGGAACAAAATAAGAATGCCCATTTTCACCATTTCTACTCAACATAGTGATGGAAGTCCTAGCCAGAGCAATCAGCCAGACAAAAGAAAGAAATAAAGGGCATCCAAATCACTAAAAAGGAAGTCAAACTGCTGTTTGCTGATGATATGATCATATACCTAGAAAACCCTAAGGATTCATCCAAAAAGCTCCTAGAACTGGTAAATGAATTCAGTGAAATTTTAGGTTGAAAAATAAGGTACACAAATCAGTAGCCCTGCTATACACCAACAGCGACCAAGCTGAGAATCAAATCAAGAACTCAACCCCTTTTACAACAGCTGCCCCCTGCAAAAAAACACAAAAAACCCCCACAACTTAGAATATACTTAACCAAGGAGGTGAAAGACCTCTACAAGGAAAATTAGAAAATACTGATGAAAGAAATCATAAATGATACAAACAAACGGAAACACATCCCATGCTCATGGATGGGTAGAATCAATATTTTGAAAATGACCATACTGCCAAAAGCAATCTACAAATTCAATGCAATTTCCATCAAAATACCACCATTATTCTTCACAGAACAAGAAAAAAAAACTATCCTAAAATTAATATGGAAATAAAAAAGAGCCCACATAGCCAAAGCAAGCCTAAGCAAAAAGAACATATCTGGAGGCATTACTTTACCTGACTTCAAACTATACTATAAGGCTATAGTCACCAAAACATGGGACTGGTATAAAAATAGGTACATAGACCAATGAAACAGAATAGAGAACCCATAAATAAAGCCAAATACTTACAGCCAACTGATCTTTGACAAAATATACAAAAACATAAAGTGGGGAAAGGACACCCTATTCAACAAATGGTGCTGAAATAATTGACAATCCATGTGTAGAATAATGAAACTGGATCCTCCTGTCTCTTCTAATACAGAGATCAACTCAAGAAGGATCAAAGAATTAAATCTAAGACTTGAAACCATAAAAATTCTGGAAGATAACATTGGAAAAACCCTTCTAGACATTGGCTTAGGCATAGATTTCATACCAAGTATCCCAAAGCAAATGCAACACAAACAAAGATAAATAGGTTGGACTTAATTAAACTAACTTCTGCACAGTAACAGAAATAATCAGCAGAGTAAACAGACAACTCACAGAGTGGGAGAAAATCTTTGCAATCTATACATCTGACAAAGGACTAATATCCAGAATCTACAAAGAACTCAAACACATCAGCAAGAAAAATCAAATAATCCCACCAAAAAGTAGGCTAAGACATGAATAGACAATTATCAAGAAAAAGCTATACAAATGGACAACAAACATATGAAAAATACTCAACATCCCTAATAATCAGGGAAATGCAAATCAAAACCACAATGCAATACCACCTTACCCTGGCAAGAATGGCCATAATCAAAAAATAAAAAAATAATAGATGTTGGCAAGAATGTGGTGGAAACAGAACAGTTTTACACTGCTGGTGAGAATGTAAACTAGTACAACCACTATGGAAAACAGTGTGGAGATTCTTTAAAGGACTAAAAGTAGATCTACCATTTGATCCAGCAATCCCACTTGTGACTATCTACTCAGAGGAAAAGAAGTCTTATACAAAAAAGATACCTACACACACGTTTATAGCAGCACAATTCATAATTGCAAAAATATGAAACCAGTCCAAATGCCCATCAATCCATGAGTGGGTAAAGAAAATGTGGAATATCTATGTCATGAAATGCCAAGGAACAAAATAACAGCGTTCACAGCAACCTGGATGGAATTGGAGACCATTATTCTAAGTGAAGTAACTAAGGAATGGAAAACTGAACATTGTGTATTCTCACTTATAAGTGGGGCTAAACTATGAGGACTCAAAGGCATAAGAGTGATACAATGGACTTTGGGGACTTGGAGGAAAGGGTAGGAGGGGGTTGAGGGATAAAACACCACAGTGTACACTTCTCGGGTGATGAATGCACCAAAGTCTCAGAAATCACAACTAAAGAACTTATCCATGTAACCAAACACCATGAATTCCCTCAAAACCTGCTGAAATTAAAATACAGAGGAAAAAACCCTCTATACTTTAACTTCATCCATCCAGTTTTTAACTTTTTTGTTGTTTTTTGAATCTTATTGTATTGCCTATGTCTTGTAAAGTTGTTGTTGTTTTTATTATGTATTTGTTCATCAGTTAGTCTTTCTATTTGAGAGTAGTTTACATGGCACAATTACAATGTTATAGCAGTCTGTGTTTTTCTGTGTGCTATTACCAGTGTGTTTTGTATCTTCAGATGATTTCTTATTGCTCATTAATGACCTTTTCTTTCAAATTAAAGAACACCCTTTAGAATTTTTTGTAGGACAGGTATGGTGTTGATGAAATCCTTTGGCTTTTGTTTCTCTGAAAGTCTTTATTTCTCCTTCGTGCCTGAGGGATATTTTCACCAGATACACTATTCTAGGGTAAAAGCTTTTTTTCTTTAGCACTTTAAATATGTAATGCCACTCTCTCCTTGTCTGTAAGGTTTTCACCAGTAAGTTTTCTGCCAAATGTACTGGAGCTTCATTGTATGTTATTTGTTTCTTTTTATTGCTGTTTTTAAGAATTATTTCTTTACCCTTTATCTTTGGGGGTTTCACTTTTAAATGCCTTGAAATAGTCTTCTTTGGGTTAAATTTGTCTGGTGGTTTATAACCTTCCTGTACTTGAATGCTCATCTCTTTCTCTAGGTTTGGGTAGTTATCTGATATTATTCCTTTGGATAAACTTTCTTCTCCTATCTCTTTCATTACCACTTTATGGCCAATAAATCTTAGATTTGCCTTTTTGAGGCTATTTTCTAAATCTTGTACGTGTGCTTCATTTTTTAAAATTTTTTCTTTTGTCTCCACAGACTGTATATTCAAATGGCCCGTCTTTAAACTCACTAATTTTGATGCATTCTTAAGTATATGCTTTTTGTTTTTCAGCTGTAGAATTTCTGCTTTATTTTCTTTATTTTTAAAATTAAAAAAATATTTATTCATTTTTGAGAGACAAAGTCTCACTCCATCACCCAGGCTGTAGTGCAGTGGCATGATCATGGCTCATGGCAGGCTTGACCTCCCAGGCTCAGGTGATCCTCCCACCTCAGCCTCCTGAGTAGCTGGGACTACTATTCTGTGTTCTCTGTGCTGTCTTGAATTTCTTTGAGTTTTCTCAAAACAGCTATTTTGAATTCTCTATCTGCTTTCTCCAGGATTGCTTCCTTATGCCTTAGTTAGTTCATTTAGTGAGGTCGTGTTTTCCTGAATGGCCCTGATGCTTGTAAATGTTCATTACTGTCTACAAATTGAAGAGTTTGACATTTATCATAATCTTCACAGTCTGGGCTTGTTTGTGCCTGTCCTTCTTTGGAAGGCTCTCCAGGTCTTCAAAGGGATTTGGGCCCCCAGCCCAACAATGCTGTGGTTCTTGGAGACTCATAGAGGTACAGCCTTGATTGTCTTGGATAAGATCCAGAAGAAGTCTCTGGATTACTAGGCAGAGACTCTTCTTTTTCCTTACTTTTTCCCAAACAAACAGAGTCTCTCTCTCTCTCTCTGTGCTGAGCCATCTGGAATGGGGGTTAGGGTGACACAAGCACCCCTATGGCCATCACCACTGGGAATGAGCTGTTTCTGACCTGAAGCCTGCACAGCATTGGGTCTCACCCAAAGCTCGCTGTAACCACTCTCTGGCTACCACCTATATTCACTCAAGTGCCTAGTGCTCTACAATCAGCAGGTGGTGAAGCCAGCCAGGTTTGTGTCTCTTCACAGTGTTGAGTTCCCTTAGGCCCTGGGCATGTCCAGAGATGCTGTCTAGAAGCCAGGGATTAGAGTGAAAAATCTTAGAAACTTATCTCATGTTCTATTATTCTGTGGCTAAGCTGGAACTCAAGCCACCAGACAGTCCTTCCCAATCTTCCCTCCCCTTTCACAGGGAGAGGAGCCTCTTCCTGTGACCACCACCACCACCACCATCATTGGCCCACAGCGAGTTCTGTCAGGCCACTGCCAATGTTCTCTTAAAACTCCAGGGCTCTATGGTCAGCTTGTGGTAAATTCTGCAAGGTCTGGGGCTTACCTTTCAGGGCAGTGGGCTCCCCTGTGGCCCAGGGAAGGTCTGGAAATACTGTCCAAGAGCCTAGGCCTGGAATCAGGGACTCCAGGAGCCTACGGGGTGCTCTATCACACTGTGGCTAAGCTGGTACCTAAGGTGCAAGACAAAGTCTCCTTTACTTTTTCTTCTGCCTGTCTCAAACAGAAGTCTTTCACCGTATGCATCACAGCTGTGAATGTGCTGGGTCACACCTGATGCCAGCACATCTCAGAGCCTGAGTTACATGGTGTACTCCCTGGGATATTGCTGTTGGTTATTCAGGGTCCAAAGGCTCTTTAGTTATCAGCTGATGAATCTTGCCAGGACTGGGTCCTTCCCTTCAAGGCAGAGGATTCCCTTTTGGCCCATGATATGTCTAGAAATCTCATCCAGGAGCTAGGGCCTGGAATAGGGTCCTCTGACTGGTGCCCTATCCTGTGGCTGAGCTGGCATCCAAGATGCAAGATGATGTCCTCTTTACTCTTTGCTCTCCTGTCCTCAAGCAGAAGAAAGGAGTCACTTTGGTTGCTGCCAGCTGTGCTGGCTGGGGTTGGGGCAGGGGTGGTGCAATCACTCCCTTAGCAGCCCTGTTGGATGTCTCTGTAAGTCACATGCTACCCTAGTCTCCTCGCTCTAAATGCCTGCACTAGGAGTTGCCTAAGAATTGCAGTCCTGTGTCCTAGACTGCCTTTCGAGTTTACTTAGGACCCCATAGCACTTTGGCCCATGGTGGTGAGGCCTGCCATGAAACTCAAGTTCCTGCTGCTGGGATGGATGATTCCCCTCTGGCCAGGTCTTATCCAAATGCTCCTTCCATGCATGGGCACTGGCTGCATTCAGCATGGCTTTGTCCTCCATTGTGATAGGGCAGCTCTGAGTTCAGTGTAATGTCTCCCAGTCATTTCGCTCTCCCTCCTGCAAATGCAGAGACTCTCTGTGCCTCATGGCCACTGCCTGGGGATGAGGGAGCGGTGGTGTCCTTAATTCAAGACAGTCTTCTACCCACTTCAGTGCCTCTTTCAGTGAAATGAAGTTACAAACTGGGTACTCTGTGATTGCTCACCTGATTTTTGGTTCTTTTGATGGTGCTTTTTTGTCTGTAGTTAGTTGTTAAAATTTGGTCTTCCTGTTGGGGGAATGAATGACATAGGCTTCTATTTGGCCTTCTTGCTCTGCCCTCTTCAACATAAGACAATTTACTTATCCAGGCCTTGACTTTTGAACATTTAGCTAGCTTCTATTTTTACTCTACTACAAATAAATGAACAAACTCACCTCTCCTCTGATCACCGCTTCCCTGCCACACTATTTTCTGACTGTCCCTCAAACACCTCAAACTTGGCTCCTACCTCTCGGGCTTTGCACTTACAGTCTCTTCAGCTGAAACCATCTGCCTCTACATAATACATAGTTTGCTTCCTCGTGTCATTCATTTCTTTGTCAAATGTCACCTCCTTCAGGGGGCCTACCCAGGGCTCCCGTTTCATTCTCTTTTTACTCTGACTTATTTTCTTTCTAGCATCTATCAGTAGTTGACATTATTATGCATTTAACTCTGCATTTCTTATCTATCACTCTCCGTAGAAATTAATTTTCATGAGGACAGGGTCCTTGTCTCTCTTGCTCAGCTTTACTTCCCTGGTACTGTAGAATACATCTGCCTCAATAAAAGATGCTCAGCCAACAATGGACAAGTGAATAGACAATAAAAATGTTCCCCATATTTTCGAGTTTTTGCTATAGTGATTAGAATCACTATGTTAATAGGTATGAACAATATAAGGCTCTCAACACATTCTGTACAATTACATTCCAAAAGGGCTTATACTGGTTTACATTTCCATCAACAATATAGGAAACTGCATCTTTCACTATCCCCTAGACTGACTGGATTTGACTCAATGACAGTCAAGATTCTAATATCTTGAGTAAGCAAAATTAGACATGCATTCCCTTCCCTCAGAAGTGTGTCTCAACCAGGATATTGTTTTTCTTTTCTTTGTCACATATGACAAATTGTACTCACTGCCTCTTGTACTGTTTCTTCTCACTCCTGCCCTCTCCACAAAGGAAATGTTGGGCATTATAATCAGTCTCAAGGAAGAGTTTGCATGGAAATTAAAATGATAGAATAAACTCTGGTACTAATCTAAAGCATGAACTTTGCAGTCAGGTGGGCTGGGGTTCAACTCCTGCCCGGCCCTTCCCTGGAACTCTCTAGACTTTGATTTCTGGATCTGGAAATAGGGCATAATAACCTTACTGCCCACTTTTCAGGATTGTTATAAGTAATAAATGCGGTAATGTATGATGTCTTGTAGTACAATGGCAGGTTCAAGCCAACAATTTACCTACAAATAAAGAAATAAACACACACTCCAGAGAAATTTATTTGGGCCCAGGCAATTCTCTGATAGTGTTCCAGAGGGGCAGACAATGTGATTTTTCTCTGCTGTAGAGCTGGCAGCAAGGGCAGGAGGCAATGGGGGAAGAAAATTGGAACAGTGACAAATTGATAGGAAACAGGAAGTCAGTGAGGCCTGACTGTCTCAAAAAAAAGTCTGAAGAATGGACATAGAAAGGAAATGTAATGTCAGCTGTGGTGCTGAGTAGGTCAGTCTTTTAATAGAGCCATATTCCAGGAAAGAACTTTTCAAGTAAGGAAGTTCCCTGAACCCATGCCCTGAAACATTTCAGTAGCTGTTTTGAAAGCAACTTTCTCTTGTCAGTTGTAATAGCTCATGGGGTAGTAACTCCTTTACCAGTTTTGCAACACTAGTTGCAAACAACAATCATGGTTTCCCTGAAAAATAACAATCATGGGTAACATTGATTAAGAACTTGCTTTATGCCTAATGATTATTAAGCATTTTAAAGAAATTTATTCAATTAAGATGTTCTTACTGTACATCTACTATGTCTCAGGTATTGTTCTGAGTGCTGGGAATTTAACAGTGAAAAAAAAAGACAATGTCCCTGTCATCGCAGAGTCTACTTCCCAGACAATGCAACATACAAGTACAAATTTGAAAATAAAATTTAAAAAATGATACTTACATAATCATAGAACTATTTTCATGTTAAAACATACAGGTCAAAATTGTGTTGTATAAAGCCACATAGGATTCCACTGTATCTATGTATTGTATTTTATTTAACTGTTGTCTTATTGATGAAAAAAATTGGGTTGTTTGAGTTTTTTAGTTATCACTAACAATGTTGCAGTCAACATTCTTTGAAAATATTCCTTTGCTTACTCTTTTGGATATTTATTGTTGAATAATAAATAATCCTTTCTATTCCACAAGAAATGACCTGGGTTTGTTGCAAAGCAGATTTGTTGTGTTTCTATAGGAGGTTCCAAAGATCTCTTTTCATTTTGAAATATCTTGGTCCTTTCTGGGCCCAGGTGAAATAATTCCTTTAAAAATGTTATTTATTTATTTATTTATTTAAAGACAAAGACCACATCCACCTATCTCTTTGAGACTGGTCCTTTCTACCTTGGGTTCTATGGGACAATGTTCTTATAATTCATAGAAGCCCATTTTTATTATTAAGAATGTCTTTAAGGCACTGCCTTAAATATTTGATAACATCAAAACTTTTATGATATAAATTTTGATACTTTTTGTTAATTTATTACTATATTTTAAATGGGATTATCTTATATTTTTACATAATATTTTCTGATTATCGTTTGTACATCAGAAACTCTTCAGCATCCTTACTGTTCTACTAACTTTAATGGTACTTTAGTTGATTCTTTTGGGTTTTCCAGATACAAAGTCATACATATAAACAATGCTAATCTTGTCACTTCTTTTAATTTGAGCTTTTAAATTCCTCTTTTCCTGTCCGTCTTGTCTTTTAATATTGGGGCAGAATAGAGCTAGCAGTCGTGGGCTGGAGTAGTATCAAATTGACTCAAGTGTAGGAAGGTTGTGATGCAGAAGGTAGAATTCACATAGAACTGGAGGACATGGCATTTCTTCCAATATCCCAAGACCTGGGAATAAATTGTTACATAGTGTGGGGAAGCTTGGATACCTTGAAAATGTTCTGTACACAGAATGCCTTTGGCAAGAGCTGTGGGCTTTTTCATTTGTGCTCCCTGCTCTACCTTTTGCATAATTTTTTCATCAGATTTTCCGTACTATATTTCAATATTTCAATCATTTGTTCAGTTGTCAATCTTTTTTTTTTTTTTTTTTGGTAATTTGCTTAACCAAACAATGAGCTCCCAAAGGGTAGAAATTGAGTTTTCTTCTCTCCATATCCCTAGTTGTTAGCAGAATGCTTGAAGTGTAGGTATTTGGCAAATGCTTCCTAAATGAATTACCAATTGCTAAATGTGTGAATGAATACATGCGTAGATAAAGCCATGCATTTTTGTTGGATGTTGAATGAATGAACATGTAGAGTTATGACTCAATTGGGTTGCTCACACCGCAAAATGGAAGGACTAAATGAGGCAGAGACCTTACTTCTTCCCTAGGTTCAGAGTTTAGGCATCCAGTGGGTAGAATGAACTGGCCCAGTTCCTCTGTTGGACTTCCTTTTTTCTCTGTGGGATTAATCATATGGTAGAGACATGACTTAGCAAAAATTTCTCCTTCACATTTTTCTCAGGAACTACTTTTTCTTATGGAGGTTGAATCAAGCATGGATCTGTTTTTTAAAAGAATTCTAAATAGGCCCTTGCAGATCTCATTTGCTAACAATATTATCCATAGATGTTGGTCCTCTTTAGGAAATAATGTAGGCTTTAGTCAGGAGTGGAGCATCAGTTATAGGTGTGGTGAGTCTTAAAAGATACCCCCTCCTGTTGTTTGCAAGGACCATCAAGTAATGATTTTGCAATTACTTGTCTATTTCTGGATAGTATATATAGATAGGCACACACACACACACACAAACACACACACACACAAAGGTTAATGCTTAAATTGGGTTCTCATAAATTTTATCAAACAAAAGCTTTACCTGACTTCATTTAATTTATCATTATTTTTCTACCAGAGAGACAAAATCATTGAGCCCCTTTAGTGCTTTGTAGATTCAGCCTCCAACTCAGAAATGGTGCATATAGATTCTATGTTGTATGCTAAATGTGACTGACTGTTAATGGTTGTGGATTGCTGTCTTTCGAAAGATTCTGAGGTGATATATCTGGGCTTAAGGCAAAAAGAGTTCTGCTATGGTTGTTGGAAGAGGGAAGGGTGGCTGATATGTCTTACATTTATTTTCCTTTTAAGTTCTACCACTAGAAGAAAGAAAATGTTTCACAAATAAATATTATCTATTTCCCACCTTGTCCCACAATGATGTCACTCTTCTCTGAACTCCTGCAGTATGTACTATTTGACCCATTCAATCATAGCTTCCTAATGTTTTTTAGTGATCTGGTCAGGTATGCATATCTTTTCTATGCAAGTGAATGGCTTTGGACATGAATGTCTAGTGGAAGTCTTGAGTGGACTTCAAATGGCTTAGATAGAATCCTCACTTTACCATCTAATGCTGTTTCTATTGGAGCAAGTCATTTAATGGATCTAAGAACGATTTACTCTTCTGCACAAATAATATTGCACATGATTGTGGTTAAATGAGATAATGCAGATGTTTAGCCCATAGTAGGTTCTCAAACAGTGTTGCCACAGTCATCATGAAGGAATATAATGACCTCCAGTTTTGCAAAATGTGATTGCAATTTGTTTGAATGAACATTGGAAACGAGGAAGAAGTACTGTCCAGGAGATAGTGCCTTAGTTAATAGTCTTAGATTACTCTAACTCCTCATATGGGGCCATTGGTAGGGTGGTAAAGTATGTTGTATATTCCAATATCATGGGTACAACTGTCCCAATGGAAAGGAAAAGCCATCAGACTATCTTAATTGACATTTATTAAGCATTCAACTCTTTAACTCTTTTACATCTGATTCTATGCTTACTAAACTGTCTGCTTGTTACGATTTCTGCTCTCACACAGGGAGAAAACAGTCTTATGATGAAGATATGAATGTTCTGGTCACCATGACAATTATTTGTAACTGTAATTTACTAAATTGGTAAAGGTAGAATGGCCTGGTCATGAAAAGTTAATACTATAGTTTTTGTAATGGTAATTTCTCATTACAAATTAATCAGTTATCATTCTACAAGTCTCACAGGCTAGGATAATTACAGCCCTGAGTGATTGGATTTCTATAAACATTTTAAAAAATTAATCTACAAAGATGTGGACCAGATTGTGAGCCCTGATGAATTCACTAAGGTACTAAATGCGACACTGTGAGATGTTATATAGGACAGACGGTTGTCTTTTTCCTTAGTGTTTCCAGTATAGCCACTGGCAGAGTTTACTGAGATTCTTCTTGGAATATCTACAGGTCAAAATTCCATGAGATCATGAGTTATGAATTTTCTGTCTTTGTTCATTCATTTTCTCTGTCTGGAATGTTTCCCTTCTGCCATCTCCCCAGTGCATAGGAGGCTACGAGAATCAAGATTGATAATGGGTTCAGTATTACAGAGATACTTTGGAAATATAGTCATGACTAGGATAAACCAGTCTTTGCTTTTAAGTTGCTTACATGCTAAGAGGATGGATCTGGAAATACTTTATGTTTTCTAGAGTGTTCTACAATAAAGCTGTTATTAGAACTCATCCTTTATGACTCAGTTCAAATGTTGCCTCTTTGATACCATCTTTGATTCTTCCAGGAAAACTGAATTGTTTTCTGTGTTTCTGCAAATCTTCATACTCCCTTATAATAGAACAACCAAATTCCAAATTTTGATTATCTATTTTCATGTCTTTCTTACTTTCTAATTTCATTAAGAAGAAGAACTCTGGTTTTTATTAAATCATTGGCATCCAGCATCATTCCTGGAAACATAGTAGATGCTATTACATATTTGTAATACAGTTTGAGAGTGAGCTTTCAGTCCTATTATGGTCAGTGACCCAGCTATTTCCAAATCATGTGAACCAATGATCATTTCACCCATAAGATTCTGCATGAGGACCAAATAGTAATTGAAATATTACTGAACATAGCTGAATAAGTGCTATATTACCTTCAGTGGAGGGTCCTCTGGTCAAAGCTGGAATGGAGTAGATGACTTAGAATCAGGGCTGACATGGTATCATATACTCCTGCTAGTCCATCCACTCACTGTGCTCACACACGCAATCCAACTATAAGGGACATTCATAAGGTGTCTACAGAGAAAGGGAAAAAGTCAGGCCCCATGAAAATCCCTGAATCCAAATACCCACCTGGCCAGCTGGAATGATGAAAGAGAGGGCAGAGAATAACAAACCAGCCATGAGTAGTCGGCACTGCCTTAGGTTTGAGACAGGAAGCCTAAAAGACAAGCAGCTCCTGAGCACTGTCATTTTAACAGTCACTACACATGACTACAACTGCACACCAACCTGTGGCTAAACTGACCTAAACTGCTTAGATTAGCCAAACTTTCTCACCAGTGCTGAATCCCTCTAAACAAACCACTTAAGATCCTCTCACCTTCGCTTGTCTTGAGACATTCGTTACTAATTTCAACCACACCACAGCTGTGGTAACCAGTTCTGTGTGGATTCCTACCAACTTCACACAGCACAATTCAACAGCACCTCAGCTCATGCTTCACCTCCGTTCCTCTTGCCTCCTGCATGAGTTCCCTTTTGACTCTGAGGCTCTGTGGAACACAGAGCTGAAGGATCAGTTCTTCCTTCCTACCGTGCACTGTACTGAGATGCAATTGTTCATACTGCCTCTCTTAGCACAGTCTCGAAAGATCAATCAATCATTTGTACTCCACACCAAATGGAGGCCGGCTCCGTAATGGTTTATTGGCTCTCTCTGTTTCCCTACATTAAGCTTTGGGGAGCTATGAAAGAAGTCTGGCATGGGTACAGAAGGCTCGATTACCCTCTCCCTAGAGAGGGTTAATTAATTAATGATGAGACCCAGATTTAATGGGGTCCTTGAACTTGTCTGTACATTAGAATCACCTGAGGATCTTTAAAAAATTCTAAAGCTGAGGCCATGCCTGGACCATCTCAGTTACAATCTTATAGGAGTAGGACACAGGAAGTGAGATTTTTTTTAAAGCTCCCCAGTGATTCCAATGTGTAGGCCAGCTAAGGAACCTTTGAGATAAACAACAGCAGAAATAAACAAAAATAAATAATTCTTTGCAAGTTTTAATCACGATATTATTGTTCAAAAATTTAAAAGAGAATATATGTTTACCATCTTTGTATATAATATCAGGAGAAATACACTGACTACTGACTTAAGAAAACTCTTTGGAAAGGAAATAAGGAAAATGCAAAAAGTCTTGAGCCACTGAAAGATAATTTCTGTCATTGGGCCTTTTCTCAGGGTAACCTTTGACATGGACAAAGAAGGAGCAGACTGAAAAATCTAAGTGCCTTAGGATGTCTGTGGCTTTCTTTAACATTTGTAAATGCCCATTTTTGACTCACCTCCTATATTTGACATTCAGGAAAGAAACCTTCATTAAAATCACTCGACAAGATCTTTTGCCTAGGTCATCTGCTTTCACGTTTCCATGGCAGCTGGCTGTGCTAAATAAGACATTTCAAAGCTGTGTGTCTAAGGAAAAAAAAGAGAACTAAAATAGAGAGTTTGAAGACGATATTTTATATTTGTGGATAGGTAGGCCTGGGAGGAAGAAAGTTCATTTTTTCCACTTTACTGTCTTTATGGAACTTTGAACCTAACTATAATTTGCCAAATGATTAATGCTTCGATCAGAGAATCCACTCTATTCAGAGATACTTGACTCTCCCACTTATACTGAGCTTGGAAATCAGCATAGAAGTGAAAAGAATTTGAGCTTTAAAGTCAGGAAAAGCAGGGCTCAAATGTAAATTATTTTCCTACTTACTAGTCTTGTAACTTTGTGCAAAAATTTTAAGTATTTTGAGCGTGTGGCCTCACTAGAAAAAATGGCAAGCACTAACATCCAATGGGATTGTTTGGAAGGCTACCTGAAATAGTGGTGACAAATTAGCTCCAAATGTAAGAAAACTAAACAATAGTTAGCTTTCTGCTCTCTTGTTTTCCTCTTTTTCCCATTTCCATGCCTCTTGAGTGACTTAATGAATTTGTAAAATTGTGATTGGGCAGTATGATCTTTGCATAATTAACTATGAAATCATGTCTGCTTTTTAATATTGCTTAAATTTTTTTTTAGCATTTCTAATTAATACATGCAGTAGGATATAGTGAAAAGAGCATAGTACCAGGCACAAATATTTTTGAATAAATGTATGAATGCATGCAAGAGTCGTATGGGGAACTTAAGAAACATGGGATCAAGTTCAATAACTACTAACCTGTGAGACATTGAACACGTTGTAGCCTTTCTCTGAGCCTCATTTTCCTCATCTTAAAGAAAATAAAGTTGAGAAAACTGCCTCTGCTGTTTTGCTCTGCTCTAAAATTCTGAGATTTAGTTAATATGTGAGCTCTATATTTCTTCCTACTGCAACTTGTTCATCCCACAGATAGGACACTCATCATGTACTGCAACTAAGTGTTTGCTCCCTGATTGGGCATGTCCTATCCTTGATATGGGAGGCACTAAGAGAAGAGGTTCTCAGGATAGACTTTGTTGAGCCACGCTGCCTTGGCATAATGCTAGATCCTCCACTTCCTAGCTGTGTGACCTTAAGCAAGTTACTTGACCTTTTTGTGTCTCAGTTTTCTAATCTCTCAAATGGGGTTGATGATGACGTGCATCTTTACCTTAAATGGTTTTTAGGATAATTAACTAGGTTAATACCTAGGAAGCACATGGCATGCTTAATAAATGTTAACTCTCAGTCTTAAGTTTTATCTTTCAGTCTGCAGCACTTAGCCCAATGTCTGGTGAGTACTAGACAGTAAATATTTGTTGAGAGTCTGAATGAGTTATTTAAAAATATGCCTGCAGAGTGTATGTGCCTTATACGAAGTATGTGATTTCTGGTATGAAAGAGTTGGTCAGATAATCAGGATTCCAAAGTTTCTGGCAATCTGGAAAACTCATGAGTTCAGAAGCTATGTTGGAGACCAAGAGTTTCTCACATCACAGCATATTACAAGATGGCATGGAATGAGTCTGTATGGAAAAGAAAGGCTTGCTATTCTGACTTATTCACTGTTTCACCCATTTTTGTTATATTTATCAGGCTTGTTTTGAGAAGAGTCTAAATTCAAGGAGGGAAAAAGAGTGTCTTAATTAAAAAGGAATAGTGGGGACATGTCTTTCTTGAATATGATATAATGTTTCTTCTCATTCCTAATCCTTTTCTCCCAGTTCATTTTGTTATCAGCTGCTAACAATTTATTCAAATCATCGGTGTCAATTTCCAGTATAAATATGAGTGTTAAGGAACACGCAGTTTGAAGGGGGTTAAAAAGTTTCCTTAAAAAATAACTTTATAGGCCAGCTTGGACAATATGGCAAGACCCCACCACTACAAAAAACAACAAACAATTAGCCTTGGTGTGGTGGCACACAGCTGTAGTCCCAGCTACTCAGGAGGCTGAGGCAGGAGGATCACTTTAGCCCAGGAGTTCGAATCTGCAGTAAGCTATGATTGCACCACTGCACTCCAGCCTGCGTGGCAGAGCAAGATCCTGTCTCAAAACAAAACCAAAAACAAAAAGAAAACAAAAAACAAACAAACAAACAAGCCTTTATAGAGATATATAATTCATAAAACATACAATTCACTAGCGCACAACTCAACGGGTTTCGGCATATTCGCAGAGTTGTGCAGTCATTACTATAATCAATTTTAGAACATTTTTAAGTCCTCAAAGGAATCCCACACTCATCTGCTGTCACTCTCTGTCTTATGCAATAACTCTGTAAAAATACTTCTTGCATCCCTTTATAAAGTACTCCGGGAATGTAATCTCTTAGCACGTCATTCGATATTTATTGAAACTATTATGAGCCAAATACTCTTCTAGGCTGTAGTGATAGGGAGACAACTAAACAATCCCAGCTCTCAGGGAGATTATGTTCCATAGCGGGGTCTACAGATGGGCCCCAAATTAAAAGCAAAGCAGAACAAAATCCATGTTAGTGACAGAAGGGAGCAGGCAAGTTATATTCCTACTATGTGCCAGGCTTTCTGCCAGATCACACTAGTAAGCAGTGGACTGGCATCTGCCTGATTTCAGAGTATACATACACACACACACACACACACACACACACACACACAGAAAGTATGATGGATAAAAACTCAGTTGAATTAGACTACTAGATATTTCACTTCAGCCAGCTGTGCAAAGCCTTGGATTTGCTGCCTCCCAAGCCAGCTCCTAAAACAATACTTCCTGTTGTTTCGAAGAAAAATGGAAAATAAACAACTCGAAGACTTTGGTCATCATCCACCAATGAACAGGATTTTCTGTCCTGGATACAGTTAGCTTAACCAATGGCATTTTTGTTAGCGGAATTATGAGGGTGGGAGTGGGGAGAGAAGAGTCAAAGGGTAATTAAAGTGACTTACATTTCTCTTTTTTCCTGTCATAATCCTGAGGATTTGAATTCTCTAACAAATCAAATTCAGTTTGAGTTTTAACCTTCTTACATGAAAAGCCAGGTTTAAAAATAGCTGTTCATGGTCTGATGATTGTAAACAAACATTGGAGTATGGAGTCGAATGAAGGGCAACAGACATTACATATCCCTGCAGGAATGTGGAATTTAATATAAACGGAGGAACTTTTATACATATGTGCTATGTCTTCGCTCTGTGTTGCCAGCAGAGTTCTTTGGGGGAAAGAATCATCATAAAATGTTAGAGCTGAAGAGGGTTTTAGAAATCACGTAGGCTCCTGCCTCATTTGAGAAATGGGGGAACTGAGACTAAGAGCAAGGAAGTGGTTGTGTATCTAGTTAGTGGCAGAGATAGGGGAAGAATTGGTTGTCCAGGATCTCTAGTGCTATTTAAAAAATATGGAACATTCATTCATATACCTGTGAGCATGTTTTCTGATTAACTGAGGTGCATAGGATAGGTCAGTGCAATGGGTTTGGGATCAGGGAAACCTGAATTTAAATCTCAGTTCTATAATTTACCACATGGTGAATTTGAAAAAAAATTGATTACGTTTGCTAAGCCTCAATTTACTTTTCTGGGAAAAATGTAGCATCTTCTATATCGAGATATTGGAATGATTAAATTAGATATATAAGCAAATCATTTAGCTCATAGTTGGTGTTTAATCAACACCCTCTTCATTCTTTACACTCTCTTCCTTTTCTCTTTATTCAAGATGTTTTACATACCTTTTCGAATTTCTTTCAGTCCTTCAGTAGACCCATTGTTACAAGTACTCCTGCCTTTGACAATGAGGACCAGAGCTTATCTTAAATCCAACTTAGTTGCTCTCATTTTTGGGGTACCTGCTACATTCCAGATACTTCATGGTCATTATTTCTTACTTTTATAACATCATTGGCACTTAGTTATTATTTTGTTCACCTTAGGGATGAAGAAAATTATGTTCAGGGAGGATAATTATGTTCAGGGAAGATACCACAGCTTGAAGTCAAGTCCTCAAAGTCTGAACTCATCTTTGTGCTTATACTCTCTTACCAGGGGTATGACTACAAACGTATTTATTTTTTTAAATTCACCATAAAATTCTGGGAAAAGTTTAGAGGTAGAAAAAATATTTATAATGGAGTTGGGGTGCAGAATTCAAATCACAGCTCTGCCCTATATCCGCTGTATGGCACAAGGAAGGCTACTTAAATTATCTCTGCTCCCAATTCCTCACTTGCAGGGGGTTAATAATAATAATTATAACAACAAAGAACATAGAAACAATGTGGCATTGAATGAATGAAAGATGATATGTGAAGCTTTTTTAGCAAAGTGCCAGCAATAAGTATCTCTCATGTATGTGACCACCTTGCCTTCTGTAAGCTTGGCCTGTGGACACTAGTTCACACTTCTTACAATGACTGCATGGAAGGGAAGCACTTCAGATTCTCCCCTGAGACGTCAGTCTTGATTTGACTGCCATCTGCTCTAGTTAAAAATTCAGGTAAAATGTTGACATTGGATAATGAAACTGAGGGATTCATTCATGCTTGTTTCCTTGATGTTTTCTAGACATGTTATTTTTAATTTAAGTCACCCGCTCCATGTTCCTTGGGGTTCCAGTGAAATTGCCTTGACAGACCAATAAGGGAGATATAATAAGGACAATTGGGAATGCCCTTTTATGAGGTAGAGTGAGGGTTACTATGGAGGACACAATTTACTATGTCACTCAGACCCTTTCTATGACAACCATCCAGTTTGATAAATTAATCTCAGAATTTAAAGCCATAAAACAACAACAAAAAAGAAATTGTTTCTCCCACTGAATCCATATGAGTATGATTTCTAGACAACAAGTCATATGATCCATCTTTTTTTCCTCTGTTTTCCCTGGTTTTCAGGAATATCAGACCTAAATATTGTGCATAACTATTGTATCTTTGCCAACTAACTCTCTGAATACAGTGTTTTTCTCTCTGCTCTTATCCTTTATAAAATATATTATTTTTCTTCATTTGAAAGTTTTCAATTTGACTGATTTTATTATAAGCTGCCTCAAGAAGCTTGTCAGATATAAAACAGTTAAGATGCAATTAATATCTATATCTATCTATATCTATATACCTATCTATAGATATCTAGGTAGATACACAGATCTACCTCTATAGTTAGGAAATACCCATTTCATCATTCTGGAACCTGAGATACCAAGTATGAGGAAAGAAAAGGTAAAATTGTAAAGATAGCAAAAATAACTACAATGAAAGAAGCACTTCTAAAATGTAAGTCAAGAGTAAAAAAGGTCACAGATTTTTCTGTAAGTACTCATTAAGAGAAAGATATAATTATTAGGACTACTACTAACAATATTAACACATGATCATATACTCTGCTCTGTCAGCTTACTTGTTATGAACTCTGTCCATAAAAATTAGCCCCTTCCTTTTCTCTTTCCTAGCCATCTTACCGATGGCTATTTCCGAGAGGCAGGAAAAGGAAAGAAAGCTGGAATCAATGTAAATGCTCTGAAATCAGAGATGCGGCCTGTCCTGGGCACCCTTATGACTCTTCACCCTGGGTAGTACCTGATGTGTGGTAGATGCTCAAAAAATATTTATTGAAGGAATGAATAGCAATGATGGCTCACATTATATTGTCATTATATAGCAGACATTGTACACATGGATTTACAGAGATAATCATATTTAACCCTCACAATAATCTTATGAGTAGAGAATTCACAGGACTGTGACTACTTTTTAGAGTTGAAGAAATTGAAGCACAGAGAGGTTGAATAACTTGATGTTAGTGGAGGGCAGGGAGTTCACATGCTCAGCCAGGGATGAAGGAGTAAAGGAATAAATGAACAAACAACCTCTGTGGAAAGCAGTATAGAGACTTCTCAAAGAACTGAAAAGAGATCTACCATTAGATTCAGTAATCCTACTACTGAGAATCTACAAGGAAAGAAATCATATCATTGAAAAGATACCTGCACGTGTATGTTTATGGCAGCACTATTCACAATAGCAAAGATATGGAATCAACCTAACTGTCCATCAAGGGATGATTAAAGAGAATGTGGTATATATACACAATGGAATCCCATTCAGCCATAAAAACGATGAAATCATGTCTTTTGTAGCAACATGAATGGAGCTGGAGGTCATTATCTTAAGTGAAGCAACTCAGAAATGGAATGTCAAATACTGGCTGTTCTCACTTACAAGTGGAAGATAAATAATGTGTGCACATGGACGTAGAGTGTGGAAAGGTAGACACTGGAGATTCAGAAGGGTTGGGGAGGACAGGCAGGGGAAGGGTGATGAGAAATTGGTTAATGGGTACAATGTACATTGTGCAGGTAATTGGTACACTAAAAGCCAAGACTTCACCACTACACAATATATGCATGCAACAAAATTACACTTGTACTCCTTAAATTTGTACAAAAAAGAATGTATTTCCTTTGTGACACCAGGTACAGACTGATTGAGGAGATGAAGTGGCTTGGGCTGACTGAAACAATACCAGTTATAAAGAGTTATGTAATATATATGGTCCCCAAGTTAATAACAGGAGGACTCAGTGATGGAAATTTCCATAAGAAGAGATGTTCCTGGAGGTGTCAGAAATAAAAATGAAGTTGTTGATAAAAACTGATGTGTTAAATTTTATTCAACATCTTCCTTATCAGCCTGGATTTTTACAGATCTGCTATACATGCATTACCTTTGGGTTTCTTCCATGCAATAGCTACAGATATGTTTTTTAAGTTCATTCTTTTCTGCTCTTGTCCATTGCACCATCTCTGTGAAATTAGAGAATTTTGGAGAAAGCCAAAATTCATTTCAGTGGTTGTGAACCTTGTATAATTCATTTATTTAGGGGCCAGTACGAGACATTAAAATTTAAGGTACGGATATAAAAATGAGTATAATTGTGTCTGGTTTGTGATTCCTTTCCATTCCGCTGCTCTGCTTTAGTTTTACTACCACTTAACTTTGTAGTGCTTTATTGGAGCTCTGAATACTGATCACTGCAGCATGTAGGCTTACAATGGAACAGCTGTTTACAAATACTACACAGCCTCAACATCATCCTTCTGTGCTATGCGGAGAACAGAGTGTCATTTAGAAAAGGAGGGTTAATTCAGAGTCTCATCGTCCTCACTGTTTGAGGGACATTGTTTGCAGGGAACAAATGGAACTCACTGCAACCCTGCAAGTACTCCCATCTCAGTCACTTTGCTCTAGAGCCTCTGTCATCAGTAACCCAACAGAACATATTGTGTAAAAACATCTCCTATTCTTTCAGATCCCCAAGCCATCTGGCAAGGCTTTTGTCTACTGCTTTCATAAATGGAAGGCTGGCTCGTGAGCAAATTGTCTTGGAGGAAAGCAGCTGACAACACGAAAGGCTCCTAGATCACTTGCTCTATTAAATGAGATAACATATGTGAAGGTACCTAGCACAGAGCCTGGCAGAGCAGAGAGTGGAATTAGTAGTGGGATGGATGGGGAGGCATCTTTGAAACTTCATAACATTAAGCACAAAGATGAACAGCTTCTCACTGAACCGTACAGACCTTCCCTGTAATGATACGTGCTCAAAGTTCCGTGACAATTTCGATTTGCAGCAAGGTGACAGGGTTAAAACCTCAGGTCTATTGACCTTTAATTTATAAGGAGGGCTAGTGCCATTTCTCCACAGCCATCTTTTTCTGATACTAGAAAAAGAGTCACATATGAAATGAGAAGTTTTCTCTAACATCAAGACACGAAACTGATTTATCTTTTCCACAATGTAGTTTCCTAAAGTGATCCTGGATTCCTTTAGGTACCTCAACTGTGTGCAGGGAGGTGATATATATATGCATTTTTTTGCCATTTTCCAGAAGAATGTTCTCTATGGTGCTAATGAGGTGCTCAAATAAGGTGTGCCTGAGGGAGCACTTTCCACCCACCTGGCTCAGGCAATCTGTTCACTCTGTCCTCTCTTGGTAACAAATGAAGGCAACCACAGCCACCACTGGGCAGATAGGAAGCTTCCCTGGCTTAATCTGTTATTAACTGGTGAAGGTGCCAAGCAGGAACTTTCATAGAGAAGCTGCCATGACAAATTATATAGAACACAAGTTGTGGAGTCAGAAAAAGCTAGGTTTGAATTTTGGGTTTCTCTGATAATTAGCTGTGGTCTTTGAGTAAGTCTATCAGCATGTCTGAATCTTCCTTTGCTTACATATAAATAGAGATGATATTACCTATGCTCTAAGGGTGTAGTCAGATTAACCAATTTAACTCCTATGTAATAGATGCTGCTTGGTGCCCTGCCCAACTCCCCTTTAGGGGAGGGGCAGGTGCCCATCTGCAATTCTTATAACTTCTGGTTGCTAGCAGCTCACAGGAACACACCTCTGCACTCTGTTAAGGTGAACCACCTTGTCTGGAAATTTCCGAAATGTAATTCACTCTTCCTGGGTTTGGAGGTTTACAGGAGCTTGTAACTAATAACTAACTGATTTGGGGGTTCAAAATGCCTGATATGGTTTGGCTGTGTCCCCACCCAAATCTCATCCTGAATTGTAGCTCCCATAATTCCCAGGTGTTGTGGGAGATAATTGACTCACGGGGGCAGTTTCCCCCATACTGTTCTCGTGGTAGTGAATAAGGCTCATGAAATCCGATGATTTTATAAAGAGTTTCCCTTTTTGCTTTGCTCTCATTCTCTCTTGCCTGCTGCCATGTAAGATGTGCCTTTTGCCTTCCACCATGATTGTGAGGCCTCGCCAGCCACGTGGTACTGTGAGTCCATTAAACCTCTTTTTCTTTTCTTTATAAATTACCCAGTCTTGGGTATGTCTTTATCAGCAGCACAAAAATGGACTACTACAATGCCAAGTCTCTTGCTTTTAGGTGGGACGACTCTGTGATGTCATTCCTACTTCAAAGCTTCCCATCAGGTCAGGCTGAGGTGATACCTCCCCTGAACACACCTCTTTGCCTGACTTTTCCCCTTGACATTTTCTGATAGCACTTTCCACATCAGTTGGAATTCCCATCTCAGGTTCTGCTTCTAGGGAACTTGACAGAGACAGCTTGTAAAGTGTCTGCCATAAGGCAGCTACTCAAAGATTGCTAGTTCCCCTCTCCTTCCACCCTCTTCTCTAGCAACTGTTTCATTTTGTACTAGATTCATTTTGCCTGTGTAAAAGTTACTGTAAAATAAAGTTAAAACATTCTACGTAAATAAAGGGTACTTTAAAAAAGTAAAAAGGCAGGCCACAAATTCTGTAAAATTATTTACCATGCAAATAATAAAAGATTTATGTCCAATATAGAGAACTACAAGAAAGGAAAAGCCAGTAAAAAAAGGAGGATGTGGTCCATTGGTTCACAGAGGAGGAAACTGGAATGGCCAACACATACATAAGCAATCTTTAATCTTGGTAGGAAAAAATGATATTTGAATCCATTCCACAGGCAAAATGAAAGCATCCAATAATATTAGCATTGGCAAAAACATGAAGCAACATAAACACTTCATACTCACTGGTGGGGATGCTATTTGGTTCCACCATTTTGGAGAGTCATTTCTCAATATCTGCTAAGTTTCAGAATATGCATATTTTACAATTCATCAATTATATTTCCAAGAATTTGCCACACGTATTTGTCACACATATACGAGAATTTTTCTCGTACTTCACATTACTTTTTAAAGTGAAGCAAACAGGCTAACTAACAAAACTTAGAAACAGCCTTAATGCTCATTATTAGGAGAATGAATAAAGCAATTTTAGTGTATTTGTGGCATAAATACCACAAAGCTCTAAAAATGGTTGAATTGGAAAGATATATATCAATATGGAAAATCTGGGAAACATAACGTTGAGGAAACAATACAAATTGTAGAAGGACAAATCATTATTATCCCATTAATTATTTTTTCAACTCAACAGTTCTATTTATTTTTAAATGAATACTCACAAATATTGTAAAAGTATACAAACACAGACTTCAAGGTGGACACTAACTTCACAAGACACTAACTGGGAAAAGTAGAAAGGATTATTGGCTGGTGTTGGGAGAGACATGGTTTCAAATGTATTGATAATGTTTTAGTTCTTAAACATACTACCATTCTGAAGCAAGTATAGGAAAATGTTAAAGTGTTCTCTATCTGTAAGAATATAAGAGTTTATTATTTTTCTTTAAGCTTTTTCTCTGTGTTTGAAAGATTTTATTAAAAAATAGAATGAGGCCAGGCATGGTGGCTCAGGCCTGTAATCCCAGCACTTTGGGAGGCCAAGGTGGGCAGATCACAAGGTCAAGAGATTGAGACCATCCTGGCCAACGCAGTAAAACCCCACCTCTACTAAAAATACAAAAATTGCCCTGTCGCGGTGACTCACACCTGTAATCCCAGGACTTTGGGAGGCAGAGGCGGGTGGATCACCTGCGGTTGGGAGTTCAAGACCAGCCTGCCACCACCATGGAGAAACCCCCATCTCTACTAAAAATACAAAAATTAGTCAGGTGTGGTGGCGGGTGCTTGTAATCCCGGCTACTTGGGAGGCTGAGGCAAAAGAGAATTGTTTGAACCCAGGAGGTGGAGGTTGCAGTGAGCCGAGATCACGCCACTGCACTCCAGCCTGGCAACAGAGTGAGACTCTGTCTCAAAAAAAAAAAAAAAAAAAAAAAAAAATTTCAGACCTTGCTTGGCTAAGTCCCCCTCCTGTCTACGGCCTCTCCAAATCTCGTAAGTCCTAGGTCAAGTTCCACCTCTTCCATGGAACTTTCTGGATGACCACAGACAGCTCTGATTAAATCCCTTTATGAGAGCCACAGTGGTATTTACCCCCTTTGAACAAAGACTTGATGGCGATAAATTTTGTATTTGCCTATGCATTGTCATCTTTAGTGCTTGAAGTGTTTAAATAATTGTCTAACATGTTTCTTAGCCTGGAGGAAGTCTGCAACTTCCATGTTTCTCATAAAATTCTCTCACAAATAACCTTCCTATATTTATCATAAACTATGCTTAGCATAAATTTTACTCAATAAATTAATTTTTAGTAATTTTAATGTTAATCCAGCATATTTTATTTTAGTAATATTTATGTGCTATTCTTTGAAAATACAAAAAGAGGACATGGGTTACTCTCAGCGATACCACAGCCTGGCTGAGATAAATGGTAGCATGTGTGTGTGTTTCTTTCTATATTCTTTCAGCTTGCCAGCCAACACATATTAAACACTAACTCTGGGCCAGTTACTCCAGTTGAGACCAGGGTAGAATAAAAATTGAGGGCAGGCATATTTTACTTGTATCTATGATCATTCCTGATTTGAACTAAAAGTTGAGACTCAGGGTGTGACCAAAGACTTCTAGGGCATGTCTGATAAAAAGGCCATTGGAGATTTAGCTTGTAAATTGAATTATTGTAATTTTAAGAACATATGAGTGACACATAGGATTGCCATAAGTCATGAGCCTGCCCCCAAAAATCTGGGTATAGTAATCATGTTGTACATTAGCTGGAACTAATTTTCTCTCTGTTTATTTACCATTGAATCTTTTATTTACTCATTGAAACGAAGTTTCGCTCTTGTTGCCCAGGCTGGAGTGCAATGGCAAGATCTCGGCTCACTGCAACCTCTGCCTCCCAGGTTCAAGTGATTCTCCTGCCTCAGCCTCCTGAGTAGCTGGGATTACAGGCATGTGCCACCACACCTGGCTAATTTTTGTATTTTTAGTAGAGATGGGGTTTCTCCATATTGGTCAGGCTGGTCTCGAACTCCCGACCTCAGGTGATCCACCCACTTCAAGCCTCCCAAAGTGCTGGGATTACAGACGTGAGCCACAGCGCCCAGCCAGAAATCTATTCTTTAGTAACAACACTGAATAATAATTGTTGATAACCATTTCATCAAAGGCATATTTTTCTTTGGAAGTGTGACTTCTAAAACTATAGCATTAATGAACTCTTGACCTTTTAAATAGCCTTCAGCTGACCCTTCCAGGAATCATTAGGAAAACTGGATAACTTTTACTATCCCTATATTATTAAGGAGGAAACTGAGTTTCGGATAGCATTGATGACCTGGACAAAGCCACACAGAAGAGCTGAAATGAGAACCAAGAACTTCTGACTGTTAGATTAGAACTTGTTATACTCTATTCTCTTTGTGTCAGAAATCTCAGAGAATAGGGGATTTAGGGCAGGGTCTCTCAGCCTTGGCATTTTTGATATTTTGTGCCAAGTGATTTTTTGTTGTAGAAGAGGGTACCTGTTAGATGTCAGTAGTATCTTCCAAGTTGTGACAATCAAAATTGTGACTAGATATGGCCAAATGTCCCTGGAGGGCAAAATCAACTCATGGTTCATAAACCCTGCCTTAGAGCATTGCTTGACATAATTTTAGTTTATTTATTTTTAATTTTTTCAACTTTTAATTTCAGGGGCACATGTGCAGGATGTGCAGGTTTGTTACACAGGTAAATGTGTGCCATGGTGGTTTACTGCACAGATCATCCCATTACCCAGGTATTAAGCCCAACATCCATTAGCTATTTTTGCTGATGCTCTTCCTCCCCACCAGCCCCTCACAGGTTCCCAGTGTGTGTTGTTCCCCACCATGTGTCCATGTGTTCTCATTGATCAAACATGTGGGTGTTTGGTTTTCTGTCCCTGCGTTAGTTTGCTGAATATAATGGTTTCCAATTCCATCCCTGTCCCTGCAAAGGACATGATCTTGTTCCATTTTACTGCTGCATAGTTTTCCATGGTGTATATGTACCACATTTCCTTTATCCAATCTATCATTGATGGGCATTTAGGTTGATTCCATGACTTTGCTTGTAAATAGTGCTGCAATGAACATACACGTGCATGTATCTTTATAATAGAATGATTTATATTCCTTTGGGTATATACCCAGTAATGGGATTGCCTGGTCAAATGGTATTTCTGCCTCTAGGTCTTTGAGGAATCACCACACTGTCTTCCACAATGGTTGAACTAATTTACATTCCCATCAACATTGTAAAAGCCTTCCTTTTTCTCCACAACCTTGCCAGCATCTGTTTTTTTTTTTTTTAACTTTTTAATAATAGCCATTCTGATTGGCATGAGATGGTATCTTTTTGTGGTTTTGATTTGCATTTATCTAATGATGAGTAATGTTGAGCTTTCTTTCATATGTTTGTTGGCTGCAAGTATGTCTGCTTTTGAGAAGTGTCTGTTCATGTCCTTTGCCCACTTTTTAATAGGGTTGTATTTTTTCTTGTAAATTTGTTTAAGTTCCTTGTAGATTCTGGATATTAGACCTTTGTCAGATAAATAGATTGCAAAATTTTTCTTGTATTCTGTAGGTTGTTGTCTGTTCACTCTGATAATCATTTCTTTTGCTGTGCAGAAGTTCTTTAGTTTAATTAGATCCCATTTGTTAATTTTTGCTTTTGTTGCAATTGCTTTTGGTGTTTTTGTAATGAGATCTTTGCCCATGCCTATGTCCTGAATAGCATTGCCTAGATTTTATTTTAGGGTTTTTATAGTTTTGGGTTTTACATTTAAGTCTTTAATCCTTCTTGAATTAATTTTTGTATATGGTGTAAGGAAATGTTCCAGTTTTAATTTTCTGCATATGGCTAGCCAGTTCTCCCAGCACCATTCATTAAATAGGAAATCCTTTCCCCATTGCTTGTTTTTGTCAGGTTTATTGAAGATCAGATGGCTGTAGGTGTGTGGCCTTATTTCTGAATTCTCTATTCTGTTGCATTGGTCTATGTGTCTGTTTTTGTGCAAGTACCATGCTGGTTTGATTACCATAGACTTGTAGTATTATTTGAATTGGGGTAGCCTGATGCCTCCAGCTTTGTTCTTCTTGCTTAAGATTGACTTGGCTATTTAGGCTCTTTTTTGGTTCCATATGAATTTTAAAATAGTTTTTTTCTAATTCTGTGAAGAATTTCAATGGTAGTTTAATGAGAATAGCATTGAATCTATACATTAATTTGGGCAGTATGGCCATTTTCACAATATTGATTCTTCCTATCCATGACCATGGAATGTTTCTCCAGTTGTTTGTATGCTCTCTGATTTCTCTGAGCAGTGGTTCGTAGTTCTCCTTGAAGAGGTTCTCAACTTCCCTTGTTAGCTGTATTCCTAGGGGTATTTTATTCTTTTTGTAGCAGTTTTGAATGGGAGTTCATTCATGATTTGGCTCTCTGGTTGCCTATTGTTGGTGTATAGGAACGCTAGTGATTTTTGCACATGGATTTTATATCCTGAGACTTTGCTGAAGTTGCTTATTAGCTTAATACACTTTTGGATTGAGATGATGAGAGTTTCTAGATATTGAATCATGTCATCTGCAAACAAAGATAATTTGACTTCCTCTTTTCCTATTTGAATATCTTTATTTTTTCCTCTTGCTTGATTGCCCTGGCCAGGACTTCCAAGACTATGTTGAATAGGAGTGATGAGAGAGGGCATCCTTATCTTGTGCCAGTTTTTAAGAGGCATGCTTCCACATTTTGCCTATTCAGTTTGATATTGGCTATGTGTTTGTTGTATATGGCTCTTATTATTTTGAGGTATGTTCCTTTAATACCTAGTTTATTAAGAGTTTTAAACATGAAGGAATATTGAATTTTATTGAGGGCCTTTTCTGCATTTATTGAAATAATCATGTGGTTTTTGTCTTTAGTTCTGTTTATGTGATGAATCACATTTATTGATTTGTGTTTGTTGAATCAACCTTCCATTCCTGAGGATGAAGCCAACTTGATCATGGTGGATAAGCTTTTTGATTAGTTTTTTTTTTTTTAATGCCTATGTAAAAAGACAGTAGGAAATGCTCACCAAACCTGAGCACAAAGCAAGATGGCAGACCCCAGCCTCATTGAAGTAGATTAGGATCATATAATGTGTTCTGACCTATGGAATTTGAGACGTAAAGTCAACCACTTCCACTCTGGTCATTATTTCCCTGAGTGATCCTTTTTTCTCCCTTTCTATTTTGCAGCAAACTTGGAAATCATGTCTTAGAGATCAAGGAGCCAAGAGATGAGACAAGCCTGGGTTCCTAGGTGATAGGGTGTGGCTGTGTCCCCACCCAAATCTCGTCTTGAATTGTAGCTCCCATAATCCCCACATGTTGTGGAGGGACCCTGTGGAAGGTAATTGAATTATGGAGGTGGGTTTTTCCCATGCTGTTTTCATGATGGTAAATAAGTCTCATGAGATCTGATGGCTTTATAAGGGGCAATTTCCCTGCACACATTCTCTTGCTTGCCACAATGTAAGACATGCCTTTGCTCCTTCTTCACCTTCTGCCATGATTGTAAGGCCTCCCTGGCCATGTGGAACTGTGAGTCCATTAAACCTCTTTTTCTTTATAAATTATCTAGTCTTGGGTATGTCTTTATTAGCAGCGTGAGAACAGACTAATACATTGAGTAACTGGAGATTGCAGAGCACTAGCCAAACTACATGGGACTGTGACTTGAATGAGAAATAAACTTTCACTGTGTTGAAACAACAAAAATTGAGAGATTGTTTGTTATAGAAGTTAGCATGCTGCAAGTATTAGAATGACTTTTGTGTTATTTTTCATATCTTAATGTCTCAATTTTAATTTTAATCAAAATAATGCATAGATGTAATAGAGGTCAAATATAATTAAACATTTTAAATAATTATCTCTTGTGCCACAGATTACTTTCTGATAGTTGAGGACTCAGATCTTTCATCCCCTTCCACAATCTATCTTTCCCATATCATACTAACATGTGTTTTCTCCTATTGTAAGTATGCGAATGGTTTTGCTGCTAAAGCAGAAGTGCGCAATAAACTTATCTCCGTACGCATAACCTTTTATTCTTATGTATAACCTTTTATTCTTCCCTGGTCACTGACTCTCTCTAATCCTGTATCATCTTCCCACATTGCCTTGGTTTTCCTTTGGTCCCAGTATGATACACATATGATATATAATGTATCATATATGTATATATGTGTGTATATACATATATATACTATATATATGCATTTGTATATATGTGTGTGTATTTATATGTGTGTGTGTGTGTGTGTATATACACACTTCTTTTCTGAAGGCCAGAACATCTGTACTACAGGCCTACTTATAAGCTCAAAACATCAATTAAAAAAAATTTTCAAGACCGCTCTCCCTAAGCCCCTTGTTTCGCAGTAGAATTTGGATTATTTCTTCTTAGGCTAGCTACAGAGATATCTTCCTAAGATTTCTCTACACTTTCAACTTATGTGGGATCTCCTGTTTTGTGGATCCCACATCTTTCTTTTCTTGCTTGTGTTTACCTGTGTACTCCTGCATCTCATTGAGTTTCTTTAACATAATTATTTTGAATTATTTTTTAGGCATTTCATTTTTTTTTCCTTTGGGATCTGTTACTGGAGAATTATTTTATCCCTTTGGAGTCATCATCTCTTCTTTTTTTTAGTGATTCTTGTGTCCTACATTCATATCTGTGCATTTAGTGTAAAAGTTACTTCTTCCAGTTTTATGGATTGGTTTTTGTAGGGACTTTTTCCTGTAGATGTATCTATATTATTGGTGGGGTAGGATGCTTTGGCTTTGATTCTGGGTGGGCACAGTAGTATCATCTCTGTATGATTTATTCACTGTAATCAGTTTCAGTGGTGTCTGTAAGTTTCTCAGTGGCTTAGGCTGCAGTTGTAAATGGAGGCTATGGTGAGTCTTTTCTGGGGAAGAGGACACCAGATGGATGGTCCTCGGGCACCAATGGTGTTGGTAGAGGGCCAGCCTTCTGGTCCTTGAGTCCTTGGGCATCATACTTGGGAGCCAGTGGTGGGTCTGGATGGGCCAGCCCTTGGGCCTCCTGGCAGCATGGTGGGGTGCCAGCAGCAGGCTGGGCATGCAGGTACTTGGGCCCCCAGGCAGCCTGTGTAGTGTTGGCAGTGGAAATAATGGCTGCAGGACAACCTTTGGGTCTGAGTCACAGGTGGTGGTGGTGGGCTGGAAAGATCAGTTTCAGGGCCTCCCAGAAGATGCATGTGGGTGCCAGTGTTGGGCAGAGTAGGTATGTTCTTGTGCCCCTGGATGGCATGTGCATGTGCCAGTGGCAGCAGGCATGGTGGACCTATCTCTAGGCTGTAGGACAGCACATGCAGGTGGTAGCCATGGGCAGAACAGGCCTGTCCTGCAGTTCCTGGAAGGCATGTGTGGGTGCTAGCAGTGGTAGGGTGAGTCCCCAGGACCCCAGGTGACATGTGTGAATGCTAATGGAGGCGGTGGTGGCAGTGGTTGGGGTGGATCTATCCTCAGGTCCCCAGAGGGCATGTGCAAGCACTGTCAGTGGTGAATGGGGCAGGTCGATTCCCAGGTCCCCAAGACCTGAATTATTTATTATGACTAGATATTAATTTTGAAGAGCTCTGTATTTTTCTCTGAGTGTTTTCTTTTTAGTGGCAAGCTGTTCCTGTTTCAAGGAACCAATATATTCTATGATCTTTTTCCAGATAGTCTATTAGAGTACCAGAGGTCAGTATTTAGACTTTCAGTTAATTCTCTATTTAAATAATCTTACCCAGCCCTAGTTTTGCCTGATGGTCTGGAGTCCAGAGTGATCCTCTTTGGTTCGGTTATCAGCCTCTGGTCTTCCTTAGCATAAGGTGGGGGATCCTGAAGGTTCTACCACACTATATTCACTCTTTCCTCCAGTTTTCCTGTATTTAGAATAGAACTAAAAAACCCAGGGCTTTTATCATTCCTGATGCTTGCAAATGTTGAGCCAGGAATTTTACAGGCCAAACTGGCCCACTTATTGGTAGTATTTCTGTCTATATGCAGTTAAGTTGTAACTTTCTCTAATCTGCGGAGTCAGATAGTATCTGACTCCTCTACTCACCTTCACTTTTTCCAGATCTTAGCTGAAATTGCTGATATATTGTTGATTCCTTTCTTGATCAATTTGTCTTGTGTTCCTTTGCTTTCATTTTGTCTGGGTTTTGTGAGAAATGAGGGATGTTTGTAGTCTATTGATCATTTTTAACCTGAAGTCCCCCTCAGGAATATAACTTTTTTGATTTACCTTTTAATGCAAAAGAGATCATCCAAAGGGGTTTTTGAAGGCCAGGAATGCTTTAGATTCTTTGTCCTCCTGAATTGCTGAATTGTCCCTCTAAATCAGCCTTTAGGAGCCAATTGATTTGTCCAAGCCATCTTGAATAAACAAGACTCTGAGGCAAGGCCAATGTTTGGGAATGGGACCTGTGTGGTATTGCAGGGCACTGCTCTCAGAAGTGTTCTGAGCTGGTTTAACCTTCTGTTGTCTCTGTCTTAAAACTTCTTTTTTAAACGTAGTGTCTCATTTTGTTTGCTCAAGGCCCCCAAAATATGAAATTGCCCTAATCTGAAGCGTAAAATTATGATGTTTAAATATAATTTGTAGGATCACGAAGTCCCAGGGCTCTCCAGCTTAAGTTTTCTTCTGTAAATTCCTTGCCTGTAGCCATGTAACTGCTGGCTCATTTTTTCCCTCCCTCCCTCCCTCTCGCTCTCTTTCTTAAAAAAAAATATATATTTTATTACACTTATTATATATTATATTATATATATAATATATATATATTTACTTTCCAACTTTTAAGTTCAAGGGGTACATGTGCAGGTTTGTTACATGAGTAAATTGCATATCATAGCGTTTTGGTGTACAGATAATTTTGTCATCCAGATAACCAGCATAATACCCAAGAGTATTTTTTCAAGAGCAGTTTTTCAATGCTCATTTTTAAGGATGGGTAGCTCACTGTCTTCTTAGCGATTTCTTTCCTTTCTGGACCTACCTCACTGATAGAAAGTTCTGTCTTACCTCAATATGAAATATTTATCTTTCATTTAATCTATGTTCATTCTGTGTTTTATATAACAAATTCAGCAAATTATGTGTGACAAACAAATATATATTTCTGTTTTTATTCTAAAAGACATACACATCATGGCAATGTTGGAAAATATTGAAAACCATAAAATATAATTACTGCTAATTTCTCGATTGAGAAATAAGCATTTTTAACCTGTTGACATATTTCTTTTTTATCTTTTTGTATGCATAGCTAGTAACAATAACACTGATAAGGGTAGTAGCTGATTTACTTAGTGTTTTTAATGTGCTAGGGATTGCGTTAACTGCTTTAAAAGAATTACTGCACTCATTAGACAGACAAATATAATTAGAGAGAAATGGGTTTATTTTGCATAAATGTAAAGATTTTAATGTATATGTAGTTCTTTGCTTTTGTTCCACTGAATATCATATTGTCAGCACTTTTCAAAATTAAGAAATTATTTTAAATTTGTTTTTATTTTATTTTTTATAATTTCAACTTTTATTTTAGATTCAAGGGGTACATGTGCAGGTTGTTACGAGGGTGTATTGTGTGATGCATCTCCTGATCTCGTGATCTGCCCGCCTCGGCCTCCCAAAGTACTGGGATTACAGGCCTGAGCCACTGCACCCGGCCCATATTTTCTTTATTCAATCCACCATGGATGGGCACATAGGTTGATTCCATAGCTTTCCTATTGTGAATCATGTTGCAATAAACATGTGAGTGCCTGTGTCTTTTCGGTAAAATGATTTCTTTTCTTTTGGCTATATGCCCAGTAATGGGATTTCTGGATCAATTGATAGTTCTGTCTGAAGTTCTTTGAGACATCTTCAAACTGTTTCCACAGTGGCTGAGCTAATTTACATTCCCACCAAAAGCGTGTGTTTCCTTTTCTCCGTAGCCTTGCCAGCATGGATTGTTTTTTTTTTTTTGACTTTTTAATAATAATTATTCTGACTGGTGTGAGATGGTTTTGATTTGCATTTCTCTGATGGTTCGTGATGTTGAGCATTTTTTCATATGTTTGTTGGCCACACGTGTGTCTTCTTTTGAAAAGGGTCTGTTCTGTCTTTTGCCCACTTTTTAATGGAGTTATTTGTTTTTTTCTCATTGAATTGTTTACATTCCTTATAGATTGTAGATATTAGACCTTTGTTAGATGCATAGTTTGCAAATATTTTTTCTCGTTCTGTAGGTTGCCTGTTTATTCTGTTGATAGTTTCATTTGCTGTGCATAAACTCTTTAGTTTGATTAGGTCCCATCTATCAATTTTCGTTTTTGTTGCAGTTGCATCAGAAATAAGAAAATTAAAAAAAAACCCATAATTACTCTATGGACAGAAAATGATGACGGGTCATTTCATTCCTTTTGCAGAGTGCCAAGATGTGTGACCTTGGGAAAGTCACTTTCTTCTTAAAATTATAGTTTCTTCTTTTGTAAAATATGTATCTAGTACTTCCCCTTCATTTGCAGTTTCACTTCCTGTAGTCTGAAAATATTAGATGGAAATTTTCAGAAGTAAACAACTCTTAGGTTTTAAATTGCACATCATTCTGAGTATTGTTATAAATGCTCTATTTTATTATTAGAGTTATTGCTGTTAATCTCTTACTGTGAATAATTTATAAAGTAGACTTTATTATAGATGTGTATATAGAGAAAAAACAGTATATATAAAGTTTGGTACTGTCATGGCTTTAGGCATCCACTGGGGGTCTTGGGAGGTATCCCCCACAGATAAGTGGGGCCAACTGTAATCTAATATCTGCCTTGTCTACCTTTCAGGATTATGAGGGTGAACAACAAAAATAAAAACAACAACCATCGATTGCTACCATTGAAACCTTTTTCTGTGTTAGACTTTCACACACATTGTTATCACTTACTATGATTATTTTACCAATCCAATAAAGCAGGTGAAATACTGCTTTCTGTAAGAGAAAATTGAGGCTTGAAGGTGTATGTGGCTTGCTGAAGGACATCGAGGAGGAGCTGGTCAGTTGGGTGATAAGCTCAGAGCCCATGCCTGATGGAATTCTGGATATAGGAGAGCTGCCTCCCTTCAAAGGGCATGTATTTGCAGCAAACGTTTGCTCCATTCATTTCCTAGGATGAACTTTCAAAAGTTTTACTCCTTTGGACGACCTCTTCTTTTTCATGTTGTTTGGTTCTGGAATATATGTTACCTGTTGCCAGAACTCTGGGGCTGCATTTAAGCAGCATCCATAGAGAGATGTACACCTTAAATGGACTGGTAATCATTCAGGATTTGTAACTTTTAAAAGGCTGAAAAAGGGAGTAAATACATTTATCCTTCTGCCTCTTATTTATCTCTCACCACAACCTCAATATTCTTGATATCTTCCTCAAAATCCATCATGAAACACAACTTGAGTGTCTATTCATAGCCTCTTTGAGGCTGTGATGGATACAGAGTTTACTCCTAAACCTTCCCCTCTGATTTTACTTTTAAAAGTGCAGTGATCACTTTTCTCTTGAAAAACGAAACCTTCATTCAATACCTTTTACTTAGTCAAGTCAGTGCCATGGCCTTGGTGTCCGAAGTTCTCTTGGAGAATATTGTACTTTCTCATTTTCTCGGCTGGGTCTAGCCTTACTTTGGGCAAGAAAATAAAATAAAATAAAATAAAAATAAAATGTAAGAAGTCATATAGACCAGTTCTGAGCAGAAGCTTTAAGAACCATTGCATGATCCTTTTGTGCCTTTATTCATTCTACCCATAGAACATCAATTCCCAGGTAAGGGATGCTCCTTCAGCCTTTGTTCTGGAAGGAAGAAAATGAGGATCAGAGGACAGTCCACTGTGATGGGCATATAACATGGGTCAGAAATAAACCTTTATTGCTCTAACCCACTGAGATGTTTGGGGGCTTATTTGTTATAGTCGCATGGTTTCTACAATGCTGACTGATACAGTGGGTTATGCCTATGGCTTTCCTTTTATTCAATCAGAAATGAACAATCATTTGTTATTACTTCAACTCTTCAAATATGTGTGACTGTGCACTGCAGAATGCTCTATGCTATAGCAATGGTTCTTAACCTTGGCTATCCATTAGAAAAATCTAAGAAAGTTCTGTCTGTTTTGTTTAATGTGAATCCTCTGGCTCCATTCAGGACCAAATGAGTTGGAATTTCAGGGTGTAAGTCCCCAAGCATTGGCATCTTAAAAAGCTCTGTAGGAGTTTGTATAATGAAGACAGGAGTGAGAACTATTTCTCTAGAGGGAAAGAAGTCTGGATTCTTCAGAGATAAAGGCAGTCAGTGAAATAAACCATACACTTGGCAGAAAAGCAGTAGATCAGAAAAATTCCAGGAAAAAGGAAAAATAATGATGTGACTGACACAAATGAAGAAAGAAAAAGTGAGTGCCTGTCCCTAGGCCAGTTTTGCAGCAAGAAGAAGACAGTCTGAGAGCCACTGAGGCATCTGGCGTGGAGTAAGGAAGGTAATGGATTTTATGCCAGTGGGGAATAGAATCTCTCAGAAATTAATTGTAACCTATGTTTCAAGGAGTTCCATAACATCAAGAAAGACCAAAATAATTTCTCCTTTTTACGTGTTCAACCATCATCACACAGCCAGAATCTACTCATAGGAAATTAGAAGTGCAAGGAAAAAAATAGGGTTTCCAACTTCATATATTAGCTGTTATTTTAGTATTGTATTATATCAAAGATTAACCATATAATTTTGGATAAAAGTGAAGTTGCAAATTTCCAGAAGTGTTAGGAAAAGGGAGAACAAAATATTATAAGTAACAATATTCTATGGATATTGCTATGTTTGGAAGTAGGTGTACAAATCCACTAACACTGGCATTACCAGTTCATTGAGAACAAAACACAAGGTTACACATTGTGACATATACAGTGGCTATAAAATTCAACGTGTCTCTACAAGATCAGTCAAGTCGGGGAGATAAGATAGCCTCAGAAGATCAAAGTGTATAGCCTTTTACTCTTGAGTAAATTATACCTATCCACTCATCCATCCATCCATCCATCTTTCCTACATTTATTGAGCATTCAGTATTCATTCATTTAATTCTTTCAGTCAACACTTATTGAGAGCATACATATGTCAGGCACCAATGCCAGGTTAAAAAAATTCCCAATATATGCTTATCTCATAAGATATAGTGAAAACCAAATAAGATAATGTAGATAGAAAGGCTACATGTATACATTTTTTTCCTTGAGATGGAGTCTCACTCTGTCACCCAGGCTGGAGTGCAATGGCATGCAATCTTGGCTCACTGCAGCCTCTGTCTCCTGGGTTCAAGCAATTCTCCTGCCTCAGCCCCCCAAGTAGTTGGGATTACAGGTGCACTAACCACACCCAGCTAATTTTTTGTATTTTTAGTAGAGACAGGGCTTCACCATGTTGGCCAGGCTGTCCTTGAACTCGTGACCTCAGGTGATCTGCCAGCGTTGGACTCCCAAAGTGCTGGGGTTACAGGCATGAGCCACCATGCCCAGCCTTATATGTATACTTTGACAAGCTATTTAGACATAAAGGATTATTATCATCCAATCTCTAGTATCACTGCTCTGTCATCCAGTGTTCTGATATTTTTCAATCTGTTGACAGGCACAAATATTTCCCAGGACTCCATAGGCCAGCAATTTAAAAACTGGAAACATTCATAAATATACAAGTTGACTAATTAGTCCTTAATTAGTTAGCAGATTGCATATTTTAATCACCCTAAGATATATTGGTTAATGTCATGAAATGAAAATAAAAGTTTGGCTGCATTATATTAGGTCAAAATTTACATAAAGACTTGATTAAAATATTTAATGGCACCTGCCAATCTGAGGCATGGTTAGCCAGACAGTCAGTGGCATTTTTGAGATCTTGCTGCTCTTTGGCAGTTTGGGCATCAAATTAACAGGTTATCTCTTAATTCAATCAAGGAAAACTGGAATATTTTAAACATCTATAATATTGCAAGATCTTTACTGAGCACTCTGTAAAGAAATGTAAGCATTATCAGCCTGTGTTGCATTTGAAGAAACTGAATTTTCTATGCATTCGAATAGCATAGAAAGGTGAAGAAACTAGCCTGAGATCATTCAGATGAAACATAGGTCGACAGTGGTTATGCATGGCCAGAAGACAAATCTTATCCTAGTTGATTTGTTATGAATTATCCATAGAACTTCTGCCTGAGGGTCCTGACTTACAAGGTGACTGAACCCCCATGTTGATCATTTCCTTGTTTCAGAAGCTGGTCCTTGAGTTTTCCCATTTGGAAATTCGGCTTATTTGTAACATGCATCCCATGCTAATGAAATCAATTGAGAACAATGCAAACACCAAGATGTCCATTTATTAATTTAAAATGAGAAAGAAAAAAATGTCTTGACAGCATAAGATTTTTGAGTCCTCTGGTGAACATGTTTCTTGCTGAAACCACAGGCAAATAAATCTGAGGATTCCTTAATGTATGTACCTTAACGAACATACATTGAATAAACTCTCTTTAAAATGGAGTGATACCTGTTAAGGGGGGTTAAATTATACTTAACCTTCTAATCAAAAGGCACTTTGTTTCAGACAGAGCTGAAGACTCTCAATTACTGCTATTGGTGCTTTGTGACCTTGTATTTACACTGAGCTGATTCAGTTGGCAAGGAAAGTCAAGATAGGACAATCCTAAATTACTTCTGGCATCTCACACCTTACAAAGTCTGCCTGCCTCTAGGCTGTTGCTTTTCAACCTCCAATTTAGTTATATTTTGTTTGCTATTAGTCACTGAACTGATCTTGGATCTCTCAGCTCTTCCCTTGGTTCTCTCTAGGACTATGTATCTGATGTACAATTTTAGTTAATAATTTTTCTGACCTTGATTTCAGCCCCAAGAACCCAACTTTCCTAAAATGGTCCAACTAAGTGGGAGTACCCCTGATTCCACCTTGTTGGAAGAGGTAAATGTTCATTGTCTTCTCTCTCCCAAGCTTCCTCTCACACAAAATCCATTTTTATTTCAGTATTTTTTTCTCAGATACATTCACATCTCTGATTTTCTTGCACTTAAGACTTTTTTCTTTTAGTTTTTCTTGCAGTTAAGAGGACGTGTGAGTAGATTGCCAGGGTCTTGTTCCTTCTGCATTTTCCCGAAGAAATGGTTCAGTTGAACATAGGCTTCTGAAGATATCTGATCTCATTCACTACATGTTGATTTTACTTGGTTATATCTCAGAGTTTAGAGATGCTCTATTTTTTCCTTTATGCCACTTAATAAAAGAATAGTACCTTTGGGGGATATTCCTTTATAATTTATAAATTATTTTCATGCTCATTCTCTCATCTCTGAATAGCCCCTGAAAAGGAGACTACTGTGGAGTAAATACCTCATTTCAGTGATTTTTTTGGATTTTCCTCTTACATCTGTGCTTTTGTGACTTGGCTGGAAATATCAGAGCAACTGACAGAGGCCACATAGTGCCTCTAGACAAGGAGACTGAGAAAAGACAAAAGAAACATTAAAAAACAAAATTAACAATAAAAACAAAAGCAGACTTTACAGAAGGAAGAAAGCTGGGCAAATGGCCAGGCTCTGCACATGTTGCATCAGCTTCAGAAAGAAATCCTCTTGGCCAAAGCACGTGGAGTCAGAATCTTTGCCAATGGGCTGCACAAATGAGGATTTAGATGTACAAATGGCATTGCCCAGTGAGCTACTGGCACGTTCCTGTGCTTTCCATGCTCCTGTAAATTCTTCTCGAAAGGTGAATTGTTTTTAACAATCAAAGCCTGGCTTTGATGGTAGCTGCCATGAGGCAGGCCTTAGCCCCGGGGTCTGCACATGGACCCTCCTGCTTGCTCTGATCACTCACACCCCGCACCTCAGTCCCCATCCAGCAACTGCTGTGTCCTCCCCTTCCCGTGGCTTCTTTTTCTTTAAGTGGGATTTCTCCCAGTTTGGGCCCCTGCTCAGCTGCCTCAGTTGGCAATAGCTATTGGGAATGGGTGTTCAGAGCCTCCAGCTGCCTCCCCAAGGCAGCCAGTACTCCACCCTTCTCAAAAGCTCTGCATGTCTGGCTTGTCTTTCTGCTTTGTGTCTCTCTTTTCTCTTATTCACAAATATACTACTTAAAAATAAAATTTAACGAACAAAGAACCTCCCTGCTCATACCATGTTCTTGCTCATACCTATGCAGAGTCTTTCCATTATCTTTGATGCCAGGCCTAGCATCCCAGGTGCGGAAGTTTGGGCCTCTCATGATGCAGCAATGAGTGCCCACAGGACGTGGCCTGAGCATTTCTCTTGGCAAATGTCATTGCTTGCTGTGTGTGGTGCTACGGGGGTGTGAGTCTTCTGACTTTCAGCCTCTTGAGGGCTGGGTCCACATCTGCATGTCTGACTGAATCTGATACTTCTCACAGCACAAGGCAGAGCTCCTGATTCAGGGTATATGTTCTGTGAATATTTGCTGCATGCAAAAAAGAATGAATGAGTTATCTGAGTAACATTGTGCATCCGAGCAAAGCAGGAGCTGTGATATTGAACAAAAGACTTGAATGACTGCTTTTTTCTTATGCATTCTTTTATTTGGAAAATATTTTTAAGCAGAAAATCATGAAGAATAATAAAAACAAAGTATCTTGCACCCATTATCTAAAACTGAATTGGTAATGGTTTTTCTTCATATCTGCTTTAGATCTTTAATAAATGAAATAAATGTGACTGTATGTCCTACATCCCATTCCTGTTGTCTTCCATGTCTCCTCAGAGGTAAGTACTATTAACTCTATATAGAGGTATACAGTATATATAGTCTTCTCTGTATATATTTTATCTTTTCTTATACTTTTATGTACAAATACGTGTATCAACCAGTACGTAGCAGGAATCAGCAGATTATGGCCTGTGAGACAAATCCAATTCATGACTTGCTTTTGTAAGGATTCCAAGCTAAGAATGGTTGTCACACTTTAAAGAGCTGTAAAACAAACAAACACAAATAATATACTACAGAGTCTGTATGTGGCCTACTAAACCTATAATATTTACTCTTTGTCCTTTATAGAAAAGTTTGCCAAATCTGATATATAATATTAGCTTTGTTTTAAGCTATAAAAATGTATCATATCCTGTAATCATTCCAAAATTTGTTTCAATTTTCAGCCCTACATTTCTTGAATTCTGTCCTTATGGATATATACATTCTGCTTTAGTTCTTTTAATGGCTGCATAATATTCCACCATATTGATATAACATATTTTAAATTCATTCCCCCATGTAATTGACAGTTATATTGTTTCTGTCTTTTTCACTATGAAAAAAATTGCAAGAAATAATCTGGTACCTTGTGGACTTGAGAATTTTTTAAAGAATACATTCTTGGAAATGGAGTTACCAGTTTATAGAGGTTGTACATTCTCAATGTTGCTGGACAGAACCAAACTATTCTTGGCAGGAGTTGTAAATGTTTCAACAATGTCTTAGTCTGTTTTGTGCTATTGTAACAGAAACCGAAGACTGGGTAGTTTACAATGAACAGCAATTTATTTCTCACAGTTCTGGAGGCTGGGTAGTCCAAGATTAAGAGGCCAGCATATGATAAGGGCCTTCTTGCTTTATCATCTCATAATGGAAGAGCAAAGAGAGAGTGGGAGATAGACAAAGTGGATCAAATTCATCTTTTTATAAGAAAACCATTCCCCCAATAATGAATCCACTCCCACAATAATGGCGTTAATTCATTCTTGAGAGCAGAGCCTTCATGACATAATCACCACTTAAAGTCCCCACTTCTCAACACCTTTGCACTGAGGGTCAAGTTTTAACACACGAGCCTGGAGGAACACATTCAAACAATAACCTTCCCTTTGAGATACATTCTTAATCTCGCCAGGCTTTAGCTCTCCCATTGACCCAGCTAATGGGAAGCCTAAGTCCTGTCCTAATGACCTTCAGTGCTCTATTTCCTCCATGTAACAGACAAAACATCACAAGTAAAATCTCTTTGAAGAGCTGCAAGTTGCAGGTAAAATAAGAGTGTTGTCGGTCTAAAGAGGTTACATGCAAGAATATCAAGAAAGGTTCTCTCTAGCCTGAGTAGAAATAACAGAGGCAGAAGACTCTCTGAGAGACTTTGTCAAGAGGATGCCGAACAGCATTCCACTTCAGAGCAACGTCTAGTGACAGGTGTTCTGCTCTGTGGCAATTTGGCCCACTGCACACTTTCCCCAGGTGCTGTCGGTGATTGCTGTGGTTGGGGACCACTTCCCTCTAGGTTCACAACTCTAGGGACAAAGACTGACAGAGCAGATCCCCAGTGAAGCCAGTTGTGATTGCACCAAAGAATCTGTTGAGCATTTATGGTGTAACTCATGCTGACCCATAGTCTGGAGCCAAGGCAGGAGAAAGGAAGTCATGATATAAAATCCTTGCTTCAAGTTGTTAGTGGTCTAACTATTGCCTGGCATGAGAACCAATAGGTCCTTAGCTCTGTGGGGATCTCCTTGATCCTTGTAACATAAGAGATCGTCACACGTGTTCTAAACACAAAGTGAAATAAACTCACAGGACTGGGTCCAAGCTGTAGGTCCTTTGGGTATATTTGTTGGTTGCTCTGGCCATTTTTTGTTACCTGGAAAATGAAAAGATTGGAGCAATTCATTTTCCTTATTAAAAAATATATTCCTCATTAACACATATATTCCTCATTATGTACTGACTTCTTCATTCCCTGCCACTACTGCATATTGAAGGTCTATCATCTCTCATATGGACTATTGCAATAGGCAGCTAATTGGTCTATCTGGCTCCAGTCTCTCCCTGGTCTACAGTGCCGCCAAAGGGATGTCTCTTGCATATGAAACTGAAACTTTCAGAATCCCATTGTCTCCACCTGAAGTCCAAACACTTAATGCAGAGAACATAGGTTTGATATCTATCTCTTGACTCTCTAGAATCAACTCAATCTCTTCTCCTCAGATTCCTGGGCTCTTTGTGGTTTCTGAAAGGTACCATGCTATTACTTCTTTCCTGCTTCTTCTGATACTCCCACTGTTAAGGAGCTTGAAATTAGATTAGGGACTGTCTCATACTCATTCTTATAAGCCGAGAACCTGGGAGACTAGTTGGTACCTACTGGATGCACAAAATATGTTTTTAAAATTAATGAATACATGAATGACTGAGTGTAGAGACTCATTTTCCTGGATAGGTTGGCTCTCCTTGGAGCTTAGATCAAGTGCATATTTGCTAAATGAAGCTTTTATTTGGATGGCAGCATCTTGGTGAGAAGCTAATCCAAGTCTGGTCAGTCTTCCCAAAGGAATCTTCAATTAGAAGGGGCTGGAAGGAGAAGTAGAGCTATGTGTGGAGCTGGAGGGGCAGCTACAATGCAGAAGAAGGGGTCAAATGGGAACTCCAGGGTCAAAATCTGCACTAATGTGTGGGGATCTGCAGTGATTTTTGTAACGTGACATTGCTTCCGGGGTAGGAAGGAGGAAGAACAAAGACAGGCTTCTTGGATATTATTCCTGAACCTCTGCCAAAAGTTGTTAAGGAAAATGAAATTCTGATCAGGAATTTCTTCCCGCATAGCAGGATTTCTTACCTTATATGATAAAAGTGGGTATCATGGGAGAAGAACTGGCCTAGAAATCAAGAGATGTGAGTGCTAAGCTCACATATCCTAGTGGCTGTCCATGTGATCATGCACCAGTCACCTCTTTCTCTGGACTTCCACTCAGTCATGCCTTAGTTAAAAGGGTGGAACTAGATTAGGATCTACAAGTCTGCGACATCCATGTCCTCATTCCCCTCTCCCTTGTCCTTGGGGTAGACATTATTAACTGGTGTGGGTCCTGTTCCACTGAGAATTCTTCCAGGAAGCCACTACCAATTGATCAGAGATGGCTTCTGAGATGATCCTATCCAAGATTCCTGATTGCTGTGGCACCCTGAAAATCTCATGAAAAATAAGAGTTGCCTTTGTGAGGAATAATTGCTCTGATTCTCTTTACCTCTGCTTTGCTAGGATGATGAACCCTCTCCAAAATGCCACTCAAGTCCCAGATTAGAGTGACAGAGCGGAGGTAGCTGGCAGCACCACTAGGGACCAGTGGAAGGTGTTTGCCACCAGCTGAAATGCCTGATCTGGGTCCAGCTGACATACAGCACCAATAGCTAATTTAGAAATTACTTCTACAGCTAGCAGCTGTTAATAAAAACAAATAACACAATATAACACAGAACCAAATCCAACCAACCAAACAAGTAAAGCCAAAACATCCAAAAAAGTAGAATGTAGTCTCTCCAAAAGAGATGCTTAGCTAAAAATTTGACATTTTAAGCCAATGTATGAGGGGAAAGGGCATCTTGTATATAACAGCTATTGTAAGTAGTAATAGGAAGTAACCTGGGTGCTCATTATAATTTTATTTCTCTTTGCTGTTCCTGCTGTTCAGTATGTGCCCCATCATTTACTCTGAGAATTGTTTATGCATCCTGAGGCTGCAGAGAGTAGAGGCAACGGAGAACAGGCCAATGTTTTAATTAAGACTCATCATTCCCAGGGCAGTAATACTTGTCAATAGAGCACTAGATGTTTTTCTGGCACTTTCACAAATAATTGACCCCCGCAACCACCTGGCAAAAAGTCAGAGTGAAGAGTATTTGTCTGTGTTAGAAAAAAATAGTTTTTCATTTATTTAGGAAAGTTGTTGGGGGCTTACTATATGCTGGGCTCTGGGAACGCCTATATGAGTGAGTCGAAAGCCCAATGATCACAGCCTAGTTGGGAGGCGAAGAATTGAAATTCAGTTGGTTCCCAGTGGTATGTATGACTGTGTTGGCCAACATCAGTTAAGGCTAGTTAGAATCCCTGCTACACCATTTATTAAGTCTTTCCAATATCCCATGTGCAGATAAGCCGCCAATAGTCACCTAACCACATAGTAATAACTGCCAAAAAGGTAAGGACAGTGCGAACTGAGAGCAGGATGCTCAACTCAGGGAAAGTTTCCAGAGGAAATGAGGCAGAGTAGGATTTTAGAGGATGGGAAGGGATTCATCAGTTTGTCAAGAAGGAAAGGACATTCTGAGAAAAGATAGTTTATGCAAAGACTGTATACAGGGTCTTACAGCACTCTTGAGGAACTGCATGCAGTTTATTGTGGCTATATAAAAAGGCACATTTAAAAATATATAAGTAATGGTCCTGAGGGCAGGGATCATGCCTCTTTTGTTGCATAGCCACCTCATACCATGCCTTGAGTATGGTCGCTATTGACTAAATCTTGAATGAATGGATGATTGAATGAAGTAAGTGATGGTAGGAGAAGCAGCCAGGAAAGATCAGGCATCAGGTTTTGAAGAGTTCCACTAGCCATTTTAAAGAATTTGCTTAATACTTCATCCTGCAGGTAACAGGAAGCATTTGAAAGTTATTAGTGGGCTGGTGAAACTGGAGGCAGTGAACAGTTAGGAAATGGTGCAAAAGATAATAAGTGGGCAGTGATAGTGGCATGATCTTCAGTACTAACCTCAACCTTAAGACCTTTGTTCCTGCCTTAGCTTAGTTTGAATTCACAGGCAGATCTGGCTGGTTTATGTCTCCATCCTCTACCCACTTAGTTTCCTCTAACTGAAATGCTTTCTCTGTTTTACCACTGTCATTAACGTGGTGAACTTCTTCCTCATCTCTCGTAACTGAACTCAAATTTCTTGTCCCCTTATAAGACATTTATGAACTGTCGCTTCATTTCCCAGCTCCAACTCTCCTGGTAGAACTGAGGATTTCCTTGAGTCTTAATGGTACCCAATACAGCTTTGTGCCCTGGCATCAATTCAAAGCTAGAGTTTATTTTTTTCTAGATTCTTCACTTCATGACAAGCCTTGGAAGTTAGGGGCAATGTCATATCCACGTTTGTTATCCATTTCATTACAAAGAACAGCGCTTGGCCATGGCAACTGCTTAGTAATGAGTCTGGCTATCTAATACTCTTTCTCTCTCTCTCTATCTACATCAACATCATCATCATTATCTATATTTGAACTAAAAGAAGAAAATTCATAAGTTGGTAACTGGGATATTTTCACTGGAGATTGCCTGTGAAAATCTCTCCAGCTGCTAATGGTGAGGCTAGAAAGTAGGGGATTGGTGCAATCTTAGTTAAATTTTATAATAAACTGAATAGACTTAGAAAAGTATACCTCTTCCTTATACTTTAATCTACATTATTAGCCTGTTTTATATGTGCCATCAAAAGAGGCTTCTTTTGGATCAACAGCACATCATGAAAAGAAGCTGCAAGCCTGCAGATAGTATAGAATGTCAGGAGAAACCCAGCATGGATTTTTATTACTTAGTTCAGAAGAAACTTGACTGGGTGATCCTGTGTCAGTTCAAAATTATTTCTTCATGCCACCTAGAAAGCAGTGAATCAAGAGGATTAAGAAAGGAGACTTCAACTTGAGCCTCTTTTATTTCATAGCCCTTCTCACACATCCATTCCTCTCCACATTTTGCCTTCCACTCCAAAGATTTGGTAGGGCATTTTTTTTTTTTTTTTTTTTTTTTTTGAGACGGAGTCTCGCTCTGTCGCCCAGGCCGGACTGCGGACTGCAGTGGCGCAATCTCGGCTCACTGCAAGCTCCGCTTCCCGGGTTCACGCCATTCTCCTGCCTCAGCCTCCCGAGTAGCTGGGACTACAGGCGCCCGCCACCGCGCCCGGCTAATTTTTTGTATTTTTAGTAGAGACGGGGTTTCACCTTGTTAGCCAGGATGGTCTCGATCTCCTGACCTCATGATCCACCCGCCTCGGCCTCCCAAAGTGCTGGGATTACAGGCGTGAGCCACCGCGCCCGGCCTGGTAGGGCATTTTTAAAGATTCTTCTCTTTTGAAAAAAGATGGAAATTCAAGGCATATGACGTGCCATTTCCCTTGGCATCATGTAAACAGCAGTAATTGATTATAGAAATCTTTCCTTTTTTTTTTTTTTCTGAGATGTAGTCTCACTCTGTCACCCAGGCTGGAGTGCAGTGGCATGATCTGGGCTCACTGCAAGCTCCACCTCCTGGGTTCACGCCATTCTCCTGCCTCAGCCTCCTGAGTAGCTGGGACTACAGGCGCCCGCCACCACACCCGGCTAAGTTTTTGTATTTTTAGTAGAGATGGGGTTTCACCATGTTAGCCAGGATGGTCTCAATCTCCTGACCTGATGATGCGCCCGACTAGGCCTCCCAAAGTGCTGGGATTACAGGCGTGAGCCACCACACCTGGCCTAATCTGATTAGAACCTAAAATCTTTTATAGCAACCATAATCAATCATAAGTTGCAAATCCAGGCATGGTAACACTCTGGGGAAGACAACACTCACACCACCCCACATACCACTCACATCACACACACCACACATACCACCTCACATACTACACACACTACTCACACCATATACACACACACACAAACACATGTACACAACACACACCAATACATTGCCAATGAGCAGTACACACATACCACACAGTAAACACACACTGGGTCCACCACCAATGAGCAGTAATATTTTAAAAGGAATCTTCTTTGTAAGTGGTAGATCTCAACAGTGGGCTTAAAGTATTCAGTAAACCATACTGTAAATACATGTGTTGCCATCCAAGCTTTGTTGATCCGTTTATAGAGCAAAGGCAGACTAAATTAAGATAATTCTTAATGGCTCTAGAATTTATGAAATGGTAAACAAGCATTGGCTTCAATTTAAAATCACCAGCTGCATTAGCCCCAAACAAGAGTCAGTCTGTTCTTTGAAGTTTTGAATCCAGGCATTCTCCTCTTCTCCTCTTTGGCTATGTGTATCCTAGGTGGCATCTTCTTCCAATAGAATACTGTGTTGTTTGTGTTGCAAATGTGTTGTTTAGTGTAGCCACCTTAATCAATGATCCTAGCTAGACCTTCTGGATAACTTGCTGCAGCTTCTACATCAGCACTTGTTGTTCCACTTTGCACTTTTGTGTTACAGAGATGTCTTCTTTCCTTAAAACCTAATGAACCAACCTCTGCCAGCTTCATACTTTTCTTCTGAAGCTTCCTCACCTCTCTCAGCCTTTATAGAATTGAAGAGCTAGGGCCTTGCTCTAGACTAGGCTTAAGGGAATGCTGTGGCTAGTTTGATCTTCTATCCAGACCAGTATAACTTTCTTCATATCAGTAGTAAGGCTCTTTCACTTTCTTATTATCTGTATGTTCACTGGAGTAGCAATTTAAATTTTCTTAAAATATTTGTCATTTGCATTCACAACTTGTTAACTGCTTGGTGGAAGAGGCCTGGTTTTCAGCTTATCTTGGCTTTCGACATGCCTTCCTTTCTAAGCTTAATCATTTCTAGCTTTTGATTTAAAGTGAAAGACTTGTGACTTCCTTTCACTTGAACACTTAGCAGCCATTGTAGGGTTATTAATTGGCCTAATTTAGGCTCATTCATTGAGCATAAGAAACATTTTCAGGACTCTGAGCTTTTGCTCTACGTATTCCTAGATTTGGAATACCCTCTCCCTTAGCTTGAAATTATTTTCATCCTTCAAGACCCAAATATGAATTTTCATGTGAAAATGTTACCATTTCCTCTGCTTTGCATATTCTACTTATTATGATATCACTTTATAGTTAGTTGCAGGTGTCTCTGTCGGCCTTCCTGGACTTGAAACTCCTTGTTGGCAGAGACCATGTTTCATTTAGCTCAATAAGTTCAGAGACCAGGTCAGGATTGGAATGTGTAAGTGCCTATTAAATGCTTGTGGAGGATAATGGCTTAGTGGCAACTGTCACAAAGTGTGAGCCTCCCTTCCGTTTTCCCCCAGAAAGGCACCAGCGGATTGTTCTTATTCTCTTGCCAGAATGGCAAACGCAAACACACGTTGAGAGGATATTCTAGAGAACAGCATGGAAACTGCTTTAGGGCTGTCACGCTGTCTTTTCTGAATGAGGTGGTTTCATGTGTAATTAAAGTGTCTTCTGTTGTTTCTTTGCAAACGTGATAAATATAGGTAATTTCACAAAACCAAGGCAGTAGAGACCATTTGACTTAAGAGCTGGGGAATCATCTACACATCTGCTACTGCTATTTTCCATTTGCTATCAGCCAGAGAAAAAGCCTTTGTCCTTTGAGATGGGCTAACCTTAACTGATGATATAAATTAAATTTATATCTCAATAAACTTTTTTACTTTAGAAAATTCTGAGAGACTTCACTTAAAAATTACAATATTCAGTCCCTGTCTAGGTGTTTTAGAGGATCCAGTAAAGGTGAAGCTATAAACCTTGCCTCACTGATCAGATAAGAAAATAATAATAATAAAAAAATTAATAAGAAAGAAAATATAATAAGTTATGAAGAGTGGTTCCTACAAAGCCTCTTCCCCTGATCCTACCTCAGAGAAGATGAAAAGCAGGAAATTGAACTATTTCCTCCAGAAAACAGAGCCAAGAGTTTGAAATCACGTCTTAAATTCAAGTTTTGGACAAACTACTTAATATCTGTATAATCCATAGCAACATGTTTAATTTTTCCCGTGTTATTTTGCTCACTGGAAACCTGTAACAGTAAGCATCCTTCAGAGAGTGGATACAAGGGTTAATGAGAAAATGTATGAAAGATGCCCAGAATGATGGAATGATGACTGACTTCTAGTAAGTGTGCAACAAAATTCAGTCCTTTTTTCTTACAGATTTTTGTGAAGTTTACAACATTTTGTAAAATATAAAGTGCTCTACAATATTAGTTATTTTTCATACATATTTGATGTACAGGATCAAGATCAACTACTTATATTTACTTAAAAAAACACCAAACAAATGAATGTGTCATTATGGAGTTTCTATTCAATGTAATATGAAGGAATACAGAATAGATCCCTGGAAATCTTTCCCTCATTTTTGCCCAGTTATAAAGCTGTTTGTTTTAGAACAATCAAGAATTACTGTCAACATTGAAACAGAAAGAGGAAGAAACTTCAAAATATTACCTTAATGTGCTAGGCATTTAATTAGTGTTGATTTGGTGCCTTAAACATGGCACTCATTAGGGGGATTGTACACACTAGTGAAGAGACAAATTGAAGCAAGTAACTATTTTGATGAGAAATTGCACATTACATTTTGAAGTACAAAATTTAATCCTAAGGTACCATAGGTGTAGAAACACGTTGGCAAATGAAAGAAGCAGGCGCCCACTTTAGATTCCATCATGTGCTATGACAGTGAGCTTTCACCTTACTTCATTTAATCTTCACAGCAATATTATGGGGCAGGTGTTAGTGTCTCTTTTGTAGAGCATTAGGGTAATGTGTTGGTTTTCTTTCATTCATGTGGTTAGTAAGAGACAAGATAAGATACAACCCCACAAGCTCTGACTTTTGGGGGCACTTAGATTGAGATCTCATTCAATCATGTTCCCATGCAATGAGGGGCTGTCTTCCTGCAGATAATCTGATCGTATGCCTGTCCAGGTAAAACTCAGAATGCAGAGCATGCCAGAGTCAAATGTTAGTAAAAAAGTGCTTCTACATCCAAACACTTCCTGATCATTACTTAATGATGAATACTCAGCTTTGGAATGTGAATCTCTGTTTAAGTCTATTCTCACTTGATTCTCATCTAAAACTCGGAAGCAGCAGAGTGTGTGTTGTGAGGGAAAGAGAGGAAAGTGGTGTACACAAGTGTGTGTTCATGCACCTGTGTGTGTGTTGGGGTGATGCTGGAGTTGTGTGTGTGTGTGTTTTGCAGGGCATGAGGTTGGGATTGGGAACTAGGAGTTGGCACGGGGATGTTTGGATTCCCACTTGTGGCAGAATTCTTGCTACCAGTGGAGGAACTCTAAGACATTGTCTGTGCCTTGCCCACCCTCACTCCACTACCTGTTCATAAAATCTTAATGACCACTTATTTCAGGAGCTGTAACTGAGATCCTTTAAGTCAGAAGAACTTTAGTGAACTTGTATGGCTTTGAGAGGTAAAATGAGTAAACATGATGTTACTTTTTGATCCTCAAAACTGAGATGTAAGACTCAGGGAAAATCTGAAAGGAGGGGGACATTCCACAGGTCGAATCTCATTTGATATACATCCAACAGGATGCAGGGCTGGCATCTCCCAAACCAATAAGCCTCTCTTTACTATAAATTGTGAACCCTAGAGTCTACCAATTAACTAGCATCAGTTGTATTCGTTTACCATGTTGTGTAACAAACTACCACCCATCGATAGGCTTAAAACAACACCCATTTATTATCTGCAGTTTCTTTGGGTCAGGGGTCCAGGCATGGCTTAATTGGCAGTGTAACCTTATGAGTTTGAGCAGTTATGCCTGAGGCTGTAATCAAGGTGTTGGCTAGGCTTTGTTCTCATTTGGATCTTGGGATCCTCCTCTAAGCATATGCAGGTTGTTGACAGAATTGAGCTCCTTGTGGTTGTGAGTGAGATCCTCAGCTCCTAAACTCCTCTCAATAGGTGGTTCTCAATACACCTTTTTCAAAGCCAGCAGGAGAGCCTCTTTCCTGCTTTGAGTCTGTTCTTTCAGAGAAGGCTTGAATCCCCCTTCAAAGAACTCACTGGCTGTCCTAGAAAACCCACCCAAGATAGCCTTTTTGATGAACTCAAGGATGATTGGTTAGGGATGTTAATTACATTTGCAAAATTCTACCCCCTTTGCTATATTCTAACTAGTGAGGAGCAAATCATAGGTTCTGCCCTCCTTCACAAAGGAAGGAAATTATACAAAGTGTAGATGCTAGGGGACAGAAATCTCAGAATTCTGCCTACCATACCAGTGGATTTCAAAACAAGCTGTATGTGTTTAAGTTACCTGTGACCCATCAGGAGTTGGGGACAAATGTTAGAAGCTCAATTTATAATGACTATTTATCTTATTCATTTTAATTTGTGTGTGATATATGATAAATATAATCTGTTAAAAGAGTAGAAGATGCATGAAATTTATAAATAAATACATCTCTTGAGAAGTGTGCTTTTTAATTTGTTTCTTGCTGACAGGGAGAACAATAGAAAATTGTGAAGACCACTAGCTGACTTAAACAGATGGTCTGACAAGCGCTGTGTTACATTGTTTTTGAATTTTGAAAGTTAACAGGTCAAATTAGATACATAAAAGGCAACACGGTTGCCATTAGCTATTTCTTTTCTTGCTTTTAGTATGCCTTGTATTTTTTTGTTGGAAGCTGGACATGACATATTGGGCAAAGTAGGCCTTTAGCATTAGTTTTTATGTTAATTTGGGTAGGTTAGCATTGAAGCTGAAAGTGTTGGAGACTTAAAAGTCCTTTAGTGTCCTTGTTTTGTATACCTGTTATCATTGTGCTCCCTCAAGAACTCCTCATCAGATAGAATCTGTGTCTTGGAGCTCCTTCAGCTGTAATTTGCTACTACTATACTGGATCCCTGTTGGTCTGGTGGTAAGGTGTGGGGAAGTAGACATTCTATAAGCTTATGATGAATTATGTCTTTTAGTGGTCCTGTATCCCTGGGCTGTGACCTTTCAAGTGTTTCTTAGCTTCCTTTTTCCCACCTTAGGTGACACAGGAAGGCTAGAGGGGGCTGGAGTAAGAGAAACACCATTGTTCTGGTGGATTCAAATTCTGCTAAAGTTTTTTACTGCAGAAAGCAGGCTTTGGTCATGGAGATGGAAACATAGAGGATATTCTAGAAAATTATGACTGCAATCTAATAAATAAATTAGAGTGTCTTGAACTTGAGTATGGTTATGGAGGTAGTGGAAAGTGGTTAGAAATTTAGGGTGTGTTTTGAAGTCATAGACATCTTATACCTAAGTATTGGGTAGAATAGAAAGAGAGAAATCGAGGATAACTTTGGGGTTTTGGCCTAATAACCTCATGAATGGTGATGCTAGTTACTTAAAGGAAACCAGATTGGGGTGAGAAGCGGGAATAAAAGGACATGTTTTGCAGTATCTATTAGACATTAAATTGAGATGTATAGGCAGTTGGTTAAAAAAATCTTCAGCTTAAGGGAGAGGATGGAACTATATATGTACACACACACACACACACACACACACATACAATGCAAACGTAACATGTTTTTATTTATTTTTGGTAAGTTAAAGCTATGGGATCGCTTACTTCACCTAAGCACGTAGTGTAGAAAGGGATGAGAGAGAGCAGAGGACTGAGTCTGGAGGCATTTCCACATTAACCATCAGGAACAATGATCACATGGCAGTGAGTTATGAGATAACCAAAGGATGCTGCAGAGTCTGGAAGCCAACTGGAGAATGTGTTTTAAGAAGGAACAGTAATAAGTCACACCAAATCTACTGATAAGTAAAATGAAGACTGAGAATTGTCCATCTGATTTGGTATGAAGGGATTGTTGGTGACTTTGTTGGGAATAACTTTATTAGATTGGTGAGAATAGAATTTTTTTGGAGTAGTTTAAAAAGTTAATTGCAAGTAAGAGAGTATAGCCAACAAGTATAGACAAAATTTGGAGTCATTTTTCTATAAAGTGGATCAGAGATATATGCAATAGCAGGTAGAGGGGTACAGGTTGAAGGTAATGTTTTTGTGACAGAACGATTAATTACAGAATGATTGTGTGCTGATGAGAATGATTCAGTAGAGGAGGAAAGAGAGAGAAGACAATTGCAGGAGAAAGATTCTAAGAAGGTGAGAGGTACGGGGCCTGCTACGCAAGAAAATTGTTACTCTGCAAGAGGGGGAAGAGGATAGGAACAGGGCTCATTCCTCCCTTGCAACAGTAGGAAGTCAGAGCATCAGGGTACCTGTGCCAATATTTTAGTTGATTCAGTGGCAGGGTGCTAGGAATATTCTCCTTTTGTCACTAAGAAAAGTGATAAAAAGACTGTCTGAGAAAATTGTTCACATAAATAAGTGGCAGTTATGAGCCAAGATCAAAGAGTAACAGGAACTTGGATGTTTGATAAGAGAGGAGAACTTGTTAAATAGTCTGAGGGTAAGTTAGAGAGTGAATTAACAGAGAGCTATATTAGATTTGCCAGGCAGTATTTAGGGGTTAGGGGTCCAGTGAGCCTTGCCCTGAATTTAAGGTTAGCCAAGTCAGTGGGGTTATGTTTCCTTCCAGTCAGCTGCCCAATTGCAGGGATGAAGTCAGGTGGGATAACAGGGTAACAGGTTGGGGGTTTTGCCAGACAAGCACAGTGGAGAGTTGGTGGGAATTTTGTGGTAAATAATAGAATTGTGGTAGAGGCTCATATCTTCTTTCTGTGCACAAGCTAAACACCACCTCCTAAGGTGTTTGGCTCTAGTTTGGGCCCTTGGGATGTGAGAAAAAGTGACATGTTTCTGGGCCAAGGCAGTTAATAGTTGTGTAACTTTTTGACACCATTTCTATTTGCAGGTTAGAGCGTTTAGGGTGTGTATGTTACAATAGCTAGTGTTACTTTAATACAGGTGTTGAAGTAGTATCCAGTGGGATTATAACATGCATCACTAACATGGTGACCAACTTGTCCCAGGTTGCCCAAGGCTTTAAATTTTTGACACTGAAAGTCTTGCATCCTGGGAAACTCCTCAGCCCCAGGAAAACTGGGATGGTTGATCACCCTAGCCACTGACACTAAATTTAGGAGAAGGGAAGAAAGGACAGGAAAGAGTTGATTGATCATTTAAAATTTGTACAAATAATTGCAGATTTCAGGAAGAAGCAAGAATGGTTCAAATGGGAATGAGGACTAGAGAAAGCAATCAGAAAAGAAGGAATGATCAGAGATTAGAATGCTTGAGGGCACTATTTTTGAGTTAATGCAGTTATTAGCAATGACAAGACCCAGAGCATGGAAGCAGAGAGCTGAGATGCCACAAAAGAAAATATCCTTGGAAGAGAAGATAGAAAAGAAATACAAAACTGAGAAGCCATGGTGTTAAGTGGATGGTGGGGGTGGTATTAATAAATAATTATAACAGAAGAATTAGTGGTGGAGAGAAAGAAGTCCAGGAGCTAAAACCTTCCACAGATGAGAGAAAGAGACTAGAGGGGTAGTATGCAATTATAACAAGGAGGAGTGATGGGAAGTTTAACCTGAGACATACGTCTCAGTGGAACTGAGATTTTATAGAAAGGAAGGAGGATCATTGATCTGAAAATGTCAATAATGGGCAAGGCAGACTCCTACACCACCTCCGGCTCAGTGCTATGAGGGGCATGAGTAGGCAATTAGCCACCTTCTCAGAGGCTAACAGGGAAGCACTGTCTTCAGTTAGGGCAAAAAGAGGTTGAAATTAAAGAGGATTTTGCTGATGTCAAACTATGAGTCCTAGAGCATAGTGGTAGAGTGTAGAAAATGTGGCTAGGTGAGAGACAAAATCAGATTAGGGAACCTGCAACTGTTTTGGGATAAGAGTCAGGTGATGAGAGAAGACTGAAATTGTGGACTTTTTGTGGGAGCTCAGGATAACAGAATGTAAAGAGGGAAGAGTTAATCTTGAGGACCTCTTAGGGGTGGTGGATAAAAGAAGAAAGAATGCTATGGTTGCTCTTACATTCACCTGCAAGCAATAAAGGCTGCAGTGAGGGAGGAGGGAACTTGCCAGTGAATTGAGGAGCTTCATGATCTTCCCTTAAATGATGGGGAAGAGCTAGTTGAGGCTGATGATATGGGGCTTCCTTAAATTTTGCAGTGGGCAGGTCCTAAAATGATCCTTACTACCACAAAGACATTCTGTCCACCCTGGGTGCTCCTCTGTACTTTTCTTCTTCTTCCCTCTCACGTTCTTCCCTATCCCTTCCATTTGGGAGAAAAAAGCCAAACAAACTCCCTTTTTCCTCTGACCATGCTCAGCTTTGGTGTCCCTTTTTTCCAAAGACTTAACCTATGTTTTGAATTCACAGTAGGTAAAGGACTAGCTTAAATGTTTTTTTTGTTGTTGTTGTTGTTTGTTTTGTGTTTTTTGGTAATAGCTTTATTGAGATATAACTTACATCCATATCATTCACTCACTTAAAGTGTACAATTCAATGCTTATATTAGTATATTTACAGCATTTGCAACCATCGCTACAGTCTCTTTTGAGAACACTTAGAACAGGTTACATTTTTTTCCATTTTCTGTCGAGTTGATTAAGTGGATGAAGTCTTTTAGGCATAATTATATATGGTAATTATTACACAATTTATTTTTGTTTGATGTCATTTTAAATCAACATTACATAAAAATATTGTTCAGCTATTATGATTTACAGATGTCATAAACATTATATAGTTTTTGGATATTCCCTTCTCATATCACCCTGGTAAAATATTTTTCAATGGTGACTGGTGTTCATGCTTTCCCTTGCTTGAATAAATTTCACAAGCAAAATGAAGATGTTTGTGTGTTGTGCATAGTATCCTGCTGCTATATTAAGACCTATAGTGCTTTAGTGCAGAAATTACTGCTTAGGTTTTGCTTGGAATAGGATGCTTTGCCTTTATTTTGAGCAAAGTTACAAGTACTTAGAAGGCCAGATTTTCTGTCACTTTTTAGAAAAAGATGAGAATAAAAAAAAAATTCATGTCCTGAGGACAAGAATTTCAGAGTCACTGCCAAGTTTAGTTCTTCAAGTCATAGAAGACTTGGGCCTGGGCATCCTGCAATGGCCGACAGTGAGCAGCCCACCTGAGCCACTGAACCTGCTTCCTTTCACCCTCTTTCCCTTTCCTTGTGATGGAAAGAGCCAATCCTGGTAGCCAGATTCTGGCTCCATCACCCACAAGCTTTGTGATCTTGTATAACCTCACTCTTTGAGACTGCTCACTCAAAAGAAAATGAGAGGCCAGGTGTGGTGGCTCACTCCTGTAATCCCAGCACTTTGGGAGGCTGAGGAGGGTGGATCACTTGAGGCCAGGAGTTCGAGACCAGCTGGCCAACATGGTGAAACCCTGTTTCTAACAAAAATGCAAAACAATAGCCAGGTGTGGTGGTGTATGCCTGTAGTCCCAGCTACTCAGGAGGCTGAGGTAGGAGCATTGCTTGAACCCAGGAGGCAAAGGTGGAGGTTGCAGTGAGATGAGTTCGTACCACTACACTCGTGGGTGGCACAGCAAGATTGCATCTCAAAATGAATAAATAAATAAATAAAAATAAATAAAATAAATAAATAAGAAAATGGGAATAGTAACTAGATGTCTTACGCCAAGATTATAGATACTGTACCTAGAGTACCTGCTTCTCAGACACAACAAGCAATAGATTAGGTCTTCCTTCATTCCATCAGCAAGTCAACATTTAATAAGCAGTTTATACATAAGACAAAACTAGTTAATATTTAAACAAGGTAGATTGTGGTTAATGTGAAGCAACAAGGAACATATTGTATGGTTTTTTTTTTTTAACTTAAGTTTATTTAGGATAAGACAGTTTGTAACTGAAAGTCACAGTTCTTAAAGGAAGTGTAAAACTTGGCTGTATGAATTGGTTCATTTTTCCCAAGGGTCATAATAGTAAGAATTTTTTTGGTAGGATGGAATTGGGAGCATAGGTTTAAAAATAATGAAAGGAAACAGCATCTTTAACAACATAACTATCCGTTTGAAGTGCAATGCATTCTATCATTTAAGTAAAATGCTCTTATTATTTCACATTGAAAGTCACATTTTGTTATGTGGCTTAAGGTTTTGAATGTGTTCATTTGTAACCTGTCGCCAATTTCTATTTCATTCTTTTCCTAATTATTCTGTGAAATTCTTTAGTGAGAACCCGCATCTTACATCTAGAGTTTATGATTCTTTTGGAAAAATTAAGTCTACTAAGTAAGAAATATATCTAATGCAGAAAGACACCAAAGAAATTGACTTGATGTTTTCCAGTTTAATAATCCAAGTCTTAATGCACCTTCCGATGGTAACAGGATGGTTCTTTTAGCAAATTTCTTGCCAATGTCCTTTGATGGCAAATTCAGTGAAGTCTCAAACATGTGTGAAATGGAAAAAACACTTGAAACTAAAGAGCTGAGCCTGATGGGTTTGTTGGCCTCCCTCATGTGAATTCTCAGAGTATATTTGAAGGGGGCCTCTGATCATTAACGGAAATTACAATGGTAGAGGAACCCAAGCCAGGTGAGATATACAGAACTTAGGCAAGCCGTGCTCGTGTGTGTATGCATGTGTGTCTTCTTGCACCTGTCTACCACAGCCAGATGGAGCCTTCTGTGAACAGACTTCTTCAGCCACAGAAAAGTACTGGGGATCTCTCTGGAGTTTGCCCTAGCACTGGTTCCCATTTTTGAACACTTTTGAAATATTAGGGTATTTTTGTCCTGAAAAACACCTGCTACAATTGCATACATGAGTAGTTTTGGGCCCTTTATTGAAGGGTGGATGCAGAAAGTGAATTTGCTTAATTCTGGAGCATAGCATTCAATGCCATTTTTGTTTTCTTTGGCTTTAGGAAGGCCTGAGGAGAGAAGACACATAGTCATGCTGACTAAACCAGATCACCTAGAATTACCAAATGGAAAGATAAGAAAAATCACCCACAAATTTGTAATAATATTTACTCACTTTTCAAAGGTTTCTCCAACTTTTTGAGTCAGGACTAATCATCTTTAAATTAATTTCTTTAAAAAAAGAAGTAGAAAGAGATGATGAAAGAAAAGAGACTAGTTTTTTATTTGAAGGCACAGTGATTATTGCCAGTTGTCAAGGAAACTTTCCTCCTCCTGACCAGTCAATCAGTATCACTTAAGCTTTTGTTCTAACAAAAACGGGTTTCCCTCTATCAAGTACACACCTGATATATGCTTTTTCTTAATGTAAATATTAATAGATGGCCAATTGTTTCCATCATTCAGAGGCCTCCTCTGTTTAAACATTCTCTGCTGAATTTGTTTATTCCACTGTAAAAACCATGGCAACCACAAGGAAAAATGTTTTCCTGTTTTTCAGAGTGTTGGACTATTAGAACACTAGGGATCACTAGAAATAAAAAATACAACTTAGAACAAAGTCTTAACTCCATGTCAGGAAGATGGAGTATGACCAAGCAGCTGTGTAGCAAGTTCCAGGGACCACAGCAGAATAGGCTCTGTTGGCCGGGTGCGGTGGCTCACGCCTGTAATCCCAGCACTTTGGGAGGCCAAGGCGGGCGAATTATGAAGTCAGGAGATCGAGACCATCCTGGCTAACAGGGTGAAACCCCACCTCTACTAAAAATACAAAAAAATTAGCCGGGCGTGGTGGCGGGCGCCTGTAACAATCCCAGCTACTTGGGAGGCTGAGGCAGGAGAATGGCTTGAAGCCGGGAGGCGGAGCTTTCAGTGAGCCGAGCTCGCACCACTGCACTCCAGCCTGGGCAACAGAGCGAGAGCGAGACTCCATCTCAAAAAAAAAAAAAAAAAAAAAAAAAAAAAAAGAATAGACTCTGTTGTCTCTACCCAGCTCTGTCCCTGGATGTGCCCAGTCACATCCCTTTTCTGGGGTTCATTTTGCTGTTCAGTAAAATAGGAAGGCTGGACTAGAGTTTAAAGGGCTTTCTGGTGTTTCAGAAAAAGGTTCTCATGAAGATCTCTATGTAGATTATTGAAAGTAATCTTAGAAAAAACAATGTTAGGCAGCAGATACTTGGTTCTTTGGTCCATCTGGGCTGCTATAGCAAAAGTAACATACCCTGGGTGGCTTATAATCAACAGAAATTTATTTCTTAAGTTGTGGAGGCTGGGAAGTCCAAGATCAAAGTGCCAGCAGATTTGGTGTCTGGTGTTTTCTGGTTCCTAAATGGCAGTCTTTTTGCTGCATACTCACAAGTCAGAAGGGGAAACAGAGCTCTCCAGGGTATCTTTTATAAGGGCACTAATCCCATTCATGAGGGCTCTACCCTCATGACCTAATCACATCCCAAAGGTCTCACCTCCTAATACCGTCACATTGGGGGTCGGGACTTCAACATATGAATTTTGAGGGGACAATATAGTCAGTCCGTGGCACTTGGGCACCATATTGAGAGAGTTCACAGAACAGTGCATGGGTTTTATCTTAAGTACTATCTAGTTGCAAAATGCAGTACTTAGGACATTATAAAACAGAATTGTCGATTTTCCAGATCCATTATGTTTTAGAGAGTTGTCTCCTAACTATTTCCCTTTCTCCTGGAGAGTAGCACAGTTCTTTGGGCTACAAGATGTCTAGGAGAGATACTAATGCTCCCCCATGCTGCCTTTCTCCTCTTTCCTCTTTCCTGCTCCTCAGCACTATGAGCATAGGAGGGCCGTATGTAACACCCCTGGCTTCCTTGGAGAAGCTAGCTAAACAGAAGGAGACATTTTACTCTTGCAGAATTTGGCTTCAGTCCTCTTGTGGGGATTGAAGTAGAATCCAGGCCTATTCATTCAAATAGCATTTTCTGCCTTCATCCTAGCTTCAGCCACCTTTGTCTCTATTTCTATTCTTGCCTGGGGCTCCCTTGAAAGCAAACAAAGGCTGCAAAAATATGTCTAGAAATATTTTCTTAATTATTTTTTTCTAAGGAATATATTTAGGTCATTTTACTATTCTTCTTGGCCTTCAGGGCCATACACACAGACATACACGCACGCGCGCGCACACACACACACACACACACCCACACATATATAGCTTTACCAAGCCACCTATCCCATTTATGTGAAGTGAGATCGGGACTTTGCAAGAACTGAAAGATATGCAAGCTAGTTTACGGCAAAGCCAGACACTACACTGATGGAATCAAAGAGACCCAAGAACTGAAATGTCAAAGCCCTGGGAACACTTTTCATCACACCTCACTTACAGTGTCCATTTCTTCAACTCTAACATAAGCAGATTGTGTTATATGCTCTGTCAGGTTCCACTCAGTTTCCACCTTTTGTTGATTTATCTTAATCAACATTTCTTAAATAATGATAAATCAACTTATCTTAAATAATGATACATCAAGAAAAGCAATATGATTTAAGATATATTTAGTGTGTCTGCTTTTTAAAGGACTGGTATAAATACCTCCGGGATATTTAAAATCCCTGAAGACATTGGCTCAAAGTATTATTATTTTCTCTAATTCACTAAGATTAGGGAACAAAGTGTACTTGTGGTATTTTCGAAACTGACTGGTTGTGAAATCACAGAATGATGGTCAAAACTGTTTTTTGCCCTTACCTGTGCCTCTATTTCTGGCTTCTCAATGATAGAGCATAGTCCCAAGAAACCAAAAGGGAATAAAACAATCCACTTGATGAAAATGACACCATCACTCTGAATGTTCAAGGGTCTTCAATAAAGCTTGTGGCTGAAAACCAAGCCCAAAACTAGGTTTCCTAGTTTTTCCTCTAAATATAAACTTCAGGATCTGACTTGAGACTATTTGGATGTGCAACCTAGAGTCTGTGTGTTACCCACAGGCATGGAGGGGCTCCGGCATGGCTCATGCCCATAGTCTTTGGTAGAATAAAGTAGAAAAGAGTAATGAGTATGAGGCAGAGGGAGAGACTGGGGTGAAGAAGAAAAGAAGTGCCCTTCTTTATGGCATTGGGAGAATGAGGTATGAGAGTCCCCCTATTCTTCAGCTTGGAATTTGCTAGACCTGGACTTGAGTGCCTGTTCCACCATTTAAGAATTAAATAAAGTAATGTGTATTACTGCTTAGCTAAGGAACAGGCATATGGTAAGTTCTCAACACATGATACCTGCTTTTATGATTATTTAGGCAAGGTGTGTCACAGGCCAGGGTTTCTGTAATCTCACTTCCAAATGAGGTGATTCAATATTCACTCATGTCCTTCCTAAATCTAAAACAACTAGATCTCCTGCTGTGTGATAGAATGCCCAAACTTATTTGACCACAGAATATTTTAAAAACTATGAAGTATTAATAGAATCAACAGTCATTCTTGAGGATATATATTTTCGATGAGTAATAAACACTAAAATATGTTGAGACGTGTTGAAAGGATGCATTATGGGACCTGTGATGATCATGTACACAGTGCTTTCAGCAGTTCCTTCTGTCACACAGCAGGGGATCTCAGGCAACTTATTCTTTGGAAAGCACATTATTTCTTATAGTACAATGTCACATAATTATATATGTGTATTTAGGTTCTTGTGCTCTTAAAATATAATTATATATTAGAAGAAAAACTTGCTAGTGTTAATTTTATTTTGTGAAACATCTATTAACAGCATATTCCACAGAAACTAGTTGGCCAAACCTCACATCCTGCTTCAGCTTAAGTGGTGTCTTTTTTTTGTGGTGTGAGTTTTTGACAGAAACTCACAGCAAGAAATTTATTTTACCTTGCAATCTAGTGTACACATACATACAAATATATATAATCGAAATAAAGTACTTCATGGTATAGTATCCTCTTCTAAAGCCAGGCAGTTGATTTTTTATTCTATTCTATTCTATTCTATGCTATGCTATGCTATGCTATGCTATGCTATGCTATGCTATGCTATGCTATGCTATGCTATGCTATGCTATCCTATCCTATCCTATCCTATTCTAATTTTCTATTCTAATCTTATCTAAAGTAATGGTGATCAAAGCCCACTGCAGTGATTTCCAAGCCCAGTGATGGGAAGTGCTCCCAGTTTGAAAAAGACCTAGGGATTAAGCTAGGAAATGCACCAGGTTTGTAGCGCTCCTTTTCCCAGGTGGAGGTACTTCTTACATTACACTTCAAGTGTATTTGAAATGGAACCTTCTCTAACCTCCAAAAAGCCTATGAAGGAGCACATTACCTAGGAAGGGTCATATTGCCTGGGTTGAAGAGAGGCAGCTGCTGACTTCCAAGCTTAGGAGAAGGAAGAATATAAGGGATCTCACAGCTCCCTTGAAGAAAGGTCTAAGGATAGTGGCCAGCAGTTTTGGAGGCCATGCCTATGCTTCTGGGGCCAAGGAGAACTGCTGGGGGCATCCCCTTCAACAAGACTGTATTAGTCTGTTTTCACACTGCTGATAAAGACATACCCGAGACTGGGTAATTTGTAAAGAAAAAGAGGTTTAATGGACTCACAGTTTCACGTGGCTGGAGAGGCCTCACAATCATGGTGGAAGGTAAAACGCATGTCTTACATGGCAGCAGGCAAGAGAGAGAATGAGAATCAAGTGAATGGTGTTTCCCCTTATAAAACCATCAGATCTCTTAGGACATATTTACTACCATGAGAACAGTATGGGGAAAACTGCCCCCATGATTCAATTATCTCCCAATACATCTCTCCCGTAACACATGGGAATTACGGGAGCTACAATTAAAGATGAGATTTGGGTGGGGACACAGCCAAATCATATGAAAGACTCACAGGTCTTTTCACAGGCTGGTTTTTCCCCCACCCAACCTCATCTTATCAACTCCTCCTCTGGCAACCAGACTGCAGCTCTCCTTTGCCCAAACCTTTCCATGTGCTCATGTCTCAGCTTGAAAACCTTCCTCTCTTGGTTCATTTCCCTTTTAATGTCAAAGACCCAATTCCTATTGATGTGTCCTATTTTCCCCAAAACTTTTCTCACCAACCTTAACCCCTATTCCCAAAACGGAAATAAATGTTTCATCTCAACCCATGGCATCCTTTCTTCCTTTCCCCATTGTAACACATCTTCTATTACATTTGAACTGTTTAGTTATTTTTATTTTCCACTAAACTGTACTTTTCTGTAGGGCAGGGACCTGCCTCTTTGTTATTGTTTTATCCACCATTCCTAGCACAGCCCTTGGCCTATTATCCTATCCCAAATATTTGTTGAATAAGTGAAGTCATGAGTAAAACATACTTATTTTATAAATTGCTAACTGTGGGCTTATAGTATGAGCCACGTGCTTTCATGTGTATTATCTCATTCAACCATTATAAACAAAATGGGTGGGAGGGAGGGAAGATATGATTATTTACTGCTTATAGATGAGGAAACTGAGGTTCAGAGGTGTGAGGAGGCTCTATTGAGGTTGCACAGCTGTCTGGTGAAGGGCAAGCAGCGAGGCTTAGGATTCTAAGTACACCACGGTTCACATGCACAGGGGATGCCCATCCAGTCCCATCCCCACTCATGGCTCTTAAAGTCGCAAATGCAAGTCTTGCTGGTTTGTCCTCATTTTTGGAAGTTTCTGTTAAATATGTGAGCAAAAGGCTGAACACAGACATAAAAGCTTGGGTTCAAAACTGGGCCCATTTTATTGATAATGGAAACTGTACTCCCTGAGAAATCGAGAAGACATTGAACAAAGTAGAAGGATTTCAGAAATAGAATTTCTCCTTCGAGTTTGGTTAACCCTGACATCTGATTGCATAGAATTCAAAACAAGAGTTACCTGCAAACATTTAGGAGATGAAGTGTGTTCGTGTTGACACACATCCTGCATCAGAAAAGTTCAGATACATAAAGAGATGCTTTTGTATAATTCATGTTATTTACTGGAGCGATTTTACTGGCCCTTTGAACATCACTGCGCTCACCATTATAAATATGCATTCAGCTCCTTTCCAAACCACTAGTCATTTGCCCAGCGGGCCATAAAAGCAATGTATCATATAACCATGTACTGGGATGAAATTTCAAAAGCTCTCCATTTAGGCAGCAGGACTTAGTGGGTTTGGGGAGCTGTAACATTATCCATTTAATTATACATTTGGACACACTGAAAAAAAACCTGTATTATTTACACAATTGCCTGTAATATTCACTCCAAGCTGTTAGACCTGAGTCAGAAACCATTAGAATGCTAATCGAGAAAAGAGTATGAAATATATTTCCTTGGTGCAACTGCAGCAAGTTTTGTAGACACTTTTATTTCAGCCACGTTTTGCTTCCCCCCAGCTTTTCCATCTGAAGGGGGCCTTCCACAGCTCTTGTGGGGGTGCTAGATTGCTAATTTGGGAACACAGTACAATCTGTCAATATTGGCTCTATTTCTCCAAGACAATACCTCGTATAAGGCGTAGTACCTTATATTTGAGGAGAGACAAATTGTTGGAATGAAAAAGTTATTATGCTCAGGGGAAAAAGTTGCTCAAAGATATCATCCTCCCAGGGATAGACATTGCATTAAATATTATCATTAAGATTAACTACCCGAGAGATGCAGAGAGTGTCTCTTTCTGGATCTCAAGTATTTTCGAGTATGGTACATGCGGAAGAAATCCCAAGTGCCAATATACTTTATGTTTTCAACTTTTATTTGTTGAAAACAAAAAGTCCAGATTTGTTACATGGAACTACTGTGTGATGCTGAGGTTTGGAGTATGGCTCCCATCACCTGAGTAGTGAGTATAGCACATGACAGGTAGGTTATTAACCCGCTCCCACCCTCTAGTAGTCCACAGTGTCTATCATTTCCCTCTTTATGTCCATGTGTGCTCAATGTTTAGCTTCCACTTTTGCCAGCACTTTTGAGCAGCTATACAGTTCCTGGGCTCTATGGGTGCTGACTACACAGGGTTGAATAAGAAATAATTCCCATCTTATAGAAATGCAGCCTTTAGAGGGGAAACACATAGCTAATTAGAAAATAATGCAGATTGATAAATACTCTGATAGAGGAACTGAGACACCAGTGGCACTGCCCATACTCTAGGTCTTTAGATGAAGCTCTGCTGCCCCAGAATCTGTGCAGGACCACACAGATCAGCTTCTGTTCTCCCTTGCTTGCACTCCAGCAAATTGGCACCTTGGGTTTATACTCCAGATGTGGCATATTGTTACTTCCCTGTATCAGACTTCAGTCTTCCCCTAACTCTTCTTTCCCTCGGAGTATTCAGCTTTGTCTTGTCTGTACTTCCCCTGAGGAGGATTCCATACCTTAAGCTTGTGAGGGCTTGTGGCTACAGAAACATATCCACAAACACATATAATCTAGTATCATGTGAGTCCAGAGAACTCAGACTACTTGCACTTTGATTTTACTTGATCTCGTCTAAGCAATAATGGTTTCGAATGGCTTTGAGTGGCCAGGCGTTTGCATAATAGGCAGTTCCTTTGTTTTGGATTTTGTCACTACTCATTGCTTTAAACTGTTACATAATGAAATCGGTATTTTCCATATTTTCTTGATGAGAAACAGTTCCACTGACATGTGACATTTAGGTAGCCTGATTCATCAAACACAATATTCTTTTGTGATTATCCTTGGAATGAATGTAAAAGGAGAACTAGACCATGGACAAAATAACATCAGAAACCCTTCTTCCCACCTTTACTGCTACTTGGATTGTCACGGTGCTGAGAGACACAGCAATACAATTCTCAGCAAAATGCACGGAATTTGGAAGAATGGCAGATGTTGACTTGTGATGTGTTACAAAAAGATAATAAGATTTTGGTAGAACCTACTACACATTTTATTCAGTTTAACATTAATGAAGGGAAATTTGCTATTTCATATTAAATGTAGCCCTTGAGGAAATCTGGGTCAATCATGGATCTGTCCTTCATGGAAACTTCTTTAACTTAAGTGGTTTCTTGCCAACACTAAAATTTGCTTTTATGGAGATTTTAATCAATCAATCGAATCAAGTCAATCAATGGACCATTAAATGGATTCTACCTTCTTACTATTAAATTGATCCTACCATTCCAAAACTGTGTGATACTATGGGAATAATTAAAGAACTTTGCTAAGTGGCTCATGCCTGCAATCCCAGCACTTTGGGGGGCCAAGGAGGGAGGATCACCTGAGGTCAGGAGTTCGAGTCTAGCCTGGCCAACATGGTGAAGCCCTGTCTCTACTTAAAATACAAAAATTAGCCAGGTATGGTGGCACAGGCCTGTAATCCCAGCTACTCAGAAGGCTGAGGTAGGAGAATTGCTTAAACCCAGGAGGTGAAGGTTGCAGTGAGCTGAGATTGTGCCTATGCACTCCAGCCTGGGCAACAGAGTGAAACACATCTCAAAAAAAAAAAAAAAAAAGAACTTTGCTGACTGTTTTCTCCTCTATAACATAGGAATAGTAACGACCACCTTGCAAAGTAGAATCGAGGGGGTGAGTTCAGTAAAGTTACAAATCTAGTTCTCGTATATAGCGGATATGAAAATATGACACTTATAATTATGCTTCACTCATCAGTCCTAGGTTCACAAAATTCCATTGTTAACTATAGGAGATAGTTTTGCTATCCAACATTTTTCTCTTAACTCTGTGCCAAAGGAAGGAAGGAAGGAAATAAAAAAGCAGGGAGAGAGAAAGAGAAAGGAGGAAGGTGTTAGACAACAATAAGAAGAGACTGTATTTCAGCGTGTGAAAAGTCACATCTCTTTGCATAGAAATCTGTTCTGCCTTTCTTTGGGGCTCAGCTCACAGGCCAGGCTGGCTATGCTGTGGGGATCGGAACCCCAGTATTTACTGGAGCAACCCTCACTCCAGCAGGCAGCTGCTCCAGTTCAGGAATTTTATGACAGGAAATATAAAGTGCTGGATCTGGGTGCTTTAGAGTCCTGGGTAGAATTATTTATTCTTAAAAAAAAAAAAAAGACTGACAATCAGCTAAGGACTATTAAGCTTCATGGCCTTGATCTTATCATATTGTGTCTACTCTTACCAGTTCTTAATCACTACAATGTAATAACACTTTTAAAATTTATTGGGACAATTAGAAGCAAACAGTTCTTTTGACCCTCAGTTCTTTCAAAGGCACATGAGGCTACAAAAGTAAGTAGTGTCTTGAGACTGAAGTGCTTTTCAAGGTGTTTGCAGTTTAATGTTCATTATAGATCCCAATGTGCCATAAGGAAAAGAGAGCTGGATTGTAGGAGCAAGAAACTAGAATTCTGGTCTCAGCTTTCCCATTCATTTCTGAGGTGATCCTGAGGCTGCAGTGTGGCTCCCTCAGCTTTAATATGGTCATGTGTAAAATGGGAATGAATCTGAAGTCCCTTCTATCTCTAAAGTCCTTTGTTTAGAAAGAAAGGAAATAACTCTATTGGGTTATTGAAAAAAATGCTTTTCCCGAGGTCATTGCCTGCTCTGTTAATCTTATCCTTCACAGGACACTGTTGTGTCTACAGCACCAGCTGGATGAGCAGTTGAACATGTGAATTCTCTCGTTCGCACCAAGCCACAGCTGACTGGACACCAAGGCTAAGCATCTGATTGAAAAGCGGTCCATAGATTAGGAGGCTGTGACTGGCATGACCTGAGACTAACCGAGGGACCAAGGCAATGAGAATCCTCAATAGGGAGTCCATGATTAGTAAAATAATAGTCAGGGTTGACCCACTTGGAAGCTGAACCCAGAGGCCCCTAGGTCGAGTCAGGACTGGGACAGAGAGTGTGGTCCCCAGATAAGCTGAAGTTATGACAGGGCTGGCTGGTTGCGAGGGTCTAACAGACAGGCAGAAGTCAATAGAGATGTTATAATTGGGATTTTCTGAGATATTTGAGACTCACATATACATACATACACACACATACACACACACACACACAGAGAGAGAGAGAGAGAGAGAGAGAGAGACAGAGAGAGACAGAGAGGCTTCAGGGCCTAATTCTAGCCCATTTAATATAGCTTCTCTTTAGAAAAGGCTTTGCTTGTTGTATATGGAGGATATAGAGGAGCTATATGGAGAACAAAGAGGAGCACAAGTTTAGGAGTACAGGTTCTAAAATTATTCCGCCTGAAATTAGATTCCACCTGTGTGACCTTGGGTAAGTTATTTAGCCTTTCTGGGCCTCAGTTTTCCTACAAGTATAATGAAGCTATAGTAGACAATATCATGTCCTGAGGGATTGTAGACAGAGTTTTAGCATAATCCCTGGCACATAATAATTGCTTGATAATTTTATAGCCATTATTATGACAGTGTTGTTTTATTCATTATATTTATATGCATCCCTACAATGAACCTCCTTTTCCTGAGGTGACATGAATAGGTTTCCCTTCTTTGCAATTAGCAAAGTCTTCACTAAAATGATTCCCCATTCTTCCAGTGCATGGTCTTCCTCTCCCTCTCCTTCATTCTCTCCCCACTTCACCCCCTCTCTCTTACCTAGAACATCTTTTCCTCTTTAGTCAAAAGAAATGATCCTTACACTTCAGAGCTCATCTCTATCCCTCCTTCTCCACAAGGCCTTCACTGGTTACTATATTCTGATTTTTGTCTCTTCTGAATTCCATCTGCATCTATATAAGACTTTGTATAGCCATATCCAAGACAGTGATTCCAACTACCATAGCACCTAATTGTGTCCTATTTTGAATTGTGCTATTCTTGATATTTCAGATTTGAATCCTTTTTTTCCCAACAAAACATAAGGTTTTTGATGGTAAGAGCTATGATTTGCATTTATTTATTTCCCAAAGCATTTAACATAACACTAGGAACTACCAAAGAAATTTAACAAATTTATATCATTGGCTAAATCTGTGTAAACCATGCAGCCTTCCTCCACAAAGTAGTTCTGCCATTCCATTTATCACCTTTGGCTGGCCTGTCCAGCAATTGTACAATATTTATTTAATAGTGGAAGACATAAAAGTAAACAAGTTTAAAGAGGCTCAGTGCATTTGGGTCTTCTGATATATCTGTAGCTAATAAACTGTTTGACCTTGGGTAAATCATGTCTACTTTCTGAACTTCAATTTTAACATGTGCTAATTGAAGCTGATAAATGTTTTGACCTCTACTGTTTCTGCCAAATTGATCTAATAGCCACTAAAGATTATGGATGATTTCCTAGAACTCACTCTTTTGCAAAACTCTTTAATAGAGTTTATTGGTGCTTGGAGCTGTAGTGTTTTCCCAGAGGCAATGGTGGTCAAGAGAGAGGTCTTTAGAGTCACACAGACTTGGGTTTGAATTTTAGCTATGCCTTCCTACCAGCTGATCTTTAGCAAGTCATTAACCTCTCTGATCCTAAGGAATAAAACCTATCTGAGACTATTAGTATGAGGATCAGAGGTGGTATATGTTAAGTATAAGCACTCATAGTATGGTGGTCAAGGTCATAGCTGGTACTATAACCCAGATTTATTTCTCAAACCCATGACTAAATACCAGCTGTCCCTCAGGGAACATTGCGTGGATTGTGTTGAGGAAGTTTTCTCTTTTTAGCTGGTTGCATTGGTGAAGGGCAGATATAGCTTCTCTTTAGAAAAGGCTTTGCTTGTTGTACATGGAGAGTAGGGAATACTGGGTACATGGCAGCATGGGGAGGGGGAAACTCAGGCAGAGTCTAGACACAGGCAGATGGAAAGACATCATCAGGAGCCTAAGTCTTTGCATATAGCCTTTATTGAATGAAAGCCCTCCATTGTGGTCACCATCAAAAGCCTCAGAGAGGACTCTCATAGGGTCCTTCGTCTTCTGGAGGTCAGTTTATACAAATAAATGAGCTAAGAACAACCTTTGATCTTGAGTAGATTTTCCAACTCTATAAGCCTCTATTTCCCCATAAACAGAATGAGAATGGTAATGATACCTGCCTTGTTAGAGCTTAAGTAATATAATGCATGTGGCTTATAGGAAAACGTTAAGAAATGTGATCCTTTATTATTATCATTATTCATGTAACATGAAAGCTATAGATGAAGAGGGATGTCTAACCACCCAGTGGAGTCACAGGTGCAAAGCTGGCTAGATGAGCTTGGGGCCAAATGCTTTTGAAAAGGCATCCCAGGCAGGGTAAAGCCATGCAAAGGTTTGGAGGGATGGAGTAGCATAGTGTGTTGAGGGATCTCTAAGTATTTCAAATGCTGGGGCTCAGGATATGTGTGCAAGTCATGGAGGAAGAAAAGACAGAAAAAAGTGTGGCAGAATCAGATCCATGGCTTTGGTTGTCAAATCTTTCAAGTCGCGCCTACAACTTGGAAATGCCTCCTGGCATTTCAACTTCTCGAGCTGCCCCTGATGTTCCATGTTCTATGGGCCACTAAAGCACTCTGAGACTCAGTCTGCCCAACAGTAACATGCTCTGCTGCTTCATGGGTTTGTTGCCCCAGAACTCAATGATAAGAGGATCTGCTGATTGTAGGTGCTATGGAAGTACATATATCCTTAATTAAATGTTGCTCATGACACCAAATATAATATTAACAACAAACCTGCATCTCACCATGTAGATATTTCAAATGATATAATAGGTATAGATATTTGAAATGGTAGTAATCATGATATTTATAATAGCAATAATCTTTTAAGCATTTACAATATGCCACAGAAATTAATACTTTACATATTTGGTCCCACTTAATCAACTTTATGAGATAAATATTAATATTATTTTAATATTATTTTTATTTTATAGATGAGATCATTGAGCCTTAGAATGGTTAAGAAAACTGCCTACAGTTACAAAATTCATAAATAATGCATTTGGGGTTTGAATCTGGGTCAACGTGAGTGTTTTAGTTTGGAAATGTTAAGGAAGCAATAAAATTGGGGAACCTGGATGTTAGGAAAGAATGTACAGAAACTATGAAAAAATACATACAGAAATAATGTCAGGGTAGCACATTCAGACAAACAGGTATTTGTAAAATCACTGATTTTTAGTAACTGCTAGCTTGAATAACTTCCCTCATGTATATTTTTCTCTGAACCATCACCCCTTCATATCCTTCATATTGGCTTTAGAATATACCCGTAGAAATAAGGAAAGAAAGAGAGTTCTACTATACTCACAACAACCATTTAAGATAGATACATAATTCCTATGTTGCCTAGGAGAAAACTGAGACCTAGAATAGGAACTTCTCAGGGTCGACACTTGGCCAGCGGCTGAACTAGCATCTGTATCGTGACTCCAGCACTCTCCACTGCAGTGTACTGCTTCCTTATTCCAGCACTTTGGGAAGCCGAGGAGGGCGGGTCATGAGGTCGAGATCGTGACCATCCTGGCCAACATGGTGAAACCCTGTCTCTACTGAAAATACAAACATTAGCTGGGCGTGGTGGCATGCATCTGTAGTCCCAGCTACTCGGGAGGCTGAGGCAGGAGAATATCTTGAGCCTGGGAGGCGGAGGTTGCAGTGAGCCGAGATCGCGCCACTGCACTCCAGCCTGGCGACAGAGTGAGACTCCGTCTCAATAAAAACAAAACAAAACAAAAAGCCGTCATTCTCACAAATGGCCCCATTCTCATGGCCAAGCACCTCTGTTGCTCCAGTTCCCAAATTTTCCTTTGAAAGTAATACTGTCTCTGTTATACTGAAAGCTGATACCACCTTTGTCAAATGGGGGAATTCAATTCATTACTAATGCTTAAATCTCGATTCAGGTATGCTCAGTTACCAACCCGGGCGCTGAAGTGAGACACCTATAATCATCTCTTTATTGTTTGTTCATTTTATGGGGCCCTATCCTCCCTCCTTCCCCTCCCTGTTGCCATCAGGAATTCACATTGTGGGGGCTCCTTTGCGGCAGCGCGGGCAAGCATCTCAATTTGCAAACATCTGGCTGGTTTCAATCAATGAGGCTCTAAACACACTGCTCCTGGGGCTACAGTGGTAGTTGTAGGGATCGCTGAATTCAGGATGCAGAGCCGGTAATAAGCAATCAGGCAGCCTCTGAATTCCTTTGTTCATGAAAACCTAGATCTATGCAACCAAGGCTGGGGTGGACAGAGGGAAAAATGAAAACACAGCCTAACCCAGCTAACAGCATCAACAGAGAGCTTAGTAAAGGAGGAAAAGTCTGTTACTTTTCTCATAACCAAAATTCTGGTTAGTGACTGTAGAGAACAGAATCCAGAGATTTGCAGAGGAATCAAAGTAAGTATTAAATGTCCAAAGCAGGGGAAACATGTCTGTTCTTAAAGAAAGGGTAATAATAAGTTCTTTTATTTGAGAAGTGCCTTATAGTTAATAAAATGTTACCACACATGTGGGAAGACAAAAAGAGCAGAGATCTTCTAGCCAAACTATTGGGTTCAAATCCAGCTTTTCTCAATTATAAGCTGAGTAAACTTGGGCAAATCACTTAACCTGTTGGCATCTCATTTTCCTGGGGATGATAAATCCTTACTATTAAGATTTTTGTGCAGATTACATAAAATATGTAAAGTGCTTGGAGCATACCTGTTACATAGTAAATGCTACGTTAATGTGTGCTACTATCATTTCATTTGTTCTATACAAAAGTTCTGCCAAGAAGATAGAGTAGATATTATCTGCATTGGTAAGGTGGAAAATGTAAGCCCAAAGTGGTTAAGAAGTTTATCTAAGATCATGCTATACTAGCAATAAGTTGTAGAGCTATGGTTCAAACTCAGCTTTGGCACTTCTCTTTATTCATTCATTCATTCATTCATTCATTCATTCATCAATTTTTTCCCCTTCATTCAATGTGATTTCTTTCTACGTGCCAGCCCCACTGTTAGGCACAGAGAGATTAGCCTTGACATAGATGTTTCATAAAAGATGTCAGAGGGTAATGATTATTCCAAAATATCCAACTAAAATATTGGCTTAGGGAAAGCTGGAAGTGAGTTTGGTGATGGAGATAGGGGGAAATTGTCAATTAACATTAGGCTTTCCAGGAAGTTACTAAGCTAGGTGTTCTCAAACGTTCTCACACTGGAAGTCATGAAGTCTTACTGTTCTCTGGGAAACATCATAAAATACTGACCTGTTCAATTAATGAATGGGACACTATCAAATTCATATTGTACATGAGGAATCTAGAGGTTAAAATTTCAGGCTCAGGAGTTGAACTCTTTGAATTTAAAATCCATCCCATCTCTTACTGGCTGTGTGACTTTGAGTATTAATTAACCTCTCTTAATCTCTGTTTATAGCTCTGTTAAACGAGAATAACAGATTCCCACCGAGGGTTAAATGAGATAATGCGGAACTTCCCAATCCATTTTTATGAGAATACCTATTAACACTCTGTAGATAGCTTGAAAGACACCAGTATGGGAAATGACCCCATTGCCCAGTCATAGGTAAAAACAATGTGGTGTTCATAAATCTTTGAAACCTGTTACTGTATATACTAAAACCTTTTATCTAATGAATCTTTTCCACTAGCGATTATTGATTGCTTATTATTTGCTGTTCTAGGCACTGCAGCAAGTGATTAAGATGGAGAAGGCCCACCCTCTACTAGAACTTATATCTTAGTGGAGGGACAGATAGTAAACATACACAATAATTTAAAACAATAATACATTCAATGAAGGCTTGAAAATAATGCTGACATGACTACTACTACTGCTACTACTACAGCTACAATACTAATAACAGTGGTAATTATTGCCAACAAGAGTGACCTAACTATATAAGAGGCAGCAGTGTGGTCCATATCCATTCACTTAACTCAAGTCGGACTTTTTTTTCATGGAGCACCTATGAACATTTCTCAGACTAGTTTTCCGTGAATTATGGTTTGGAAAGCATTGCTATTCATTTCAAGCCAACAGTTTTCAAGTGCAGCTTTTGGCATGCCTGCCCCTGATATTTACAGGGCCAAGGACAAGAGTACAAATAGGGGCCCCCATATTGTATGTCCAAATATTTAAGCATTACAAATTAGGCAAATAAACCTAAATTAAATCTATCTTCTTACTTTGACAAATATAATGTTGTAACAATCTGAAAGGTCAAGTTTGGATTTAGAATTCTCAGACTCTTGGCTTTGTGTCCTGGAAGGTGGTGGCATGGGGGGTAATTGGCCCTTGAGAGCCACTCTTCTGTTTCCATCCAGCTGTCCCATGCCATGAGGATTTGCATGAAAGAGAGGACCCCAGTTCACCCCCACAACAGCTGTCCTTTGGACACCCTGTGGTTTGGGTCTCGGGAAGTATGGACCAGGAATTCCAGCATTCTAGGTACCCAGCAAACAAAGAAACAAAGTTCAGATATAAAGACCTAGTTACCTGTAAAGTCACTTCAAATCCTGACATGACAGAATTCAGTTTCTAATGCTGGGATTTGAACGATCTGAAACCTGGAAAATATTGATATTTTGCTCTGCACGTAAAAGATGTTTTGTCTAGAAAGAAGTGCGTCTCGTGGGAAATTCTAAACAATGGCATAGGAAAACAGAAATGGCAAGAATTATAGACGTGTCTTGATGATAATATTATTAATTAATCACATAAGGCTTTAGAATCCAAACAAATGTCGAATCCAGAGCAGGTAAGAGTAACGAAGTTCAGAATTATGAGCAAAACATCTCTCTTCTTTGGGTTTTGGTTTCCCATCTGAAAATTGCAAATTAGTCTTCCAGAGATTTTTCTCTCCAATAAAAAGCAGGGATATTTACTAAGGGGAAAGGTATGAACAATGTGTTGTTTAGCAGGAGCAATAATTACCTCTTATGTTCCAGTCCTTTACAGTTGAGGCAAAGGTTTTTGAATGTATTATCTAGTTGAATTTCCATCACCAGCGGGCGATGCTGGTGTTCTTTTCTCCATTTGCCATTGGAGAAACTGCAGCGAAGAGAAGATAAGTGAATACCCACATTCTTTCAACCTCTGAGTGACAGAGCCAGGTCTCAATACCCATATCACAGCCTTGAATTTTAATGTGGGTGTGCAGGTTTGAAAACACATTGCATTTGGGAAAGATGGTCTTGCAGGTGTGAAATCCATTTTTTTTTTTTTTTCTGAAGGAAGAGGCAGATAAAAAACAGCAAGAAGAAGCACGTCTCTTATGACTCATTAGTCAACTTAAGGAGGACTTTTATTGCAGATGGGGAAGCATTATTGCAGCTGCTACCAGCCTGACACACATGGATGCACATGCCCTCGTGGCAGCATTGTCTCCCTTTGCCCCAGACACCCAGACTCTGGAATGATGCAGCCAGCGGGACATTTTCCCTGCACAGATGTTGTAAAATGCATAAAAGTACAGAGTGTGTCTCTGAACCCTGCTTCTGTTTCCACCCCCTGAACAGATTGTGCCTGCAGCCTGGCCTGTTGCCCACAGCGGTCTACCTGCCACACTGGGAAAGATCGAGCAGAGACAGAGAAGAAAAGGAGGCTCCATTTTTCAGGCTGCTCTCCCGCAGGCTCATGTTTTGTGTTCATGCCAGGCAGAGAACACAAAATGTTCCAATAAATAAGTATCAAAGGTTAGTGGTGAAAATGAAGGAGGAGGAGGCATTGCGTGAAAAACTAAACATGCAAAATATTACACACAAAGAGAACCAAAATGCAGGTTCACTGGAAATGATAGACAATATGTTAAAACAAGAGGAGAGAAGAGAGCTGAAATAATCAAATGGAAACACACAATTTAGGGCTAAGATCTTGTTGTGTTCAGCCACAAATGATGGCCAGCAGTGAGGAATCTGTGTGTTCTCCACACTCTTCGCTCCTGGGAAGTCAACTCACATGGACCATGATATCAATATCTGCTCCTTCCCCTAATATCTGTTTGACCTTGGGTCAGTTACTTAAACTTCCTAAGCCTTAGTTTCTTTGTCTGGAAAATAGGGATAGTTATACCTACCACACAACCACTTTGTAATGAATATGTTGGAAATTATATGCAAATTGGCTTCCGTTGGTGTTTGGAACATAGTAGGTTTTTAACTGGAATATAATAGCTACCATTATCAGTATCATCATATTAATTTATATTTCCATCTTCAGCCCTTAACCCAGGATCTTCAGTAAATGTTGAATTCTCAAATTTGTTAAATTCACTTGTCTATACTAATATTTTACTCTAGGTTTCTTAGAATATTCTAGATAATATTATTATGTAGAATATGTTATGTAAGCTTCATCTTATCTGTAAATATAGTTTTACTTTTTCCTTTCTAATTTTTATGTCGATTACTTCTTTTTCTTGGCTTATTGAATTGGCTAGGATTCCCGTACAGTGTTGAATACGTGCAGCAAGACTGCACATCTTGCCTTGTTCCTGGTCCCACAGAGAGAATATCCAGTACTTCACAATAAGTATGTGTTAATTGTAGATTTTATTAGATTGAGGAAGTTCCCTTTCCTTTCAAGTCAGTCTTTTTATTTTAAACATGTATTGAAGTTTTGTCAAATGTCTTCATCTATTGGAATAATTATACATATCTCTTTTTTATTCTGTTAATATTACATTTCAATCTTCTGTCTACCTAAAATCCCTAGAATAATCTCCATTTGGCTATGATGTGTTGTGCTTTTATATATTACTGAATTCTATATGCCAATATTATTAAAATTTTCTGTCTTTATGAGAAATATTTGAATGTATATTTTTTCATGTATTTGTTTTGATTTTATTTTCAATGCCATTTTGTAAAAGAGCATTAAAGTGTTAGTATGAAAGTACTTACTCACCCTCTATTTCATGAATATGTTTTTATAAGACTATCATTATTCCTTCCTTAAATGGTTTATAGAATGTGCTTCTTTGGAGTTTTATTTGCATGAATTTTTTTTTTTTTTTTTTTTTTTTTTTTTTGAGATGGAGTCTCGCTCTGTTACCTGGACTGGAGTGCAGTGGTGCTGTCTTGGCTCACTGCAACCTCCACCTCCTGGGTTCAAGCGATTCTCCCATCTCAGACTTTCAGCCTCCCAAGTAGCTGGGATTACAGGTGTGTGCCACCACACCTGGCTAATTTTTGTATTTTTTTGTAGAGACAGGGTTTCACCATGTTGGCCAGGCTGGTCTTGAACTCCTGACCTCAAGTGATCCACCTGCCTTGGCCTCCCAAAGTACTGGGATTACAAGTGTGAGCCACTGCGCCCACCCTGCTTGAATATTTTTAATTAAAAGTTAAATTTCCTTAATTAATATGAATATTCAGCCTTTATACTTTCTTTTTGTGTTTATTAGGTAGTTTATATATGGAAGTATTTTTTTATTTTGTTTAAATTGTCAAATTCATTGGTATAGAATTGTTCATAATAATCCATCATTATTCTTTTTACGTCTCCACAATCTTTGTTGATAGTCCCTCTTTTTTTCTGATGCAGGCAATTTGTTTACCCTTTCTTTTTACTTGAGGAATCTAGCTAGAGATTAGCCATTTTTCTCAATCCTTCAAAGAAGCCAATTTTTGTTTTCATGCATTTTCATTAGTTTGTTTTTTGTTTCATTGATTTCTACTCTAATGTTTGCTATCACCTTCTTCATTTACTTTGAATTTAATATGCTCTTCTTTATCCAGCTGTGTAGTGTGTGAACTTAGAGAATTAACTTTAGTCCTTTCTTCTTTTAATACTACCAGTTAAAGCTAATGTTTTCCCTTGAAGCATTGCTTTAGCTGCATCTCAAAACATTTGACATATTTTTTTCTTCAGTTCGAAATATCTTCCTATTTCCCTTATGCCTTCTATGGTAGATGGCTTATTCAGCAGTGCGTTGTTTGTTTTCTACACATGGGAATTTTCAACATATCTTTCTGACAATAATTTCTATTCTAATTTCATTGTGGCCAGAGAGCATACTCTGACTGCAGTTGTGGAAAACTTACTGAGCCTTCTTTATGGCTGAGAATATCATGGTAAAAAATATATATATTTTGCTGTTTGGTGGTATGTTCTGTAAATGTCAATCCTATTAAATTATATGACAGTGTTGTTCAAATATTTCATATTCTAATTGTTCTATCAATTACTGAGAGATGAATGTTGAAATCTCCAACTAAAATTGTGGATTTGTCTCTTCTCCATTCAGATTGGTCAGCTTTCGCTGAATTTAAAGATTTGTAACTAGGTGCATGTACGTTTTTATGTCTTCTTAATGAATTAAACCTGATATAGTTTGGGTATGGTTTGTTCCCACCAAAACTCGTGTTGAAATTTTAATTACCAATGTGGCTGTTTTGGAAGATGAGGCCTCAAGGGAGATGTTGGGTCATGGGAGCAGTTCCCTCATGAGTGTCCTGGTGCCATTCTCATGGTCCTCATGGCGGTGAGTTTTTTTTGTTTTTTTTGTTTTTTGAGATGGAGTCTTGCTCTGTCGCCCAGGCTGGAGTGCAGTGGAGCGATCTCGGCTTACTGCAACCTTCGTCTCCAGGGTTCAAGCGATTCTCCTGCCTCAGCCTTCAGAGTAGCTGGGACTACAGGCACGCGCCACCACGCCCGGCTAATTTTTGTAATTTTAGTAGAGACGGGGTTTCACCATATTGGTCAGGCTGGTCTGGAACTCTATTTCATTTCATTTCATTTCATTTTATTATTTTATTTTATTTTATTTTATTTTATTTTATTTTATTTTATTTTATTTTATTTTATTTTATTTTATTTTATTTTTTTGAGACGGAGTCTCACTCTTTCGCCCAGGCTGGAGTGCACTGGCGTGATCTTGGCTCACTGTGAGCTCTGCCTCCCGTGTTCACGTCATTCTCCTGCCTCAGCCTCCCACGTAGCTGGGACTACAGGCGCCCGCCACCATGCCCGGCTAATTTTTTTTTGTATTTTTAGTAGAGACGGGGTTTCACCGCGTTAGCCAGGATGGTCTCGATCTCCTGACCTCATGATCCGCCTGCCTCGGCCTCCCAAACTGCTGGGATTACAGGTGTGAGCTACTGTTCCTGGCCGTGAGTTCTTATTCTTACCTGGATTAGTTCTCTTGGGAATGGATTAGTTCCTGTGAGAGACGGTTTTTATAAAATGAAGTTTCCCATCCTGTTTGATCTCTCCTCATGCGTTTGTGCTTCCCCTTTGGCCTTCTCCGCCATGTAATACTGCAGCATGAAAAGCCCCACCAGAAAGTGAGTAGATGCCACGGCCGTGTTTCTTATACCTCCTAGATTGCAGAACTGTGAGCTCAATACACCTTTTTTTTTAAATAAATTACCCAGCCTCAGATATTCTGTTATAGTAACAGTAAACAAACTAAGACAGTCTCCTTTATGCCTATAAAATGCTTCTCTTTATCTCTAGTAATCCTCATTCTGAATTCTACTTTGTCTTATTTTATATAACCATTCTGCTTTCTTATAATTGGGGTTTGAATAATTTCCCCTTTTCAATATTTTAAAAATAGCTGGGTCTTTGTATTTAAAATGGTGTCATGTAGACTGCATATTTGTTCAGTCTGATAATTTTTGTCTTTTATCAGTTTTCATCATTTACATTTAGTGTGATTATCAATATGTTTGGGTTTTCATCTACCCATTGCTATTTTAAAAATTTGTCTCATGTTTTCTTTGCCCTTTTCCTTTTGTGACTTCTTTTAATTAATTATGTTTAATATTTTGTATTATTTCACATATTGGCATATTAACTTTGTTTTAATAGCTGATGTATGGCTTACAGTGTGTATCTTTACATTTATCACAGTATTTCTTTAAGTAGTACTTACACTACTATGTTTAATATAAGAATCTTCTAATCGAATACTTCCTTTCCCCCTTTAGTCATTCGTTTTCTTTTTTAAATCATGTTTTAATTCTATATATAGTATAAACCCCAAAGTATAGTGTCCTAATATTTTTCTTTAACTAATTAATTATATTTCCAGTAAATTAAAAATGTCATTTATATTTATCCATATATGTGCCATTTCTAGCACTCTTCATTCTTTTCTGCTGGTCTAACTTTCTACATTTCATGCACATTTTTTCTAAAGAAATTTCCTCAGTGTTTTTTATATGCCACATCTGCTGGCAATAAATTCTCTCAACCTGTGTTTGTCTGAAAATATCTTTTTTTGTCCAAAGTTTTCAAAAGTACTTTTTTTCTGATATAGAATTATTGGTTTCCTGTGTTTTCCTTTTGGCACTATAAGGCTTTAAGCCATTTTCTCTAGCTTGCAGACATTCGGACGAGAAGTCTTCACTCATTTTTATCTTTCTTTCTCTGTACATAACATGTGTTTTCTTCTACAGAAGATTTTTGAGATTTTAGCATAACATTTAGCCATTTGATTTTAGTTTGTCATAGTGTGGGTTTTCATTTTCTTTATCTTTTGAAATTCTTAATCTGTGGTTTTATACTTTTTTAGAAATTTGAATATTTTTCAGCCATTATTTTTCTCAAAGACTTTATCTGCCCCTTCTCTCACTTTTGAGGATACACAACATGTATATTATGTCTTGTTGCCTTATTTTGCCCCACAGATTACTAAAGCCCTGTCCATTTTCTTCAATCAATCTTCTATCTGTACTTCATTGTGAATAGTATTTGTAGCTATACCTTCACATTAACTGACAATTTCTTCTTCAGCACCTAATCTGCTGTTAATCTCAGTGAGTAAAATGTTCATTTCAAAGGTTGTAGTTTTCATTTTTCAAAGAAGTTCCACTTGATATTTTTTAATATCTTCCATTTATTTTTGTATTGTATTCTTAGTTTCTTTTAAATCCTTGAGCATATTGAATGTATTTTTAAAAGCAACTTTAGTCTCTGTGTCCTGTTTCTGTCATCTCTGTATTTTCTGGGTCTGCTTCTACTGATTATTTTTTCTCTTGATTATGATCCACTTTCATGCTTATTTGTATGCCTGGCAATTTTTAAGAGGATATTAAACATTGTATACTTTGCGGTATTGAGTGCTGAATTTTTTGCTCTCTTCTTTCAAAGGGTGTTTGACTTTGTTCTGCTGATGGTTAAGTTACTGAAAGATCAACTCTATCCTTTTGTGATTTAATTTAAAACTATCATGGGATAGCATTTATTTTGGTTATTTTAGTGCTATTACTAAGTTGTATCCTTCTGCGATAATTTCCAAATGCCCCTGGTTTTTCTTGAGGACTCTCCACTGTTTAGAAGTTGGACATATCCTAGCCCTGTGTAATATTATTCAGCTTATAGTTTCCTTATCATTCTTTGCCTGGTTTCTTGTAGTCTTAATGAACATACATATGCCATTGTATCTAGTAATTGACTCAAGGGAACATTTATGGACATGTGTGGTACTTTGTAAATTTTTCCTACCTCTCTAGTTGTCTACATTCCTAGTTACAGTCACCTAAACCTCTTTGAACTCTGATATTAGTCTCTTTAGCTTAGTAAGAATGCCATTGTCTTTTTGGGTACCTTTACTTTATGGTCTGGAACATACATCCAGGTAGAAATTTGGGACAATTGTAGCACTCATATCTTTGTTTCCTTCCTCATAAGGATCACAGTCCTGTGCTTCTTATTGCAAAATGCAGAAAATTTTTTTTTCATGTTTTTCCTTGTTTTCTACTCACTTGAGTCAGGAGGGTAGGTCTGGTTTCAGTCATCCATCATGGCTGCAAAGGAAAGTTGATGTACTCCCTTTTAAAAGAGTTAATGACATAATCAAATCAAATGATTCAATTAGATGCTGAAATGAGAGCACAAGCTAATGGTCAAGAGCTTTCTATTCTACCTCTGTCACAAGTTGCAGTTTCATACCTCACCGTTTCAGAATGATGCCCTTCTTTAGTTATTGTATTCAGGTCAAGTCCATGGGCAGTTGCCAATTTAATTGCTATCAGTTCTCTTCCACAATTGTTCAGATTCAAGTTATTTTGTCCTTTGCATTCAGACTTAACACACTTCATCTACAGGAGCTAAGTTTAAGTACAGGGATGTCTCTGTTCCAAACAGCCTGTTAAATTAGCTCAGTGTTAGAATTTTCTGCCTATTTTGCTGTTTCCTCCACTAAACTATGATCTCATTGAAAAAGTTACAACTATAATATTATTTGTATTCATAGCATTTAGTATAGTACTTGACTCATGGTATGCCTTCCAATACCTATTAGTAGAACAAACACAAATACCCTTAAGAACATTTTTTTGTAATGTGTTAGGAGGATATAGATACCAAGGTAATTCAAGTTATCTCGAGTCATCTCCCTTCATCTTTACTTTTTTTCTTAATTACACAAAGTACAGATATTTATAGCTTTCTACCTATAAATCTGCATATATTTTCCTAACTCTGTTTACCTTCAAATTCAACAATTACAATTTGAGTTTTAGGTATTTGATCAAAATTTATTCCATGTACTATCTTTGGGAAATCTTATCTGAGCCCCTGCTATATACACTGATGAATTCTAAATACCCTATCTCCATCTCTTATGTCTGGACTCTTGAGTTCCAGACTGGAAATTTCCACTTGACTATGCCCAGGTACCTCAATTTTAATTATGTCCAAAATGAAACTTCATTTCCCCCTTAATTCTGTTTTCTTTTCCTGTGTTTTCTATGATGCTTTTCAGATAAAGTCCAAAGCCCTTACCGTGGCATACAAAATCCTTCAACATCTATCCCCTGATGGCTTTAGCTTTTGCTGAAACACTGATCCTCTCAACTCTCTATCACATTTCACAACTTCGGTTATTATATTTATTCATTTATTCCTTTATTATTCTTTCAACCTACTGTGGTAGACACTTTCTGGCTTCTTCAGATCCATTCTTCACCCTTCTCACCAGCTGTGTGCCCAGGATGCTGCCGTGTATGGGTTATACTAACAGTATTCTTCGCTCTGGTATCTGATTGAGTTTGGTCTGTAAAGAGTCTGGAGAAGAGGTCAAGAGTGGGAGGTCCTACACATCCCCTCCAAATTCATGTGTTGAACCCCTAGCCCCCAGTGTGATTGCATTTGGAGATGGGGCTTTTTTAACCTCTCTGAATGGTCAGAATAGACTATGTTATGTTGCATTACAGTAGTGGAAACGGATACATTTTCAGGACTGAAGAACTTACTTTTTTCAGCTTCTAGGAGTGTCTCAGCTGTCAGTACTTTCCAGGAATTCCCCTTGGCTGAAGACAGCCACTTCACTTAAGATCACAACTCCTTCCTGGGAGCAGCCTTCATCCAATGACTCATTGATTTGCGGGTATAAAGGCCCAGTTCTTGTTCCCAATTTGAAACAACTCTAAGGGGCCATGGCAGCTTCACAGCTTCCCACAGAGTCAGCTGAGTCCTTGTGGTGGGCACGTTACAGCCCATCTACTCTCACTGCTCGGTTCCACCTCTTTCCCTTTCCCTACATGTGTTTATATTGAGAGCATTCCTCCATGAATGTTCTCTATGCCCATCAGGACAGTCTCAGACATTGTTTCTAGGGAAGCATATCTGCAACAGCTGAAGTAACGAATAACTCCCAAATTGCAGTTGCTTAACAAAACAAGTCTATCTACATGGTTCAGCTGAGGGATTTCTCTACATGGCCAGTTGGTAATTTAGGCTAATCAAGGCTCTATCTCCTCTGGTGGTATACAGAACAAGCAGACTCCAGTCGTATGTCCCTGATATAGCTGGAGGATCAGGTACCAGCTTTTCTATACCTTGGCCTGAAGATGAATGATAAATCTTGCACTCACAGCCCATTGGCCATCACCAGTTGGTAACTGTGAAGGAACAGGAGGGTGAGTACCATAGTTCTGCCATACTCTGCAAGCCTCAATTTCCTCTGTAAAATAGGAATAATCTTACTTAAAAGTGTAGCTGTGGCTGGGCGCGGTGGCTTACGCCTATAATCCCAGCACTTTGGGAGGCCAAGGTGGGCAGATCACCTGAGGTCAGGAGTTTGAGACCAGCCTGACCAACATCGTGAAACCTCATCTATACTAAAAATACAAAAATTAGCTGGGTGTGGTGGTGGGTGCCTGTAATCCTAGCTACTAGGGAGGCTGAGGCACAAGAATTGCTTGAACCCTGGAGGCAGGGGTTGCAGTGAGCCGAGATTGTGCCACTGCACTCCAGCCTGGGCGACAAAGTGAGATTTTGTCTCAAAAAAAAAAGTGTTGCTGTGAGGGTTAAATGAGTACCATATAAAAGAAGCATTTAAGTCTCTGGGAAGCAACCTGTTTAGGTGAAGGTAGGTATCTTACCACCTTCTCCCATCCCGAGGGTCATTCTCAACTCTCTTGATATTAGATGGCAACCACCTTCCTACTTTCTCTCCATATCATCACTTGGAATTATATAGGAAAAGTTGGTACTGTGAAAAGCCACAGAAAATAGATTTAGCTGGTCTCTGCCTTAGATAGAAAGAAAAAAGGCCTAGAACCAAAAGAGATTCCAAGAATGACTGCAGTTACCAAGACAAGTTGGGAAAATGGTTACAAGAACTTAAGCGTCACAGGTTCCCTTGTGACAGGTGTGACAAATTGGCAGAGGCAAAGGGTCGGGGCAGTATTTTATTTTTATTTATTTTGCCACATTTCGGCTATTTTTAAAGTAATATTTAATACTTTCAAGTGTTTTGCCATGTTAGCCTTTCTACCTTAATGATTACTAATTATTTATAAAAACCTTATATTTTTCTAAAGCACTATGAAAGGGAGACCAGAATTATTCACCGCATGACATAATAAATAAATGAATTCAAAATATGGAAAAAGTCATTATATTCTAAATAGAAAATGATTCCTACTGGAAGGCTTTGAGCTGTGAGCACATTTTGTGTTTGTTAAAAAATGCAGGTAATAGGCTGGGCATGGTGTCTTATGCCTGCAATCCCAGCAGTTTGGGAGGTGGGTGGATCATCTGAGGTCAGGAGATTGAGACCAGCCTGGCCAACATGGTGAAACCCCATCTCTACTAAAAATACAAAAATTAGCTGGGTTTGGTGGCAGGTGTCTGTAATCCCAGCTACTCGGGAGGCTGAGGCAGGAGAATTGGTTGAACCTGGGAGGCGGAGGTTGCAGTGAGCTGAGATCATATCACTGCACTCTAGCCTGGGTGACAGGGTGAGACTCTGTCTCAAAAAAAAAAAAAAAAAAAAAAAAGTGGATAATAGAAGGGTAAGAGCTTTAGCACCTCGCTGATTATTCCTTCTCGAGAGTAAGGAACATTGAACGAGGAGTAATATTCTCACTGGGTTATTGAAGATAACTTCCTCTGGTCCTGATGTTTTTGTGCCTCCAAAAATCAACATCCCAAATTTTGAGAAACTCACAATCACGTGATCTGAACCCGCTTCCATCAATGGCATTTGGAGCCTCAAGAGAAAAGTGGTGCTTTATTGATAGAAACCTCCTTCCTACTGTGTCTCCATATCACTTGGAATTACATAGGAAAGCTTGGTACTGTGAAAAGCCACAGAAAATAGGTTTAGTAGTTTACTTGGGTTGAGCAGACAGAAGCAATGGCTCCTAAAGAACTTGGATCTGAGGCCACAGAACCCTGAGAACATGGTCACCCCTACTTTGCTGAGAGCACACTTTGGAACTGGACAGGTTTTACCCTGTTCTCACAGAACTTCAAGAGAGAAGAGGAGGGGGAATCCAATTTGATGTGTAAGTGCTCCCATTAGTTAAGTTGCCTTAGGGAGTTTCAATAGAAATATTAAAACATTACAGGCCTAAATGACTTGGTATTCTTATTTTCTCTCTAAAAGGTAAATGGCTTTACTTTTTATTTTGACTATAGACAAGTTAAAGAAAAAAAGAAAAACGATTGTTAAAATGTTACAGGTTATGTTGATTTAAAAAGTGAGAAAAGGTACGCTGGGTGTAGTGTCTCACACCTATAATTCCACACTTTGGGTGGCTGAGGCGGGAGGATCGCTTGAGCCTAGGAGTTCAAGACCAGCCTGAGCAACATGGCGAGATTTGTCTCTGTAAAAAAGACAAAAATTAGCTGGGTGTGGTGGCGCACACCTGTAGTCCTAGCTACTCGGGAGGCTGAGGCAGGTGAATTGATTGAGCTCGGGAGTTAGAGACCAGCCTGGGCAACATAGGGAGACCCTGTTTCTACAAAAAATGAATTAAAAAAATTAACCAAGCATGGTGGCCTGTGGTCCCAGCTACTTAGGAGGCTGAGGCAGGTGGATCAATTGAGCCTGGGAGTTCAAGGCTGCAGTAAGCCCTGATCACAATAGTGCACTCCAGCCTAGGTGACAGAGTGAGACTCTGTCTCAAAAAAAAAAAAAAAAAAAAAAAAAAAAGAGAAACTATTAAACCCTCATAGCTCTGCTGCCCTGAGGTATTAGTTGCCCAGTCTTCTTTGTCTCTTCAGATGATTTCACCAAGCCATAGGCACCATGAGATTAGGGACCAGATTGGCATTGTTCATTGCTTTCTCTTCAATGGTTAGAATAGTGCTTTGCACAAAGTAGATTATAAATACAGTTTTTTGTTAAATAAATGACTGTATGTATGCTTAAATTGTTTTACAAAAATGAGATATTATATCTAGAAAGTTGTAACCTAATATTTTTCACTTAATATATTGTGTAGTTTTAACCATATCAATAAATAAATATTTGCATAATTTTTTAGGTACTATAGAGTAGCTGACTTTTTGCCTTAATGGACGTATCATACTTTATTAAAACAATCCTTAGTTTTTACATAATTAAGTTCTTTCCATTTTTTAATTTTTAAAAATATTATTGCAATGAATATTTCTGAAAATACTTTTGCTGCTTTCTGATTATTTTCTTGGTATAAATTCCTAGAAGTGTAATTACAGAATATAAATTACATATTTTTATAGATTTTAACTCATATTGCCAAATAGGCCCCCCAAATAGATTGGACCAATTTACTTTTCCACCAGCCACATATGAAAACATGTTTCCTCAACAACTTTGATAAAAAGCAGGCGTTGCCAACATTTTAAACTATGTATTTCCATGACTGCTGATAAAAAAGAACTTTCTTTTTTATCTGGTATTCTTTTTTCTATTTCTCTTTGTTATTTGCATTTCTTCCTTTTGTAATTACTTTGGCATCCGTTAACCTTTTTTGAATCCATCTCTATATCTTTTCTTACTGATTTTTAAAAGCTCTCTATACATTCAGAACATTAATATTTATGTTATACAATGCAAATATTTCCCTTCTTTCCATCACTTGCCTTTTGATGTTGTTCACAACAATGGTAATGGTAGTTATGCTACTAAGTTTAATTGGTTTTGCTATTGTTGTTGATGGTGTTGATGTTACTGCTTGTGGCATTGTTGGTTTTGGTGGCAGTCGTACCAGGGCTGTTGTTTTTAGTAGTGATGGCGATGCTGTGTCATTTAACCTTGCAGAAGTTTAAATTCTACCAGTATTTCCTGTTACAGTTTCTGCCTTTGGTGTCATGTGAAAAAAAAAGACCATTACTATAGCAAAGCTATGTCTTTAATAAATGTATTTTGTTCTAATTATCTTATGATTATACATACAGATACACACAGATTTTAATCTTAATTTATCTGAAATTAATCTGATACAAAATGTGTACTAGTGTCAAAGGATCATAAGAACATCATGAACTATCTTAGATTGAAAGACAAAGCTGAATTTATTGCTTACAGTCAGGGAGAGCTATGCTGCTAAGTCAGTGTCCCCAGCAGGAGGGCAGCAGATCTTACAGAGGGTGGTGGGGAAGTGTGTAGGTCAGTGGCTGGAGGATTTCTAGGCATGTAAGTATTCTGGATCTGGAGAAAAGAGGTTATGTGGAACTGCTGTTGAAGGACTGACATTCAGAGGTGTGTTTCTTAGAGTGGGTCAATTCCTGATAAAGTGTTTTTCCACAATAAGAGATGGTCACTGACTTGTTGGCTTGTAAAAACAGGTTCACTAAGAGGAATTGTTGATCAACTGAAGAGGTTTAAAAGCACTTCTGGTAGTTACCTGTTACTATGGCTGCAGAAAAATCAGTCTTTTCCTAGGATTGTGGGCACTTTTACCATTCTCAGTGGGGATCAATTTTTTTCCCCAAGTGATATGAATGGAAGAGAACATTTTGATTATGTTTTAATATGTTTATTTTCCTGTAATGTGATTTTCTTGAGAGCAGGAGCCTTATGTCCTCTTTTCCTTACTCCCAGTGTCAAATAGAGGACTGGAATATAAAAATATTTAATAAGGTGAATTATGGGAGCCAGGCTCTCAAGCACTAGCCCAGGCTATAGCCATAAATGACCATTTAAGTGACAACGTGTTCATGTGCTCTTTGAATTTTGGCACTGCGAATATCTTAAAGATTATCAACAACCACTTCTTCACATCCCCAATGACACTCATGTTCATATTTTAGAAGGCAGGCAAAATTGATAAAAATCAGAAACATTAATAATAATGTTTTAGATTATCATGACAGTTAATATTATTTAGTATTTGCTATGCCAGTCCATATTATGTCCTTTACATGGGCTACTTTGTGGAAACTTAACCATAATTCCTTGAAGTATCTGTTATTATTAACTTCATTTTATAGGTAAGGAAATCGAGGGTCAGAAAAGTAATCAATGAGTTACAGGAGGGTTGGGGTGAGGAATGGATGAAACCAGTATTCATTTAACATACATAATATAACAAAAAATTTCAAAATATCCAGGCCTATTTTTCAGATTTGATTATCTCATATTGACCTTCTATAATTGGGAAGAGAATGATTTTAGAGAAGACCAGGGATCTATGTTAGTTGACACTGTTTGTCAGCCATACATCCATTACATAATTTAGTCTTCATGGAAGCTCTGTTAGGTGGCTGTTATTATGTTCTATCTTTTATAAATGTGGGATCCAAATCCAGAGAAATCAAATTGCCAAAAGTCACACAGTTAGTAAATGGCTGAGATAGACTTTTAAACACTGGTGTGATGCTGTTTAATTTCAGTGACTAGATGATGTTGTCCACACTTGTTCCTATGTCTAAAAACAGTGACCTAGGTATACTCTAATTTTTGATGAGCCGACTTTATAAGCTATATTAGTTATGAGAATTATAGGAAAGTATCCAAAAATCTTATTCTCTTCCTTTTTGGAAATTTAACCTGTAATCTGAGTTTGGCCAATTCACGCAAGATTTGTGACTAATCAAAAATTCATTTCTGTGCAAACTGATCCCTCATATTGCTACTTTGATCACTGTAAAGAGGATAATGGTTTTTTCAATTCATTGTTACATTATTTTCTAATTCACTTATGGTCTTAGGGGTAATTAATCACTGAATGTGAGAGTAGAAATGTGTGATAAGCTTTCATAAGTAGCCTGAGCTCAGGAGAATGGGAGCAATGCCATCATCTCACAGAGCTAGAATGAGAGAAGAAACAGAGATTCTCATGGCTTGGGAGGGGTCTCTACATTTTCCCTTCAGTCCTTTAAATAATTTCCAATTGACTCTTTCTTGATGACTGTAGAGTTTATTCCAATAAATGTAGTATTTTTCCAGATGGCATTGTGCAGTCACGAAAATGACACTAAGAGGTAGTTTCAATTACCTTCAATGTAATGGTTTTTACTAATTTCAGATAAAAAGTTTTTAATAATTTCAGATAAAAAGTCTTTACTATGGAACACCAATGCTTGGTGAGATTTAAATTACTCTGGCAAGACTAAATAAGGCTTATTCTTATGAGGTCTTTTAGAACAACAGTGATAGTTAAGTTTAGGAAGACAAATAAATGAAAATATCATTAGAGGTAAATATAGGCTATCTATTTAAAAATTATTACAGATGACTTTTTTTTTCCATTGAGAGTCTATCACCCAGAATGAACAAACTCAATATATGTTTGTTGAATGAATGAAGCAATGATAGTAAGGTACTCTTAATTCTTTTCCTGGTTCAGTGAGGTCTCTCCCCTTGTGTAGATACTTGGTGCTTTCATCTGGAAAAAGAAATGGTTGATTAACATTTATTTAATATCTATTAATATTGCTACCATTTTCAGACATTTCTGGGTAAAGGAAAACAAAGATGAACAGAACAGATTCCTGCTCATAGGTCTTAGAGTTTACTGATAGAGACAGCCATGTAAACAAGTAAAGAAACTGACATAGTAATTTCTATGGTAGTCATATAAACACATTGCAAAGTGAAGGAGATGCCTTGTTGCCTGAGAATCAGGTCAGACAATCTTTCTAGAGGAAGTGATATTTGAGTTAACTATTACAAGGAGAGATAAAATTCAAAGGTTCTTCAAGCCCTTGATGGACACTGGAAATAGGGAGAACTAGGAGAATGTGTAAAGAAGCAAAAAGGAAAAAGAGAAGGATTTGGGGTAAAAGGAGAAAAGCTTTCTAGAATGTCAGTAAAAGATACCATCTATCTCTAATAGGTGAGTTATTCATATTTATTGAAGGCCAATATTTGTAAGCTATTCTGCTAAGCACTGAGGATCCTAAAAATTAAAGAGATATGCCGGTCTCTGTTCTCACAAAGCTTCTCATATTTCCGGGTGGAGAACAACAAATTAAGCAAGTAATTCCATTAGACCAGGCTGAAAACCATGGTGGGAAGTACAAGGTGCGTTGGGAACACGTAGCCCAGATAATCTACCTAATTGGATGGAGAGGAGGGGATACTTAAAAGGTAAAAGGGGCTGGGCACAGTGGCTCATGCCCATAATACCAGCACTTTGGGAGGCTGAGGCAGGTGGATCACCTGAGTTCAAGAGTTTGAGACCAGCCTGGCCAACATGGTGAAACCCCGTCTCTACTAAAAATACAAAAAAAAAAAAAAAAAAAAAAAAAAATTTGCCAGGCGTGGTGGCAGGCACTTGTAATTCTAGCTATTTGGGAGGCTGAGGCAGGAGAATCACTTGAACTCTGGAGGTTGAGGTTGCAGTGAGCTGAGATTGCGCCACTGCACTCCAGCCTGGGTGACAAGAGCAAGACTCAGTCTCAAAAAAATAAAATAACATAACAAATAAAAGGTAAAAGGCTGAGACCTGAAGATGAGTAGGAGCTAGCCAGGCAGAAGTGGCAGCATAAAGTGAGAGGAAATGTGTATGTTCAAGAAACTGGAAGATCAGTCTACAAAATCTTAGACTTTTTTTTTTTCCTTCAGGAACATTTTTTTTTTAACTTTTATTTTAAGTTCAAGGGTACATGTGCAGGTTTGTTGCAGCACTATTCACAATAGCAAAGACATGAAATCTTAAAAGCAAAGCATGAGAAAAATGAGGCTAAGGCGATAAAATGGTCAGATCATAAAAGGTATTATTAGCCACACATTTAGTCATAGTGAACATTACTGCAAAGAGCTGTAGATGTCAAGGAAGCCATTTAATGGCATTGAGTAGGGGAAGAAAGTAATTTTGCACTTTCATCTTCTAGAGTGGCTGTGTTTTTGTGTGTAGTTTCAGGAACTAAATTGTGGTGGAGGTTACAGGACACAGATTCTGGCCTTGGAAGGTCAGGAACCTTACTGTCACTACCATATTGCAGTTGAAATGAACTTTCAAAATGCCTTTACGTTCATGATCTCTTGCAGTTCTGTGAGAAAGTCAAGCGAGAGCATTAGTATCCCATTGGACTGATGAAGAAGTTGCATTTCTGGCTGATTCAGACATATGGCTACAATTAAGTGCTGTGTTGGTTTTGTAGTTGAGGTATCCCCAGACCTCTGGCCTTATGCTGTGGTGCATTGCCTTTTCCACTGCATTTACTGTGTGGGTTTTCAAAGGCTCATGCAAAGCCAAGCATTTCCATGAAAAATGGATTCCTTTCTTTATATCAGCCCTCAAAATGACATGATCTCTCATCTCTGACTGCCCAGGCTTTTCTTAATACTTCTACCACATTACCAATTGTAGCAATTTGGGGAGTGGGCAGCCTCTCTATGTAGTGTGATGTAAGGGGCTCTGATAAGGCGGCGCTGACCTCAGAAGTCTTTCCAAATTTGCCTGCCAGAATTATGAAACATTTTGCCTTTACATCTTTATTTGTTTGAACACTAGTAGCAATGTCTACAAAAAGAGTCATATCATCAGCTTGTTCCCCCTATTATCCAAGCTGGGGATGCTTGCTCCACCCATGTCAGGAGCTGGAAGATCAAAGACTTGCAGACAATTACAGTTTTAAAAATGACAGAGCTGGAAAGAATTGTTGTTATTTCTTACTGTTTGATTTCCCTATTTTATAGCTAAAGAAATTGAAGGTCTGAAAAAAAAGAAGTGACATATATTACTGGACCTGGGTAATGACTATATCCCTGGTACCCCGAGCCTCAGACCTGATTGTCCCAAATACCATGCTAGGCTTATTGTATCAGCTAGCACTCAGTATGTGCCAGGCACTGTCCTAAGTGCCTAAGATATATGAAATCATTAAATTCTCATAACAACATAATGAGGGAGATAGTATTATTACTTTATACATAACGTAAAAAATCTTAAACAAGCAAAAGACATTGAGTTTCTGAAACCTACAGGGCAGGCAAATGTCAGAGCTGGAATATGACCCTGAGCAGGCTGCCTTTACAAGCCAGGCTCTGAACTACTACAGCAGAGTAGAACTACTTTTGAGTAGAAGTCAGGCATGTATGTTGGGGGCAGAGGAGACTACAGAAAGTATGAGAACATGAGAAATAAAAGAAATGTCCAAAATACAATCTGGGATGACTTTATAATTTCATAAAGAGGTCCTGTTTTGTCAATACATTTGAGTGACCAAGAGCACTTTGCTACTCACTACATTCCTGCTTGTGCCTTGGAGGAAGAGCAAAGCTCATATGTTGATCACAGGACTAAACATAAACCAAGTGTGTGCCACAGTTGCTGGAAAAATCAAAACATTCTTAGGCAAAATTATTGTAATAGAGTTGAAATGTACCGATTAAGGCAGGTGACAATTTCAATCATTTTCTCTAAGATAGACCACATTGGATGTGTTGTTTCAAGCTTAGGATGTCTTATTTCCAAGTTTGTGTTGGTCAAGTGGCACCACTTTGGAAGCCTAAACAATATGAGAGCAAGATCTGAGACCTATACCAACCAGGAATGGGGAAGAAATTGTGAATGTTTAACATGGAAAAAAGAAGACTTAGAAGAGGTGTGAGGCTCATTACACATTCTTGAAGAACAGTTACACAATCAAAGAATAAATGCTTCCTGCCTTGCTCCAAAAGGGCTAAGATGTCGTATTTCACTTTAATAATTGGAGCTGTTGCAAGAAAATAGAATAGGAAGGGCCACAAAACAGTAAGGTAATAAGTTTCACATCTGTTGGTGGACTCAGCCGGAGTTAGCTAAAAATCTCCTAGGAATTATTTCAGGGGCTGAGGAATGGAGAGACGGGGGAAATAAAGTACACTTGGCCTACGTGATCACCAGTCTCCGTGAAATTTTCAGTCTGGGAAATATTTTGCAAGTGTGATCTATTCAAAATTTCTTCTCAGTTATTGAGTGTATGTTATTGTAAACCAAAGATGCCTAACATAGGGGAGCTTTGCTTTCCAGCATGGAAACCATGATGCCTAGCTTCATATGATGCAGATAATAACCACCACTTACTCCTAGACAAAAGGCAGCTTCTGTAGATGACTGGGTTTCACTTTTGTGGGTGACAGAAAAGAAAGGAAGAAAAACTAGCATAAAGCAAAATAGTGTGGTGGCAACTCAGGGAATTACTTATTTTTCTGCTGCTCTGGTGTCTTGGGAGTGGAAGCACATCTTGTCAATAGTGAATAGAAGCAGACATGAATTATTATTATGGTCTCTGCCTCATAATTTCTGTGTCACCAAGATGTGCTCTGTTTATTACTGCACTTAGAAAGCTTTGGAATATTAGCCACATAAAGTTTCTCTTCATGGATTCTATTACCACACTCTTCAGTTGTTCCAGGAAACCAAGACTGTGGAATCACATTTCTGGGGAGAAATAGCTCTCAGCCTTGGCTCTTTCTGGCTGTGCAGTACACTGGGAAAATTTTGTCATAGATCATTAAAGCAAGAATGATCCCCAGAGATCCTCTGCCTTATCTCTCCATCCCCCCACTGCACATTTGAGGGATTGAGATGCAGGGAGAGAGTAGACATGTTCAAAATCATAGAACACATTATAGATTTCAATTTCCATTGCATATTCCCGGTTCAGTGGACTTGCTGTTGTGGGATCCAACCAACCTCCTTTGGTTGGGTCCAAATGCTCATGAGTGGAATTAAGGAAAGAAGGGTGACAGTTTAAACAATGGGCCAATTTTGTGAATCATGGGATGCCTCAGTTTCCAGTGGATGAAAACGACAAAGGTATGTTGGAAATTTAAACATGAAAGACAGAGTAAAAATGATTCAGATTCTGTCAAAGCTCCTTGAGCGCACTCAGGCATCTAATGTTTTCTCTCTTTGTAAGGAAGACAAACAGAAGGTCTTCCCAAAGTGAGCACCTTGAGCCTCAGTTTCTTCCTCTGTAGAAATGGGACCTGCCTTACAGGACTGTTGTTGGACAAAATTAGATTGGATATGTAGCACCTAACAATGCTCCAGATACAGGAGGCCCTCCATGCCCTCCCTTCTTCCATTCTTACTGAGAGAGGAACAGTATTTCCAATGACTGGTCATGGTATTCTGATCTCTGCACAATGATGAGGATGGAGTTGAGGCAGGATTTTGGGGAGATGGGGAACAACATCTGATTCTAATCTCGTCATTAAGATTTTAAAAGCTCCCAAAGGACAAGGATCACATGAAATTGTTTCCCTTACAGTGGCTCCCCATGGCACTCATAATTAAAGGCAAAATCCTAATACACAGGGCCTAGAAGGCCTTCTGTGTTCAGAATCCTCATCACCTCTCTCCTCTTGTGCTTCTTTTTCTCTGCTACTTTTGCTGCATGGAATGAGAACAAAGACAGTGGTCAAGAAGTATTTATTAAATGAGCTATCTTCACAATCCCTATGTGGGCTAGATTAGCAGTAGAGGAACAGTTCATTAAAGTTTAAATTCTTTGGATTATTTATATACCTGATAAATTATTCAACAGTTAAAAAGTCCAAAACATGGTAGCACCCAATGAAGGCAGGACTTGGTGAAATTAATACACTAATATGCCGCTGATTGGTGTGCAACTAGTGATTGTTTTGTGATTGCAATTGGCAATACATATTAAAAACCATAAGAAAGATAAATTCCTTTCATTTAGTAATGTTATTCACAGAATAAAATCTAAGGTAAAAAACATTGCAGTAAAATGGCCACACTAGTAAGATATTCTTTGCAGCATTATGTATAATAGCAAAAATATTGAAACATTAGAATGGTTAAACTAAATAATAGTTTATCTATTCAATGGAATGCTATGAATAATTATATATAATAATTAAAAATATAATGCTAAAACTTTTTTTTTACCAAATAATGTTAAAAGGAATATTAAGTAGTATCTGCACTATAATAATAATTATATTAATGTGAATTTATATGGACAAGAAATGAACAAGAATGGTAAGAATATATAATATAAAAATTGTGATTTGTATTGTATAAAATTTTGCTAATTTAAAGATAGATTATATATTATTTATGTGTATCTAATTTAAATATATTTTATAAGAAAATATAGCAATAAAGTAATAAATAGGAAAATGTTATTTATTAGAAATATTTCAATAATTTTTTTAGTTTTCTGATTTTTATTTGGAAAAAGATTTTTCTTCTATTGAAATATGAAAGTGAGGGGACAATCATTGCTCTTCGTATGAGAGGTAAAATTGCATTTCCTTTAGTTCTGTCTATGCCTTTCTCTTTACTTTTCTTTCAATCAAAAATAGCCTCTCCTCCAACTTCACCTGTAATTACTCATCCTTCAGTTTTTTCTCTGAATGCCTATCCTCCAATAAGCTTTCTGAAGCCCTTCTCAGTTACTATTCCTTTAATTTATACATAGGAGATAAAAATATTTGTAGTACTCATCATCCATCTATCCATCCATAGAATCAACAAGGAGACAAGTCTTCCCCAATGCCTCAATGGTTATTTGGAATTTAAGGTGTTCATTTGAGACTTCAAGTCTGTTTTTCAAGGACATCGACAAGAAGAAAAAAATGACAATCTGTTGTGTCTTTATCTTTTTCTTTTTTAAAAAATGATCATTTATTTTGGCCACAATTCCTGGTGGAGCATTCGTCTAATTTAACTGTATTTCTCATAGTATCACAGGCCAATGGCTAAATGAGTTGCCTTTATTGCACTGGAATCCAGCTTCAGCATGTTTCCAATATCTGGTGAAAATATCCATTCACATAAACAGAAACTCCACAGTAGCTACATGTGGAAGTTCTGAGGTAATGTCGCCTTTCTCAAAAAGCTTCAGTTTAGAATTTTCCAGAGTAACCCACGAAGCAGTTGGTTTTATGCCTGAGATTCTCCATTCCCATTGGGTCACATAAACTGAGTGAGAGCAGACAGGGGAGATGGTGAGTGGCTGCCATATTCCAATCAGTGCAAGATTTCTCTTTTCTGGTTCATAAAGAGTTCCTAATCACATCTGGAAAAGAAAATAGTAGAAGTGCACTAGGATAAGTGAGTGAGGAAGAAAAAAGCAGAAGAGTGTTTTTTGAGTGACTACAATGTGCCAGATCCATACACACTTATTATACTTTAAGTTCTGGGGCACATGTGCAGAACGTTCAGTTTTGTTACGTAGGTATACACGTGCCATGGTGGGTTGCTGCACCCATCAACCTGTCATCTACATTAGGTATTTCTCCTAATGCTATCCCTCCGCTAGCCCCCCACCCACCGACTGGCCCCGCTATACACACGTTTTTGATATCACATTGCATTTTGAAAAAGCCATGTGACTTCTCAGATGCCATTATCCAAGCTGAAAAATGTAAGAAGAAAAAACAAAAACTTTGTGATGGTTAATTTTACATGTCAGCTTGACTGGGTTAAGGGGTACTCACATTTACCAACTAATGCTGGTCAAGCTTTAGCTCTGGGTATGCCCTTGAAAGTGCTTCCAGAAGAGATTGACATCTGCATCGGTGGGTGGAGTAAGAAAGATCTGCCCTCACCATGTGGGTGGACATCGTCCAATTCATCGAAGGCCTGGATAGAATTAAAAGGCAGTGGAAAGATGAAGTCACTTTTTTCTCTGGAGCTGAGACTTTCAGTTTTCCTACCTTGGACATCAGGACTCCAGGTTTTTGGCCGCAGATATGGAAACTTACACCGGCCCTGCAGCCCCGCCCCCCTTCCTCCCCGCCCCCCATGTTCTTGGGCCTTTGGCCTTGAACTGAGACTTACACCATTGGCTCTGCTGGTTCTCAGGCCTTTTGATTCAGACTTAATTACACAACCAGCGTCTCTGGTTCACCAGCTTGCTGGAGCGCATATGGTGGGACTTCTCAGCATGTGGTCCAATTTTCGTATGTGATTCCATATGTGATCCAGTTCCCACAATAATCCCCCTTTTATCTATCTATCTATCTATCTATCTATCTATCTATCTATCTATCTATCATCTATCTATCTATCTATCTATCTACGTATCTCCTATTGGCTCTGTTTCTCTGGAGTAACCAGACTAATACATACTTGGAACAAAAAACAAGATCACCCAGCAAGCCAGCAAGCCAATGACAGAGCCCATCATCCTGCTGAGAAGGCAGTTTATAATAGTGATATTCTGTGCAAGTCCCAGGAAAATGCTTTTTGGCATCAAACCAAATATAGAATAGGGTGAATAGGCAGCAAATGAGATGTTTTATTGAAGATCAAGCTAGTTCACATGAATCATTTCATCCCATCCTTTTTATCTTGCTCCTATGTAGATATCATTAATCCATTCAGCTGAAGCTCTTGATTTCTGAATGTCTTAATCTCCAACTGCCTGGAATTTGTTTTTTGTCAGTTGAAGCTTCTTTTGCTTAATTACATATCAGGCAAGCTGGAAGTGTTAGAGAAATGATATAGGGAACTTCCTAACCAATGACTGATGGGAGTTGGTGGGTAAATACTCCAGCTCCATCCCCCAGAGTGAAAGGACTCTGAGGAGTCAGTTCTATACTGACTATCAGAGTTCTATACAGTATCAGGGATTAAGTTATATGTTCCCACAGTCCTAATAAGCATAATAACGTACTCTGTAAAAGCTGCCTTCCTTCTTTAATTATGTTCCCACTTTCCTACAAGTGTTTGCTGGTATCATCTCTCGAACAAAATACTTCCACTCAAGTCTTTGCCTCAGGGTCAGCTTCTGGGAGAGCACAATCAAAGACAATTCCACTTGGTGGGAGGTGTTACTCAGGTACAGAACATGTGTTTGGAGCCTGTGAGTAGCAGAGCTCATTATGACTGCCTATCACCTTCAAAAATATGACTCCCAATTTATAAATGTATATACTGAGAGCCAAAATATGTGTTTTATAATACCACATATTTAGATAGACAAGAGTTTGGTAAATGACAGCTCATGGGCCAAATCTGGCTTTCTACCTGTTTGTTTTTATGTTCTGCATCCTGCAAGCTAAGAATGATTTTTACATTTTTTTCTTTTTATTTATTTATTTATTTATTTATTTATTTATTTATTATTATTATACTTTAAGTTTTAGGGTACATGTGCACAATGTGCATGTTAGTTACATACGTATACATGTACCATGCTGGTGCGCTGCACCCACTAACTCATCATCTAGCATTAGGTATGTCTGCCAGTGCTATCCCTCCCCCCTCCCCCCACCCCACAACAGTACCCAGAGTGTGATGTTCCCCTTCCTGTGTCCATGTGTTCTCATTGTTCAATTCCCACCTATGAGTGAGAATATGTGTTTGGTTTTTTGTTCTTGCAACAGTTTACTGAGAATGATGATTTCCAATTTCATCCATGTCCCTACAAAGGATATGAACTCATCATTTTTTATGGCTGCATAGTATTCCATGGTGTATATGTGCCACATTTTCTTAATCCAGTCTATCATTGTTGGACATTTGGGTTGGTTCCAAGTCTTTGCTATTGTGAATAATGCTGCAATAAACATACGTGTGCATGTGTCTTTATAGCAGCATGATTTATAGTCCTTTGGGTATATACCCAGTAATGGGATGGCTGGGTCAAATGGTATTTCTAGTTCTAGATCCCTGAGGAATCGCCACACTGACTTCCACAATGGTTGAACTAGTTTACAGTCCCACCAACAGTGTAAAAGTGTTCCTATTTCTCCACATCCTCTCCAGCACCTGTTGTTTCCTGACTTTTTAATGATCACCATTCTAACTGGTGTGAGATGGTATCTCATTGTGGTTTTGATTTGCATTTCTCTGATGGCCAGTGATGATGAGCATTTTTTCATGTGTTTTTTGGCTGCATAAATGTCTTCTTTTGAGAAGTGTCTGTTCATGTCCTTCACCCACTTTTTGATGGGGTTGTTTGTTTTTTTCTTGTAAATTTGTTTGAGTTCATTATAGATTCTGGATATTAGTCCTTTGTCAGATAAGTAGATTGCGAAAATTGTCTCCCATTTTGTAGGTTGCCTGTTCACTCTGATGGTAGTTTCTTTTGCTGTGCAGAAGCTCTTTAGTTTAATTAGATCCCATTTGTCAATTTTGGGTTTTGTTGCCATTGCTTTTGGTGTTTTAGTCATGAAGTCCTTGTCCACGCCTATGTCCTGAATGGTAATGCCTAGGTTTTCTTCTAGAGTTTTTATGGTTTTAGGTCTAACGTTTAAGTCTTTAATCCATCTTGAATTGATTTTTGTATAAGGTGTAAGGAAGGGATCCAGTTTCAGCTTTCTACATATGGCTAGCCAGTTTTCCCAGCACCATTTATTAAATAGGGAATCCTTTCCCCATTGCTTGTTTTTCTCAGGTTTGTCAAAGATCAGATAGTTGTAGATATGTGGCATTATTTCTGAGGGCTCTGTTCTGTTCCATTGATCTATATCTCTGTTTTGGTACCAGTACCATGCTGTTTTGGTTACTGTAGACTTGTAGTATAGTTTGAAGTCAGGTAGTGTGATGCCTCCAGCTTTGTTCTTTTGGCTTAGGATTGACTTGGTGATGCAGGCTCTTTTTTGGTTCCATATGAACTTTACAGTAGTTTTTTCCAATTCTGTGAAGAAAGTCATTGGTAGCTTGATGGGGATGGCATTGAATCTGTAAATTACCTTGGGCAGTATGGCCATTTTCACGATATTGAGTCTTCCTACCCATGAGCATGGAATGTTCTTCCATTTGTTTGTATCCTCTTTTATTTCCTTGAGCAGTGGTTTGTAGTTCTCCTTGAAGAGGTCCTTCACATCCCTTGTAAGTTGGATTCCTAGGTATTTTATTCTCTTTCAAGCAATTGTGAATGGGAGTTCACTCATGATTTGGCTCTCTGTTTGTCTGTTGTTGGTGTATAAGAATGCTTGTGATTTTTGTACATTGATTTTGTATCCTGAGACTTTGCTGAAGTTGCTTATCAGCTTAAGGAGATTTTGGGCTGAGACAGTGGGGTTTTCTAGATATACAATCATGTCGTCTGCAAACAGGGACAGTTTGACTTCCTCTTTTCCTAATTGAATACCCTTTATTTCCTTCTCCTGCCTAATTGCCCTGACCAGAACTTCCAACACTATGTTGAATAGGAGTGGTGAGAGAGGGCATCCCTGTCTTGTGCCAGTTTTCAAAGGGAATGCTTCCAGTTTTTGCCCATTCAGTATGATATTGGCTGTGGGTTTGTCATAGATAGCTCTTATTATTTTGAAATACGTCCCATCAATACCTAATTTATTGAGAGTTTTTAGCATGAAGCGTTGTTGAATTTTGTCAAAGGCTTTTTCTGCATCTATTGAGATAATCATGTGGTTTTTGACTTTGGTTCTGTTTATATGCTGGATTACATTTATTGATTTGCGTATATTGAACCAGTCTTGCATCCCAGGGATGAAGCCCACTTGATCACAGTGGATAAGCTTTTTGATGTGCTGCTGGATTCGGTTTGCCAGTATTTTATTGAGGATTTTTGCATCAATGTTCGTCAAGGATATTGGTCTAAAATTCTCTTTTTTGATTGTGTCTCTGCCCGGCTTTGGTATCAGGATGATGCTGGCCTCATAAAATGAGTTAGGGAGGATTCCCTCTTTTTCTATTGATTGGAATAGTTTCAGAAGGAATGGTACCAGTTCCACCTTGTACCTCTGGTGGAATTCGGCTGTGAATCCATCTGGTCCTGGACTCTTTTTGGTTGGTAAGCTATTGATTACTGCCACAATTTCAGATCCTGTTATTGGTCTATTCAGAGATTCAACTTCTTCCTGGTTTAGTCTTGGGAGAGTGTATGTGTTGAGGAATTTATCCATTTCTTCTAGATTTTCTAGTTTATTTGCATAGAGGTGTTTGTAGTATTCTCTGATGGTAGTTTGTATTTCTGTAGGATCAGTGGTGATATCCCCTTTATCATTTTTTATTGCGTCTATTTGATTCTTCTCTCTTTTTTTCTTTATTAGTCTTTTTAGCGGTTTATCAATTTTGTTGATCCTTTCAAAAAACCAGCTCCTGGATTCATTAATTTTTTGAAGGGTGTTTTATGTCTCTATTTCCTTCAGTTCTGCTCTGATTTTAGTTATTTCTTGCCTTCTGCTAGCTTTTGAATGTGTTTGGTCTTACTTTTCTAGTTCTTTTAATTGTGATGTTAGGGTGTCAATTTTGGATCTTTCCTGCTTTCTCTTGTGGGCATTTAGTGCTATAAATTTCCCTCTACACACTGCTTTGAATGCGTCCCAGAGATTCTGGTATGTTCTGTCTTTGTTCTCTTTGGTTTCAAAGAACATCTTTATTTCTGCCTTCATTTTGTTATGTACCCAGTAGTCATTCAGGAGCAGGTTGTCAGTTTCCATGTAGTTGAGCGGTTTTGAGTGAGATTCTTAATCCTGAGTTCTAGTTTGATTGCACTGTGGTCTGAGAGATAGTTTGTTATAACTTCTGTTCTTTTACATTTGCTGAGGAGAGCTTTACTTCCAAGTATGTGGTCAATTTTGGAATAGGTGTGGTGTGGTGCTGAAAAAAATGTATATTCTGTTGATTTGGGGTGGAGAGTTCTATAGATGTCTATTAGGTCTGCTTGGTGCAGAGCTGAGTTCAATTCCTGGGTATCCTTGTTGACTTTCTGTCTCATTGATCTGTCTAATGTTGACAGTGGGGTGTTAAAGTCTCCCATTATTAATGTGTGGGAGTCTAAGTCTCTTTGTAGGTCACTCAGGACTTGCTTTATGAATCTGGGTGCTCCTGTATTGGGTGCATATATATTCAGGATAGTTAGCTCTTCTTGTTGAATTGATCCCTTTACCATTATGTAATGGCCTTTGTCTCTTTTGATCTTTGTTGGTTTAAAGTCTGTTTTATCAGAGACTAGGATTGCAACCCCTGCCTTTTTTTTTTTTTTTTCCATTTGCTTGGTAGAACTTCCTCCATCCTTTTATTTTGAGCCTATGTGTGTCTCTGCACGTGAGATGGGTGTCCTGAATACAGCACACTGATGGGTCTTGACTCTTTATCCAATTTGCCAGTCTGTGTCTTTGAATGGGAACATTTAGTCCATTTACATTTAAAGTTAATATTGTTATGTGTGAATTTGATCATGTCGTTATGATGTTAGCTGGTTATTTTGCTCATTAGTTGATGCAGTTTCTTCCTAGTCTCGATGATCTTTACATTTTGGCATGATTTTGCCGTGGCTGGTATCGGTTGTTCCTTTCCATGTTTAGCGCTTCCTTCAGGAGCTCTTTTAGGGCAGGCCTGGTGGTGACAAAATCTCTCAGCATTTGCTTCTCTGTAAAGTATTTTATTTCTCCTTCACTTATGAAGCTTAGTTTGGCTGGATATGAAATTCTGGGTTGAAAATTCTTTTCTTTAAGAATGTTGAATATTGGCCCCCACTCTCTTCTGGCTTGTAGAGTTTCTGCCGAGAGATCCGCTGTTAGTCTGATGGGCTTCCCTTTGAGGGTAACCCGACCTTTCTCTCTGGCTGCCCTTAACATTTTTTCCTTCATTTCAACTTTGGTGAATCTGACAATTATGTGTCTTGGAGTTGCTCTTCTTGAGGAGTATCTTTGTGGTGTTCTCTGTATTTCCTGAATCTGAACGTTGGCCTGCCTTGCTAGATTGGGGAAGTTCTCCTGGATAATATCCTGCAGAGTGTTTTCCAGCTTGGTTCCATTCTCCCCGTCACTTTCAGGTACACCAATCAGATGTAGATTTGGTCTTTTCACATAGTCCCATATTTCTTGGAGGCTTTGCTCGTTCCTTTTTATTCTTTTTTCTCTAAACTTCCCTTCTCGCTTCATTTCATTCATTTCATCTTCCATCGCTGATACCCTTTCTTCCAGTTGATCGCATCGGCTCCTGAGGCTTCTGCATTCTTCACGTAGTTCTCGAGCCTTGGTTTTCAGCTCCGTCAGCTCCTTTAAGCACTTCTCTGTATTGGTTATTCTAGTTATACATTCTTCTAAGTTTTTTTCAAAGTTTTCACCTTCTTTGCCTTTGGTTTGAATGTCCTCCCGTAGCTCGGGGTAATTTGATCGTCTGAAGCCTTCTTCTCTCAGCTCGTCAAAGTCATTCTCTGTCCAGCTTTGTTCCGTTGCTGGTGAGGAACTGCGTTCCTTTGGAGGAGGAGAGGGGCTCTGCTTTTTAGAGTTTCCAGTTTTTCTGCTCTGTTTTTTCCCCATCTTTGTGGTTTTATCTACTTTTGGTCTTTGATGATGGTGATGTACAGATGGGTTTTTGGTGTGGATGTCCTTTCTGTTTGTTAGTTTTCCTTCTAACAGACAGGACCCTCAGCTGCAGGTCTGTTGGGGTACCTGGCCGTGTGAGGTGTCAGTGTGCCCCTGCTGGGGGGTGCCTCCCAGTTAGGCTGCTCGGGGGTCAGGGATCAGGGACCCACTTGAGGAGGCAGTCAGCCCGTTCTCAGATCTCCAGCTGTGTGCTGGGAGAACCACTCTTCTCTTCAAAGCTCAGATAGAAATGCAGAAATCTCCCGTCTTCTGCGTCGCTCACGCTGGGAGCTGTAGACCGGAGCTGTTCCTATTCGGCCATCTTGGCTTGATTTTTACATTTTAAAATGGCTATTTTATAAGTACTCTAAGACATACAAATTGCTATATAAGGTACTTAAGTCCTTTAACTTGTTATATGAGTTGTTATATAAGTATCCTAAATATTGTCTTTTGGTCCATAAAGCCTAAACTTTTTATTATCTATTTTGTTGTTGTTGTTGTTTTGAGGCAGAGTTTCTTTTTTGAGGTGGTTTTGCTCTTGTTGCCCAGGCTGGAGGGCAATGGCATGATCTTGGCTCACTGCAACCTCTGCCTCCCAGGTTCAACTGATTCTCCTGCCTCAGCCTCCCAAGTAGCTGGGACTACAGACGCCCACCACCAGGCCTGGCTAATTTTTTGTATTTTTAGTAGAGATGGGGTTTCACCATATTGGCTAGGCTTGTCTCGAACTCCTGACCTCAGGTGATCCACCCACCTCAGCCTCCCAAAGTACTGGGATTATAGGCATAAGCCACCACGCCCAGACACTATCTGATTTTTATGGAAAGTTTCCCAATGCCTGAACTAGTCAATAGCCCTTGGATGTCCTGGCAGTCTCTTACATCCCACATTTATATTAACCATGCCTATCATGATGTCTGACCCATCAAAAGCCCTGAGACCAGAGAGGGCACTTATCCAATGGGGGCTAACTTATACAATATAAACAACCCATGCTGTATCCTGTCCTGAAAACATGGCCATGCCCAATCAGTTGTTTTCTCTTTGGAATTTTAAATAGGTAACATGGAGGAAATAAGATAGCAGGAGCCACTAGAGTTAAAAAAAAAAAAAAAGGTATACAAAAAAGTCATGAATTAGAATCAAGTTTGGGATATATTGGGGTAGGAGGACAGAGTATGGGTACAAAGTCAGAATTATGAGAGAGCAAGACAAGCAAATGTTATGAGGAATCCAAAACCTTGACACTAAGGGCAAGTAGCTCTGATACAGGGAATAGACATAAAAAGATTGCAACCCAAATATTCTGACTGAAACAACTCTTTTGCCTACTATAAATCCCCTGAGGACCCTCATGTCTTAGTCCTCATTGTAATCCTGGAACTAAATATTATTCAAATGAATCAAATAAAAATTGATTAGCATTCATTAATTAAATCAGTGCACTTGCTTTTCATCTCATGCTCCAGTGGAATATCTTTTCATTGACTTTTGTTGCCATTTGATTTGTATGTTGTTAGTCGCTCTTAATGAGTTTGCACCTTGACTTTCCAATTGAATGAGAAGACCCACAGGCTAAAAACAGTGATGAAAACAGCTTAATACCATTCTTTTCACACATTCTCTGAATGAATAGTTGCTGAGTGAATCATCAATATATTTTAAAATCTTTTTTCTTTTGCTTTGCAAGAAGGCATGCAGAGTATATTTATATCAGAACAATCTCTTCAGTGGAGTGGAGGATCTTGCACTCTTAACATCTATAATTCTCTACCTCCATAAGTTCTTCCAAAAGATCTTATCCATCTACAGTATTTGGTGACTTTGTTCATCATTTTCCATCTCCCTGGTGAATTATTTTCATGTTTCAAGCTTTATAAATTTTCTCTGGGGCATAGTTTTGGACAATTATAGTCACTTTGATTCCCAGCAGGATCATCTCTAAAATATTCCATCATCCCATGAAATAATAGATCATGGATCAGCCAGAGTTAAAATGTTTTGTTTTTGGGAATCAGATGTACAACAATAATTTTTAACATGACAGGTGCTTGTATTGCTTGACATGCACCATCTAAAAATGAATTATGTTTAGACAACACCATTATCAAATGCTTTAGTGTTATGGTCCCTCAGTATTCTTGGAGCAAAACGGTGTGGTAGAATATTTGTGAAATGCTGTCAGGAAGCAGAGCTAATCCACGAGAAAACTCACACATATTTTTGTAATACTTGGGCCATAACTTGGAGGTATGTAGACTTTTCTAGTAACCTTCCTAGTTCCTGCAGTTTCTGCAGGATTTGGCTTTGCATGTGCCAGGGAATGTCACTGCTCCCTGTGCTCAATCTGGTTGTCTCCAACTTATTTAGTCAGATGGCTCTGGGGCACATCCAATAAGAAGCCAACCGCAAAAATGAGCAGTTGCTGTTTATAAAATCCACACATTGTTATATAATCCAGATGACAGCACAAGTGGGAAATGCTGCTAATATTCAGCTTTAACCACAATTTTAACACTTGCAGATAGCAAATGTGTGGCTGGGGCATCTAGTTTTACATTAGGCAAAGTCCTGGTAGAAATAGAAACTTTATGAGCTAGGTCTATTACACTGAAATTTTATTGTGCTAGTTACATGCTGAGGCTACAGGGAGCAGGGAATTGGACCAATGTGAAGAGCCAAAGTCAGTTTTCCACAAAGCCCTTGGTTGGTTCTGCCATCATTTGGTGCTATGAAGTATTTAGCTATGTGCTTATTATGGCATAGTTTCCATTTCTAAATGTGACGCTGAGTACATATGCCATTGGATCATTTCTAGAGCTAACTTTTACCTCTCAAGGAACATATCACCACAGCTAAAAAAGCCATTTAAATATGACAGGGAAAATAACCAAAATAAAATGCATTAAAAACTAAAATAACCATAAATCTTTTGCTGTTGTTAATTTATGAAGTTTCATCCTACCAATACTTCTTTGTATTTATCCATAGTCTATGTAATTTTATCAGATGGAAATATATCTGGACTCAAGTAACAGGAAATATGACTAATAATGAGGGTTTTTTTTCACATAACAAGAAGGTACTAGTTCAGTAGGACTAGTTTAGTCGCTCAATTATGTCAGGGTTCAACTGTAATTTACTCATTTTTTCTTTAATGGGCTTGGGTGATTACTACAGCTTCAGCCATCATTGCTGTATTTGGGTTCAGAGAGTGGAAAAGGAGAGCCATGATGCTAAATATCTAAATAACTGAAGATGTCTTCAGATATTTCCCAGGCTAAAACTTAAACCATGGCTAATCTAGTGGCAAGGAAAATAGAGCGTTCGATGTTAATGATTGGCTTAGACAATGGTTAATTTTCTAAGAGTGGGCATACTAATATTCAGAACAAAATCCACTTTCTGTTTGGAAGAAAGAAAGGTATTCTGGGCCCTGAGTAGGTGTGTGACAATGTCTGCAAAAACATCCTTCGGGGATACTCAAGTCTCTTCTTCTACAATCCCATTGGTTTCCCCATCTTTGCTTTTTCTTTTGGCCCTTGTTTATCTGACCCATCAAAATAATTTCTTAGTGAATTTTAAAGTAGTACCCAAGCCAATAATTAATACAGAACTAGTTATTATAAAAATTATACAAATTTAAGAGTGGAAGAAGAATGCAAAAAAACCCAGGTGACTTTCAAAGCAGGAGCTTTGGAGTCAGGTGGAATCATTTTTGAGTCCTGTCTCAATCATTGTTTCTTACCACCAGTGTGATTTAAATTTAGCTTCCTGAAAACTCAGTTTTATTGCAAAATGCAAATGAAAGCAATAATAAAAATGCAAATGAAAGCAATAATAAAAATGCTCAAATCAGAAAGTGGTTTTGAGGATTAAAGCCTTGTCAAATGCTTGTCAAAGTGCCTAACCCATGGTAAAGCATAAATGTTTTCTATAGTGAAACAGTCATTGGTTAGAGCTTGAAGACTATTTTGATGTCACTGTTTTATATAAATTTTAAAAAATGTCTAAGATTAAATGTGTTGATTTGAGGCTCTATTAAATGTCTAGGATTGTTATGGTTCAAATACGTGTATTAATATAATGATGTAACACACGTGCTGGGCATGATAGAAGCAGACTCTAAGTCAGGTGTTGGAGACTCAAAGATGACATGGTTGATGAGTTTAATAGCTTGGAAAAATTACAAGTAAATAAATAAATACGCACACAAGTTGGTACATTTGGATGTTCATCACATTGGAGTTGTTCAATGGGAAGTGAGACAGAAAGTTCAGTTCTGTTTAAAATTTGATTTCATACTTAGGTTTGTTGCATAGATGAATGTTGGAGAAACAGTTGGAATATGTACCTGGCATATAGTAACCAGCTGAAAAATGCTGCTTCACATTATTTTTTTTTCTGTCTTATTTTTCTGGTTGCAAATGTTTAATCTCCATGTAATTAATATTGGTGTTATAAAATTATATATTGGCCTGAGAAGATAATAACCAATGTCAGAGCCCTTTATATAAGGAACTAATAAAAGTAGTAATTATAAAAATGATAATAAAGTAATATTTGTCAAGGGAATGTGCTAGTACTGTGAAAAATTCTTTACATGCTGATTTCATTGAATACTGACCTCAACCATATGAGATAAGTTCTATAATCCTTCCATTTTAGAGGTGAGAAAACCAATATGTAGAAGGCATACATAATTTTTCCAAGGTTACAAATATAGTAAATATTGTAACTTGTAAGCAAATCCAGGTTTATGCCCACTCTAGCCTCCAAGCTCTTATCTCCAATGATGTTATGCCTCCTCTTGTCATTGTTTACTAATTACTTCACATACTAATGTTTGCTCAATAAATGGATTCACAAAATGAAACCTAAGTGGAGAATTTCTAATGGAAGATGCTCCTTCCTGCTCACTATTTTACTAAAGCCTTGGGAGCATCATGTGTTGCTTTTGTTTTCACAAGACTCAAGAGGGCAGACACAAATGAGCATTTCTCTAATGACATCATCTATTTTCAAAGGCAGACTTGGTTCTCCTGCTTGTATTTTAGCTTCCTATTTTAATTTCACAGTATAAGTAACAAGTGCTCTTATTAACTATTTGAAAATAGGAAAAAAATTAGGTTTAAAACCAGGGAAACATGTCCTGCACATTGTTCAACACCTTTTGGGACTTAGTGATCTCTCAGTGCTTTCATGTTCACCTCCCTTAAAATAGCCAGTAATTGTGCTGTTCATTCATTCATCTGAAGGGAAAAGAGAGGACTAATTAGGATGGCAATATGAATGATATTCTGTTTTTCATCAACTGTGCTTCTGTAAAGTTTAACCAATTTCTATTAACTGAAGGAAGAATTGAGGAAAAAAATTTGAGAAATTTGCGATGCTGCTAGGCAATCCATACTTTTGGTGCATACAATCTACAAAATTAGAGTGTAAAATTTACAAAAATAAAACCCATCACCTCCCACCTCTTCCTCCATCCCCCAACCAAATGGTCTGTTTCCCTGGGGAACTCTTCTCATTTATTGACATTTCTATCTGTCCCATTTCCCAAGTCAGATATCTGAAAGTTGACTTTGGCTCTATTTTACCTCACCTTCTAAATTGAACCAAGTATGAAAAAAATATAAAATTTACAATTCTCAAATCTTTGTTCTCATCATCCACCTGGTGCTACCTTCAGACCACCAACCTATATCAACTTCACTTGAATTACTGGAATGACCTATTGTCTTCAGCGACAAGCATCACTCCTCAAGCTGTTCTCCAAGCTCCAGCAAATAATCTTTGTTTAAACAAAGCTGATACCATTGTTTTTCTCCTTATCAATCTCCTGGAATTTCCTTTCACTTTAAGAAGAATTCAATATTTGTTTAGATGATTCCACTCTGGAGAGGACTTAATCTCTGCTTACTTGTTCAACTTTTCCCCCATCTGCTTCTCCCCTGAGTCATGGTTCAGTGATGATGAACGGTGCATGGTTCTTCGAGAAGCTTCTGGTCTCTATCACTTCCAGTAGTCTGTAATGATATTCTTGCTGCCTAGAAACATTTGCTTTCCTTTATATCCATTTTGAGTGGCTAATTCTTCACATTGCAGCTTAGAAATTACTTCTCTGGGATGCCTTCCTTGATTTTTAAGACTAGGTTGTGGCCTTTCTATAGCCTAACCCTTACCACAACACATACTCACCGTAGTCTACTACCTCTTTGAAAAACTATGTATTAATCAGGTTATATCCTTGTGGTCAGCATGCAGTAGTTGTTCAGCAAACACTTACTGAAGAAATGGCATGCTGATAGGAAGGAAACTGGGGCCATCTGTGGAATTACTTCTAGTAAAATGTATACTTTTGGCTCAATTATCCTATATTTTGAGATAAAGCCTGTGAATGTGTCTATGTGTGTGTGCGTGTGTGTGTGCGTGTGTGTGTGCGTGTGTGCATATACATGTTTAAAAGTTATTAGGGCTATTATTGTCGGTATTTCCTTTTCTAAGCTAGATAGATAAACTAGGCTCATTCAGAAGACTGAGAGCAATTTTTAGATTTGAGGTACTCAGCTCACCTGTATTTGTTTTCTATTGCTATATGATAAATTACCACAAAATTTGTGTCTTAAAATCATACCCATTAAACATCTCACAGTTCTGAAGATCAGACGTCTAGCTCAACATGGCTGGGTTCTCTGTCCAGAGTACCACAAAGCTGAAATTAAGATATCATCTAGACTGAATTGTCTTCTCCAAGATCTAGGAAAAACAAGTCCTCTTTTAAGCTCATTCTTGTTGGCAGAATTCAGTTCCTGTGGTTGTAGGACTTAGGTCCCTGTCTCCTTGCTGGCTGTCAGCTCTCAGTTTCTGGTGGCCTGTTGCATTCCTCATGGTCATCCCTTCCATCTTCAAGCAAGCTATGGTGTGCTGAACCATTCACATGTTTTCAATCTCTGACTTTCCTTTCTGCTGCTGGAGAAGACTTTCTGCTTGCAAAGGGCTCATGTGTTTATGTCAGGCCCACATATGCTCTTTATCTTACAGTCAATTGATGTGGGACCTTATTGACATCCATGAAATCTCTTCAGAGTTGAATCAAATACCTATATTGGTGTTTGATTGAATAAATGGGAAGTATGCATATATCAGGGGCCAGGAATCTGGGGCCGTCATTGTAAAATTCTACCTACCACACCACCAAATTATATAAAAAATGAAAATAAATGAAAACCAATTAGAATATCAACAACAAAATTTGGTGATAAGAATTGGGTTTGAGTGGCAGGAGACATGCTCTAATTTTTGAAGGGAAATCCAGCTTCCTGATAATATCACACTTGATATTATGTGCTGTGAAACTTGTCCTATACAAACATTAATAGATGTAAATTCAGGGCTGCTTTTTAGCTTCTGTTCCAGGTTAGATGACTTTCTCATTCACAGCCTCTGTTTGGCCTTAGGCACATGTTTTACTGAATTCCTCATCTTTCTCCATTTTCATTTCTATTACCATTGTCATCATCATTTTTAATCACACCATTTACTGAAGATTTACTCTGTACCAACATGCTAGGTATCTCACTCCATTTAATTTCTTCAATAACTCTTACCTAGTTATGAGTGTGCCCATTTCATTAATTCACTTAAGACCAGTCAGCAAATAAGTAGTCGAGGCTCTGGTTGTCAGATTCTAAAGTCCCTTTCTTTCTCCTCAATGTTATACTGGTGTCTTTCAAGGATGTGATAAACCAGGTTCATTCAGGAGCATGTGTTGGAAAGATAAGGACTAGAACTCAACGCCTCACACTTCCAGGCTTATCCTTCCAGCTCTTTAGCTGTTGAGTCAATAACTGAAAAGGTGCCCTGCCTGCCTTCTAAGAAATTGGCTCCTGTAGGCAAATGACACAGTCTTCATTTATTTCCTCTGACATTATGAATTAATTGTGAACTAAGTGACCAAATCATCATAATACAATTGGCCTCTAAATACTAAATTGTAAACTTGTGTGAATCAGGATCATGTGTCCTATAACATTTCTTTCTTTCCTTTTTAATTGAGCTTCACTCTGACATTCTCAGTAAAATCTAACAATGGGTTGCTCTGTTTCAAGAGTTAGTCAAACCCAGCTGTTATGAAAATAATATGTTTGAGAAAATTGACTTGACATTTGATGGCCTTACGATACTTCTGACAGGATATAATCAACTCATTGGGGAGAAACAGAAGCATTCCTTGTATAGCCACGTTATTTCTGGGCATGACCGAATTCCCTCAAAGTGGAGTGGGTGAGTTTTCAGGGCAAGCTGAGACTTCATCGCCTCGAGCCCTGCAGTCAAAGTGACTGAATGTACTTTTTCTTCCCTTGTCCACTGCCCTTGATCTGATGAAAGGGAAACATTACTTTCCTAAGCCAACAATTTCTTTTTTCTTCTTCTTTTCCTCTCCTGAAGTCTAAATTTATTACAAGGGCTTGGGTTTTAAAAGAGTCTCTCAGTCTTTCTTCCACTCAGGAACAGCTGGGACAACTCTCTTGGGAAAGTGATTAGAAGCAGGAAGTGGCAATTGGGATTCCTGATTTCAGTTCCCAGGCCTCTCCTGAGCTCTCTGTGGGACTCTGAAGGGCTCATCTCAACCTCTTTGCTAAGTTCCTTGCTATAAAATTTCAGCCTCTAACTCTCTGCTGCTTTGCTTGTGTTCTTTCCCAAACAGGCGATATGAAGAACAGGGAAGAGAACGAACTTTAGAGTCGAAATCCCAGCTCTCTAGGGTCTAGAAAGTGATCGAGCTTTTTCAGGCCAGATTTTCATGTTCGTAAAATGAGACCAATAATGAGACCAATAACCTTGAAAAGCTACCATAAATATCAAATGAGAGCAAACATAGAAAATACCTTACATAGTTCTTGGCAGGTCTTTTAAATTCTATACTAGATTTACTTGCCCGGAACTTTCTGCAATTTCTTTAAGTCATTCTATTCAATCTGTCAGTAAATATGTGCTTGACCTTAAGTTTTTAAAAAATGCTTCATAATAATCATATTAAATTGAATTATTACAATTAGAATTTATATATATACTATAAATTTCAGCTTATAGAGCTTATTGTTAAGGCTATCCTCACTTAATGTTCTAATTCACTGTATCACAACCTCCACCAGAAAAGGAATTGTGTCTATCTTATCATGTCTGTGTCATGAGTATCTAAAAAAAGTCCGGGGTGAGAGGGAATAGTTTCCAGATGAAACTGTTCCAACTCAGATCACTAGGCATTAGTTAGATTCTCATAAGGAGTGTGCATTCTAGATCCCTCACGTGTGCAGTTCATGATAGGGTTCACGCTCCTATGAAAATCTAATGTCACTGCTGATCAGACAGGGAGGTGGAGCTCAGGCAGTAATGCTCATTTGCCTGAGCTCACCTCCTGCTGGGCAGCCTGGTTCCTAACAGGCCACAGACCAGTACTGGTCCATGGCCCGGGGTTTGGGATCCCTGACCTAGAGATTTGCTAAATGAGTAAATTATGTAATTAATTAAATGTCTTTCCAAATATTTTATATTCTCTATGTTTGGCTTTCCCTTGTGTATTTTATATCAGGGGTTGGCAAACTAAGGCCTAAACACTACCTGTTGTCTGTTTCTGTAAATTTAAATTCAGCCATGCCCATCCACTACATAGTGCTTATATTTGCTTTTGCACTGCTGCAAAAGCAGTTTAATAGTTGTGCCAGAGAGTATATATATCGTGAGATGCAAAATGCTTACTGTCTAGTTCTCTGTCTTTTACTAGAGTGATATTTCCAAAGTAAAAATCCAATTATTTCACTATCCTTGTTTAAAGTCCTCAATGACTCAATCATTGTCATAAAGAAGTCTAATATTTTTCTATGATGTGAGCTGAACCCTGTCAATCTCTGCAGACTCATCCTTTGCTACTTTTTTTCTTAAACCATGTAATTTTTCAGCCTGTGAAAGGTGCCGGACCTTTGTGTAAGCTATTGCCTGTGCTGGGAACACTGTTCCTTCCAATTTTTCCTAGTTAACCTCTACTCATCCTTCTTGAATTTGCTTAAACATCATTTCTGTGGGAATGCTTTCTCTGAAGTTACCTGTGAGAATGCTTTCTCTAAAGAAGTTAGTAGCTTCTTGTTCATGGTCCAATTGCATCTTGTACTTTTCTTGTTCCAGCACTAATCAGCACTTTGCTAATGATAAAACACACATGCAAAGGGATTATTCAATTTGACCATGGTAGTAAGCAGAGAGTTTGGGATTTGAATTGAGATCTGTCTAAATCTAATGGCCACTTTCTTTCTATCACACTTTGCATTTGATTAATATCTAAGATAATATTTATAGCACGTGGAGTCGGTACAGGATGAGGTATGGGTCTAATGAAGCATAACCTTGGGATTTTCTAATGAATGTACAATCCCAGCCACAGAATTAGTAATAATGGTAGCTGCGACAGACCTGTAACAGTCAATTTAGTTGGCAAGTGCCAAGATTTATAGATGTCCCTGTCATTATAAGTCATCTGCTGTTTCATAACAAATTACCCCAATACACAGAGGCTTCAAAGAACAATGCTGTATCATCTTACAGTTCTATGGATCAGAAATCTGGGTGTGGCTTTGCTGGGCACCTCTGGCTCAGCATCTCTCAAGAGGTTGCAGTCAAGTTGTAAACCAAAGCTGTGATCTCATCTGAAGACCTGACTAGAGAGACATCTGCTTCTAAGTTTACTCACATGGTTGTTGGAAGGCCTCAGCTCCTTCCCATGTGGTTCTCTCCACACAGCTACCTCACATCATGACAGCTGGCTTTCCCCAGGGAAAAATGATCTAAGAGGGTGAGGCACAACTCCCAACATGGAGTCTTCTGTAACTTAATCTCAAAAGTGACATCACATCATTTTAAACATATTCTATTCATTAGAAGCGAGTCAATAGATCAGGCCCACACAGAAAAGGAATTAGACAAAGACATGAACACCAGGAAGTGGGGATCATTGGCGGCCATCTTGGAGTTGGCTTAGTCTCCTGCCCTTACTTTGCATTCCACCTGTGAAGTTTTAGACGCCAGAGATTCCTTCGGATTTAAATTATAGGTTTGTTCATGCTTTTCTACAGGAACATATGGAGTATTTGCATATTGACATTTTGGGTTGAATAATTCTTTGTTACTGTGGGCTATTTTGTGCCTTACAGGATGTTTAGAAGCATCCCTGGCCTCTACCCACTAGATCCCAGTTGCACCTCCTCTATTCAGTTTAACAATCACAAAAATGTCTCCAGACACTACCACGTTCATAGATTCATGAGAAGTCACCCTTGGGGGCTGAGGCTGAGTTAGTGAGGAATGTTGCCAGCCTCAACGAAGTCAGGCTTCTGCCAAGAGAGAGTATGAACAGATGTAGGGCAGGTAACTGGCAGTGTTGTTTTAAAGAAATCTAAATCCTAACTTACATAGTTCCGGGTAACTGGATAATAGGATAAAAATATGAAAAACACTTTGTAAGTTTATAAGAGCCCAGGTATGAAGGTATTAAAAAGACACCTTGAGTCCATATTCGATGCCCAAATCTCTCAACAGTAGAAATTCTGACTTAGAATGACTAAGTTTATCAATGCTTAAAACTTAATTCCTTCTACTTTTATCTATTAAACATTGATTTTCCCGAAGAATTTTGACATCTGGTTCTCTTATTCCAGAAATTGGCCTAGGTCTTAATACATATTTTATGAATGAATAAATGACTTTTATTCATCCCTTTGGCTTTTACCATTTGTATGTAAACAGATGATATTAGAGCATAAATATACAGCCCAGAGAGCTTTCTTACGCTCCAGCTCCATTCATCTTTCATTTATCTGCAACATCTGTGTATGCAGGTACCTTTCAAATAGATTAATTTAAAAAGTAAACTTATCAGCTCTTTCCTAGAATCTTTTTCATATTCCTGAATTTCACATCTCAGTGATTACCAAGATAGAAACATGAAAATCATCTTTGATTCATCCTTTTTCCTCATCCCACTTCTCATAATGCCCTACCATTCAATTACATGAATGTTCATTAAATATGAACATTTATTCATTCCACAATCATTCTTTGAACATCTGGTGTGTATTAGGGACTGTGGCACTTCTCTCTACCACTATCAACACTGTTTTCATTCACAATCTCATTACATTTTATCCAGAATAATGATATTATTTTGTGAGTGACTGGGGCTATTTAATGTGTTCAGACTATGTAAGTAAGGATTACTTGACAAGAAAACCAATCATACTAGATCAATCTATTTATTATTTTATCACAAGCTGATATCTTTGATTTATAATTAGAACCATATTTAACTTTAGTCCATTCATATAGAATAAGTGGTGGGAAAAAATATCACACAATGAATTTGAGAGAAAGTTAAGATAGAGCCAGTTGCTTTATGGTGATTGAAATGAAATGCTTACTCAGAGTATGTTTTCCAGTCACCAAAACAACCAGATGACTTGTTACAGATTTCCGTCTATCCAATCCTAAAACATTCATTACTTTAATTGCAGTAGATCAACACTGTGTTCATTCTTTCCTTTGAACTATGAAAGAAACACTCACCTCTATTCTTCCTAAGCTTCCGTTGCTTTCTGAAAATAAGGCAGTGCTCAGGAACCTTATGTTAAAAGTAATAACAGTGCCTGGAAATAGCCCTGTGCTGTGAAGCAGGAGTATATTCTCATAGTAGATTGCCTCACTATGAGTCACAAGACCCATTGCTATCTTTTGGTGGTGGGTTGGTGATTATGAACAAGTCACTTAAGCCCCCTGAGCCTCAGTTCTGCCATCTCTAAAGTGGAGATAATTTCCTGACTTCTTTATGGCATTTTTCTGAGCATTATATAAAATTTTGTTTGTGAAACCATTTCAGGGTTATAAACACTACATAAGAAGCTGAAATGTCTTTTTCAGAGTGTCATTATTAATTCAGGACTCTTGTTACTTAGCCTCTCAAATGTTATTTTTCCTCTCTGCTTAATGGGAATAATACCCAACAATCTGCAATGTGGATTAATGTGAGACTTATGACTCAATAAATGTTAGTCCCTCAACATTCTTGATGTCTTTTATAAGAAATATTTTTATGAATAAGGATGATCAAAATATCAAATTCAAGTTTTTCACATTATTTCAATTCTATTGTCATACATAATATAAACCCAAAGTTGAACAAAGCTAGCATTATTAGAAAAAATTGTAGTTCAGCTTGCTTCAGACAACAAGCAGACAACTTTCCATGGGAGGAGTCCCTCCTGTGGGAACCTCTCAAGTAAACTTATGGCACAGAAGGGTGATACAAAACATGTTTTTTCCTTGTGAGCTAATGGCTCTCAGTAAGAGACAGATGAGTTCAAGGGTCGGAAGCATATACAACCTACCAGTTAACTCAAAATTGATCTAGATTCAATGCAATGAAGTCAAAACTTTATCACACATGTTGTAGAAATTGACAAGATGGCTAAAAAATGTATATAAAACTCAGAGGCCTTAAAATAGCCAAGAAAACTTTGGAGAAGAATAAAGCTAGATGACTTACACCATCTGATTTCGAGATTCACTATAAAGCTACAGTAATTCTGGGACTTTGGTTGGTGACACAAGTCTAGATCCATGCATAAATAGTCAATAAACTTAAGATAAAGATGCCAATGCAATTTAATAGGGAAGAGGAAAGCCTTTACAATAGTGCTGAAATAATTGAATATTCATATGGAGCAAAATAAATCTTGAGTTCTATCTTACATCCTACTAAAACGAGTTAGAGATGGATAATAGATCCAAATGTGTTAGTAAAATCTATAAAATGTTTTTAAAGAAAAAATAATGAAGTATCATTACAGCCATAGAGTAGATTAAGATTTATTAGACAGGACACAGATACACTAACCATTAAAAGGTGATAAATTAGACTTTAAGTAAATACTTCTGCCTACCAAAAGACACTAGTAGAAATATGAACAGGTAGGTCATGATTGGGAGAATATATTCACAAAATATATGTGACAAAGAAATTATATCCAGAATAAATAGCTCCTACAAATCAATAGTAAAAGATAGACTTATATTACTGTCCAAGATGAGATATCAAGAATTAGATTTACTCTCTTGATTGAGAAAAGCCAAAAACTCCCCCAACATATATAAGAATAAGATATTCAAGACATCAGTAAATAAAGGAAAATTATTCTTAAAAAGGGAAAAATATAAGATGAGATCTACAATTTCTTCATATTGATTCCTTGAGAAAGTTTACATGCTGAAGTACATGAAAGAAAAACCAAGACAGAGCCTAGCAAACTTCTTGAGTTGAAGAGATGTATCTGTCTTGGGAGACATAGGTTTCTGGAGTTTGCAGGATGTAACTGTAAAGGAAAGAGCTGCATAAAGATAGAACTCTAGAAACCTACAGAGATTCCCCCTTGAGTAATCAGCTGATTACTGATGAGCTCATGTGTGTGAAGCCTGGGAAAGAGCCACTCAAAAGGATAAGAGATGAATATGTTGCCCTCATGCTGAGCTAGAATTAGTGCTTATCCTGTCAGACTAGAAAATCTAATGATTAATGGAGTACTGAATAAAATATACAGAATGGTTTTGCCTTAGTATTGGGGAATAACTAGTTCTAGATTTAGATCTGCTTTGGTTTCACCTAATAAAGCTTAACAACACTCCAAGGGATAAAACTGTTTCCAAGTAACTTACCTGCATTCCAGAGCAAAGCAAAAGCAGAATTATTGGAAACAAGTCTATCTAGTGTCCAACAAAGTAAAATTCACAATGTCTGTCATCATACAATTTTTAAAAAATACCAGGCATGCAAAGCAGACAAAAATATGATCCATAATATGGAGAAAAACCAACCAATTGAAGCCACACCAGAAATAAAACAGATGTTACATTTGTCAGGCAAAGACATTAAAACAGTTATTATAACATAATTCTAGCTTTTAGAACATTCAGTGGAAATATGGAAAAAATCTAAAGGACCCAAATCAAATTTCTTGACATTAAAAACTACTGCATGTGGAATAGAAGATATACTGGATGGAATTAACATAATATAGACATGGAAAAATAAAGTATCAGTAAACTTTAAGGAAAAGAATGAAAACTATTTGGTATGGAACATAAATAAAAGAGAATACATATTTTAATAAAAATAACAATAGTTGCAGAATGACTTTGAGCAATGTAATCTACAAATAAGTGGAGCTTCCAAAGAAGAGGAAAAAGGGGGTGACAGATAAATAGTCGAAAAAATAATTGCTAAAAATATTCCAAATTTGATGAAAAGTATAGACCTTCAGATCCAGGAATCTCAATGATACCCAAGTATAAGAAACATAAACAAAACTATAACATAAAATATCAGAATTAAATTGTTTACAACTGGAAGTAAAGAAAAACATCTTAAAACCAGCCAGAGGGAAGACACATTACATATAGAACAAGGAGATGTAAAGCAGCAGATTTTTCAAAACCAATGCAAATGTGTAGACAATATAGCAACATCTTTAAAGTGCTGTAAGATAATAATCAGAAAACCAATACTCTGTCAAGTTAGAATACTAAACCCAGCGAAAATCTTTCCAAAATGAAGGCAAAATAAAGATTCATTTAAACATGAAGCAGCTAAAATAATTTATCACCTACAGGACTGAACTACAAGGAATATTTAAGAAAATCCTTCAGGTAGAAGAAAAATGGTACTTAATGGCAATATCAATCTACACAAAGGAATGAAGAGCACTGGAAATCTTAACCCCATGAGTGAATACATAACATTTTTTTGTATTATTTAAGTCTCTTTAAAAAGGAGTTGGCTGTTTAAACAAAAATAATAATGATACAGTGTAAGATACATAACATTTAAAGTTAAAATGTATGACAACAATAGCACAAAGGTAGAGAAGGGAAAATAGTGTTAGAACTGGAAGTATAAAGTATTATACTATCATCAATTTTTATACTATAGGTGAAGTTGTATAATATCACTAGAAGTTAGTTTGTGATAAGTTAAAGATGTATGCTTTAAACCTCAAAGCAACCACACACAAAAAAGAGGCCCAGCTAATAAGACAACAAAGACGATAGATATAAACCTAAACGTCTTAGAATTCACATTACATTTTACAGTCTAAATGCTGCAAAATGAAAGATTGTGGATAAATGAGCAAAACCTAACTATAGTCCCCTTAAAGAAAAAAATCAGTTTAAAAATGAAGACAAAATATGTTAAAAGTAAAGAGATAGACAAAGATATACTATGCTAACATCAATCAGAAGACTGCTAGGGTGGCTGTATTAATATTAGATACACACAAAAAATACTTTGCAACACAGAGTATTACCAGAAATAAGATGATTATTTTGCAATTATAAATATGTAAATTCTTCAAGATAATATAATTCTAAACATTTTGTGCACCTAATAATGATAGATAAGTAACCCAGTTAAAATGAACAAAAGATTTGAGTGGACAAAAATATATATCAATACTTATAAAGGAGTTCAACATTATTAATTTGCAGGAAAATGTAAATTTAAAACATGATGAAATGCCATTGCATATACATTAAAATGGCTAGAATTAAAATGATGAATTTCATTCCTAGATATTCACATAAGAGAGAAGACAGATGTCCACAAAAAATATTTGTACAAGAATTTTCATAGCAGATGTATTCATAATAGCCAAACACTAAAAATAAACTATTTGTCAGCCAAGAGGTGAATGAATAAATAAACTTTGCTATAGACATACAATAGAATACTTCTCGACAATAAAAAGGAAAAATCTACTGATATATGCAACAACATGAATGAATCTCAGAAGCATAGTGAACAAAGTTACAAAGACATACAAACTGTATAATTTCATTTATATTAAGTTCAGTGAGAAAAATTGTTCTGTAATGATACAATGAGAACACTGGTTGCCTACATTAAAGTTGGGTATTTACTAGAAATGAATATGTGGGAACTTTCAGGAGTGATGAAAATGTTAAATTAAATCTCTTGCTTTGGGTAGTAGTTACATGAATGTATATATTTATCAAAACCCATCCAATCATATAGTTTGGATTTATAAACTTTATATAAAATATACCTCACTTAAAATAACACTATGTATATTAAATTCTTGCCAAGGTTGTGTAATTGATCACCATAAGGTTTGTCATTGCAGAAAACTGTGACAAAAATAATTGAAATTATTATTTATTGAGTCCTTATTATAGGCTAGGTACGATGTTAGACAATTTAAATAGATTATCTAGGTTAATTCTCAAAATAACCATGATGGGATGCCTGTGTGAGGAATCTCCAGAACCCTGCCCCTATTAAATAACCATTTAACTGCTCAAAGTGATTGTTTTTAAAGAAACCAGCCATTTAAAGTGTCTGGATATTTTCTTAAGGGCATACAGCAAATGGAGAAACATCTATTCAAAAAAATTTACTAAATCTTGGCAAGAGCAGTGAAACTGTGACATTTGGTTCATGACACACTAATATACCTTCCCCCAGCTTAGTGTGTCAGAAGCTCTCCTCTGCACATTTGCACTCAGTCTCTCTCTCCACCTAGTTACCAGTCTAAGGCTGTGGTTTCACTCCAAGAGTCAGTGGCACTGTTATCTCTTATTCTTGTAGCTCCATGTTGCATAAGCTCTATTCTGGGTAAGCACGGTCCAGAGGCTGAGTTTACCTTCCCTTAATCAGCTCCTACTTATGGGATAAAAGATCTGATCCAGGTATAGCAGTCTGAAAATACTGGACCCTGAGGGTCACTTCCCTAGTTTGTGTATAAAGGAAGAAGTTCCATTGTGGGAGAGGCAAACTGAGAACACCAGGGGTTACTGTCCCTGCCCAGAGCCTTGTTCATACAGCAGGGATGTCATTATAAGAAAAGTGAGTCGCTGTTCCTGCCCTCAGCTCTGGTACAGTAATAAATAATACAAGGTTTTGACCCAGATGAACAGTCAGATCTTAAAGACAGAATCTCCAGAGATCTCCCTAAATGGACTGACTTCACCTGTAAAAGAGTCTGGGGAAGTGTATGCCTAAAGGCACAATGGAGATCCTGGCATGATCAATCAAGAGAAGGCTGGTACTTTCATGATCCTCAAAGTGAAAATGAAAATGTTACCAGCTAAAATTTTAACAGAGAGAATCAGAAAAATAGTTAAGAAGAATCCTATTAGAGTTAAACCATCCCCCAAAACTGGCAGTCTCATGCCCTACAAAGGATAGAATTCTTGAGCAATTGATGCCCCAGGACATTGCCATAAACAACAGAGCAATGAAGTAACAGTAAAGTCTAATATTTGAGTGTGAAGCCAATACACGTAGATCAGCCAGGTGATCAAGGAGACTGCATATACCCCAGGCTGCACCCTTTTAGAAGTGACATCAGAGCTGTACACTGTGGGAGAACACTTTACTAAACCAGTCCCTTCAAGTCACTAAAATAAAATTAAGTAAACAAGCAAATAACAAAAATGAAGCTCTGGTTAGGGAGTCAGTTTCCATACATGTTATAGTGTATTATCTAAAATATGTCTATTTTTCAGCAAAAAAATTATGACACATTCAGAGAAAGAGGAATGTGTGATCTATGCACAGAAAAAAAAAAAAAAAAAAGATTGAGCAAAAGAAACTGCCTGTGAAGGGGCCCAGATGTCAGACTTAACAAAGTTTTAAAGTTGATAGTTTCAATGGTAAGTTTTACTTATCTAAAAAACGTATTTAAGATGTATTAGTAGCCACTCTTTTCAAGTTCCTCTGAAAAATAGAAAAGGAATCAGTTCAAAAATTAGAAGAGGAAGGACTACTTCCTATTCTCTGAGGTCAGTTATTACCCAGGTGACAAAACTAGAAAAAATAAATCTTAGCTATAACACAATATATTTTATGAATACATACAAAAAATCCTCAATAAAATACCAGCAAACTGAATCCAGTATCATATAAAAATGACTGAATACCATGACAAAGTAGAATTATCCCAGGAATGTAAGGATGGCTTAATATCTGAACTAAATTATGTAATGCATAGTATCAATAAAATAAAGAATAAACAATGCATGACCATCATAATACATACAGAGAAAAATGGACATGATACAACACACTTTGTAATAAAAACACTCAAGAAGCTAGGAAAAGAAGGCAACTTCCTCAACTTAATAAAATGCATCTGTGAAAACTCCTTAGCTAACATAATACGTAATGGTGAAAGACTGAATTAAATTTTGTGTATGCTTTTCCCCTAAGATCAGGAAAAGTCAAGATGTCCTTTCTTATTACTTCTATTCAACATTTTACTGGAGATTTTAGTCAGGAGAATTAGGTCAGAGAAAAATGAAATAAATGGCATGCAATTTAAAAATGAAGAATTAAAACTATATTTGCAGATGGTATAATCTTGTATGTAAAAAATCATTAAAAATCAAATAAAATCTGTTAAAGCCAATAAATAAGTTTTCTATGGTTTCAGTACATAAGAACACCATACAAAGATTGATTATATTTCTATACACTGGCAATGAACATTCTGAATATGAAATTCAAAAACAATTTATTTTATGATAACATCAAAATGAATAAAATACTTGGGGACAACATAGTGCAAGACTTGTACATTATAAACTAAAAATCATTGTTAAAGTAATTAAAGAATTAAGTAAAAGGATAGATATCGCTACTGTTACGCGTCAGAGAGCAAAATATGCTTAAGATGGCAATACTCCCCAAGTTGATCTACAGATTCAATATAACCTCCTTCAAAATATAGCTAGGTGTTTTTTTTGTTTGTTTGTTTTTTGTTTTTTTGTTTTTTGTTTTTTTTCCCCAGAAAGGGACATACTGGTTCTAAAATCCAAATGGCAATGCCAGGGACCCAGAATAGCCAAAACAATCTTGAAAAAGAAAATAGAATTTATACTTTCTGATTTAAAAACTTACTACAAAACTTGATTACAAGATCAAGACTGTGTGGTTCTGACGTAAGCAAAGACACATAAATCAACGGAAGACCATGGAGTTTCCAGGAATAAATTTATACATTTATGGTCATTTAATTTGTACCAGGACAATAAGACAGGGACACCTGAATATTAATATGCAAAATAATGAAGTTGGATCATTTCCTCACACCATACATAAAAATCAACTCATAATGGATAGCAGAAAGAAGATTAAAGAGTGTGAGGAGATCTTAAAGGTCAGTGAAATAGAGGCCTTTTGCATATGAACATCAGGTGGCAAGTTTACTGGCTATCAGCCTCCAAAGTAGTATCCCATTTCATGCCATTCAGAGTTCTTTGTCTGGACCAGCAGACTGAGCCACCCCACTGTTCCTCTACAGACATTATCGTAAAGTGAGGCCCTCTCTGCTCCATTACCAGGCAGATTTCCAGGCATTTAGAGCACCACTTGCCCAGGTCAGCAGCCTGAGCCATTTCACCCTTTCTGTGCAAAGACTGTGGTAAAGTGGAGCCCTCTCTGCTTCAGACCCAGGTAAATCTCCAGGTAATCAGAGATCCTGCTTGCCTAAATCATCAGCCTGAGCTGGCCCACCTCTCCTGTGCAGAGACAGCAGGGCCCTCTATACTCTGCACACAGGCAAATCTCTAGGCCATCTGGAACACCCACTGTCCTGGATTAGGAGTTTAGGCCACTCTCTCTCCCCACGCGTAGAACTTGGAGCCAAGGAGGTTTTTCAGCTCTGTGCCTAGGTACACCTCTGGGGGCTTGTTGGCTGCCCACCAGATTCTCCCTCAATGCTGGTGCTTGTGCTTGCCATGGAGGGACCTGTAGATAGGCCTGACTGGTCCAGTCTCACCCATCTTGCCCCCCCCCCCCAACCCCCTGAGGCTAAGCAGAGGGCTCAGACCACTGTGTACTCCAGACATCAGACCATTGCCTATGGCAACAGAGACCTTCTCCCAGGGAGCAAAGATCAAGTATACAACCATTCGCATTGTCTACAGTTGGCTCTTACCATAAGCGCCATCTACTGGCTCATAGTTTGAACTGCACACCCCAATATAAAAACTGCCAACAGAAGTGCACAGGGCTATAGAAGCACAGCCAAAACCCCCTACCCAACAGCCGCATTCCCTAAGGGACAGAGAAAGGGAAAAGGAAAGAAAAAAATATAGAGAGAAGAGATTGGATTAAGATGGCAGTTAGGAAGCAGGACTAGCTTGCAGCTCCCATTCGGGATGACATAGCATTGTGTGGAGACTCACATCATGAACTTTTGCTCCAAGAACTACCTCAGGAACATACCAGGAAAGCTGAGAGAATCCAAAGACCCTTTGAAGGACCTGGATCACTGCTGCAGGCTCCTTGAGATGCCGAAAAACTGTGAGTCGGCTTGCTTTCTCAATGGGGAGGCTCATGGTCTGGGGCAAGTTCTCAATTCTGGTCACCAGCTGCCTGGAAATAGACTTGGTGCCATTAGTGGGGTGCGGTGGAAGTGAGATTGGCCTTTAGGACTGTGGTATATGTGGGAACAGGTTGAGGCCTGTGACTGCCAGCTTTCCCCCACTTCCCTGGTGACCTGTATGACTCAGCAGAGGCTGCCATAATCCCCCTGGGAATATAAGTCCATTGGGCTGGGAACCATCCCCCCATCTTCCACAGCAGCAGCAGCAGCAAGCCCTGCCCAAGGAGAGGCTGAGCTCAGACATGCCTATCCCTGCCCCCACCCGGTGGTCTTTCTCTACCCGCCTGGTAAACAAACACAAAGGTCATATCTCCTGGGAGTTCTATAGCCCTACCCACCACCTTAGAAACCTGAATTCCTAGCCAGGTGTCCCTCAAGCAAGTGTATATCTTTCCTATAGGACTGCAGTTTATGTGCTCTTGAAAGTGCCACCTCCAGACTAGAGGCCAACCAACACAAAACCAGCACACTAAACACAAACACAACCAAAGACCTTCAAAGAGTCCACTTCATTCCCCTGCTACCACCACTAGAGCAGGTGCTGGTCTCCATGGCTGCAAGACCTGAAGACATCACATCACAGGACAATTTGCAGGCATCTCCCTAGCACCAGCCTAGAGCCCAGTAGCTCCGCTAGGTGGCTAGATCCAGAAGAGCAAAAACAATCACTACAGTTAAGCTCTCAGGAAGCCCCATTCAGGAGAACACCATATCAAGGGAGCACTCCATGGGACAAAAGAATCTGAAGAGCAGTGCTTGAATTCCAGATCTTCCCTCTGACATAGTCTACCCAAATGAGAAGGAACCAGAAAAATAATTCTGGTTATATGACAAAACAAGGTTCTTTTACACCCCCAAAAGATCATACCAGCTCACCAGCAATGGATCCAAACCAAGACAAAATCTCTGAATTGCCAGAAAAAGAATTCCAAAGGTCAATTATAAAGCTAATGAAGGAGGCTCCAGAGAAAGGTGAAGTACAACTTAAAGAAATAAAAAACATGACACAGGATATGAAAGAAAAATTCTTCAGTGAAATAGATAGCACAAATAAAAAAGATCACAACTTCTGGAAATCAAAAACACACTTAGAGAAATGCAAAATGCCCTGGAAAGTCTCAGCAATAGAATCCAACAAGCAGAAGAAAGAACTTTAGAGATTGGAGACAAGGTTTTCAAATTAACCAAAGACAAAGGACAAAGAATTAAAAAAAAAAGCCTCTAAGAAGTTTGAAACTATGTCAAATGTCTAAACATAAAAATAATTGGTGTTCCCAAGGAAGAAGAGACATCTAAAGTCTGGAAAACATATTTGAGGAAATAATAGAGGGAAACTTGCCCAATCTTGCTAGAGATCTAGATATCCAAACACAAGAAGCTCAAAGAACACCTAGGAAATTTATTGCAAAAAGATCATTGTGTAGGCACATAATAATCACGTTATCTAAAGTCAAGATGAAGGAAAGAATCTTAAGATCTATGAGGCAAAAGCCTCAGGTAACCTGTAATGGAAAACCTAACAGATTAAAAGCAGATTTCTCAGCAGAAACCCTGCAAGCTAGATGGGACTGGTATTCTGTTTTTAGCCTCATTAAACAAAACATTCATCAACCAAGAACTGTGTACCCAGTGAAACTAAGCTTTATAAATGAAGGAAAGATACAGTCTTTTCCAGACAAACAAATACTGAGAGAATTTGCCACTACCAAGCCAGCACCACAAGAACTGCTGAAAGGAGCTCTAAATCTTGAAATAAATTCTTGAAACACACCAAAATAGAACCTTTTTAAAACATAAATCTCACAGGACCTATATAACAATAACACAAAGAAAAAAACACAAGGTATTCAGGCAACAAATAGCATGATGAATAGAATAGTACCGCACTTCTGGATACTAATATTGAATCTATATGGCCTAAATGCTCCACTTAAATGATACAGAATGGCAGAATGGATAAGAATTCACCAACCAAGTTTCTTCTGTCTTCAAGAGACTCATCTAACACATGAGGATTCACATAAACTTAAGGTAGAGGGGTGGAAAAAGATATTCTATGCAAATGGACACTAAAAGTGAGCAGGAGTAGCTATTCTTATAACTGACAAAACAAACTTTAAAGCAACAACAGTTAAAAAAGACAAAGAGGGACATTATATAATGATAAAAGGACTAGACCATCAGGAAAATCTCATAATTCTAAATATATATGCACCTAACACTGAAGCTTCCAAATGTATAAAACAATTACAACTAGATCTATGAAATGAGAAAAACAGCAACACAATAATAGTGGGGGACTTTAATACTCCACGGACAGCACTAGATAGGTCATCAAGACAGAAAGTTAACAAAGAAACAATGGAGTTAAACTATACCTTACAGCTAATGGACTTAACAGATATTTACAGAACATTCTATCCAACAACTACAGAGTATATATTTATTCATTAGCATGTGGAACATTCTCCAAGATACATGATATGATAGGTCACAAAACAAGTCCCAGTAAATTTAAGAAAACTGAAATTATATCAAGTACTCCCGTAGACCACAGTGGAATAAAATTGGAAATCAAACAAAAGGAACCCTCAAAACCATGCATATACATGAAAATTAAATAACCTGCTCCTGAATGATCACTGGGTCAACAATGAAATCAAGATGGAAATTAAAAAATGTGAGCTGAACAATACAGTGGCACAACCTATCAAAACCTCTGGGATAAAACAAAAGTGGTGGTAAGAGGAAAGTTTACAGCATTGAATGCCTACATCAAAAGTCTGAAAGAGCACAAATAAACAATATAAGGTCATACCTCAAAGAACTAAAGAAACAAGAGCAAAGCAAACCCAGCAGAAGAAAAGATATAACAATGAGAGCAGAACTAAATAAAATTGAAACAAACAAACAAAAAAAGATAAATGAAACAAAAAGCTGGTTCTTTGAAAAGGTAAAATTAATAGACAATTAGTGAGACTAACCAAGAAAAGAAGAGAGAAGATCCAAATAAGCTCAATTAGAAATGAAATGGGAGATTTACAACTGATACCACAGAAATACAAAGGTTATTTAAGGCTACTATGAGCACCTTTATGTGCACAAACTAGAAAACCTACAGGAGATAGATAAATTCCTAGAAATATACAGCCCTCCTACATTAAGCCAGAAAGATATAGAATATCTGAACAGACCAATATCAAGCAGTGAGCTTGAACTGGTAATTAAAAAAAAATTGCCAACAGCAAAAAAGGTCCAGAACCAGATGGATCCACAGCTGAATTTTATCAGACATTCAAAGAATTGGCACCAATCCTATTGATGCTAATCTAAAAAGTAGAGGAAGAGGGAATCCTCCCTAAATCATTATATGAAGCCAGCATCACCCTAATACCAAAACTAGAAGGATAAAACAAAAAATTACAGACCAATATCCCTGATGAACATAGATGCAAAAATCCTCAACGAAATACTAGCGAAAAAATCCAACAGCATATCAAGGAGATAATCCATCATGATTAAGTGGGTTTTATACCAGGGAGGCAGGGATGATTTAACATATGTAAGTCACTAAATGTGATACACCACATAGACAAAATTAAAAACAAAAATCACATGATCATCTCAATAGACACAGAAGAAGCATTTGACATAATCCAACATCCCTTAATGATTAAAACCATCAGCAAAATTGGCATAGAAGGGACATAACTTAATTAATACAAGTCATCTAGGACAAACCCACAGCCAATGTTACACTGAATGGGGAAAAGTTGAAAGCATTCACCTGAGAACTGGAACAAGATAAGGATGCCCACTCTCACCACTTCTATTTAACATAGTAGTGGAAGTCCTAATGAGAGCAATCAGACAAGAGAAAGAAATAAAGGGCATCCAAATTGGTAAAGAGGGAGTCAAACTGTGGCTGTTTGCTGATGATATGATCGTATACCTAGAAAACACTAAGGACTCATCCAAAAAGCTCCTAGAACTGGTAAATGAATTCAGCAAAGTTTCAGGATACGAAATTAATGTCCACAAATCAGTAGCTCTGCTATACTACAACAGTGACCAAGCTGAGAATCAAATCAGGAATTCAACCCCTTTCACAATAGCTGCAAAAAAATAAAATACTTAGGAATATACCTAACCAAGGAGGTGAAAGACATCCACAAGGAAAACTACAAAACACTGCTGAAAGAAATCATAGACGACACAAAATATGGAAACACACCTCATGCTCATGGATGGGTAGAATCAATATTGTGAAAATCACCTTACTGCTAAAAGCAATCTACAATTTCAATACAATTCCCATCAAAATACCACCATTATTTTTCACAGAACTGGAAAAAACAATCCTAAAATTTATATGGAACCAAAGAAGAGCCTGCATAGCCAAAGCAAGACTAAGCAAAAATAACAAATCTGGAGGCATCACATTACTCAAATTCAAACTATACTGTATTTAATCCATCTTGATATAATTTTAGTACGTGGTGAGAGAAAGGGATCCAGTTTCATTCTTCTGCATATAGCTAGCCAGGTATCCCAGCATCATTTACTGAATGGGGAGTTCTTTCCTCATCGCTTACTTTTGCCAACTTTGTCAAAGACCAGTTGCCTGTAGGCGTGTGGCTTTATTTCTGGGTTCTCTATTCGGTTCCATTGGTCTGTGTATCTGTTTTTGCACTAGAATCATGCTGTTTTGGTTACTGTAGCCTCATATTGTAGAAAACGAAATACTGCATGTTTGCTGTCACTTATAAGTGTATATTCATGGAGATACAGTTGGCAATAATAGACAATGGGGACTCCTAAAAAAGGGGGCAAGGGTTGTAAAACTAACTATTAGGTAGCTTGCTCAGTAACCAGCTGATGTGATCAATCATACCCCAAACCTTGGCATTGCCCATATTCTTATATAACAAAACTGTACATATACCCTATGAATCTAAAATAAAAGTTGAAATTATTTTTAAAAAGTAATAAAGGTTCTAGCTCTGTAGCAAATAGAAAAAATAAAAATCCAACCAACCAACTAAACAAAAAAACTAAATGGATGTCACGTCTAAATGTAACAGCTTAAAGTATTCATTTATTAAAAGAAAACCTACAAATAACTTTTTGCAAACTCAGATTATACAATTTTTTAAAGTTACAATTCCAAAAAGCAAGCAAAGAAAAAACTATAAATTGAACCATAAAAGTGTCATATTTTGTGTTGTAAAATCTACCATCAAAAAGTGAAAAGAACAACCTATGTAATAAGAGAAAATATTTGCAAATCATATATCTGCTAAGAGACTTGTATCCAGAATATACAAAAAACTAATATTCAATAATAAAAAGATAGCCTATTTTTTTAATTAGCAAAGGACCTGTATAGACATTTCTCAAAGAGAGGGATATAAATGGACAATAATAATATGAAAAATGCTTAGTCATTAGGTAAATGCAAATGAAAATCTAAATAAGATATCACTTCATTTCTACTGAAATAACAAATATTGGTAAGAAAGCAGAGAAATTGGAACACTGATATATTGCTGGTGGAATATATTGTTGCTTTGGAAACAGTTTGGCAGCTCCTTAAAAAGTTAAACACAGAGCTAGCATATGACCCTGCAATTCTACTTCTAGATATATAACCCAAGCGAAATGAAAACATGTCCACACAAAAACTTGTACACATATTTATAGAAGCATTTATCATCATAGTTAAAAAGCATCAAATATTCACCATCTGATAAACGGGTAAATACAATGTGATATATTTATACAATGGAATATTATTTAGCAATGAAAAAGAATGAAGTTGTGATACTAAAACACTGGTGAATCTTGAAAATGTTATGCTAAGTGAAAGAAGCTAGTCACAAATGATCACATATTGTATGTTTCCATTTGTATAAAATAGCAAGAATAAACAAATCTATAAAGACAGAAAAGAGATTAGTTTTTTCATAAAGTTGGCAGGAGAAGTAAGGGGAGTGACTACTAATGGTGTTTTTTATCAGTGTGGATTAAATGTTTTAAAGTTCGTTTGTAGTGATGGTGGCACGGCTCTGTGGATATATGAAAAATAGTTTAGTTTTACACTTTAAATGAGAGATGTATGATATATAAATTATGTCTCAACAAAGCTCTTAAATTACAACCCTAAAAAATTATTATCCATATTATTTCACAGATGAGGAAAGTAAATCCACATAAAACACAGGGTTGATCAAACTAGGATTACAACCAGACCCTAGCTGATTACAAAGCCCATGTTTTGCCACCATATTACTCATCTGTGGAAGTGGGTCATACACAGATCCCATTGTTCACATTTAATGGAAACAAGGAATAACAGTAGAATCCAGAATAGCAAGTGCTGCCCAGGAATGCAACCATAGTGTGTGTCCTTGAATATAATGAATCTTGAGCACTTTGATAGTAAGAAATGGAATGGAAGAAAGAAGCTCAGAATGGGAATAACAATCCCTCAATTAAATATGGGGATTTACAGTCTTCTTCACAAGAGGTTGTAAGGGTGTTGAGCCTATATGATATGGTTTGGCTCTGTGTCCCCACCCAAATCTCATGTCGAATTGTGGTTCCCATGTGTCGAGGGAGGGGCTGAGTGGGAGGTGATTTGACAATGGGGGCAGACTTCTCCCTTGCTGTTCTCGTGATAGTGAGTGCATTCTCGTGAGATCTGATGGTTTTAAAGTGTGGCACTTCCCCCTTGCTCTCTCTCTCCTGCCATCTTGTGAAGGTGCCTGCTTTTCCTTCACCTTCTGCCATGATTGTAAATTTCCCGAGGCTTCCCCAACCCTGTGAACTGTGAGTCAATTAAGCCTCTTTTCTTTATAAATTACCCAGTCTGAGGTAGTTCTTTATAGCCGTGTGAAAACAAGCTAATACACTGCATTACATCCCCAGTGGAGAAATAAAGAAGTGGAAGCTCAAAGAAGTTAACCAGTTTGTCTAGTCACAAAGTTAGCAAGTAGATGGGCATCACAAATCAAAGACTATGTTTTAGTTTTGTTTTGTTTTGGCTTACCCATTTTCTCTTTTTCTCTCTGTAATAAATGGTGTGGGCAAGTACTCTCCTTTATTGTGGCAAGATGTACTCATGCTGAATGAATCATCAACTACTTAAATGAAGAAAAATCATTGTTGGCAATTTTGCATTAGCTAGGTTGTTTATTGGAATGACACATGCATTAGTTTTATTTCTTGATAGATGATTGGCCTTCAAATCTTACAAGTGACCATCTAAACACGTGAATAGGTTTAAGCTCTGTAAGAATAGAAAACATAGCAGGAATGTTCCATGACACAGACCTTGCAAAAACACTCTTCATCAGAAAGTTTCCGTATCACAATCATATTGTTCACTATTTCTGATCCTGTGTGCTTAAAAATAGACCATCATTAAGTCTGTAAAGACTGTCCCTTTAAGTATTAAGGTCTCAGATGTTCTTGGCATCTTTTATTCTATTGATAATAGAAAAGAGCTGTGTGTTCCAGGCAGGTCAGTCAGTAGACCATTCTGGCAGCCTGGTTGTCCCCAGTGAGTGAAATAAGAGAAAGGGATTGGAGTCAGGAGCTTGGAGACAGAACCCATAATCTCAGAGAAATGTCTATGCCTGCTGAAGCCCTCACAAGAGGAGCTAGCACTTACAGAGGGCATTTTAACTTAGTCTCATTGAAGCCTGGCAAGGATGAAGATTAATATATTATCCCTGCTTTAAAGACAAGGAAACTCAAGGCCAATGAGGCTATGTAGTTTGGCCAGGCTCACGGGGATATAAGTGGCAGGGTTGGCATTTGAACTATCTAAAACTGAAAATGATGTCTTTAATGACTCCAACCCAAGTCATCCCCAGGGCCTCCTGGATGCTGTGCCCTTAGCGGTACTCTGGATATTCATGTTATGCTCTTAACAGCATTATCAGTGTAAGCTAGAAAGCCTGGATTAGCACTCAGACTAGAAGGGAGACTTTCATCTTGATGTCTTAGACCTGCTTGTCCATAAAAGAACCAACCTTGAAAAGGAAGGAAACAGACCTGGTTCAATCTCTGCCATTAACTGTGTGTGACCTTGGGAAAGAAAGTGACTCAGTTTCTCTGAGCTTCAATTGCTTCATCCTGTGACATGGATCTACTAGTGTTCCTTTGCTAACGTCACAAGGTTATTGTGAATATTAAATAAAATCTCCTACGTGGAAGGATGTAATTGATTCATTCAGCACCATGACTCTGCTCTGACTCAGGAAACCTGGGAGGTGATGGTGATGATCATCTCTCTCATTCCCCACTGTGCTTTGTTTCTGGTCTGGGGTTCCCTCCCCCAACTCCCACCCCTGGTCACCACCTGGCAAGTGCTTTCAATCTTATCCCCAGTTGCCACATTAGCATACAAATATCCAACTAACAGTGTCAGAAGGAAATGGATTCATTCTATGACATTAGCAACTGACAATCTAGGTTTCCCAGTGTTTTTGCCTTTAAATTCTTCCAGTAAAACAGAGCTTTGTAATCTGCAGTCTCATTCATTCATGGGCTTCAGAGAGCTCATGAAACATCTGAAATTGCATGAAAAATTGTTTGTATATGTGCATATGTGCCTTTTTCTGGATAGAGTCCCCAGAGTTTCTATCCGATTTTAAAAAGACCCAGTGACTCTGAAGAGTCAAAGATATACTCTAGGAGAGTAGTTTCATGACCATGTAGCAGCCACCTAAGTTAGAATCACCAGTTACATCTAGGTCTCTTCCCTCCCTCATCATCAGTGTCCCATGTATCACTGAATCTATCTTCTGAAATCTTCTAAACTTTCATTTCCTTCTAAGCTCACTTCTAGTTTAGACTTTCATCATCTATTGCCAAGAGTATTAAAATGTTTGAAATGGTCTTCCTGACCCTGTTCTTGCTACATCTAAGCCTTCGGTAGAATCACAGTGACCTTTAAAAGCACATGTCTAACCTGTTATTACTCTGCTTAAATTAGCTCCCTAGCATCTTCACTGCAAATCTCAACCTCATTAGGCTTTATTTCATGGATTTCAAAACTCCTGAACTGCCTACCCCAACAATTTTTTTTTTTTTTTTTTTTTTTGGAGAAGGAGTCTCGCTCTGTCCTCCCAGGCTGGAGTGTAGTGGCGCCATCTCAGCTCACTGCAAGCTCCACCTCCTGGGTTCATGCCATTCTCCTGCCTCAGCCTCCCGAGTAGCTGGGACTACAGGTGCCCACCACCACGCCCGGCTAATTTTTTGTATGTTTAGTAGAGACGGGGTTTCACTGTATTAGCCAGGATGGTCTCGATCTCCTGACCTGGTGATCCGCCCACCTCAGCCTCCCAAAGTGCTGGGATTACAGGCGTGAGCCACTGCTCCCGGCCACCCTACCCCAGCTTTTTATCCATGTCCCTTTTCCCCCTCTTCTACGGACTCTATGACTCTGTTTAGGTGATCTCAGACTGTTAGAATTTGATTCTTCTGTTTCCTCTATCTGGCATATTCTTTTACCTTCTCCATCTAACAAACTCCTTCTTAGCTTTTAAGGTTCAACTCCAATATCACCTATGTTGCAAAGGCTTCTCCCTATCCCCATAATTTACCCCTGTAACAGTGAGTCACTCCTTCCTTTATGCTCCAAATCTCACTTCTTATGTGATTATTTCTACAAATTGTATTTTCTTAATTCTATAGATACATGCATTTCCTACTGCACTCTGACCTTCATATTATCAGAGGTGACCAAGATAAGTAAGACCCAGTCATTTCTAAATAAATGTTTGCTGAATGTATAAATAGATTATTTAGTAACTTATGTTGAATAAGCGGGCACCACTTCAGACAACAGAGTGGGACCTGGGATCAGTTGGAAGTTTTCAACAATGCTTGACAAATCATACTTCATATTGGTGACTGCTTTCATCCATGAAATGGGAGTAGAAGGTCAATAATGATGTTTTGGAAATATTTGGGTCAATAGATACCTGATAACATATTGCAAAGAATACTGAATTAGGAATTAAGAACCCTAGATTAGAATAACAGCCTCGTTATTAACTTCTCTATGTCACTGGCCAAATTTGCTATCACCTAAGGGTCTCAGTGTTCTTAGCAAGATGATGTTAAAACAGACTATCTCTTAGATTACTTGCAGCATTAACATTTTATGAGTCTAAAAAAGCAAACCACAACCTTACATTCTGGGCTGATTTCCTGACCTGGTTTGGCAAAGACAAATGGAGATAGGAAAACTACTGCATCTCGATGAGAAATGCATCTTTTTATGCTAGGGCCTTCAGGCAGGAGGTGGTGTGGAAGTAACATTTTGTAACATTTATCTGGGACTCTATAAAGATACCTCAATTGTGTGAAACTCTGGCATTAGTGTGCAGTTTCCCAGAAGAGCTTTTATGAGACTCTCCTGAGTCAAAGATCCTATGCCAGATCATCCAGAATTATGACTCAAGTCTGGTAAGTTAATAGGAGGGTCAAGAAACCAAAAGGCCATGGTTGGGAATCAAGATCTTAAGTCTGGACCAAACCCCAAAGCTGGCCCCCATCCTTAAGAGTACATAACAGTAAATCAAGTGTCCTTTTCTTAAAGAGAATGGGCAGAGTGAATCTTTTATCTATGTGTGCTGGAATATTTCTCTCATGACAAAAAAAACATTCTGGTATAAAGAAAAGGATACGAGACCATTTCAACTAGCTGTGTCAGTCCCCTTGAGAAAGTCACAATTTTTCTAGGCTTCCATTTTCTGCATCTGTGCAATGGTAACAGACTTCTCTTTTACTTCTTTGAGTTGTTGGTAGAAACAGGTGAATCTTTGTAGGTGAAAGCACTTTGCAGTTTGTGAGGTGAAAGTACTATTGGAGGGGTGGGCCACGATTAGAAAAATAAAATAAAATTATATCTCTTTTCAACTCTTGGTTCATTATATTCCTAAACCTGATGAGCTTCTCTCTTGGAGGTGACAGATTTGAAACTTAATCTTGAGTTTCTTGATCTTTGAAGAAGGAGGCACAGAATTCAGAAACTCAGAATATTCAGATATGGCACTACATCCGTAAAATTATAGTGACTACTAAAAATCAACACTCAGTAGAAAGGAAGATAGCAAACATCCATTAACAAACACATTTTATGTTCTGCCAGACATTGATTCCAGAAGATGTAAAAGTAAATATTCATTATGTATTTCAACCCAAATATATATATATTTCAACCCATATCACGTCAGAGAGAGTGGGAACCTGTGATGGACCCCTTTATTTCATTTGGCTTCCCTCACCAAATCCTCACCTGGTGTGACTACCTTTCTTTAGTCATGACCGCCTGTATTTGTGAGGTCTTCCCTAACAGAGCACCACAGACTGAATGGTGTAGGCAACAGAACTTTATTGTCTCATAGTTTTGGAGACTGGAAGTCTGTGATGGGTGTTGGCAGGGCCATGCTCCCTCTTAAGGTGCTAACAAAGGATCTCCTGGAGGCCTCTCTCTGAGCTTCTGGTTGTTCCCTGGCTTGTGGCAGGAAACTCCTATCTTTACATGGTGTTCTATTCCCTGGGAGTGCATTTGTGTCCAAACTTCTGTTTCTTATAACGACACTAGTCATATTGGATTAGGGCCCACCTTTTCCCATCTCACCTAATTATATCTACAGTGACCCCATTATCAAATAAAACCATATTCTGAGGTACTAGGGCTTACAACCTTAACATACACATTTATACATGCCACAATTTAACCCATAATACTGCCCATCTCTATCGAAGAGAAACCACGTCTCTTTGAACTCTCTATCATCACCTTATACTGTCATGGGTGTGGGGTCCATTGTACCCATTTGATCTCTCTCCTAGTTCCCCTTGCCCTCCCTGGCCTTAGACTTAGAGAGCTTGTTTGGAGGTTCTATTAGGGGAGCACAGCTACTCATATACCCTTGACAGAGGCATAGTCCTCCTCTATTGGAGAAGGTTGTCCTCTTTGACTGAGCTTGCAGCTTCTGGGAGGACACAGATGGAGCAGTGAGGGAGAAAGCAGACACGCCCTGGCCAGTCAGATCAGCCAAATCAATGCTGGTAATAAATGGAGTGACAGATGTCAGAGCCAGATCACTCTCACATCCTAGAGTTAGAGTATTAATTCACTGGAGCTTATACTAAATAGGAGAAGGAAATAGATAATGAGTCCTACAAAGGGAGAGATAAAAAGAACTAAGTATTTTCTGAGGTGGGCAAGAGGACATGTTACTGACAGTATTGACTTTCTGTCAGAAAATTTCTAGTAAATTAATATAATACACATGTCTCCATTCTTTCTCTGACTTGATTTACATGGCCCCCTTCTGTAATTCTAGTTTGGACAGGGGAAAAAGGTGGAGAACATTTCTTGCCACATTCCCACTACTTTATATTATCTGTGCATATAAGATAAATGAGGAAGAGAATCAGCACTGTATATTCTTTGCAGCCTAATTCAGTAGTTTTCCATCGGGGTAGATTTTATTCCCCGAAGGATATTTGGGTATGCCTAGAGCTAATTTGGCTGTCAGAAATGAGGGAGGGATAAATCTAGCGTATAGGACAGGGATGCTGCTAAATACTCTGCAATGTACAGCACGACAAAGGATCATCTAGACCAAAAAGTCAATAGTGGTGAAACTAAGAAACCCTGGCCTAGGTATGTGATTGTACCCTTCACAATGGCTATGAACAAGAATTTCAAATGCTTCTCTACTTATTTGGGATCTTTTGGCTATTGAATCCTTTTAGCGTTTTACCTTCATATCCTTTGTAGAGAACACTAAAAAATAACCTTTAGGACTCAGAGCCACCTGTTATTTCCTACCATGGGCATGTGTTCTGTTGCCTCCATATATGAAAGATGGGCAAAAGATTAGTCAATCTCGAGCTTCCTTTTAGTTCTTGAAGTCAGTGAATTTCTAGTTTTAGAAATAATGTCACTTTCAATAACTGTATTTAAAAATTCAGCAATATCACCATTATCTTTCCACATTAGATTTGTAATATTTTAAATGGCCGATAATCTTGAAGAAGTAATATTGTCAAAAGTTTTTGACTTTGCAGATACGTCACTTAGTAGGTTACCTATTGCTCATTGACATGAAGATAGATTCAGACAACAAAGACATACTTAGTATATAAAGTCAGTTCCACTAGCAATCTCCCAGAAATGAGATTAGCTTAGGAAAGGAACTATTTTTTCTTGTCATATAGGAACTCTCTATTCTGATTGAGGATGGTAACCACTGAGTTCCTTTTATGTGTCAGATACTTTACATGCATTACTTCATTTAGTTACCACCACAGGTCTATGTGGACAGTACTATTATTATTCCTAGGAAACTGAGGTCAGAGAAGGTAAACAACTTACCTCCTCTGATCACATGGCTAATAAGTGGTAAAGTCATAATGTTAGTCTAGGTTTGTCTGACTTTAGGGTCTCAAACTTTGGGTAAGAATTCGGTTAATGAACTTAGTGTTTATTGATGAATAGCATAAGAGAGAGAAAATTAGGAAGTGATTTTAGAAAGTGCTGCTGGCCCTTTGTATCCAGGGATTTTGCATCTATAGATTCAATGAACCAAGGTTAAAAAATATTATTAAAAACAATAAAAATAACAATACAACAATAAAAAATAATAAAAATAAAAAACAGTGTACAACTATTTACATAGTATTTACATTGTACTAGATACATTATAAGTAATCTAGGGATGATTTAAAATATGCAGGAGAATATACACAGGTTATATGCAAATACCATGCCATTTTATATAAGGAACTTGAGCATCTGCAGAGTTTGCTATCCACAAAGGGTCCTGGAATACCTCATGGACACCAAAGAATGGCTGTATGACGATAAATAAATGCTTAAACAAATTATAATACATCCATAGTATGTACTACTATGTAGCTATCAAAACTTATATTTTAGAGTAATAAAAATAAGAATATAAATGCCAAGTTTTTATAATGCCAGCCATATGAACATTTTCATAATGTGTTGATAAGTGAAAAAAGCAGAATGGAAATAAAATGTATAGTGTGATTTTAATTTTTAAAAATAATTACATGTGTTATACATAAGTTACATATGTGAAAAATACTAGTATAGTATATACACCAAAATATTAAGAGTAATTATGTCTGAATGGTAATATTCTGGGTCATTTTTATTGATGCTTTTCTGTAGTGACCATACTTAAACTTACATACATTTTTGTTATTGGATAAAATGTTTTTCATATATCTATATCTATGTTCATGACTAAATGCACATTTATGTCCATGTCCACATCTCTGTCTTATCTAGTTTATCAACTCTTTGACTATGGAGGTGAACATTTTTTCTTATCTATCTGGAATCATTTTCCTTTCCCCCCTTTTTATAGTATTTGGATCCATCTGTCTCTTTTTTTAAGTTTCACCTTTTTTAAAAAAATTTTTTTATTAATTTCAATAGCTTTTGGGGTACAAGTGGGTTTTGGTTACATGTAAGAATTGTGTAGTGAAGTCTGAGATTTTAGTGCACCTGTCAACAAGAGTAGTGGGTGCATAACATATTGTATTCATTATGTAGTGTTTTATCCCTCTCGCCCCTCCCACCCTCCCTCTTCTGAGTCTTTATAGTTCATTCTATCACTCTGTATGCCTTCGTGTACCCACAGCTTAACTCCCACTTATAAGTGAGAACATACAGTATTTGGTTTTCCATTCCTGAGTTACTTCATTTAGAATAATGACCTCCAGCTCCACCCAAGTTGCTGCAAAAGACATTATTTCATTCCTTTTTTATGGCTGAGTAGTATTCCATGGTGCATGTTTGCCAAATTTTCTTTATCCACTCATTGGTCAATGGGCACTTAAGTTGGTTCTGTTACCGATGGAGGGTGTCCAGGTTCGTGGCGTTTTGAACAAACAATTAGACAAAATGCATAAATAAAGCAAGGAAATAATGAAACCACAAAGGTAGAGTTTTATTGAAAACAAAAGCACATTCCACAGGGTGGGAGTGGGCCGAGCAAGTGGCTCAAGAACTTGGTTACAGAAATTTCTGGGTTTTAAATACCCCATAGAAGTTTCCCATTGGTTACTTGGTATATGCCTTATGTAAATGAAGAGGCTGAAGTGAAGTTACAAAGTTATTTACTTGGTGTATACCCTATGCAAATGAAGAGGACATTTCCTGTCATAGATGAAGTAGAGTTACAGAGTTATTTACTTAGTCATGGAAAGTTGGGGTTTTTCTGTTTGATTTAGTTCTAGGAAGTCCTTAGATTCCCTGCCCCAGATCCTATTCTTCTGCCTCAGTCCCATAGCTTTGCAATTGTGAATTGTGACGTGATAAACATACATGTACAGGTGTGTTTTTGATATAATGACTTCTTTTCCTTTGGGTAGATACCCAGTAGTGGGATTGCTGGATCAAATGGTAGATCTACTTTTAGTTCTTTAAGAACTCTCCATACTGTTGACTAGAGGTAGAGTAGGGGTTGTACTAATTTACATTCCCAGCAGCAGTGTATAAGCATTCCCTTTTTACCAAACCATGACAACATGTATTGTTTTTTGACTTTTTATTATGAATCCATATATCTCTTAATTAAGAGATCCATGTATTTTTTAATTAGCCCATTTATCATTGGGGAAGTTAAACCCATCCAAGCTCCATGGGGAACTTTTGATGGTCAAAGCCAATCAGGGTAATCCCTTCACTTTTATGGAGTGATTGGTTCAGGTAATGTAGACCAAAGGCAGCTACCTCTTGGAATTATGATGCACAGGATTTGGGTCCCAATTGGGCATACGTGACTCAATTTAAGCCAGTTAGATGAAAGGTGAGGATTTACCAAGGGCACTGAGGTAAGAATCTTGCTTATTATTCTCAGACAGGTAAGAAAAGAGAAGACATAGTGTTTGAATATGAACACCCTGAAATTGCTATAGGCAATTCATCCTTGGGTTTATCTGCCTTTGGATGAAACTGAACCCACAGCAAAGGTGAGAGTAGAGTAATAGACACACACACATGCACACATGCACATACATGCACGTCCTTGGTGATATTGTTAAGTCTTTCCGTCAAACCAACCCTGAATCAATTGTGAGTGTGGAGAAATGAGAACGCTTTTACATTGTTGGTGGCAATGTAAATCGGTGGAGCCATTACAGAAAACAGTTTAAACATTCCTTTAAAAATTAAAAATAAAATTACCATACAATTGAGCAGTCCTACTTATGGGTTTATATCCAAAGGAAATGAAATCAGTATGTCAAAGAGAGGTCTGCAGCCCCATATATTTTGCAGGATTATTCAAAATAGCCAAGATATAAAGATGACCTAAGTATCCATTGATCGTCTATGAATGTATAAAGAAAATGTGTGCGTGTATGCGTGCGTGCGTGTGCGTATGTGTACAATGAAATATTATTCAGTCATAAAAAGAAGGAAATCCTTTCATTTGTGACAACATGGCTGGAACTGGAGGAAATTATGCTAACTAAAATAAGATAGACCCAGAAAGACATCTGCTGTATGATCTCATTTACATATGTGGAGTCTAAAAAGGTGAAATTCATAGAAGCAGAGAGTAGAAGGGTGGTGACCATGGGCGGAAATGGGGAAAAGGGGTGCTGTCCAAGGGTGCAAATTTTCAGTTAAGTTCTGAGCATTTAATGTACATCATGGTGACTATAGTTAATAATACTGTGCTATTTACTTGAAATTTGATAAGAGGGTATTTTAAGTGTCCTCATCAACACATATACAAAATGGTGACTATGAATGATGATAGATGTGTTGATTAATTGGACTGTCATTATCAGGACATGATGCACATATGTATCAATCATCACATTGTATACCTCGAATATATAAAATTTTCACTTGTCAATTAAATATTTAAAAATAAAAAAGAATCCAAGTATTAAAAAATAGCCCTAAATCTTATTTCTGGACTTTTAATTATGTGAAGCAAATAAAATTTCCTGTATGTTTTAAGTCAGCTTGAGTTATTTTTTTCTCTTTTGAAACAAAAAGAGTTATGACAAACATAACGGAAAAGTTAGAAGCCCAACACACAGGCCAACAAATGTCTTAATTCAGTGGTTTTATAAAATAAGCTACCCCTACAATACTGTTAATTTCATCATTTCCAGAATGCCACATTGAAATATTCTAAATTCATAAGCTCGATGTTCATTAAGATGAAATAATAATCATGGGCCTGACACAAAGTCATCTCTTAATTGTTTTGTTTTCTTTGCCTTCTCTGTAATTTGAAATATTCGGGCAACAAGCCAAGTTGAATAAAGACAGGAGAGGTAATAATTCTTAGGCACTTATGAGTGCATAAAAGTCACTTTAATCCCATCTCCTTTTATTGCCACAACAATCCTCTATAGTGGCGATTAAAACTTCTATTTTACAGATATGAAAACTGTGGCTCAAATAAATTATGTAATTTTTACAAAATTTAAGATTGGACTTGTGTTTCTCTTTGCACCATAACCAAAATCCTTCCTGGTATACCATATTTTTTTTTTTTTTATTAAGAGAGGAAAATGTGAACTGTCAATAGTCTCCAAGAAAATAATTACAGGCATACCTGGGAGATATTGAGGGTTCAGTTCCAAACTACTGCAATAAAGTGAATATTGTAATAAAGTGAGTCACACAAATTTTTTGATTTCCCAGTGCATACAAAAGTTATATTTATACTACACTGTAGTCTACTAAGTGTGCAATAACATTATGTCTAACAATAATGTAGGTACCTTTATTTTAAAATACTTTGTTCCTAAAAATGCTAACAATCATCTGAGCCTTCAGCAAGTCATAATCTTTTTGCTGGTGGAGGGTCTTGCCTCACTGTTGATAGCTAATGACTGAACAGAATGGTGCTTCCTGAAGGTTGAAGTGGCTGTGGCAATTTCTTAAAATATCAAAACAATGATGTCTGCTGCATTAATTTATTCTTCTTTTCACAAAAGACTTATCTGTAGCATGTGATGCTTTTCAATAGCATTTTACATATAGTAGAACTTCTCTCAAAACTGGTCAATCCTCTCAAACTCTGATGGTGCTTTATCAATTAAATTGAGGTAATATCCTAAACTCTGTTGTCATTTTGACACGCTCGTAGCGTTTTCATCAAGAGTAGATTCCCTCTCAAAAAATCACTTTCTTTGCTTATTCATAAGAAGTAACTCCTCAGTCATTAAATTTTTATCATGAAGTTGCAGCAATTCAGTCACATCTTCAGACTCCAATTCTAATTCTAGTTCTCTTGCTATTTTCATCACATCTGCAGTGACTTTCTCCAATGAAGTCTTGAACCCCTTAAATTCATCCATGAGGGCTGGAGTCTACTTCTTCAAAACTCCTATTAATGTTGATATTTTGACCTTTTCCCGTGAATCACCAATGTAAGTGATGACATCTCGAATACTGAATCCTTTCCAGAAGATTTTCAATTTACTTTGCCCAGATCCATAAGAGGAATCAATATTTATGGCAGCTATAGCCTTTTGAAGTGAATTTCTTCAATAATAAGATTTGAAAGTCAAAATTATTCCTTGATACATGGGCTGCAGAATGGACATTGTGTTAGTAGGCATGAAATCTCCTTGTACATCTACATCAGTGTTCTTGGATGACCAGATGCATTGTCATTACAAAGTAATATTTTGGAAGGAATCTTTTAAAATTAACAGTAGGTCTGAACAGTGGGCTTAAAAAATCCAGTAAACCATGCTGAAACAGATGTGGAGTCATCTAGGCTTCATTGGTCCATTTATACAGTTCAGGTGGAGTAAATTTAGCATAATTCTTAAGGACGCCAGGATTTTCAGGATGGTAAATGAGCATTGGCCTCAACTTAAAGTCACCAGCTGCATTATTTGCTAATGAGAGAGTCAGCCCGTCCTTTGAAGTTTTGAAGCCAGGCGCTATTTTTTCTCTCTACCTATGAACTTCCTAGATGGCATCTTCTTTTGATAGAAGGCTGTTTTGTCTACATTGTAAATCTGTTAATGTAGCCACTTTTATCAATTAGCTTAGCTGGATCTTCTGGATCACTTGCTGTACCTTCTTCATCAGCCCTTGTGGCTTCAATTTGCATTTTTATGCTATGGAGACAGCTTCTTTCCTTAAACCTCATCAGCCAAACTCTGCTAGCTTCAAACTTTTCTTCTGCAGCTTCCTCACCTTTCTCATTCTTTGTAGAACTGAAGAGAGTTTGGCCCTTGCTCTGGATAAGGCTTTGGCTTAAGGGTATGTTGTGGCTGGTTTGATCTTCCATCCAGACTACTAAAACTTTCTCCATATTAGCAATAAGGCTGTTTTGCTTTTTTATCAATCATGTGCTCACTGGAGTAGCACTTTTGATTTTCTTCAAAAACTTTTTCTATGCATTCACAGTTTGACTGTTTGACACAAAAGCCCTAGCTTTTGACTTATATCAGCTTTCCTCGCTAACCTTAATCATTTCTAGTTTTTTATTTACAGTGACAGATGCATGACTCTTCCTTTTTCCTGAACACTTAGAGTTCGTTGTAGGGTTATTAATTGGTCTAATTTCAATATTTTGTGTCTCAGGGAATAGGGAGGCCCAAGGAGAGGGAGAGAGATGGTGGAGCAGTCAGAACACAAACAGCACTTATCAATAAGTTCACTGTCTTATATGGAAGTGATTTGTGGTGCTCCAAACAATTCTAAGGGTAATATCAAAGATAACTGATCATAGATCACCATATGATATGGTTTGGATCTGTGTCCCTCCTAAATCTCACATCGAATTGTAATCCCCAGTGTTGGAGGTGGGGCCTTTTGGGAAGTGATTCAATTGTGGGGCAGTTTCTCATGGTTTAACACCATTCCCTTTGGTGTTGTCATGGCAATACTGAGTGAGGGAGTTACTGAGAGATCTGATTGTTTAAAAGTGTGTGGTACCACCCCCTTCCCCCGCTCTGGCCATGTAAGACATGCTTCCTTCACCTCTGCCATGATTGTAAGTTTCCTGAGCTTTCCCCAGAAGCCCAGCAGATGCCAGCATCGTACTTTCTGTAAAGCCTGCAAAATTGTGAGCCAATTAAACCCCTTTTCTTTATAAATTACTCAGTCTTAGGTATTTCTTCATAGCAATGGATAATAAACTAATACACCATAACAGATATAATAATAATACAAGTTTGAAATATTGTGAGAATTACCACAATGTGACACAGAGACACAATGCAAACACATGCTGTTGGAAAATGGTGCCCATAGACTTGCTTGGCACAGGGTTGCCACAGTCTTTCAATTTGTAAAACGTGACATCTGTGAAGCACAATAAAGCGAAGCACAATAAAACAAGGTATGCCCATATATTCTTTAAGTGTTTTTCTGTTATCCAAAAATTGCCTAGAGGAAGGGTACTGGGAATAGCTAGTAGATTTTCCCGCGTAACTAGCCTAAAGTTATTTTTAATCATTATAACATTTGCTCCTGTTTAAAGTGTTACTTTTAGTGTAGTTAAAAGTAGTTTAGTCTTTTACATAGAATATAAATAGTTAAAATTAACTCATATATATTCATTCGTATAATTCCAGCTCTGATACTTATTAGTTGGTTATTTGTTAGTTAAATTGTAAAAAGTAAAAAATAATGATAATAACCTTATTGTGAGTTTAAAAAAAAAAATCACTTGAAAGTACCTAACTCAGAGCTCAACATATGGAAAGCACTCAAAGAATATTTAAAAGAACTATAAAAATAGTGGAGAATAAAAAATATAATGAGGTTTCATTGTGTGAAAAATTTTAAGCTTCAATTTCATCATATGTATTAATCTTACTACCCTAGTTGGTCATGATCATTATTGCATGAGGTAATTTGAGATTCTGCAGGATACAAGTTTCCATGGAAACTTCCAATGTCCTAGTAACTTCTTAATGTTGCAACTCAAAATATGAAACCACTTGGAATGGATGGAAAGTTTCCCTGAAATTGCATATCTTCTTTTTTTCATTTATGAATTTATTTACTTTAAACCAGCTGCCAACTGTATATGCCTGGAATGCTATGTCTGCTACCCTTTATCTATTCAAAGCATGTGATTCTTTAGAAGTTTTCTGTGTCCCCTCAACTTATAATTTCTTTCTTTGATCTATTACGTATTTTTTCTAAAATGCTCATTTCCTCACACCTGCCATGGATGATTATTTAACTCTTCATACATTTATCCAACCACTTCTTTATTAAGAGATATGTATTGATTACTTAATTGTACAGGGTTCTCTGAGTGGGGAAAAGCTGAACAATGAATGATATGCAGTTGTATGGATATTATTTTTGTCCACTCAATTTGGGACATCTGTAGCCATTTTGTAACCACAAGAGATGTTAGCCTAAAGAAGAAGCCAAAACAGAGAGGAAGGCCGAGCCAAGAGCACCACAGAGTAATTCAAGGAGGGCCATTGCATTCAGCCAACTCTGAAATCCACCTCACCTCTCAATGTCTATTCCCAGGAACTTCACAAACCATTTCCATATTGTTTAAGCTAACTTCAGTTTGGATATTTGGGCTATTTGTAACCCAAGGTATTTTAATTGACATACCTATTCTTATCTTTCATGTGAGAGTCTAAGCTCCTGAAGAATAAAGAATGGTTTATGAGTTTACATTGGTGTAGAATGGTTTACATTGATTAGCACAGTTTTGAACTTATGGTGGATATCCAGAATTTGAATCCAAATATTTTTGATTTGATATTGCAGGAATTCCCTTTGCATTAAAAATTAATGATTCTTGGTGTTTTTAGGGTCATGCATCTTTCAACAACTGAAACTGATAAAGGTATTGACTGTGTGTGTGTGTGTGTGTGTGTGTGTGTGTGTGTGTGTGTGTGTGAGAATATATATATATACTCTTAGATGCAGCAAACCAAATAGTTATGTGAAATTTCAGGATTTTGTAATTCTCTCTGAAGCTATTCATTCACTCAAAGCTCTCTGCTAAGAATTCCTTTCTAAGTGATGATTTCTGTCTAGAAATTTACACTGGCTAATTCTCTATGATCCTCTTTAAAGCCCACATAATATGAAATATGACCTTCCAAACTGGTGTAAAAATGAGAATTGTTTTTTACTTACTGGTTGTCAACATTATTTATACCCATTGTCTACTATTAATTTGAGAGACAGGCCACTACTTTAGTGCTTAATACTTAATAAAATGATTTCTTTAATAAAGGGGGGGATTCCTCAAAATGTAAAATGACCATAATTTAAAAAATATTTTATTTTTCATAAATTCTGATATTAATAACAAGAATAGTAATAATGACAGCAATGAATATTTGCATAGTGGGTTTCAGTTTTCAGAGTTTTTTGTCTAATTTACTCCATTCTCAACAGCCTTGTGAAGTAGAAAGAGTGGATATTTGTTAATTTATGACCATCTAGCATCCATTAATTTGAGGGACCTAACTAGCCCCTGTTTTGTACATTCTCGGTGGGACTATAAATCAATGTCCACTGCCCTTCTAATAGAGAACTAGAGGTCCCTGAAGGCTAGTACACTCTCCTCCCTCCAGACTCTTTCTCTCACTGCTTCAAAGAAGCCCAGGGGGTTTTGATCTATGCTGAGTCAATCACACTCTTTCTCCCAGAACTTTGTGTGTGGAATCAAGTGACTCACAGCAGAGAAAAATGGAGACCTTCATTTTAGGTATGGCACTCTAATGAGACGATAGACTGGCTCTTGTTGCCTGGATCCTATTTTGATTTTTGACTCTGATTTTTGCTTTGTTTCTAAGCTTGGATACTAGCCTATCAATTTATTTTGTGAGATCTTTGTCAGCACTCCAATAAATTCCTTTTTTTTTTTTTAAGTTAACTAGATTCAGATTGGGCTACTGCCAGGAAAGAGATCTAATAATGGAGAAAACACAGACTTTTCATCTCCATATTATGTTTGAGAATGTGGAGTTGCAATTAAACAATAAAAAAGCCAGGCATGCCGGGTGCCATGGCTCATGCCTGTAATCTCAGCACTTTGGGAGACCAAGGCGGATGGATCACTTTAAGTCAGAAGTTCGAGACTAGCTTGGCCAACGTGCCAAAACCCCGTCTCTACTAAAAACACAAAATATTAGCCAGGCATGGTGGCACGCACCTGTAATCCTGGCTACTCAGGTGGCTGAGGCATGAGAACTGCTTGAACCTGGGAGGCGGAGGTTGCAGTGAGCTGAGATCGCCACCAGTGAACTCCAGCCTAGGCGACAGAGTGAGACCCTGTCAAAAAAAAAAAAAAAAAAAAAAAAAAAAGCCAGAATTTAATATAAGACTCTGAGTGTTCTGCTGTTTCTAGCACTCTTTCAGGTAATTTTTAAAAAGTCACCTGGGTTTTCTTGGCTGTGAAAGCAAGGGTTGAACAGAATTCAACTTTGAACCCTTTATGTGTTAGTATTAATTTCAGCTGAATTAACAGGAAAACCCAAAGTAACTGCTTTTAAAAAGATCACTTTTGGCCAGGTGCGGCGGCTCACGCCTGTAATCCCAGCACTTTGGGAGGCCCAGGCTGGCGGATCACCTGAGGTCAGGAGTTAGAGACCAGCCTGGCCGACATGGTGAAACCCCATCTCTACTAAAAATGCAAAAATTAGCTGGGCGTGGTGGCAGGCACCTGTAATCCCATCTATGTGGGAGGCTGAGGTAGGAGAATTGTTTGAACCCAGGAGACGAACGAAGGTTGCAGTGAGCCGAGATCATGCCACTGCACTCCAGCCTGGGCGACAGAGTGAGACTCCGTCTCAAAAAAAAAAAAAAAAAAGATCACGTTTTCCCACTCTTCCTCATGTAAACTAAATCTGGAGGCATAGGATTTGTGAAAAGTTGTCAGGCAGGGCCAAGGCTTTTTCTAGCTAACCTCTCAAATATCCTTAGGATATTATTTTTGCCCTCATAATTCAAGATAGTCTACATATACATCATATGTGTTTCCTGGTCTCAGGATCGAGGAGGCAATTGGGCAAGATCACTTCCATATTCCTTTAAAAAGACTTACTGGCAATACCACTCAGCATCTGTGTTTATCTTTATTTTTTTATTTTTTTTCGAGACAGTCTCACTCTGTCATCCAGGCTGGAGTGCAATGGTGCTATCTTGGCTCACTGAAACCTCTGCCTCCGGGGTTCAAGTGATTCTCCTGCCTCAGCCTCCTGAGTAGCTGGGATTATAGATGTGCGCCACCATGCCCGGCTAATTTTTGTATTTTAAAGATGGGGTTTCACCATGTTGGTCAGGCTGGTCTCGAACTCCTGACCTTGTGATCTGCCTGCCTCAGCCTCCCAAAGTGCTGGGATTACAGGTGTGAGTCACCACGCCCGGCCTGTGTTTATTCTTTATTGGCTAGAACTCAGTAATATTACCTTCCTAGCTGCAAGGGAGTCTTACAAATGTAATCTTTTTAGCCAGATAAATATGCCCAGGTAAGTGTATATATTGACAAATTTTCTCAAAGGGAGTCCATCTGTGTAAACAACACCCAGGTCATGAAACAGAACAGTGTCAACACCAAAAATGAGAATTCTGTTCATAAAGAAAAGAGAATAGATACTTGACAGCAACCAGTAGCCTCTGCAATAAACCCCAAACCACACTGCCCCACTCAATTTGCTTGATACTTAATTTAAGCAACTGCTTCTTCTTCTAATGGAAACGTCATGGAATCAACATTTTCATCATTACATCTCCAATGGCAAGTTCAGTGAGTGGCACAGAAAAGATGCTTACTAAACATATTGAATAATTGATCGAAGAAATGAATCTCTCCAACTCTCGAAAAGCTGAAATATTAAATTAACCACTTTGTACCTGAATTTACAAAAAAATTTTTTATAAAACAGTAGAAGTTGTACAGAAAACAAAGTTCAAAAGTTATTTCAAATTTCAATTCACATATTTTGTTATGGTTATTGTTGAGTAACTAGTTTCTAGGATTCAGGCAGTGAGCAATTTATATACATTATCTCATTTAATTTGCAAAGAAATGTAGGTAGTTTTATCCATATTGAAAACTGAGGCTTAGTGGGATTAAGTGGTTTATTAAAAGTTATACAATTAGTAACATTTTCCTAAAGTTTATGTTCCTATGTCACTTCTCTGCATACAATTCTTAAGTCTCTTTGCCTTCTGCCTATAAGAACTCTTTCTCATGTTGCTACCGAGTCCAGGCCCATTTTGTTTTTCTCTGAACCCCTGATACTTGTTATATTCTGGGTCTTTTCATACACACTTTGTTTCCCATCTTACATATCCATGTACTAATTTCCTGGCCTGCCCTCCTGTGTCAATTCCTTCTCCTTTATAGTCCCACCTTGTGCCAAGTCTCATCAAAGCACTTCTCAGCTGTATTATGATGTCAGCTTTCTTGTTCAATACACCCTGGGTGACAAGCTTGAGAGGAGGGTCCTAGCTCATCCACTGCTTGATCCTTAAGCACACAATAGCCACTTGGAAATACATGTTGGATGATTGAATGAATGAATGAAGTATAGTGCTATGATTCAAAGCAACATCTGGGCAATTCCAAAGCTTGTTTGTCAAACCTACTGATACATAGCGTCACTTTAGAGCTCCTTGTCAGCAAGAGACAGACTTATCACAACATATAAATTCCAAGATGGGCTGTATCTTCTCCAGAAGAGCATTCACTCACCTGATTTTCCCACAGAACATGACTATCCCCTAAGCTATGAAACAGTTTCTTTCAGTCTGTATCTCCCAGCTTGACACATATGACCACAAAAGGTTGCTTTTTGTAATGTTTATCATGATGCCTCTTTTTATTACCTTCTAATTGCAAGCAGTGGCTCCTTTTTGAGCCATAAGAACTCAAACAGGCTTTGGCGAGGCCCATCATCCCTAAATGGTGTGTGTCACGGCAGAGCACTGATTGCTTCCTCACTCCAAATATTGGAGATCTGGACACTGACAAACATCCTGTGGGGAGGATGTTCAGTGCCAGCTCCTGGGAACAGATCACTTGTCCACCAAAGTGTTTTTCATCGTTCGTTCTTTGGATTCTGTGAACTGTGTAGGCTGGGCTTTGATTTGATGATTAGGTTAGTGAACTCAATAAATAAAGGCTATTTCCCACTCTTATTGTTTCATTTCCAGTGCAGCCCTGGCCAGAGAGGGCAGAAGCCATTTATTGTGGATGCAAAGCTGTGACTATGGCTGCCTGAACAGTGTGATATATGTTCTCTATCTCTGCTTTTATAAGGCAGCTGTTTCTCGGAGGATCAAGCTCAGGTATCGGCAGTGTGAATTATGAGTCCTAATCAACTTGGTCATGCTTTGTGGCCTGGGAAAAGCCAGAATGTTTCCCTTTTATGATTTGAGAGTGCACTTTTTGCAGCCTGTGGAGCAATTAGTCAATCTTTGAAATGGATACGCAGTAAATGCAGCATGTCCTTGGAGAGCCACTGGGACAGCTTACTATGGGAGGGGAGGCCATAAGGTGATCCCCACAACAAATGCCCTAGCTTTGGCTAAAAGATCTGCAAGACAATGGAAAACATGACTTTAAGAGAAAGAAAACGAAACTTCCAGACAGTCAGGAACATCGACATATTCATAGATGCCCCTCCCCACATGAAATCACTAACTTGTCAAAGAGATTTTATAGCATGAAGAATAAAGGTTAAAAAGGAACCTACTATTTACTTTATAATTTTAAAGTTATTTACATAACTTTATACATAGTTGAAACTTTCAACTATTTCTCTAATTGTCACATTGATTTGTCAGGCTTAACATTATGTTTGTGTAAAGAAATGATGATCTGAAAGTGTGGAGGAAGACCAGAAATCAAACATACCTCAGGTTTAGATGAGAACTGGGAAGTGGGAGCTTTTGTCCTTGGCATGATTATTTTTCCCCTGTGCATATTTTTAGAAAGGTATATTGAGGTAGCATTCACCGAACATAAAATTAACCATTTTAAAGTGAACAGTTATGTGACATTTAGTACATTCATAATGTTGTACAAGCACCATGTCTCTCTAGCTTGAAAATATTTTTGTTACTCCAAAAGAAAACTTCAAAACAGTTAAGCAGTTATTCCCTTTCCCCCTTTCCCATACCCGCTGGCAATCACTAATCTGCTTTCTGTTTGTGTGGATTTACCTATTCTAGATATTTCATATAAATGAAATCATATACTGTGTGACTGTGTCTAGCTTCTTTCCTGTATATATATAACAAAGAAACCAGAGTTAGGTAACATAACATCAGGTGAAAAGATAACTTGGTTCCAGAACTGTTGTTCTAGGAACCCCAGATGGACACTTATTTGAGATGGGTACTGAAAATATGGAAACAAACATTAAAAATATACTACAAAGCTGTAGTAATCAAAACAGCATGATATTGGCATTAAAAACAGACACATAGACCAATAGAAAGCCCAGAAGTAAATTCACATATTTATGATCAACTGATTGTTAACAAAGGCACCAAAAACACACAATGGGGAAAGGAAAGTATCCTCCATAAATTGCTATGGGAAAATTGGATATCTGAAGACGAAAGATTTTTATCTTTATCTCAACATCATATACAGAAATCAACTCAAATGAATTAAAGACTTAAATGTAAGACCTAAAATTGTAAAACTACTAGAAAGGGGGAAAATCTCTATGACATTGGTCTCGGCAATAATTTCTTAGGGCCCAAAAAGCATAGGCAGCCAAAGCTCTTCTACTTAATTCATTTTTTCACAGCACCTTGCAATACTGTGGGTTAAGTATGTGTGTGTGGAAGGACTTGCCAATAGTCTTGCATATGTCAATTAACAGTTGTTTATTCAGTACTCATAGATTCTCCTGCATGTTTTTATCTTTGCCAAACAGCATAAGTGTACAATTTAAAATTTAGATCAAACTACACTCTCGTGAGCAGCCTCATATATAATAAATATAATTAGTAATAGAGAGAAAACCAGTATTTAATAAATCACTTTTGTAGAACAATCATTTAATTTAGATGATTAGTTATTTGCTAAATTACTCAAGTAACAACCTGCTTCTGAGTGGAAAAAAGCAAAAAAAAAAAAAAAAATTTAAAAATGAAGTATTACTGCTCTCAGTAAATAGGACCATTATCTATCCAATTTCTAAATCCAAACTTAAACATCCTTGAGCCTTCCCTTTCCTTCAGTTTCAACATCCAATCAACTGCCAATTCTCCTTTTCAAGTCCTTGAAGATTCTTTATTACACTAATGTGTCTCTAATACACTGCCATTCTTATTTCAGTGTTCCATTGTTTCCTTTCTGGGACACAAAACAGCCTCCCAGTTTGTCTACTAACTTTAGTCTTGATCCCCACTAATCCACTTTTCCCCAGCCTTTGGGGTACTCTTTACACACATACACACACACACCACACTCGTATACTACCCTATTAAAAACCTTCAAAGTTTTGCTGCCTTTGAAATAAATCTGAACTTACAGAAACTGACTAGCATACAATTCTAGCAGTATCTCTTTCCACTCGCAATCATTCATGTCTTCCCTGCTATGTTCCATCTATTCAGAACTTTTTTAGGGTCCTGACAGCACCCTGCCTTTTTCTGCTTCTTGGGCCTTTGTTTTTATTGCTTCCTTTGCCTGAAATGCACCCTTCTCTAATCCTTTTTCACTTAGATTCTCCTTCGTGTATTTCAGGACTTAGCTTAGATACTACTTCATCTAGGAAGTCTTCCTTCCACCTCTCAGCTCTCCAGGGCCTGCAATCTGAACCCTTCCTCAGTTCATGAAGCACCCTGGAATCAGACTTTTAATTGCCAGTTTAGGTATTTTTCTCTTCCCTGAAGTGTACAATGCTGGAAGACAGGGATTATGGCTCATTTGTTATTGATTCCCCAGTGCTTAATATAAGTTAAGGCCTGGCAGTGATATTTATTGATGGATCATGGGATATTGGGAAGGTTTAACTGGTCTCAAGAGGCCAGAGACTAAAGGTTTACTACATAAGGCCACATCATTTTATACACTTCTTGATCAGTTAGACGAAATAATGCCGATCTAGGCTTAAAAGACTCAATGTCAGAACGCTTTTGCTCAGCTGTTCCGGAAGAAGCAGAGACTGAGTAGTAATAGTTTCAGTCATTGTCTCCATTGAGACTAGTAAGACTATCGCCTCCCTGAAATCTGGCCCTGCACACACATGCAATTATCTTTCCTTCTTGTGAAATTTTATAAGACTTCAGAGTTACTCATATTCTGGACTGGCTTCCTGACCTCAGTTTATGAAATGAAAGCAGAGAACTGAATACAATAGCCCTAAAAAAAAAACTTTCCCAATGAAACAAATCTTGTGCCTTGATGGGGTGGTAGTTAAATAAGTCTGTGTGTCTGTGTGGTCACTGAATCAACCACTGGTCATTGAGTTAGGGTTTGGAAGACCGTCTTGTAGGACTAAGACTGATTGGTCTTACTGGCAGTCCCAGCAGCCTCAAACATTTGTTACATTTGTTTCACAACCTTTGTTTAATAACTTTTGTAGAATTGGTCACTCCTACATTTGTGCTAGCATAGCACTTTATGCAAGCAATTACTATGGTGTTATCACCATGGTATGAAGTTATTTAGGAGTAGATTTGTCTCTCTTTGAGCATAGAAATTGCTTCTCAAATTCCTCTTTATACCTTTTGTGCGTAGCACAGAACCCCATACATGATAAGTAATAACAACGATTACTTTAATAGAATCAAATAGTCAGTTATCTTATGGGAGTGAAATTGTGTCTGATTCTTCTCCTCTCTCTAGTACTAGTATAGTTTCATGAAAGGCTCTCAATTGTTGTTGATATTATTATAGAAAATGAAAAATTCCCTTGCTCCGTAAACATAACGCCGTTACTGATCACACACTATCCCCCAAGCTATAGGAGTGTAATAATGCTCCTGTGTCAGAGATGATCCTGAGAAGAATAGCCATGATTCAACTTGTTAGTACTCTGTATTCTCAAAACCCCATTAGGGAATACATATTAGGAGTAACTCAATTAAAAACATAAAATTTACTGTGTAATTATATGTGTCTCACATATCAAATTATTGTTAAGGCTCATAAACATGGTTTGAAATTAAATCAAGGACCATCTATCCTAGCAGATGCAATGACCAGAATTCAGTGTGCCTGGTCCACTTGACCACAGCCAGGCTTGGAATCTGTGGGTGTTGGCTTGCTTTGCAGGGAACATTTCCTTGTCTCAACTGTGCCACTTGGTAGAGGAAAGGCTATTTTTTTGGTCATAGTGATCCCATTTTTTCTCGGAAAAGATAAAGATGCCTCTCATCTCAGGGCTCCATACTTAGGGAACACAGAGTTCTGTTCTCCCCGTGGGAATCGAAGAATGTCAATCAGAGAATGTCACATCCAGTCAGTTCAGAGGAAGGAGAATATCTTCCCACATTCTTTACTCTGACTCTGTTTCCCAGAGGATGCATTTAGTTATTTTAGTGAGTCATAAAAAATCCCTGGAGGTATCATACTTTTCTGAGTTTGTGCTTCCCTCTACCAGCTTTTTTTTTTTTTTTTTTTTTTTTTTTTTTTTGGCTAAAGAAAATTAAGGTGGTGGGTAGAGAAGTGGTAATGATGATTTAAAAAGAGGAGAGAGTTCAGGAACAAAAGCGTCAGTTTCAAAAGGCCATGTGGTGTAATCACCACCATGCAAACATGTGGCCTTGGGCAAGTCATCTAACTGCTAAGAGCCTTAGTTTCTTCATCAATAAATTCAGAAAAATAAGGCCTGTTATTTACTAAAATGTGCATTTATTATTTTTATATATGCTTGTACTTATTTTAAATGATAAAGTCTTACAAGATAGCTCACAGAAACTAGTTCAATTATGCTGAGGTGTGCTGATCTTAATGGGACCATCAGATCCACCCAGATAGGGAGAATCTTGTAGGACTAGTTAGTTCAGCTGAGCTTCTTAATCCTGATTGCAATGGGTGGTTTTACCAAAGAGGTGCCTGAGGAAGAGTTAGCGTTGCTTTCCTTTACCACTTTTTTGACTCCAAATAGGCAACTACAAAGTGGTCATGCCATTTTAATAGGTTTCATTGTGTTGCTTGTTGCCAATTTTATACAAGCAATGGTTTCACATTTATATTAGTGAGAGAATTCTAATCTTTGGCAGATAGGGGCTCTATTTATTTATAGCTCTGTGTCTTAGTTTCTTCACCTGTCAGATTGGGCCAATAATACATGTCCTCCTTAAAGTGGAGTTGTGAGATCACAAAATAAAAGTGTTTTGAAAAGGGGAAAGCAGTAATTCCATGGAAATTGTTTCTATTTTGCCTTGTCTTTTAGTTTAGTACAGTGATAGGCAACTGTTAGGCATACAATAAGCAATTGTTCAATGACCTAAATGATTAGAAGGTAACCTCTGGATTGGATCAGAACACTCATTGTTGAATCTCCACAGATGAACAAGGCTGATTGGCTCGTTCACTTCAAGGTTTAAAGAAAAAGAGCTGTGTAATTGCATACTTCTTCCCCTTAAAGGAGATGTATCTCCTAATTAAACCAATTGTAGTCTTTCTTCTGGACTATGCAAGCCATTAGGTAACACTTTAGTCACAATGGATACATAGCAGGGTTTTTCAGCTTTGGCACTATTGACATTTTGGGCCGGATAAGTCCTTGCTGTAGGGGCTATCCTGTGCATCCCTGATCTCTACCCACTAGGTGCCTATATACACTCAGTACTCCCATCCGCTCCCCCACAATTGTGGAAACCAAAAATATCTAAATCTCTCCTGGGGGAAGGGGACAAATTTTTCCTCGGTTGAGTAGCACTGGGAATATAGATTGAGATACTAGAGTAGTATACAAATCAACCATTAAATATTTGTTGGTTGATTAAATCACTCCTGTAACAGCTGTTTATGGATCACCTACCAGGTACCTAGTTCACTTGACCACAGCCAGGCCACACCGAAGTCTGACTTTTTTTTCCCCTAAAGGCTCAGAATAAGAAGTGGAAATGCTATTTACTAAAATGCACATTATTTTACCAAGGTCTGTATTAGTCACAGTCTAGCGGATTTAAAAACATGAATAGCTATGTATAATATGAGGTAGTAAAATACACACTACTGTGATAGAATTAAGAACATTGCTATGAGAATACAAGTTAACTCTTGTCTTAAGGTGTGGGTGGTTTTGGAAGGATTCTCAGAGGAACACGACTAGGATCTCATAAGTACAAATGATTATTTGTACAAATTTTCCCAGCTGTGTAAATTTCCTGTACAATTAGTTGTTTTTGTTATGTTATATATTTTTAAGAGCTAAGTGTTTATTAAGTTGGTTCTCCTTGAAGATGGGAATGAGTTTTGTGTTTAAAAAGTAGCAGGCAGGCTGATGGACAGGTATTGTGTTGGTGCACCACATACTATAGCTGTGAATAAAACAGATACAGACCCTGCCTCCAGATGCAGAGGCTGCCTCCAGAATATCTAAAGCATAATTCTAGTCTTTTGTCCTTCCCTTACTTCAGGTACCTCTTTACGTATGTAATTCTCTCTCATAGCCTCAGTTTTCCCAGGTATGAAAGTAGGAGGCAGGATGAGATTATCCCAAAGTGTCAGCATCTGACCTCTTATTAATTAAATATTTCTTTTATCGCCCACAGTCCTAAATCACTAAGTTCTCAAGAAAAGTCAATTGCTACTTGCCTTGTGGGAATAAAATAGATTAAAAACCTTATTCTGATATAGGTCCATTCGAGGTTCCTGGAGAATGGCACCACTTTCTCGGGGAAGATATTTTTGCCTAATTGGATATATTCATTTGGAAGTAAGAGGACCTAGAAGAAATGAGAAATAAAGAATATCAGGTTCTAAAAATATTTATTATGTAAGTGCTGAGGCTCATATCTGGGAGAATTATATCAGTCTTACGAGATTCTATTCCTGTATAGGTGCCATAACTAAAAGTTCTTTGTCCCACAGCTACGAACAAGGATATCACTCTCACAGGATTTCTACCTATTCTATTTTTCTACGCAGCACAAAACTTGATTATTTCTTTCTCTGGAGACAATGACTACTAATAGTAATAAAAGTAATCCATAAAGATGATTAAACCATAGTTATAATTTGTAACCTAAATACTGTATAAATTCTCAAACTATTGCACATGAAGTATCTACTTGTTCCTCCCAAAAACAATATCACGTAGGTTATGCAGAGGTCATTATTTTCATTTTGTATATAGGGAGCTGAGATTTAGAGAAGATGATGAACACATTTGAATTTTCACAGAAAAGAAGATGCAGAGTCATGATTTTACTGATGTTTTCACAACATCAGGATATTGCAAAATATTCAATAATGAACAAAATGAGTCAAAACCAAAGGTAAGCCACAGGGTAAGGGTAGATAATTGCAATACACATGCTAACAAAGGATTTATATCCAAAATATATAAAGAACTGCTACTAGTCAATAAGTACAAGACAGACAACTCAACAGCAAAACTTGGGCAAAAAGCCTGAATAGAAACTTCATAAGAGTATATTTAAATCACCGATAAACTTAAGAAAAGTTGTTCAGCTCCATTAGTCATCAGGGAAGTGAAAGTTAAAATCACAATGCAATGTCACTATGCATTAACCAGAATGATTCAAATGAAAAAGGCAAACATATCTAAAGTTAGTGACCATGTTGAGCAACAGAAACTCTTACACACTGCCTGCAGGAGCATATGTTGTTGCAAACACTTTGGGAAACTGTTTGGCAGTGTTGACTAAAGTTGGACATTTTCATATCCTATGACCCAGTTATTCAGTCCTAGGTACCTAAATGAACACTTGTCAACATATATCAACAAAAGAAAATCATCTTTGAGAATATTTACAGCAACACTATAATGGTCTTAAAGTAGAATAATATAAATATTTATCCACAGAAGGACAGATAGGCAAACTGTGATGTGTTTATATAATAAAATATTATATAGCAATGAGAATGAAAGACGCAACTGTAGTCAGCAACATTAATTTATCTTATAAACATTGAGTTAGTGAGAGAAGCCCTAAGCAAAAGAGTGCCTAGAGTATAATCCTGTTAATACAGATTTTAGCAAGAGTTAAAAGTAATCTTGGTGATAGAAATTAGAATAATAGTTACTTTTCGGGTGCAGAGATCAGATGAGGGTACAAGGGATTCTGGGAAGCCGATAATGTTCAATTTTATGATATGGATGCTGGTTATACAGGTTTGTTCAAGTTTATGAAAATCCATAAAACTGCACATATGTAATTTGTATACTTTTGTGTATGTGTGTTATTCCTCAATACAATTTTACTAAGTTTAACAAATAAAGAACGGAGTCATTAGGACACAAGGAATATCTCTGTATGCCAAGAAGAGAGATGACTTCATGAGAAATTACCAACAAGTTTTGGGGTGGCTTAAGAAAGTACAGCTGAGGAAATGAAGAATGAAAAAGGGGTATATCAGTATGTGAATAGACCACTGGGCACCTGCTCAGATGAAAAATAAAAAGGAACTGATGTGGGTTTAGTAAATTTCTGAAGGTCCAATAGTTTGCAAGTGGTTCAGCTGGAATTCCAATCAAAATCGTTTTATTCCCTAGCTCCTGCTTCTTCAACTATATCATCCCAGCAGGCAATATTTTACTTCAACCCTGAAATAGTGAAGAATAGGAAAAGCAGAAGGAGGAAAAAGAGTAGATGTCATCGAAAAATGATGTTAAATATTGGGTTAAAGTCAGCCTTTCACTATAAGCTCTGTGAGGATGCAGTCCGTATTTATCTTGCTAGCCTCTCTTGACCCAAGAATAGTTCTTTAATGGAAAGAATGCATAAATGAGTTAATGAATGATTGAAAATAGAGGAGAAAGAAAACAGACTTGGGAAGATTGCCACCCTCCATCAAACTAACAAAGTCTTTTGTTTTCTTTGTTTTTTTTCATATTTTAAGTTAATAAATGAATAGAAAATTATATATGTAATTACATATTTATGTAATTATGTAATTTTGTTGTATATATACAATTTTATATACACAAGTATATACAAACACACACATAATAATGTGTGTGTGTTTATACACCCACCCTATACATACACACTTACTTGGCCTACAAATTCAGGGATCTCAATATCCCTAATTACAGCTTACATTGCAGGCTACACAGAAGCACTGCTGATTTCAGCCCTGGCAGGACTCCTGTTTAAACATACTTCCCAGAAATCTTGGGCAGCTTGCCATGGTAAGGAAACAATTTACGTCAGATTTTGAGTAGGGGAATCCGTCAGGGGTGGGGAGGAAGGCGGGGGTGGGTCGTTAAAGGTGGTAAGATTGAGGCTTTTCATAGACCCTACAGCTGATCATTATTTTCCTGATCCACTGGAAGGACAGAGTGGTTATTATTCCTCTTTGGCTTACCCTTGCCTCAGCAGCTCTGCTCAGAAAGTCAATGGCTGCCTGAAGATTCCTCTGGGGATACCAAATGAGTCTGGCTATGACGCTAAATAATTTTTCTCTATTTTTTTCTGGCTGTCTTGATGGTTTGCCATAATTAAGATATTTCTTTTTGTTAATTACGGATGGCCTTTAATGTTTCCTTTAGTTCAAGACTGAGGTTGAAATGACCTCAGAATGATTTAGTCAAACTTGTTCCTGTTGGAGGAATTATTTGCATGACAACAAAAAATCATTCCCTATTCAATAAACATATATGAAGTGGGCAGATATTGTTAGTATTCTACCTAATGTTCAACTTCCTTTCCTTTTTTCAGGCTAGCAGCCCTCTCATGTTATTTTTTTTCCATTTTGAGAGGGAGCATTGTATCCACATCCAAGCAATAAATTTTTATTGGTGTAAGTTAATCTCGACAATCCTATTCTCAGCATTCTTGGAAGCTCTAGTGTATCTTAGTTCTGCCCAAAGAGGCCTAAGAAAAGGAAGTTTTCCTGCAGAATTCTTTTTTTTTTATTTTTTTTACTTTTTCTTTTTTTTTTTTACTTTTTAAAAATTTATTATTATACTTTAAGTTTTAGGGAACATGTGCACAATGTGCAGGTTAGTTACATATGTATACATGTGCCATGCTGGTGCGCTGCACCCACTAACTCGTCATCTAGCATTAGGTATATCTCCCATTGCTATCCCTCCCCCCTCCCCCCAGCCCACAACAGTCCCCAGAGTGTGATTTTCCCCTTCCTGTGTCCATGTGTTCTCATTGTTCAATTCCCACCTATGAGTGAGAATATGCGGTGTTTGGTTTTTTGTTCTTGTGATAGTTTACTGAGAATGATGATTTCCAATTTCATTCATGTCCCTACAAAGGACATGAACTCATCATTTTTTATGGCTGCATAGTATTCCATGGTGTATATGTGCAGATTTCTTAAAAAGGTTTTGATTTTCTGATAAAGAAGGACAACATACTGCAATGCCCTTTCTCATTCTTGTCTGGAATGTGATAGTTGCCAACTTGTGACCATGAGGATAATGGCAAGAAAGTTAAAGACACTATTGATGTACTGAACCAACATAAGCAATCACTTTCTCATTCCTGCCTGGAATGTGATAGTTGCCACTTTGCAACCATGAGGATAATGTCAAGAAAGTTGTAGATATTATTGATGTATTGAACCAACACAAGTAACCACTTAACTTTAGAGATCTTTTCATACTAAGAAAATAGAAGAAGTCACTGTGGCCATGTTTTTGTGTTTCTTAGAAAAGAAATACACATTCAAAATATACTATATTCCAGGCATTGTGTTAAGAAAAGGATTGGTAGACAGAGAGATGCACTGTTGAGATTACCCTTCAGGAAGGACTTGCTACCGACTACAGGGGACAGGAATCAGCAGACATCCTCCAGCCATCAGCTTCTTCAGGATCTACCTCAGCGTCAAGGAACCACCTGACCTGAGGTCTCATTCTTCCTTGGGCAGACTACATCTTATAACAAAGTGAGGTAAGGGCATAAAAACCGCTCAGGTGGGGTCACTGAGGGATACTCTGACAGGTAATACTAACTCGAGAACTCCCCACCAAGCTGACTCTTGGTTTAGTGTGCATTGCATTAGTGATCTTGAAAGGCAATAGCAAGGAAGAAAGCTCCTGCCCAGAGCTTTGAGCATTGCCCCTGGTTATCCATTTTATGGATATCCATTTTGTGAGAAAAGATAATTGGCCAAGGTTAGAATATATATGGACACATGGACAGGTGTAAATGGCCTGGCAGGCTGGTCAGTGATGTGGAAAGAAAGGCATTGGAAGACCAGAGGCAGGAGTTTTGGCTACAGGCATATGAATGTGCATTTGGAAGTAGGCACAATGTATCATTGTACAACAGATGAACAGCCACCTGAGAGTACCTACCATCAGAAAGGCACTAAGCAGCCAAGGAGACAAAATGATTAGTTAGTTGATATCAACCAGCTTCTTTCATCAGCAACCCCAGTGTTGGTGTGATAGGCACATGAGCGATGTGGCCAAGGTGGCAGAGATGGAGATTACGCACAAGTCCTACGGCATGGACTCCCACTGACCAAGGCTGACGAGCTACTGAAATGGCATGGCAATGGATGTTGGATGATCCAGCAGAAGAAATAAAACAATGAACTCTTGACATAGCACCAATCCTTGACAAGATGAGTTGACCACATCAGGCCTATTCTGTTCTAGATAAACCAGTGGTTCATTCTCACAGGAACAGACACAATATTTTGGGTTAGTATTAGCCTTTATTACCTTTGAAATTTAAGCAACGACCACGATTTGAATGCTTACAGCATGATATGCTAGTGTGGGATTCCTAACATTGTATCAACCCAGAAGACCCACTTTATAGCAAAGGAGGGCTGGAGGTGTTCTTGTGTTGAGCAACAGTGCACTCTCCTAGGTGATACCTCTCAGTCCCATGGCATAATTTGTGACACTATTTTACAACTGTTGGTTCATAAATACATACTAGGCATTCCTGATCCAAGTGTCTTGTTTTCCCAGCTCTCTAGAGCAGGTTTTTGGACAAGAAGATAGTCACCCCTATTTTAACGCCCTGCTCCTGCCAGAGGACAATTCTGTACTATTCTGTGCAATAGTGCTTATCAAATTAGCATTAACAGCTTAGGAATGATTAGAATAATAATAGTAATCATTAAAATTTAGGAAACATTTGGGGATTTGAAGTTAGGACTCAAAATTCATTAGGTTTATTGATATAATTTATCAGTCATAAAACAAGATCTTACATGAGTTCTGTGCACACTTGTTTTTCCATAAATGTACTTGTGATAATGGACAATAATGAAAAAATATGCCCAGGGATTCTGGAGACATGGCTTAAAATCAGATGCAATGACTTTGACTTTTCTTCATGCCTCATGTCTCATTTTAAAATTTTATGTAAATTTTGTCTTTTTATTTTATAATATATCCATTTATGTCTTGTTATAAAACAATCTATCTCCAAATCTTAATAAAAATAAATGTTCAAAGAAGATGTGCCATATTGCCCCTTTGTCCTCATTATTTTCCTTCATACCATCACATCTCCTTGGTGAATCCTTGGACTCCTAGAAACTACTCGGAAATGGAACAAAGATAAAAGTAGCAAGAATGCAGAGGACTGATCACTGGAGAATACTTGTTCAAACAGAGGAAACAGAAAGAGAAGCTATAAAGAAGGCTGAGAATGCATAGTTAGAAGGATAAGAAGAGATTACAGACAGAGAAACTGAGAAAGGACAGAGTTTAAACTACAGTGTCAGATAAAGCAGGAGTCAACTTGTGAACTTTGAAAAAAGCAGAAATAGAAGCCATAATAATGTGGGTTAAAGAATGAGTGGAAAGATATGTAAGGTTGACTAAAATTAAAAACTCTGCAGTGGTAAAAAGATAAGAGTCAACAACAAAGGAGGGGCAACAAATAGATGAGAGTAAGGAAGGAGGAACTAAAAGAGCATGTTCCCCCTGAATCTAAAATAAAAATTGGAATTACTAAAAAAAGAAGTGAATACAGTCAATGACTAAGCAATATCATTAGATATTGATTATTAAGCCAGGGTCCATTTTATAAATGAAAGATAGAGAATATAAATATAATAGGAATGAAACTGTTCTTGTGTGTCATCACATTTTCCCCCTGTGAAGGAAATTTCCAAAGACAGTAAAGTCCATATCAGTACCTTCCTTAACAAGAAAAGGGAGTAAACACGAAACATCTTTTAGAGGCAACTTTGGGGAACTTGTATAGGAAAGTTGAAAGAGTCTAGGGTTTGGGGATTAGAAAGATTAAGATTTGATTCTCAAACAGCAATAATTAGAGTAAATATTCATTCTCTTTGGACCTTAGTGTTTCATTCCATTACAAAGGGCTAATGATTCCTGCTTTAAGGGTTGAAATGGGGGGTTGAATAGGATTTCCTGGCACTCTAAATGCTGAGTCCCCATCTTTAGTTCAAAAGCCTCAGATTGGCCAATGAAAGCTGCTGTTTGTCCTGTGCTACGTTAATGACCCTGACCCAATCCCTATTTCCATATATACTACATGGATCTATTAACATATCTTCCCTCTGACTGTCCAGTTTAAATTCAACAGATGAAACCATGACTGTTCTGTGTTACATTTTAGATGTGAGGATGTACACAGCTACCCTGATTGAGTTTGGATGATTTCCAAGTTTCCTTAGGAAGACATTTACGTGTCATGATTTAGGAAGGACTACTTCTGTAAAGGTCTGTTTATTATTCATAGATCGATTTTAGTCTCTGCCAAGTACCTTTCCTCACCTTGTTCCAAATTTTGAGGGACTCATAATTTATTCAACAAATTCTTATAGAACATCTCTGATGTGCCAAGAACTATGTGAACTGTTGGGAATTCACATGTTAATAAGATCTGGTTTCTGGAGATGAGGTGTCAGGCATACAAACATTCTGTGCAAATAAAAATATGGTCAGTGCTAAAATAGTATTATAAATAACATTTTTGTGTCATTCTCTGAATCACAGTATCTCCTTCAGATACTGTTAGGGGGAAACCCAATTTCCTTTTTTTAATCCCATTGTATACATTTATGGGGTACAATGTGATGTTTTGATATATCTATATAATGTGGCATGGTTAAATTGAACTAACTAACATATCTATCACCTTGCTTGCCTGTCATTTATTAGTATGAAACATTAGAAATATACTCTCATAGTTATTTTGAAATATATAATACGTTATTATTGACTGTTACCCTGGTGTGCCATAAATCTCAAAACCTATTCCTTCTATCTGCAACTTTGTATCCTTTGATCAACAACTCCCTATTGGTGCCACCCCTGCATACCCTCTGATAACAATCTTTCTACTTCTATAAGTTCAACTGTACTAGAATTCCCATGTTAAGTGAGTTCATGTGGTATTTGTCTTTCTTTCTGTGCTGGACTTACCTCACTCAGCATAATGAGATTTCTCAAAAGAAAACAAAAATGGACAATAGGTACATGAAAAAATGCTTAGCATCACAAATCATGAGAAAAATGCAAATGAAAACCACAATGAGATGTCACCTCACACCTTTAAGAATGCCTTTTTTCAAAAAGATAAAAGATAACAAGTGTTGGAGAGAATGTGGGGAAAACAAAACTCATAACTCATACATTGTTGGTGGAAATGTAAATTAGTATAACCATTATAGAAAGCAACATGGAGATTCCTCAAGAAAGTGAAAATGGAACTACCATAGGACCAGTAATCTCACTTCTGGGTATGTAGCCAAAGGAACTGAAATTAGTATGTCGAAGGGATATTTGTACCTCCAAGTTCATTGCAGCGTTATTCACAATAGCCAACTGTGAAAACCACCTAGGTGTCCAGCAACGGATGAGTGGATACAAACAATGAAATACTCTTCAGCCTTTAAAATGAGGGGAATCCTGTCATTTATGATAACATGGATAAATCTGAAGGAAGCACAGTTTCTAATTAACATATTTCCAGGAGGAAACTTCCACTATCAGGAGAGAAATTAATTAGGACAGAAACAGTTCTGACTTTCTGTGCCACCCTCCTCACAAAAGAAGCACCTGATCTGAATGTGGAATTTGGAAAATCAGATCTACAAGTACACAGCTTTGGTTTTCTTTTCTCTTCTTCCTCCTCATTGGCAGGTCTACAACTGTCCAGCTACTTAATACAGGAAGATAAGTTTAATGTGATGGAGGTGGTGGTGGTAGAAGCAGCAGTTGAAAGGCTTACCTTGACAAAGGGTAAAGCACTTCCTCTAATTCACCATCAACAATAATAAAAGTATGTTTTCTATACATTCCTCAGATTCCCTTGTGGATTATTTTTTTCTGCAGTTATTAGATTCATAGTTGTATTAGTCCGTTTTCATGTCTGAGACTGGGCAGTTTACAAAAGAAAGAGGTTTATTGGACTTACAGTTCCACATGGCTGGAGAGGCCTCATAATCATGGAGGAAGGTGAAAGGCAAGGAGGAGCAAGTGACATCTTACATGGATAGTGGCAAGCAAAGAGAGAGAGCTTGTGCAAGGAAACTCCTCTTTTTTAAAACCATCAGATCTCGTGATATTTATTCACTATCATGAGAACAGCATGGGAAAGACCTGCCTCCGTGATTCAAACATCTCCCACCAGGTCCCTGTGGGAATAACATGTGGGAATTATGGGAGCTACAAGATGAGATTTGGCGGGGGGACACAGAGTCAAACCATATCAACAGTTCTCTGTGTGGAGTAATTCATATTTATTATTCATAATATTTAAATATCACAAATTCTTACTGAATTTATGTCTGCTTACCTTAATCAGAACTTTACAGACATATGCATTAACTTCTGCCAAGTGACTGAATTTGTCTATTTCTCTTAGTTCTGTTAGTACTTGCTTTATAAAGTATTTTGAAGCTATGTTATTAGGTGGATACAAATTTTGCAATGGTACATTTTCCTTAAAGGTTGATGCTTTTATAATCAAAAACCATACCTTTTAATATTTAGTAATTTTTTTTGCTTTAAAAATTACCGTGGAACTTTGGTTTCTGGTTCTGCATGTAAAGAGCTTGAAAGTCACCACTCCATCCTAATAATAAGGGAAAAGCTGAGCAACTGAAAAATCAACATGGATCAATTCTTCTTAGATCTATAAGAGAAGTAGGTCACAGGGCAAACTGCTGCCTCTAAAGCTGGAGAGACAGGCAGATGAATACAGAGAATCACAACTCACTGGAGCAGAAACTCAGGAGCAGAAATCCCCATGGGAACCAGTGCTGGAGTTGGGAATCCAGAACCGTAGTTGACAAATTGCTGGTGGTTCAAAGTAGACAAGTGTGAGACTTAAAAACTCCTGAGGGACCTAGTCATAGGGGGGCCCCACACTTTTGTGAGTTTTGTCTCAGGAATTCAACCAGGCTCTCATAGTAAATATGAGAGAAAAGTCCTCTCTTATTCTGGCAGGGGGAGGGGAAAAGGAACGATTTTGAAATATATCAGTGCACTCTGTTCTCAACAAAATCTGTCCTCAGAGAAATTAGCTAACTAGAGCCTGCCAGAGTTTTATCTCAGCCACACTGACCAGCAGGAAGGGAAATACCCAACTTCAGCCAGCTCCAGCTTTCCATGTAGAAACACCTGAAGTAAAAAAAAGAAAGAAAATAAAGAAAAAGAAAACAAACCTGAGAGGCATTTATGAAGTTCATGAGCCAGAGGTGTGGGGTTCACTAAAAGACTGAGACTTGGTTCTAAGACTATAAACACTGCCCATCCCCCTACATTTTACCACCACTAAAGGCCTTATTGTAACAGTTCCTTTTACCAGTATCTCATGTCTGGCTATCAATAAAAAAATTACAAGATACACTAAAAAGCAAAAAACACAATTTGAAAAGACAGAAGAAATATCAGAACGAGGCCTGGTAGGGATGTTGGAATTATCAGACCAGGGATTTAAAACAACTATGCTTAATATGATAAGGGCTTTAATGGATAAAGTAGACAGCATTGCAAGAACAGATGCACAATGTAAGCAGAGAGATGAAAATCCTAAGAAAGAACTAAGAAAGAAATGCTAGAGATAAAAAACAGTGTAACAGAAATAAAGAATGCCTTTGATGCTCTCACTAGTAGACTAGACATGGCTGAAGAAATAATCACTGTGCTTGAGAATATATCAACAGGAACCTCCCAAACTGAAAAACAAAGAAAATAAAACTAAACTAAAAAAGGGAACAGAATATTCAAGAACTGTGGGATAACTACAAGAAGTGTAAATACATGAAATGGCAGTACCAGAAGGAGAACAAAGAGAGAAAGGAAGAGAATAAATATTTGAAACAAAAATGACTGAGAATTTCTTAATTAATGTCAGACATTGATATAGGATAATGCTTTGTAATACTAAATATCTCAAAATGGAGTACTTATGACAAGTGATTCAGCTTATAGTGACATTACTGAACCCTCAGAATGATGAATGTATGTATGGTGGATTGAGGTAATCAGATGTCACCTGCTGTGGCCAGACCTTTTTGAGACCTGACAGGAAAGTGAAGCCAAAATACAGCTAAAGATAATGGCCATGGACACTCCTGTGGAGGGGCATAAAAACTGCAAAGAGACTGACCATGGCAAGGTGCTTACAGAATCTCTGCCCATGAGAACACTGAGGCCTCCTTTCCTTCTGCTGTTGTTGCTAGAGCTCTCCTCTGAGAAAAGAGCAGCAACACCCCCATGTCCCCATGGATTGCTCCCAACCCCCAGTGTATTGGTGCTGTCCTGTCAGCATGTTGGTCTCCCTAGCTGAGCTACTCTCTGTGGTTCCTTCCCTAGTACCCTCCTCCCATTGTGTATATTGAATATATTTGCATAATTTGCATAATGTGTGAAAGGCTTGAAATAAACTGTGAATTCGTAAGCATTTTATTGGCCACTGAGTCATGAGTTAGCACAACTAGGCTAATTAGAACCTGGCACAAGAGACACCAAACCAGATTCATGAATTTCAGGGAATACCAAGCAGGATAAATGCAGAAAACTATACCTAGCAATATCACACTCAAACTACAGAAAATTAATGAAAAAATTCTGAAGGAATCCAGTGGAAAAAATACTTTATCTATAGAGGAGCAAAGATAAGAATTATATTTGACTTGTCCTCAGAAATCCTGCAAGTAAGAAAAGAGTGAAAGAAAATATTTAAAGAGTTCAGAGAAAAAAAAAAAACCAACCTGGTATTTTGTAGCCTGTGAAATTATTTTTTAAAAATGAAAGAGAAACAAAGACTTTCTCATACAAACAAACACCGAGGGAATCTGCAACCAGTAGACCCTTGATGAGCGTTTAGATTGATTCCATGACTTTGATATTGTGAATAGTACTACAATAAACACAAATGCAGGTGTCTTTTGATAAAGTAATTTCTTTTCCTTTGGGCATATAACCAGTAGTGGAATTGCTGGGTCAGATGGTAGTTTTATTTTTAGTTCTTTGGAAAATTTTCATACTGTTTTACATAGAGGTTGTACTAATTTATATTCCCACCAACAGTATATAAGCATTTCCTTTTCTCTTCATCCATGTTAACATCTGTGGTTGGTTTTTTTTTTTTTTTTGACTTTTTAATAATAGTCATTCTGGTTGGTGCAAGTAATACCTCATTCTGGTTTTAATTTCATTTCACTAATGATTAGTGATGTTGATCATTTTTTCCTATGTTTGTTGGCTGCTTGTATATCATCTTTTGAGAAATGTCTATTTGTGTCCTTTGCCTACTTTTTAATGGGGTTGTTTCTCGCTTGTTGAGTTGTTGAGATTGAACCTCTGCCTCCCGGGTTCAGTCTAATATTCTTGCCTCAATCTGAACTGAACTCAGAGGAAAAAGAGCTAAGACTACTTATCACCCCCTAAACAGCCAACACAGATACATGAACCAGGAAAACCCTAAAGAACATACATAAAGATTGGCATTGAATACCCACAAAGTTCAAAGAGTTCAGCTCTCTTGGTATTTTGTAGCAGATTGTATTACAGCTGGTGTCTGCACCTAAGTGGATGACTTGATTTTAGGTGAAAGGCTGTTTTAGAATTGTTGTTTCATAGGCTTTAGTAAATGAAAATTTCAGATTCTGAAATTGATCTAATCAGGTATAGTTCTAGTAGTACAGTTTGCCTCAAAGCAAGCATATAGAACTTTTTGGTATTGGTGGGTGTAAGATATATTCTCTTTACAAACAAGAATGCAAAGACAGCTGAATTACACATGGATGGTAAGAATATGATTCTATTCTTTAAATTTAAAATACTAAGCCTTAGTAAGTACTACTAGATTATCTCCTTCAAATTCTGACACTTTTAACATTATACATGCTGTTACAGTCATTTTTTTCTGCATACATTTCTATAGCCAAGGAGACAGCTATAGCAGGGATAGCTCTAAGTGCAATTTTCTTTTAATGTGGGCCAGAGACTCATGCAGAGTAAATATATATTATTAAGCGATCACACTAGATTTTCTTGCACAAGGGTGAATGAATTCTCTGTTTACGTAATTGAGCTGTTGATTCTGCTTTCAAGTGTCTTCTGTCAGAAACTAGAAAAGCCATACAAAATAATATCAAGTCCTATTCTTGTGTTCCACTGTATGGCTGCTGATCACCTATTTATCATGCAAGGCCCATATCAAAAGCCACCTCCACTAAAAAGCTTTATTTATTGTAAAAAAAATTATCCCTGGGACATGAAACCTTTTCATTCAATCTTAGCAACATTGAATCCTGGTTCTACCAGTTCTTGTTTTGATAGAAATGAGGTGTTGGTATTTCTATATTGTTAAAATCTTCTCTTTCCTTCGACAACCATACTTACTCTCATTGCCAGGTATAGATCATCTTCCCCAACAAAAGAGTAAATCCATGTAGGATATTGATTTATTTGAACAGATGAATGGCTATGCCATTGTGTAAAATCATAGTTTGTGGTATACAACATCACCATCATTTTCACCGACTTTGTGCAAAGTTCCCTGTCACATGCTAAGAGGATATCAAAATGTCCAAGACATCATTCTTGCCCTTAAGATATTTACAATCTAATAGAGGAGAAAAATGTGTTCACAAGTAACTACAGAGACTAGCTGGATGAAATATCTTCCCTGTGCTGATGTCTCGGAGCTAGCATGACTCCTAACTCTTACCCTCTTCTGTAATATTCCTGAACCTTTTTGTGAATGTCTTTTTGTCTCCAACAAGATTGTGAATTCATAGCATGTAGAGCTGATACCTTCTTCATCCTTACCCTTTCAGTTCCAATCATGGCTTATGATTGATAGAAATACAATAAGGATATATCTATTAATTCAGTGATTATAATAAATGTCAATATTTTGGAAGGATTTAACTTACAGAATGTGAAACTTTTTTTTTTGTAGTGATGTGGTATTAGTGTAAACAACATGAAATTTATTTCCAGTTAACTTGTTTTAACTCAGCTCTACTATTTATCATCTTAAACATGTCTCTCAAGCTCTAGCTTCAGTATGAATTATGCCTTCCTTACTCATTAAGTGCTGATAAATTTTGAGTGAGAGAGATCTGTGAGCCTTTTGTAAGCTATCTACATGTTCTGCAATTGTTATTATTTTGAACAATGAATATAATAATGTTAGGAAGTCCTGAACTCAGAACTAAATTCTCTGCCACTGTTTAGCTGAGTGCCTTAGTAAGAACCTCTCTAAAGCTCATTTGGCTCATCTAGAAAATGGGTACACAAAACATTACTTCCTTAGTGTGAGCAAAGCACCTAGAACACAATAGAAATTCTATAAATGTTGTCTGTGAAAAACTTTGACTTGAACCTCAAAGGTAGCTCTAAGGCTCATAGCTTTGTAATGAATGCAAAAGTCAGTATGATGTTAGGAAAACAGTGTCCTGTGAGTAAACTTATTTGATGGCACAATTGAAGCAAAATGACTGAGCTGCTTTCCTGGGAGATAATGAGCCCTTTTCCTGGAAAGTTTCACATTCAGGATGATAACTGCTCACAGAGATGCAGAGTGCCAGTTGAACTAGATGGCTTTGGAGGTTTTTTCCATTTGAGATGTTTCAAGTTTGAAAATTCAAAATTCATCATTTACTCATTTAGCAGGGAAAAAAATTACTGTGATAGGTACTCCTTACATAAATCCTTAACCTCATTGAAATTATATTGGAGGCATATATATAATAAACACATAAATGAATCAATATATAGTATGTCAGATGATGATACTTACTATAACATTTTTTGTTGAAGCTGTGTTTTATACTTAATTTGGGATAGTAAACAATTTCAAACCCTAATAGCAGGAAAGTAAACAGTTTCAAATTCTAGGGCCTCTGTATCCCAGAGGTTTACTTTTCTTATAGCATTTAATATCATCTGGTGCAGATGGAGCCCTGGTCAGTGAGTGAACTAATTAATAGTTGATAAGTTTCAATGGAGATAAGATTATTTCTATCACTGGGGTTAAGTATCCTTCATCAAAGCATCCAGGTGAAACTGTGAATTTTGTCCCTCAGGTTAGTCAGGAGGACTAAATCCAGGAGAAAGGTTAAATGAGGTCAGAGAGATGGGAAAACAGCCACAATTTGCATTCTAGAGCACATGATCATATGTATTTATAGATACCTGCAGAAGCATAAGGGAAAATACAGTATGCAGAGATAAGATTTTCAAAGCTCCTAAAATGCAAACTGAACCATGCAATACATTAAGAGAAGATTAGCAATAAGTATCTGGTACTGGATAATATCAATTTCTTTATTTCTTTTTATCAGAAAGCTTCATTACAATTTGGAACAGCAATTCCAAATTGACAAAGGTTGGCTTATCTTAAAGACTGGATTAGACTATGTTTAAACACAGATATAGAAGTATTTCTAGCTTTAACCTTTTACATAAATAATTTCTAAAGTGATTTTGCATCTATTATTTAACAGATTCATTTATGCACAAACAAACCTAAGAGTTAAGCAAAACAGATTTTAGGATTTCAGGTGGAGGTCAGAGAACCTAGGTTTGAATGTCACAGGTTTTCACATACGTTTAATGTCTCGATGTTGGGAATTCTCTTAAAGTTTAATGGGCATATGAGAGAGAAGTGTAGGTTGCAGTGTGCCAATCATTTGCTCATTTCTTCAAACACAAATGTGTCAGTAACTGGCATGAGGTCTGAGGCTCACAGTCCCCGAGAGAGAGGAAGACAAGTTCAGCAATAGCTATAATAAAAGACAAAATGTAGAGAGCACCATTAGGAAGTTATGGTGTGTTTTGGGAGTTCATAGGAGGAATATAATGCATTAATTTTCTTGTCAGAATATCCCAGTGGGTTTTGTGGGCAGCTGTACTCAGCTCAGCTGGTGTGGGCAGGGAGTCGGGGTGGGGAGAAGAACAGACTTAACTGCTGTCTGTTGTTCCAGACAATAAACCCAGAACTTCACAAAGATTGTCCTTGTCAGATGTTGAGGGCAAATGTCTTTGCTTTTACAGATGTACCCATAGGGTCAAGCTCCAGCACAGAGACCCATCCTGGGATGCAGGACTTGGTGCCAGGGAAGTCCCAGGTAAACCAAATGAGTTGGTCATCCTACCTGGGAAGTGTGTGACCTAACATAAGTTATTCTGTGTACCTGCTCAGATCTTGAAGAAGCTGACAGCTGGAAGCTGTCTGCTAACACTTTCCTTTACCTGGGAATCAGGTCCCTCCCTAGAATGTGGTCCTGGGGCAGTGCATCTCCAGGACTACCACTTTTACCTTTGCCATAGTTATTATACCCATTTCTAGAAAAAGAGATTAGTCTCAATAAATTTCAGTGCCTTGCGTGAGGATTAGGGATCTCTAACATCAAAATTTGAGCCTGTGTGTATTATCTACGTAGATAATTCTTGTTCACTCCTTTCAGTTTCTTTATTGTAATTGGCTCTGAAATTCTTAAAAGGGTCAGTGGGCCTGTCTTCAAAGATAGCATCAAGGAGAGATTGAGGGAGGTAGGAATATTCTGCCTTGTCCAGCTTAAGGAAGAGGGATCCTGGAAGAGCAGATAGGTGGCAAAGCTTTAAATAGGGATGGTGAGCACCACAACTCATTGGGTCTATGGCAAGAAAGGAGCTGAATTCTGGACCTGGCTTGGGAGCACTGTTAGCCCTGAGAGCACGTTTGTTGCAAGGCTGTGTGTCTCCATAGGCAGCTTTCCTCCTTGCTTGTATTCTTGAACCCACATTTTATAAGCCAGCAGTGAGCATATGCTGAATGCTGTGGAATTGTTTATGAAAAGCTTTCCCCTCTTTCCTAGAGAGCGAAAAGGTGAAAGGGGATCTGTTAATAGCAAGAAAAGGAAGTGGTTGAAGTGCATTCCATGATTCCTTGGCCTTTAAGCCTGAAGAAGTTAAATAATTTGATGCACAGAGCCTGACTACAATTCTAATGAGCAAGCTGGCAGAGAAAATTAATGATAATAAATTAATTCCAGAGAATTCCATTTTATGTGCTCAATTATTAACGGTATTGCAGTGTTATTAATGGTGTCAATTATTAATGGCATGAATAATTAAGAAAGCACATCCATGTTATGATGTACAAGGCTTCTAGGGTTGGGCAAATTGCTCAGAATAAATAAATAAACATGTCAGGGTTCAGACCTATAACATGTTTCAGGACCCAGCCTCCAACATGTTTCCTGGAAAACACGGGTACATCTTTCATCAGAGGTCTCCGTTACAGGGACTCCTTCCCATGTCTTATATCACGATAGTAACAAGAAAGAGGTTTGGTATGAAGGACCATATTTCCTTGGCATTCTGATCTTCCAGGATGTCTCAATTCATCCACTGGGTAGACACTGACTGAAATTGATGACCATAAGAAACTAGGTGTGAGATTAGGGAGGGCTGTGCACATTTAGTAAATCTAAGAGGGCTGACCAGGTAAGCTAAACATGAGTAGTTGGGACTGAGTTTAGTTTGCAAGACAGCAGCAACATCGAGCAGGTGTTATCCCAGCCATTGCAACCAGATTTGAGGAATGGTAAGCAAAAACGTGGGAGGAAAGTATGGTTTCAAATTGGACAATTTATTGGCTATGTGAATGAGTATCCTACAATATCTCTCTGTGCCTCAGTTTTCTCATGTGAATAATGGGGATGATATTTATGCTGAAGGCTGTTTGACAAAATGAATGGATGGGATATAACAAGGTCTCAACAAATAACTTTTATTATTGTTATTATTCTTTTAGTTATTGTTATTATAAAGATCTTCTAACCTAACTTGCCTGCTTTATAGGTGAAGAAATTGAAGGCTGAATAATACATGTGACTTGTCACTAAGTTTGTGTGTAGGATATCTTCCCGTTCCCCCCCCAGATTGCCTATTTGCTCCATTGGCCCTCTTTTCCAGGAGCCAACTTCTATGCATGCCATTGACATGGCTCAAGTGCTTATTAGGTTTTGCCAATAGGGTGACTCAACAGAAGATAAGAAAGAAGGAAGAAGATGAGGTCGGGGTATTTATTTTCTTGGCTCCTTCCCTGAGGGCTCCTATCAGTTGGCTGTGTATCTCTGCGGAAGCCTACAGGTACCCTCAAAGCAGCTGACAGTACATGATTTTCTTTTTTAGGGATCCTGAATGATTCCTTTCAGTCTACAGATGGTAGCAAGTTCGCAGTTAACAGCTCTGAGCTATTGAACCATTCTTTTTTGAAAAGTGTGTATCAAATTATCCTACTTTGAGTATTTCTGATAGATGCAATAAGTGAGACGGCACTGGTGTCCAAGACTCTTTGTTCTTGGTGCACCATCTTTCCCACATATCACTTTATTTCATTCATATACTCTCTAAATTATTTATGAAGAATAAGGCCCTTTGCTGGGTGCAGGAGATATAAAAATCTCCAAAACATGAGAGCCCAATCCTCTGAAACACCATGTGATGGTACTCCAATGCAGGGGTTAGCATTTTTTTTTATAAAGAGCTAAATAGTACATATTTTAGGCTTTGAGCTGTATGTCTTTGTTGCAACTACTCAACTCTGCGATTGTGCAAAAGTGACCTTAGGCAATACATCGACAAATGAGTATGACTATGTACCAATGAAACTTTATTCATGGCCACTGAAATTTGAACTTTATATAATTTTCACATAGCACAAAACATTCTTCCTCTTTTGACTTTTTTCTCCAAACATTAAAAAATGTGAAAACAATGTTTAGTTTTTGGGCCACGCAAAACCAGGCAGCAGGCTAGATTTGGCCCACAAGCTATAGTTTGCCAACCCCTGCACTAAAATATGAACTTAGCACTAAGAAAGCAGAGTTAAGGAGGCCAACAGTTGGGAGGAGGAAGCTGAGAGAGAAATCATAGAAGAGGTGACATTTGCAAGAAGAATTGATGGATTATGGAGTTTGTTTGGTGGAGAAGAAGGGAAAGTGTCTGTAAGGCACAAGTGATGAGCAAAAGCAAAGAACCATAGAAGTACAAGATATTATCAGGGTTGGGGCCTGAACTGGTAAGGCCAGAGAAAAAGGGCATGGGGGTAATGGGGAGAGGTCACCTTGGCAGGGGCTTCTGAGCTACATGCTGGAGGACCAGAATCCCTGCTGAGAAATTGGGCTTTGGAGGTAGAGAAGGTGGGAGGTGGGGTCTTGGGCTGAAGCATTAGGCAGACCTGAACACAATCCCAGCTCTAGCATCTTTTCTCTCTTTTTTTTTTTTGATTTTCAAATAGTTTATTTGCATGATTAATAATCACATTTCCAACAATGCATCAAGCATCTGAGAATAACATCATTTTGAGTAAACCCAAAAACTCTTCTGAAAAGAACCCCTGCCCACAGGTCAAGCTGCTCAAATGTCCACCATATTTAGTAGCATAGAGAGATGGAGCTCAGAGGCAACCTCCTTTTCCCTTGAATTCCAGATCAGCCTTTGAAGGTGCTTCAGCCATTCAGACAGAGATGTCCCTGGCACCTCTGACAGCTGCATTGCTCCCCTGTGTTTTTATTCTGTGGGCTAGTAGTTAGTTACCTACCACTTTCAAGCTGAATGATTGTAGGCAAATTAACCTCCCTGAGCCTCAATTCTGACATGCAAAATGGTCATCACAACAGCTCCAGCTTCATTATAGTAGTGAGGATTAAATGGGGTAACACACACAGACTGCTCTCAGCAGCACTGGCTCATGATGAGTGTTCAGTGAAGGTTTGCTGTTATTAGCATTATCATGATCAGGCTCATTTGACTAGCCTGGCTCTCACTGTGTTTTCTCTAGTCCAAATTCAGAGCACTCCATGCCATTGCTGATAGGATGGCAGCTGGAAAGTTGGCAGCCCTGAGGTGAACATAAGGTTTCCCTTCTAATGCAGCAGTGATGGCATCAGCCCTAATGAGTTTGCATGGGAAGAAACCTATTTTTTTGGACTTGGACTTCAAGGGCCTTGGGCTCACTGGATGTGGGAGCCAAGGCTGCTCTCCTCAGTTTAGACAACACCTTCACAGAGTGTGTGAGCACACAAGTGGCTATTGTTCCTTTGCAATGTGTTTTCTTTCCTGCTTAGGCTGCAAAGGGAAAGAACAGTGTTCGGGAAGTTCTCCTTTTTAACAATTCCCGCTTGATTCACCTGGTTAGCAGTCTTTGGTGAATCTCCCATGGTACATTGTCTCACCTGGGGGATAAGAAGAGAGGCAGAAACAAGTGGGCATTGTTTGGTAACATCACTTGAGATAAACATGTTCTATTTTTCCTAAGGATGCTCGAAGTGATACATTTGGTGATTCATTTAGTAGCTCTTTAAAAGACTTCAGATCTGATTTGAATGCAATGTGACATAGAAGCCATAGCATTTCACTCCTGAGACACTGTCAAGAAAACTAAGAAATGATGGGGAAGACTGATCACTTATTTTTCTAAACAACAACAACAAAAAGTTGAATTACAATTCAGGCATTTAGTTGAATCATGAAGCTGAATTTTAGGACACATTTGAAAAGAATAATTTAAACTCTACTATTTAAACAAGTAAAAAAATTTTATGAAACTAACAAGTGCTCATTGTATAACATTTGGGGAAGAAAGAAAAAGCTATAGAAAATTAAATAATAATGACTCACAACCCTAACCTCATAGGTTATTTTTAACACTAACTATGTATATTTTCACAATGTTCTTGTTGGTACATCTGAATCCAGATAAATGCACAAGAAGACCAAAAAAGAGAGTCAAGGGAAGGTGTCTTACTCAAGGATACAAAAGTATTGAGTTAAAGAAGGCAGAATGAGAGTTCAATTGTACAGAGTGGTAGGGGTGGTGTGCCATCACCCTTCATCCCCATGCTGGGATAGGGAGGCATGTGTTTGTCCTTCGTTCCAAGTTGCATGACAGAAGCTTCCAGAGAAGCACTAAGAATGCAGACACAGGGAATAGGGGTCTGGTACGTGCCCACCTGAGGACCCTAATGGGGCTGAAGCTTTCAGCATCTCAGAGGCACAGTGGAGCTGTTCTTGGAGGTGCAGGGGAGTTGCAGGTATGAGGAGTAAGTCTGGCTGTTTTGGAAGTGTCTTCACCTGTGTTAGTCCACTTTGCATTGCCATAAAGAAGTATGTGAGGCTGCGTAATTTATAAAGAAAAGAGGTTTATTTGGCTCATGTTCCCACAGGCTGCAAAAGAAACATGGCATGAGCATTGGCTTCTGGTCAGGACGTCAGGAAGCTTTTATTCATGGAGGAAGGGGAGCAGGGGAGTCACATGGTGACAGAGGGAACAAGAGAGAGAAGGGAGGAGGTGCCAGGCTCTTTAAAAAACAAGCTCCCATGTGAACTGGTAGAGTGAGAACTCACTCATCATGAAGGAGATGGTGCCAAGCCATTCAGGAGGGATCTGCTCCCCTGACCCAAACACCTCCCACCAGGCCCCACCTGTACTATTGGGGATCACATTTCAACATGAGATTTGGAGGGGACACTCATCCAAATTATATCAATCACCCACGAGGACTGCTTGAAGGAGCTAAGTGACTCAGTGGAGAGGTGGCCATTGGAAGCTCAGAGGCTGAGGCTTGAAGGGGAAAGGTAGGGTGAAAGACAGGGCTGGGTATTTAGAGCTGTGGATGGAGGCTCATGTGAAACTTCTTGTGGACTCATAGGAAGCTCCTCAAGGAGAGATCATCCTTATTGGGAATCTGCTTTCCCAGAGGCCACAAAGACCAGATTATGTCTGAGCCTGCCAGTGTCACTCTTACCTCTCTCCCTTCATTCGCCTCAACTCTGCGGGAGCCCAAAGGCAGCTTCATGGAGCGAAAGAGTAGAAGAGAAAGGCCAGAGGAGAGAGAAGCAGCTGACTATGTATCTCTCCCTCATTGCAGCCTCCTAAGTGTGATGGTTGATATTGAGTGTCAACTTAATTGGAATGAAGGTTGCAAAGTATTGTTCCTGGGTGTGTCTGTGAGGGTGTTGCCAAAGGAGATTAACATTTGAGTCAGTGGACTGGGAAAGATAGGCCCACCCTCAATCTGGGTGGGGAAAATCTAATCAGCTGCCAGCTCAGCCAAATAAAAGCAGGCAGAACATGAAAACACTAGACTGGCTTAGCCTCCCAACCTACATCTTTCTGCCATGCTGGATGCTTCCTGCTCTCAAACATTGAACTCCAAGTTCTTCAGCTTTGGGACTTGGACTGGCCTCCTTGCTCCTCAGCTTGCAGACAGACTATTGTGGGTCCTCAAATTGTGATCCTGTGAGTCAATCTACTTAAAAAACTCCCCTTTATATATACGTCTATCCTATTAGTTCTGTCCCTCTAGAAAACCCTGAATAATACACTAAGCATGAAGCAGGACCCTGAGTTGGTATAGATATAAAATTTTAAATTGCATTAGTGGATGGTGTATATACTACTTTAATTATTTGATTAAATCATTATTAAATTATTGAATGGTATATTTTAATTATTAAAATGAGGCTTTTCATGCCTGAAGGTGACTAAAGACAATATAAAATACATATATGTGTGTGCATATGTATATAAAATACATATACATATATAAAATCTGAGATGGCCTGGAAAAGTTAAAGGCCTGCCTCAAGAGTTCCATTGCACAAGTTTAAAGGAACAGCTGAAAAAAGAAAGTTGCCTTCTGCTTATACACTCTGGAGTTCATTATGACCAACAAAACATGCTCACATCGAGTTGATATAATAGAGGTTATACAATTTTGACTTTTGCTTTATTATTTAAGATTATAACATGAGTACTTCCTCATATGCAAGAAGAAGTTTCATAACTATTTCATGGCTGTATGATGATCCACTCAATGAATGTGCTTCTCCAGTGATTAGATATTTGGATTGTTTCAAATAATTTACATTGTATGCTCAGAATTATTGCATATACAACTATATAAGCCAAGTGGAACAAGTAATGTTGAACTCTAATTTGTTTTTCATAAAGCATTGGAGTGAATGAATGTTACCACTCACTGGAGGGAATCAACCTAAAACATTAGATTTTCAAGAAATGTGGGCTTCTTTAAAACAACAGGCCACTTGTCCCACTTGACTAAATTCAGAATGATTCTACACAGGAAGTGGGAGGAGTGGGCTCTCAGCCCTCCATTGGGCAATCTGACAAGCTTCCACAGAGGGTATCAGAGATACCACAGATTTAACAGTGAACCAATACCCTGAATGATTTTGATTTCGGGATAGATAGTACACACAACCTAGGAAATTCCCTTTCCTAAAAGTTACCGAACCTATCTTTTCTAGTATTATTAATCCCCAGGACCCACAGTATTTCATCAGGGCTTTAAAATAAGCCTGACCAGTGAGGAGGAGAAATTCATTTTCCCCATTAGCAGACGAGAAAACTGAGGCTCAGAGCTTTTCCAAATTCACTCTATTGGTGGGTAGCAGAGCCTGAGGACTAGAACCTTCTCTCTCCTAATTCATATGTATGTATGCATGCATCTATGTATGTATGTATATAATTGACACTACTTGCAATAATCTGGAATGCATGTATATAGATATAAAATTTTGACACTATTGGCAATAGTCTAGTACTGGAATGGTTTGCTTGGGTGAGGAGACCCTGGAATGTGATATGGTCTGATTTCACTGGTGCAGTGTGTGTTCAATTCTTCAAATTCTTGAATTTCAAGCCAGAGCTGAGCATTTAGCAATTAAGAAAACTCAGTGAAGTATGGTCTCGAAGAGGGAGAGAGCTCTATTCAAAGTGCTTTTTAGAATATACAGCATTTCCTTCCCTTGATGAATACAGTGATCTAAGCTCTCCATTATTCAAACATGGGGTGAATGATAATAAGGCGCTGGCTGGGACTATTAAAGTGAAAAAAATACTTGGAGGGTTTTATAAGCCTTTACATTTAAACTCGTTCGACCTCTTCTCTTGGAGAAAACATTCCCAAGACTCCTTTGCTGCACGCTATTTTTATTTTCTATTCAGGTAAGAGTTGCTAAGAAATCCTTGCTCTCTCCGATGTAAGAGGCAGTGGGTTATAGAATCATCAAAAGAAGACACAGGGAATAACTGCAAGGCGATTGCCTTCCTCCTATGGGGACAAATGCTGGATTCCACCCTATAATGTGTTCCTTGTGAAGCTGAATCTGATTTCACTGGTGGGTGTAACCAGAGACCTTTGCCCCCAAATTCATTGCAAGCGGCTGTGGACAACAAAGGCCCCTCGACGACTGATGAGGAGTTCTTCTGGAGTGAGCGTAATCCAAAACCCATCACAGAGTTTTATTAGAACCAGCAAAGGCGACAGAACTATTGGTCATGACTCCAAAGAAGTTAGAGAAAACCCACACACTTCAGGTACTGATGCAAAGCTATTGCTTTAGCCAGAGGCTTGCATCAGGGTTTTTTGTTTTCTTGCTTTTTTTCTTTTTAAATTTCTTTCTCTTTGACTGAAGGCAGAAGAAAGTACCTGTGTTGTCAAATTTGGGCCACTATTTTGGCTTTATTTTTTCAGCTTTTCGGGAAAATATGATCACAAACCTCTTCTGTTAGTTTAAATTTGACACACATCATCTCTAACTCAGGGTGCTTATGGGAACTAAGTAGAACTTAGCCTTAGCTTAACTTATTTGCTTGGCAATATCCACTTATTTTTATTGTCTTTTTTAGAGGAGAAGACAATCCTTTAAGAATTAATGGAATACAATTCAGACTGAGTCACAAACCTAGCTTTTATCAGTTATCGGGATGCTACCCCAGGAAAAGTTCTCAACTTCCCAGTGGGTTTTGAGACAGCAATTATATCAAAAGCAGTCTAATTACTTAGGGCTTATCATTTTAATTTCACAGATGAGAAAATAAATGTTACTGAGAGAAATTCTATACTTTGCACAAAGAGCAGAGTGAGCAGGTGTGGAGCTAGATGCTCACCGAAGCTCATTCACCATCCACTCAGTTCGCTCTGCAGTGTTTCCTTCTGTAGAAAATACATTCTCTAGATTGCACTTTCCACAGGACATTCACCTACTCTTCCTTCCCCAATCATGCACTTTGCCAAATTTTGGACCAACATATAAACACAAACCTTAGTTTAATTGTGAACTCCAATTTGCTTTTTTTTTTTTTGAGATGGAGTCTCACTCTGTCACCCAGGCTGGAGTGCAGTGGCGTGATCTCAGCTCCCGGGTTCACACCATTCTCCTGCCTCTGCCTCCCAAGTAGCTGGGACTACAGGCGCCTGCCACCATGCCCGGCTAATTTTCTTTGTATTTTTAGTAGAGACGGGTTTTCACCTTGTTAGCCAGGATGGTCTCGATCTCCTGACCTTGTGATCTGCCCGCCTTGGCGTCCCAAAGTGCTGGGATTACAGGTGTGAGCCACCGTGCCTCACCTCCAATTTGCTTTTAATCACCTCTCCTGCATTTCTTGATCTAAACTGGCATCACAATATGCTATAAATTATGGAAAGGAGGGATTTTTGATGTGTGGGATATCAGAGCATTCATAATTCTGTTTCCAGAAACATACTACTTTCTGGACCACCCCAAATAGTACATCAATGGAGGTTTTGAGATAATTCTATTATGACAGCATGGATGATACTATAGTATAGTTTTTATTTTATATGTCTATCAAATCAACTAGTTTTAAACTCAAATAGGGCAGGTGCTGAGTTTCCTAAATTTGTAAGTGAATTTAATTAGGTACATGAATTGGCTGTAGGACATTTTTCTAGACCGAACCAAATAAAACTTTACATTGGGTACATATACACACAGTCATTTAACAGACTCATATTCACACTTAAAAAAATTTACTGTATTTAATAAACTCCTCCTTCGTATAAGCCAATATACTGTCTATACCAGGCAGTGAGCCATACATATGAGGTCTCTGCCCTCACAAAGTCTCCTGGTTAGCTGGGAAAACATAATTATACAAATAATGGCAAGTGCAAAGAGTTTAATGAAGAAATAAGGTGGGGGCTATGTAGGCATAGCTTTAAGAAGTGTGGGCAGAGATTGCTAAGAGGGCTTTCTGGAGAGTATAGCATTTAAGCAGAAATGTAAAGAGTGGTCAGGAATTAATTAGGTAAACTGGGATGGGGAGAAAGTTTATTCTAAGCAAAAGTAACCAACACATGATAACATCAAAGATGGGACAATCTATGGCACTTTTCTGACACCGACAAAAGTCCAGTGTGGCTGAATTGTAGAAATAAAGTCCTGTGGTGGGTTTGAGGGGGTGCTGAAGTAATGGGTCAGGAATGTGGTGGCACCAAAGAGCAATCGGTGTTGATGCATTTAAAATTTTGAGCAGCAAGATTTGATTTGAATTTTTTAAAAAATGCCTACATTTCCACATAAAGCATGAATTGGGAGGGTGCAAGGATGGATTTGAAAAGACTAGTAAGGACGCAAATATAATAAAGTTACATAGGCTGGTGGCTTTAACTAGGATGAAAAGTGTAGAATAGAAGAGGAGAGAGTTAAGCAAATGGATTTGAAAAATACTGAAGGAGTGTAATCAATCAGTTATTGATTGACTTTATCCATGTGGGAGGATAAAAAAAGTGATCCAAGATAAAGTTGCAAATTTCTAATTTTAACAACTATTGGATGGTGGTACCATTTATCAACATAAAAAACCTGGGGAAAGAGCAAATTTGGAGTGGGATGGTCATAATAACTGTATTACCTGACAATTACTGAGCATTTACTATGTGCCGATAACTGTTTTATATATATGTATATGCTCATTTCATTTTCTTATTACTTTTAAGTAGATACAGTTATGAATAGTTTATTTAACCCCCCTGCCCCCGCCCCCACACACACATTGAGTCATATAGCTGTACCTGGAAGGACTAAGATTTCAACACAGTCTAATCTTAGAAACTCTGAGTTTACCTATTACCCTATTTGAGGGTTCATGTAGAAATGGTGATTAGCAAATGAAATATATAGTTCTAGATCTCAGAAGCGAAGACTAAGCAAAAGATCTACACTAGGGTCTCATTGGATTAGTCATGATGGGCTATAAAATCTCAATGTTTTAACAGAAGAAATGTTTATTTCTTGCTCATGTGTCCCTCTCTGGTGGCTCTCCTCGGCAGCTCCTCTCCAAACATTGACTCAGGGATCTAGACTTCTTCCAACCCGTGGTTCAACCACTCTTTGGAATTTCCTTGGAGTCCTCCACTGGTTTCTCTGCATTCAGTTAGCTGATGAACTAGGAGAAAGGAGTGCAAGATTTCTCATGGTATTTTAAGGGGCAAGAACTGGAAGTGGTATGCACCATTTCCACCCAAATTATGGTGGCCAGAGCAATTCCTGTATCCATAACTGGTCACTTACATTTAGCTCTTGGCTCAGGAGGAAAATAGATTTTTCATAATCATATAGATGGTGATTGAAGCCATGGGAGTGAATGAGCTCACTTAATGAATGAGTAAAGACTTAGAAAGATGGCCTAGGTCCGATATCTGACAAGATCTGTATAATAATGATGATGATTAGTAATAGTGAAAACTTTTAGAGCACTTACCGTGTTCCAGGCACATCTACATATATTAATTCATGGACTCCTTATAAAAGCCCTTTGATGTACTGCTATTATTATATCTTTTTATATAGATAAAGAAATAAAGTTACAGAGATAGTAAATAACTCTCTGGAGGTCACATAGTAAGTAAGTGGCAGAATAAGAATTTGAAGGGAAGGCAAGTAGTTTGTTTCCAGAGTCTATGAGTTTAATCTATGTCATATGCTACATAATTACTAACCTCAAGTACCTGAAAAATGTCACATTAATATGTAAGTATCTTTGCTACGAGTTCCCAAGGGGCAGGACTAAAACTAATAAATGGAATTTAAATTATGGAAGTGTTCAGCCCTGGAAGAAGGCAGCTCTAACAGAGCTATCTAAAAGAAAGCAAACTGCATCCTGAGCTAGTGAGATTCTCATCAGTTGAAGTACCCAAGCATAAGAAGAACAAATCCTTGGTAAGGATGTCATAGAGAGGATTCAAGCATCAAATGAGTGCTTGGGAGAGATAACATTTTTTATTATTAATTTTTATTTTAAGTTCCAGGATACATAACATTTATGTTTTCCATATATTCACCAATTTCTTCCAGTGAATGTATAACACTTCTGCCAGCCTGATTTCTGAATTAGTTACTTATAGTAAGTTCCAATTTCCGCATTTTCCACGTACTGGCCCTAAAAATAGGAGGAGAAAGGAAAGAAAACATAAAAGAAGAATGTGCCTCTGTCATTCAGATCTTATAACTTACATAAAGAGAGAAGACACACACGCGTGTATCATCCCTTGAATTGCCAGAGAGCCACCTATTTAGAATCTTATCGGGAAGAGATTGAGAAGTGATTTATAGATGGCAGAGGATCTCAAGGTTAGTTCAGATGTGTTAGCTCTCTGCACAAAAGTCCTTTTGTCCCTTCACTATCAAGGTGGTTCTCCAGTTTTAGCAAGCATTGAATCACTTGAAGGGCTTGTTAAATCAACCTCAACTTTCTTATTCAGTAGATTTGGATTAGGGCCTGCAAATTTGCATTTCTAACAAGTTCCCAGGTGATGTTGCTGCTGCTGGTCATGTGATCACACTTTGGGATTCCTGCTCCAAGGCTTATCACTCAATACCATAATCTTCAGTTTATGTGTCTAGCTTCTTCTTTTGAACTGGAACACAGACGATCTTGTCTTCGAATATGCAGGGTCCACCCTATTGTTCCTCAGTAAATTTGTGTGAAGTAAGTAATTTGAAAGAAATGTGTAGTTTTCTAGAAGCACAAAGAGGGAAAGAAACTATGGCAGTCAGCAGGGAAGAATCCTATGTTCTCTCCTCCCACATGTTTGGAAACATGATTCATGCTTGGAGGTGTCTTAGATTAAAAGCAACCTTATGCAAGTACAAATGTGTATACAAATACCCCATTTTATAAGTATGCACACAGGACTACAGTCCCCAAAGGGGCATCAGAATATTTTCTTCTCACCTTTCTTTTTTGTCATTTTCCTTCCTCTTCAGACTGTCACAGCCACTTCATGAAGGAAAATATTCTTTCTTGTATGTTGAATGTAATTTGCCCCTTCCTGGAGTCCATTCCCTTTGGGTTGGCGCTGGCTGAACTTTGCAGTCTTCACTGAAGGGGGAACCCTTTCTCACTGTTCTCTGGGAGAGCAGCCCCTTTGAAGTCACAGCTGGCTTGACTAAACTCATTTCCTCCATCCACAATGTGCCTCTGATGTAGTGTTGGCTGAGGCTCCCTCTTGCCGGCTCCTGCTCTTGAAACACACCCAAGTGCAATGTTCAATGTGAGTGTTTGGCTTGGCTTAAATTTGGCCAAATCATCTGTACTTTGTTTCATTTGAAAGCCTTACTTTTTTCTTGCTCTCTCTTTTTCTCTCTCAACTAGTTCATTCCAGATGTTTTTGATTTGTCTTTTTGTGGTCTACTCCACCCAGTTCCTAAATCAGTAAATCATTTTCGTGCTTCTTCCAAAATCTAAGGAAAGAAAATGCTCAATTAGAGAGAAACTGATTATAGGTCTCATAGAGCTTATACTTGGGGATGGCTGCTCTCCTCAGGAACTACCTTTGAAAGGTAGGAGAAAATGTCTTCCAAATGAGGATCTTAGATTTGGCTTCACCATCCTTTCAACTTTTTAGCATCTGGACTAGGAGAGTAGGCAAAATATTGATATGCTAATATAATGCACGTCCAAGCTCATCCTCTACTTTAAGTCTTGATATATAATTGCTATTCTTGCTTGAAGTCGTTCAATTACTGAAGTGCAAATAGAAGTTCCCATTCTATGAACTCATATGTGGTAGCGATAGAATGTACTAACATATAATATTAATGGCCTTTCTCTCTTTACTGTCACCTTTTACCCTTCTCAGCATTTTGATTGTGATGATGTGGGTAAGGGCAAAGTGTTTGCTTTATTGTTATTATGCAGGGTGAAGAACTTGTCCTTGGTGGAAATCACAGACCTGATAGGCTAGTGAAGGAATTTAGAGAGAAAACTCAGTAGACTCCCTGAATTTGGGAAGAGAGTTTTGGATATATTGAGAGCAAAGATGAGAGATTGAAGGTAGCTGATTGTATAATAAGCTAGAAAAAAGAGAAGAAAATTTTAAGACATTTTGCCATCACAAATGCAATTTCTTTCTGGTGCCTTTTCAGGTGATTTTAGTTAAGATGTACATGTCTTTCCAAGATTTTTTTTGGAGAGGACATGTTTTATCTTTTGGATTTGATATTCATATGAGACATTTCATTCAGGTTGCACCTATAAAATGTTGCGATACTTAGTTTATTTCATTCTGCTGTATCATTATCTGACACCAGGACCCAGCAGAAGGCAAATGGCTTTTAGAGCTATACAGATGCTCTAGTTTTTTCGTGAGAAGAAGAGTTCTAGTTACTCATGGAGTATTGCATTTAATTAGGTTAATTACTCAACTTTTCTGAATCATTTCTTAAAGGTGATTATATTAATATCAAACTTTCAGGACCATCTTAAACATTAAATGAGCTCATTTAAAGTACCTGTCACTGGTAAAATTTGTAACTGGTGTGTTGAACAATCATGAATCATAAAGTGGCATCAAAACACAGCTTCACTTTGATCTTCAACTTTAACTTTGTTATTTAGTTACTCAGTTATCGAGGCCACTGGTTGAAAATGTCGGCAGATTGCATCAATTTTTGGACATTCTTAGATAATAGATAATAGATGATAGAAAATTATCCAATCACTCTGTATATCAAAATCAGATGAGTCAGAAATGTCCAGTAAATGTCAAATTCAACATGGTAATCTAGAAATTAATATTTTAGTCTTCATTCAAAGATTAGACATCTTCCCCTAACCCATTTATTAAGTTAGGCAACCTAAGTAGGCCAGTCTATGTTTGGGAGGATGGGGTATGATTAGTCCCTTCTTTCCACTCACCTTCCTTCCCTTCTTTATTGCATGTTCACCTATTTTCTTAAGCTTGAATTGACAGCCTGTCCTGGGCTGAATGCAGGAAGAGAATTTGGATAGATGTGAGAATTCTGATTTGGCCAGTTGTGAAATGCTTCTTATTTGAGCCTGGCCAATGAGTTCAGCTAACTCTTTCTCTAATGAATATTTCTGTGGGATCTTTAGAGCCTCCTCAACTGAATTTCTTTTAGCAGGATGTCATGGATGTGGGAAGTGTCTTGACTTTTTGTCAGTGTAATCCTGATCCACAGTAAACTCATATTTCTGGCAGTCTACTCAATATATGCTCAATGGATGTCTTTGCCCTGTGGCAGAAGCCCTATTTGGCAGATCTGTATTTAAATGACTGATCTTTCCAGTGAAATTCAATATGAGAAGACTGCAGTGCACACTGAGGGAGGTGCAGTGATTTTCCAGACCCCTATTCCCATCCTGTGATAGCAGGCCATTTCACCTTCTACCATACCTGAATATTCTCCAGGCATATGTTACTCATCAGGCCACAGCATTTCCCCATATTCTCTCCAGAATGCACAAAACATTCTCTTCAGCCAGAGAAACTCTCTTTAATCTTACAGTAAAATAAGGCGGGAGTAGGGGAGAGAGAGATGGCATCAGAGCACAGCTTTTTAAAAACAAACATTCTCCAGAAAAACATTCTTTCTAATCTCTATTCTTTCATCACCCTTTTAACATCTCTGTGGGTTTTAGATCCATATGACTCTCAAACTTACTTTGAAATTTCTGCAGGTGACATAGCACCCCACCTTGGAACTTTTTATCTATTTCATCTTGCTGCTTTAATAAAACCTTCCAAGTTTACATCCTGTTATATACTCAAATGTCACAATTTTTCCATTTTAATGTTACCAAATGAAACAAGGTTTTTGAAAACTGTAGCAATTATAATGCCTTTGGCACACTCTGTGATATACCTAATATGACCATACTCACAGAGATGTATAAGAAAATAATTTTAATTAAATTGAACTCCTCAGGTTTGTCTTAATTATCACATACATAGAACTGTGGTATAGTTGAGTGTTCTATAAATATATGCTGAATTAAAGAAAATGAGTTATCATGAACTCTGACTTTGCCATTTGGCTTTGTAACATGAGGTGAAGCAATACTTCAAAAGATAGTTTCTTATTTATCAAATTGAAATTTTGTTGCTATCACCCATGAGCCCCTGTTATTAATAGCTATAAAAGCCTCAGAATTTTGTCATTCTACACATGGATTTTTCTCATTATAATAGTTTCACACGTGTGCCTCATATGGTCAAGTAGACAGCAAGAGGAATGTGGGTAGGGACTATGAATCACCTGTGTGTTTGCAGGTGTAGATGTAGTCAATAAAGTTTTTCACCTCATCTTCTATAAAGAGCCCAACTGTCCTAGATGAGAGAGGCTAATATGGATCAAAGGCAATGCCAAGGATTCTATTATTGGGTAACCTTTCTAATTGGTGGATGATTAAGAACTGATTAAAGGATATAATGTCACTGTAGTGTTGTCTTTTGGAGTCTCCTCCTTGGTTTCTCTTCTGAACATTATGAAATTTGTGAATTTTGTACATAGATATATAGGCAAAGTAATTTCTGTAGGATTCAGTAATCTACAAGTCCTATGCAGAAGAGCCATCTGTGAAAGCTCAAAGGAGGGAGTGGTCACTTTACCTCTGTGGGGTTAGGAGGAGTTTTCACAGAAGAGAGGAAGTTGGATGAGTCTTAGAGAATGATTAAGCATTTATGAGATAGAAAAGGAAGAAAGAAAGCTGACCTTAGGTAGAGGAAAGAGGAAGCATTGATTATCTCTTCCTTTCTGTGGGATTGGCAATAACTGAGAAAACAATGAAGAATTAGGGATGCAAATATCAGCTTTAGCAATATATACTAACAATAAAAATACACTTACCTATGATACATTATTTCTCTTCTGAGACACACAACCTAGAGAAGCTGTCATATATGTGGATATGGAAATACGTCACAAAATATTCATCGCAGTATTATCTGTAATAGTGAAAAATGAGAGACGATTTAAATATTTATCATCATATATATGCAGCATATTAGTCTGTGGGAGTGCTACAATAAGGTGAATGAGCTAGCAATACATCTATCAATATGAATAAATCCTTACAACATAATATTGAGTACAATAAACTTTTTATAAGAATGTTAATATGATACTCTTCACATTTAAAGTTTATAAATATGCAAAAATCCTAGATATTGTTAAACAATACTTTCATGTTAGTATGAAAACATTCAGTAAAATGATAAACACAAAGTTCAATGGTGGTTCTCTCTGGGCTAGGAAATGTGTGAGAGAAGAATGGGAACAAAAAGATATATACAAATAATATCAATTGTATTGCTAGTGTTAGCTCTTAAGCCTAGTGACAGGGGAATTTTTCTTTATGGTATTCTTTAGAATTATCTGAACATGTTGGATGCCTGAAATATATGTGACATATACCTGTACACAAAAAGTATTTTAAAAAATAAGGCTTATTGCTGACAAATGTACATTGGGACATATGACTTAGGCTCAACACCAAATGGGCTCTCAGTGCTTCCTTCTAAACAAACTTTGCCCCCCATCACAGAGCAGAAAATCTCTACACTACTGACCTTGTCACAGTGCAGCAGGAACAGAGAAAAAAGCATGATCCATGGTCCAGGTAATGAGTCACAGAGGTTGACTAACTTGTTCCCCTCATCCATTAATCAGACAAAACTTTCCTCAGCAGAGGCATGAGTGAGAGGTTGTATTAGTCTGTTCCCATGATGCTATGAAGAAATACCCAAGGCTGAGTAATTTATAAAGGAAAGAAGTTTGATTGATGTGCAGGTCTGCAGGGCTAGAAGCCTCAGGAAACTTACAATCATGGCAGAAGGGGAAACAAACATGCCCTTCTTTATAGGGCGGCAGGAGAGAGAATGCCAAGCAGAAGGGGAACGCCTCTTATAAAACCATCAGATCTTGTGAGAACTCACTCACTATTACAATAACAGCATAGAGGAAACCACCCCCATGATTCAATTACCTCCCACCAAGTCCCTCCCATGACAAGTGGGGATTATGGGAACTACAATTCAAGATGGAATTTGGGTGGGGACACAGCCAAACCATATCTGAGATGGAGGAATGGTCAAAGCTTGTCCTTGTTATTTCTGAGAAAGCAGAAGTTTCTATTATGAGCCCAATCCCTTCCCTTTCCTCTTTAATAGCCTGAGCCCTCAATTACTACTTACATTATTTATTAGAAGATAAGTTTTATTGATATAAAATGTGTCCAAGTTATCTATAGCTATTCTACTATATAAACTAGGGCTGTAGTTAATGTAATTAGATTTCTAAAGAGTTTCATGATTCTTTATTTGGAAAGATAAAGGAAACAAGCACCTCTTGAGTGCCCATCATGGCTAGCCTTTTGTAACCTTGGGAACTGTGATGCCCTGCTCTGACTGTTTCCCTGAAGAAGCATCCCAAATTGCAAACAGCTTATGAAACAAGAGAACCTGATTAGACAGCCTCAGATATGTTCGGGTAACTAGTGTTCCACAAATTACTTGAGAAAGACTGATGGAGAACCAAGAAAAGCCTGGCAAGGTTAGCAATTTTTTAATTCATTCAGACATTGCTCTCACAGGCTTTCGATACAACATATTTTCCCCAAATTGTAATACCTATAGATCACCTTGGGAGGCTCTGCATAAAAAAACATGGCCATGATGGCTGATGAGTGGAGTCTTGAGAGGGAAAAGGGGTATTACTGATTTCCAGAACCTAGTTCTACTAGGTTTCAAGGTCAGGAGCAGAGCCAGTTTGGAATTAGGAATAAGCTGTTGGTTGAAATTAGAGGTGAACTACCATAGTAGTTACCATAGTGAGTTACCGTAGTAGTTACCCCAGTGAACCTTGAATAAGTACCTAAGAGCACTACATGGCATTGAAGTTGGGCATCATGCCCATTCTCTCATCACCAAAGTTCTGTAAAAGAGGAACAAATTGGAACTGTGTTATAAATAATATGACAGTCATGTGAATTATATAAATATTAGTTTTAATTCTATTTGATTTGTTACAGAGTAGATAATAAATTTTTCATCAAGAGAATAAAACAGGAAGATACTATGTCCTTTATGGAGGAAAACCTACCGTGACTAATCTAAGCAATCTATAAGTCCATTCCTAGATATTTCAGTCTAGAAGCAACACTAAGAAAGCCAACAGTCAGACTGGAAGTGCCATATCACAGAAGCTGGAGGTTAGACAATGAGGACTCCAGTCAGGGTTCCCAACCAAACAGGTCTATAATGTTGGGGGAGAAGTTGCTTAAGTTCTCTAAGTAAAATTTTCTGATGTTACTGATCTTAAAGGTGTTCAGTGAGATAATGCATGTAAATAAGTAAGAATATAATGGGTCATTCCAAAGTGGACTTCACTTTTTCCCTTAAAGGTCGCTGCTCGACTTCAAAGCTGAGGATTTGAAGTCAAATCAAATTTCCCATCACCTAGCACCATCTGAGAATTCTAGTCACACACATTCAGAGAGACCTTTCTCATGGTGTTTCTACAATTCTGTTGCCAGTCTTGACTAGGAGGCGGGGGGAAATCATTACAATATTTTGGAAATGCTTATTCAGTTTTTCTTTTTGTCTAGTGGTGGGTGGATTTAAGTTATTTCTCTGAACACATCTGCCCTGAATTTGCATACATAATGAAAATGATTGTTTGTTAAAATGTTTTGTTTTGTGTGTGTGTTTAAATTTTTATTTTGAAATATTTTGTTGTGGCTGAAATACATGCTTTCCTAAGAGGAATTCCCTTATGAAAAAAAAAATGTGGATAACCCATAGGGTATGGCTGCTCAGAGAAAGAACACAAGACTAGAAATATTCATAATTCCAGCAATTCCCAGCTGTGGGGAGGAAGGAGTCAATTATCATTTAAACAAAATGTTTATTGAGGTGTAGTTATATACACAAGTCTTAAACGTAAAAATTAATAGATTTTATGTATGGAATATTCTCTTTCTTTTTAAACTTTAGATTCAGTGGGTATACATGCATGTTGTTACATAGGTATATTCCTTCATGTTGAGGATTGGATTTCTAGTTAACTTGTAACCAAATACTAAACATAGTACCGAATACGTAGTTTTTCAACCTTCATCTCCTTCCCACTCTCTCCCCTTTTGGAGTCCTCAGGGTCTCTTTCCATTATTATGCCCATGTGTACTTATTGTTTGGCTTCTACTTAGTGAAAACATGAGGTATTTGATTTTCTGTTTCTGAGTTGTTTCACTTAGGTTAATGGCCTCCAGCTCCATCTGCATTGCTATGAAGGACATGATTTCACTCATTTTATGGCCGCATAGTATTCCATGGTGTATATATACCACAGTTTTTAAAATCCAATCAACCATTGATGGACACTTAGGTTGATTCCATGATTTTGCTGTTGTGAATAGTGCTGCAGTAAACTCACAGTGCAGGTATCTTTCTGATAAAATAATTTATTTTCCTTTGAGTATATATCCAGTACTGGGATTGCTGGGTCAAATTGTAGTTGTAGTTTTAGTTCTTTGAGAAATCTCCATACCGTTTTCTACAGTGGCTGAACTAATTTACATTCCCACAAACAGTCTATAAGAATTCCATTTTCTCCATATCCTTGCCAACATCTGTTATTTTTTGACTTTTTAGTAATAGCCATTCTGACTTGTGTGAGATGGTATCACATTGTGGTTTTAATTTGGATTTCTCTGATGATTGGTGATGTACATTTTTTCATATGTTTGTTGGCCACTTGAATGTTTTCTTTTTAGAAGTGTTTGTTCATGTCCTTTGCTCACTTTTTAATGGGGTTATTTGGTTTATTGCTTGTTGATTTATTTATTTCTAATAGATTCTGGATATTAGTCCTCTGTCAGATGCATAGTTTGCAAGTATTTCCTCCCATTCTGTAGGCTGTGTTTAACCTGTTGATTATTCCTTTTGCTGTGTGGAAGGTTTTTAGATCAATTAAGTCCCATTTATCTATTTTGTTTTTGTTGTGATTGCTTTTGAGAACCTGGTCATAAATTCTTTCCCTAGGCAAATGTCCATAAATGTTTTTCCTAGGTTTTCTTCTTGGAATTTTATAAGTTTACACCTTACATTTATGTCATTAATCAATCTTGAGGGCTTTTTTTTAATAATGTGAGAGATAGGGGTCCAGTTTTATTCTTCTGCCTACAGTTTGCTAGTTTTTCCAGCACCCTTTATTGATTAAAATCTCTTTTTCCCTATTGTTTATTTTTGTTGACTTTGTTGAAGATCAAATAATTGTAGATTTGTGGCTTTATTTCTGGGTTCTCTTTTCTGTACCTTTGATCTCTTTCTGTCTGTTTTTATACTAGTACCATGCTGTTTTGGTTACTAAAACCTTGTAGCTTAGTTTGAAGTCAGGTAATGTAATGCCTCTGACTTTGTTCTTTATTCTCAGGATTGCTTTGGCTATTTAGGCTTTTTTTTTTGGTTGGGCCCTATATAAATTTTAGGGTTTTTTTCCCCTAATTCTGTGAAAAAATGACATTGGTAATTTCATAGGAATTGCATTGAATCTATTGATTACTTTGGGAAATAGAGTTATTTTAATGATATTTATTCTTTCTATCCATGAGTATGGGATGTTTTTTCATTTGGTTCATCTATGATTTCTTTCATCAGTGTTTTGTAATTCTCCTTGCAGAGGTCTTTAACCTCCTTGATTAAATGTATTCCTAGATATTTGATGGCTTTTTTTGTGGCTATTGTAAATGAGATTGAGTTCCTGATTTGGTTCTCAGCTTGAGCATTATTGGTGTATAGAAGTGTTACTGATTTTTGTGCATTCATTTTGTATCTTGAAACTACCGAAGTCATTTATCAGGTCTAGGAATCCTTTGGAGGAATCTCTAGAGTTTTCTAGGTATATAGTCATGTCATCAGTGAGTAAGACAATTTTACTTCTTTTCCAATTTGGATGACTTCTGTTTCTTTCACTTGACTGATTGCTCTGACTAGAACTTCCAGTACTGTGTTGAATAGGAGTGGTGAGAGCGGGCATCCTTGCCTTGTTCCAGCTATTAGGGGGAATGCTGTCAACTTTTCCCCATTCAGTATGATGTTGGCTGTGGTTTTGTCATAAATAGCTCTTATTGTTTTGAGGTATGTTCCCTCAATGCCTAGTTCATTGAGGGTTTTTATCATGAAGGGATTTTGCAATATTTTCAATACCAAAGAGGGGGCCTTCATTTCACTTCCTACGTCCATACCTGTTCCAACCTCCCTGAAATCAGGTAAGCAATATTCTGACTACTATCACCACAATTTAGTTCTTGACTTTTATGTAATTTAAGTATACAAAAATAGTGTGTCCTTTCTTGTAGGTATCTTCTTTCTCTCATTCATTGCTTTGCCTGTGAAACCCAATGGTAATATTGTTTGTAGTAAATGTTCTGTTTTATTGTTGCATAGTATTCCATTTTATGAATTTGCTGCAACTCATTTATCCATTCTACTATAGATAGACATTTGGATTGTTCTAGTTTTTAGTTACTATAAATAAAATGTTTTGAAATTCTTATACTTTGAGTGGGGTTCAAAATGAAAGAAGGCTCTGCAACAGGTCCAGGCTGCTGTGCAAACTGCTCTGCCACCTGGGCCATATGAGCTAGAAGATATGATTCTTAAAGTGTCAGTGCTATATAGGGATGCTGTTTGCAGTCTTTGGCATACCCCTATAGTTGGATTGCAGCACAAGTCCTTGGGATTACAGAACAGATCCCTGCCATCCTTCACAGATGATTACTCTCCTTTTGAGACACAGGTTTTTTGGCCTGCTACTGGTGTTGTAACTGAGTCTTTAAAAGACATTTCAATTTCTATCAAACTGCCTACTTTAAGATGGTGGGGAACAAGATAAGACTAGTGAATCCTATTAGCGTGGTCCTATTGCCAAACATCTTTGCCCATGAAGTGAGTTCCTTGATCAGAAGTAGTGCTGTGTGTAATAATGAATGTAGGTAAGGCATTCCATGGATGGTAGTTTTGGCAGAAGCATTATGTGTAAGGAAAGCAAATCTCTATTCATAGTAAATGTCTATTCCAGTAAGAACAAAATATTGCCCCTTTTATGATGGAAGCACTCCAATGAAATTAACCTACCCCAAGGAAATGTGCCATATTAGGGATCCTGTGTTAGTCTCTGTTGCTGGAAGATTGAGCACTCAGCAGTGGCCATAGCGAGACTGACCTTACTGAGTAGAAGTCCATGTTGCTGAGCCCATGCTTATCCTCCACTTCTGCCACCATGGCCAGTTTGTCATGAGCCCATTAGGCAATGACAAAGTGGCTGGGGAAAGAAGCTCACTAGTATCTACAGAACTATGAACATCCTGTTCATTTGATTATTAACATCTTTCTCTGCCTAGGTCACTGTTTGGTGAGCACTCATATGGGACATAAACATCTTCATTTTCTTGCAATTCAGAGAGGTCCATCTACATGCCTCTTCCCCTGACCTCCTTGTCACCATCTTACTTCCAAGTCTGTGACTGCAACTGGAATTTACACCACTGGCTTTCCTGATTCTTAGGGCTTTGGACTTGGACTGAAGCTACAGCATTTACTCTCCTGGGTCTCCAACTTGCCAACTGCAGATTTTGTGGCTTCTCAGCCTCCATACTGTGTGAGCCAATGCCTTATAGTAAATCATGTACATACATACATGCATATTACATACGTATGTACATACATTTATACACTTACAGATAAAATATTATATTGGTTTGTTTCTCTAAAGAACTTAGAACAATACAAATTTTGGTAGGCAAATACGCTCATTTACCTATGCTGAGGAATGGAATTGCAGGGTCGTAGCATAGACATATGTTTAGTTTTAGAAGTAGACAGTTTCAAAAGGTTTTTCAAAGTGACAGCTTTCATTTAAGGGGAAAAAGTGATTTTGTTTTCTTTGGGGAGGGAGAAAAAGAGAGCAAGAGATGCTATTGGACCGTATCTTTATAAGTTTCACATGAAACAATGTGATTATGTTTCTCAGATGCTCTCTGTGTTAGGTAGAAGAGGTGGAGAGAATTTTTGTTTTTAGGGAAAATAACCCAAGGGAGGATACTAAGACCCTTTCTTCCTTTTGATTCTTCTTGTTTGCTGCCTTTTGGTAAAGACATAGATCACAGCCTACAGATGGACGAATAAAATAGAGATGTCAAATGAAATCACAGAGCTAAACTGTAAATAACCCTGATGTTTTAATACTCAATCAAACTACAGAAAGATCTGGGGTTACTTTTTCTTAGATCTGCTGTGGGGAAAGAAAGAAAGGAACAAGATTAGTGACAGAGATTAGTGAAGAAACTACATAATTATACCTGTGTCTCTTTCTTTCAAAGCTTAGAATGTACCATGTTAAATACAGTGTCTAGTAAGAATCAATGTTTACTTTGGAAGAAAAATTGTTTCTTGAGGATTCAACTTCCAAAACTATACCACAAAAGAGATAACAAACGTAAGAATCTACTTTATGGTTGCCTTGTAAAAGGAAAAGCAACTTCGGTTAACCTCTCTTTAGGAACCAGGTTATCTATTGCCATGATACTACAAATCACTATCTTGTTAATTATTCACATATGTTCTTGTTCAGACCTTGATGAGTATGTGTTCTGAATATTTACAGGTGGCAATCAATCCCTCTCAGTCATTACAAATTTCTCTTAGGATCAGCAATATGAGTACATTGTCAGCTGCAGGCTTTAGAAGGCATCTAACTATTATATAGGGCTTTGGGGGTATTTTTAAATTATTTGGTTCTATGCCCAAGCCAAATGGGGATCTGGCAACTACCTGCCTTGTGATCAGTGCAAACATATACAGCAGATAATTCAGGTTCTCACAGGAAGAGCTAGATAAACATTTTGTAATGTGAACTCAGGCATATCACTCTCCCTCGTTGGCTCTCAGCCTTTTTATCTGGCAGAAATGGAGGTTGGAGGAGATAATCTCTAAAGGCATCTGCCAGCTCTAATGCTCGATGACTTTATAATTTTCATCTGGAAATGTGGTTATTTTACCAGTAGATCTCAGAGACCTGAATTGTCAATATTTATCAAAAAAAGCTAATCAGTTCAACTAGACAAATAGTGTGTGACCACTAGTGGGCTGACACTGTTCAAAAAAAATCAAGAAAAAGTTGTGGAATAAATTGATGAATAAATAAATGCATGCATCAACACAGAAGACACTACAAAACCAGAATGACAAATTTGTCTGAAAAATAATTACTATACTTAGTTGAATGAAATACTAAAACCGAGTGCCAGCAGATCTCTGAGTAACTTTCCTGAAATCTCAGATGCCCTCTGATTACAGTGCTCAGTGTGGTATAGAGGGAAAGAACATGGGGTCAGAAGATCTGATATCACTTCTTGACCTTGCCACCTATCAGCACTGTGACGTTGGGAAAATCACATAACCTCTTTGAAGCTGACTCATTAGCTCTCAAAGACTTAGTTGAACTTGATAGTTTAACTATCAAAGAGATAATTTCTTAGTGATCCAAGAATTGATGATATTGTGAAGATAAGGTTATTTTACAAACTGAAAATAACTATTCAAGTTTTTACTTCGTATAATTAATAAACAATGTGATTTGAAAACAGAAGGGAATTAATGCAAGAATTAGGACCAGCAGATATCAAGGAGTCTTGACAAAAATGACATTTGGCAAAATAACTATGTTTTTAGTCCTTTCCATTTTCTTGTATGAATCAGGCATAAATTAAGGAATTCAACACAAATTGAGTATTTATTTTATGCCAGGGCCTTTCTACATTTTAAAGATGCAAAAGTACCCATATGTGATTCTTTTAAAAATTATTTTCATTTTTATTTTTTGTAGGTACACGGTAGGTTTTATTTATGGGATACATGAGATGTTTTGATACAGGCATGCAATATGAAATAAACACATCATGGGCCAGGTGCGGTGGCTCATGCCTGTAATCCCAGCACTTTGGGAGGCCGAGATGGGCGGATCACGAGGTCAGGAGATCAAGACCATCCTGGCTAACACAGTGAAACCTTGCCTCTACTAAAAATACAAAAGATTAGCTGGGCATGGAGGCGGGCGCCTGTATTCCCAGCTACTCGGGAGGCTAAGGCAGGAGAATGGCATGAACCCGGGAGGCGGGGCTTGCAGTGAGGCCACTGCACTCCAGCCTGGGCGACAGAGTGAGACTCCATCTCAAAAAAACAAAAACAAAAACAAAAACAAAAATAAGCACTTCATGGAGAATGGGATGTCCATCCCCTCAAGCATTTATCCAATTGCACTCTTTCAGTTATTTTAAAATGTACAATTAAGTTATTACTAACTTGTAGTTCTTGATCTTATAAAGATCACAATCTTGTGGGATTCCTACATATTTGCTGAAAACTCTCTCTGTTTCAGGCAACTGTTAGGTTCCAACAATATAGTGGGGAACATGGAAGGCACTGACCTTGTCTTGAAGAGTTTACATTCAGGCATAAAAGATAGACCTTCAGACAATCAATTTCAAGACAATGCCATAACTGCTATGATAAAGGACTTATGAGTTGTTAAGGGAAGCCATTTGAGGGGTAGTTAGACTAATGCGGAGAAAAGGGGAGAGTGTTTAGAAGTGGTGTAAATCAGTGCTCCTCAAAGCTGAGATGCATAAGAATCACCTGCGGATCTTGCTACAATGCAAATTCTGAACCAATAGGACTGGGGTGGAACCTGGGACTCGGCATTTCTAACAAGCTACCAGGTGGTGTTGATGCTTCTGACCAGTGACTTGCAATGAGCCTTGTGGATATAGGAAACACAATAAGTTTAAAAATAAGCCATTCATTTGACATCTCTGACATGACTTTGCCTGGTTGATCTTTCTTTCTAGAGAAAACAAACAAAATAAAAGACCAACTTTTTAGCTTCCTTCCAATGATTCTCAAAGTTCTAAAGAGGTATGCTCTCTAGGGAGGCATATCTAAACTATCAAATTTTTTTTAAAAACTAAGCCCACTCCAAGCCCTTGGTGCTCCCTTTTCCTGATAATCACCACTACAGTAAGCCCCTTTAAATAAGAGATTGTTGAAACTGTGTATCCTAAAGACATGTCGAGATTGAAAACCACCACTACCGTTTATCACCTGGCACAGATTTAGAGTTTGATAATCTCCATGAAGTCTGTTGATAGTTTTTTTTCTTTAATTCTTCTCACTTTAGAATATCATTATGGAAATAATGTTAAAAGTCCCTCTTTTCTTTCTTCTCAGGGTGTAGGGATGGGTGGGCAAATTGACTGTCAGTTTGAAGGATACACAGTGATGTGAATTACATTGAACCCAGACAATTATCATAGGATGGACAATGTACTGGGTATACCCGTAGACAAAGTCTGGGTACCCAACTCTCGCTTTGTGTGGCTTTAAACAAATTAGTTAATTTCTCTGAGTCTTGATGCCTTACCTTAAAAAACGGTAAATAGCATATGGCTCAGAGAGTGGGCGTTAGGATCCAGTGAGATGATGTGGGTAAAACAGTTGGCAGGTAATAGGTTTTCCATCAATGTTAGTGTCCTTTCTCTTCCTCATTCTATTTGGAGTAAGAGAAGTTTGGATTTAGTGTTCTCCTTCCACAATTTTTTAAGAAAGTCTTCATCTCTATCAAATAGAAGGTATGGAAAACATCTGCTGCTTTTCCTTTCTCTTGACACCAAAAATGTGGTGTGAAAGTCAAGGCAATGAGAAAGATCACCTAAGTCTTCACAATTCAAATGGAAGGGTCTTTGTTTTTTCTGTGAGTTAGGACTCATTATTGAGTTCTGTCCTTTATCTATAGAGATATCTATTCATGAAGTTAGCTCACTATGACTGAAGAAAATTCAGCGATTGGGAGATTCAAGAAGATCATTAGATATTTAGTTAAATTTTTTCCCTGTTACAGTTACACTACAATAAAATGGGTTATCACAGGAGCTAGTGGATTTTCTAACACTGAAGGGTAAACAGATATTGAATATGGATTGTTTAATTAACTAATTCATGCATCAAAAACCTGTTGGACACCTTCTAAGTGTCAGACACTGTGTTCAGCGTTAGGGAAAAGGGTTGGGATTACACACATGATGACCGATATGACCAGATTGAGAACTTGGATCTCCTTCAAAAAATATTCTTCATTTTAAAAAATATTTATTTAGCAGGGTGGGTAGAAACTTTCTATAGATAAAGCTTCTATGTGTAATAGATAGGACTCATTACATGTTCCATAAAATATTTTACTCATTAGAAATTGTTTTAAAATTATAATTTTCCAAATTAGCCTACCTTATTGTGGTCATATTGAAGAGTTTAAATGTTAGATATGTTAATAAAGACACAAATTATAGTCAATAGAACTAAGTCATGCACTATTTGGTCTGGGGATGTAGCTGATTTTGCTGATGCCAGATAGTGCTCAGTTGGCCACCCCATAATAATGGTGAAGCCAAGACTGCATGCTATAATTTATACATGCCTGCAGCAAAAAAGTCTAACAGACAGAGAGTAAGGCTGGTGAGGAATGTTTTAACCTTTCACTCGGGTATGCTATCTCCTTGCAAAGCAGTAGGGCCAGTTTCCATTTTCTAGCTGTGTAAGATTAGTGTGAATAAATATAATCCAATGAGTGCGATATTTCCGGTTTGCTCTAGGTTTCACTATACCTTATAGATTACATATCCCAAGAGGCTGCCTGACTAACTTCTTAATATTTCTTGTTCCCAAGTAGCCTAATGATTCATAAAAGCAGGCGTGAAAACAAATAACCACAAGCTATTGTGATAAATGTGATTATTTCTGTTTGGCATCTGGTCGAGGAGAAACAAGGTGAGGCCACAGAGTGGTCAAGTGGTCACCAGGACTCTATGGGAGCTGAGCTAGATTTGAAAGGACTTCTAACAATAAACAGAAAATATCTAGGCATTTCAGGTACAAGACAGGCTATTGGTTTATGTTATTGTTTCTTTCTTTTCAACAAGATCATTTTGGCTGATTTTATAGACTGTGTCTGTATAGAGGGAAAGCTAGTGATGAAATTCTAAAAAGGAAGTAATTTACTGTTTTCTCAAGAGAATCTATTGATTTTTTTTTTAAAAAAGGGGAGCCATATTCTGCCATTTGAGATGTAAGAGCTCTTTCCTCCAGAATGTTTTTAAAGTCAGAATAGGATTCACTTGGAACCTTTTGTCTAATAATATCTGTAATTAGATGATGTGGAAATGCTTCCCCTATTTTCACTTGCCTAGTTCATTTGGCCTGTGATGAGTATATAGGACTCATTATACCCCAAATACCTAAAAGAAGGAGAATGAGGTTTTGGGGATATAATGTCTTTGTGCTTACTCCCCAAGGATTTCTTTTTAAATCAGTAAAGAGAATATTTACTAAGTGTTGGTGGTGAGCCTTGAATTATGCCCAGTATTATAGGAGTTCCTCTCTCGCCCCAAACTCATTCTACCTCATCCAGTCCTATCTCAGTGAATGGTACCTGTTTCTACACAGCTGCCTAAGACAGAAATTCAGGACCCAACCTGCACTGATCCTTCTTTCTTACCCGCTGTGTTAAGTAAGTACTGTTGATCGGACAGCTATGCTACCTGTCCTTTACTGATAAATGCTGAATTACCCTCGTGTAAGTACCTTAATCACTTTGATTATGAAAATTACTTTTTTAATTATAAAAATTTCAAAAATACATAAAATTATAGTGTAACATAAAAACATCGCTATACTCCCCGCCCTATTATTAACAAAACTTAACATCTTTTATACATACTTCAAACTTTGTTAAAAATAAAACATAGGCCGGGTGCGGTGGCTCACACCTGTAATCCCAGCACTCTGGGAGGCCAAGGCAGGTGGATCAGGAGGTCAGGAGATTGACCATCCTGGCTAACCGTCCTGGCCAACATGATGAAGCCCCGTCTCTACTAAAAATACAAAAAATTAGCCAGACGTGGTGGCAGGCGCCTGTAGTCCCAGCTACTTGGGAGGCTGAGGCGGGAGAATGGCCTGAACTTGGGAGGCAGAGCTTGCAGTGAGCTGAGATGGCACCGCTACACTCCAGCCTGGGCGACAGAGCGAGATTCCCTCCATTTCAAAATAAATAAATAAATGAATACATACATACATAAATACATACATAAATAAAATACAACATAAACATAGTTGAAATTCCATTTAGTATTTATCTGTTTCCTTTACCCTCTTTCTTCCTTCATCAGAGACAGAGATTGCGCCACTGCACTCCAGCCTGGGTGACAGAGGGAGACTCCATCTCAAAAAAAATAAAATAAAATAAAACATAAACATAGTTGAAATCCCATTTAGTATGTATCTGTTTCCTTTACCCTCTTCCTTCCTTCATTAGAGATAAGAAGCCATGCAGTTGTTGTACATTCTTCTATTTTATGTTTTTAAAAATATTTATTACACATACATGTATTTATAAATAGCATTTGATATTCTGTGTATTAAAATATATCAATATGGTATTAAACTGTATACATGATCTTATCATTACAACTTTTTCTTTTATGTTTCAATCTTAATGAAATTCTTTATTTGTCATCATTCTGGCTCATTCTAGCTTCCTCCCCTTGCTTATATGTAAACTCCTGGTCCAACAGCAAGAAACCTGACTCTTACCTTTGAGATCTATTTACTTAATTGTTCAATTTCAGTATACAGACAGTCCCTGACTTACAATACTTCAACTTATGATTTTTCAACTTTATCATGGTGAAAAAGCAATGAATTCAGTAGAAACTATACTTCAAATTTTGAATTTTGATCTTCTCTTGGGCTAGCAGTAGGTGTATTAAAAGTATCTTCAACTTACGGTGTTTTCAACTGACACTGGGTTTATCCAGGAGTAACCCCACTGTAAGTCTAGGAGCATCTGCAATGTTTCATAATAACAGAATTGTTAACCTGCATCTCTGTGGGAAGCAACTTTATCAGCTAGAGCACAGTACTTAAGTACAATTTATTTTGCCTTTCTACAGCATCTACTTGTTTCCAAAGTTATTTGGGTCAGCATTTTCCTCCACCCACCACTTAAAACTGATTTGTTTCATACATTTGAAATGTATGAAAAGCCAGAAATCCAGGACCCACCCTGGCCTGCTCCCTTTTTCTCACCTACTGTGTTAAGGTAAGTACTGTTGATTGGCCAGCTATGATACCTATCCACTTTTACTGATAAATGGTTACATTTGTAATGATTACATTTGTAATGTATGAAACAGAATCTTTTGTCACAGCTGCATTCCATTGGAGTGTCTGGAACCTGTAAATAATTTTTAAAATTTGCATGCCTAAAGGTTTACTCTTTGTGCCATAAGGTTCTGTGGATTTTGCCAAATACATGGTGTCATGTATCCACCATTACTGTATCATAAAAAATAGTTTTACTACCCTACAAAATCTTCCATGCTTTACCTATTCGGGCCTCCCTTGGCAACAACTGCCCTTTTTATTGTTTCTATAGTTTTACCTTTTCCAGAAATCCATACATTTGAACCACGCAGAATGTAGCCTTTTTAGATTGCCTTTTGTTTGTAACTTAGCAATTTGTATTTAAGTTTTGTCCACATCTTTTTTTGTGGTTAAATAGCTTATTTAGTTTTACCCCTGAATAATGTTTCATTATATAAATGTACTGCAGTTTGTTTAACCATTCATCTATTGAAAGACCTCTTTGCTGCTTTTAGTTCTTGGATGTTATAAATAAGACCGTCATAACATTTATATGTATATTTTTCTGTGGACATAAGTTTTTGAGCCAGTTGGATAAATACCTAGGAGTGTGATTGCTGGCTCATATGGTAAAGCTAACCTTTCACATTGCTGGTGACAGTATACATTTCTACAAGCTTTCTATAAAGTACTTGCACATTATTTCTCAAAAGCCTTCATATTCTAATACCATTTGACTCACTATTTCTATTTCTAGGAATGCATCCAAAGGAAATAATCACAAATGAGAATAAATATTTATGAAAAAATATGTGCATTATTTATGAGAGTAGGAAACTGGAAACCACCTAAAAATCCAGTACTATGAAAATGAATGTGTAAATTATTATATATGCTCATGAGAAGAAACAGAATGTAATTATTAACAATTATATTTGTAATGTTTATTAATGATAATAAAAATACTTATTAAATGAGGAAGGTAGATTATAAAATTATATTATCTCAGTTATATAGAGAAAAATGCTTAGCACAAGTCTGAAAGAAAACATGTCTAAATTATTAATGTCAGTTTCTTCTGGGTATAAAGAAGAGGTGATTTTCTTCCCTGTTTTGCTGAAGATGTCTGTAATTTCTGATTCTTACTCTAAGTTTTAAAGTATTTGATAATCCAGAAGGGGTTTTAAAGTCATTTTAGTAGGGTATTTTGGAAGTAGAGACAGTTTTACACCCAAATCCAAATACTAACTCCCCCCGTAAAGTCTCCCAAAGTCCTCTTAATTAAAAAATAACTCCCTACTTGATTAATTTTACTCATGTATTAATTTATCCATTTAGCAATCTGTATGTCATATGCAATGCTTGTGATAGGCACATATTCTATGCCCTAAGGGAGTCCTGGATTTATAGGACAGGAAAGCACATAATTTTTTTTCATTATGAGATTTGTGCAGCTTTATGATGAATAGCCAAAAACTGGAAACAACCCCATTGTTTATAAATGGATAAATGGATAACAAATTATGATACATTCATACAATGAGATATTACTCAAAAATAAAAAATATCGAACAACTAATATACACAAAAACATGGATGACTCTTAAAAATTTTATGCTGAACAATGGAAGTTAAAGGATAGTGAAATAATTCTTCAAAGGAAAGCACGTAATTAACAGAGTGATTTAAAAAAGATGCACCACATCTAATGAATGTATTTATACAGTGGCTTGGGACAACAGAGGAAGGAATGACGACTTTGCTTTCCTGAGGAGTTAGAAATATTGAGTTGATTTATAAGAGCTTTCAATGATAGTCACCTGTTAAAGAGTCAGACATGGGAAGGTAGGGATTTGTAATCACAGGTAATAGGGGGTGCAAAGTTCCCAGTAGCTTCTGGGTGGATGGGAGATTAACTACAACTGAGGAGAAGTTAGTTTAATTAGATGAGGGTAGATGATTTACGGACTTGCCTGCCAGGTCATGGTGGTTGGGTTTTATAGTTTTATATTGTGTTAGGGAGCCATTGAAGGTTTGATTTAGTAGGGAATTGATACGACCACTTTCTTATTATTTAAGGTCTGTTTTCCCACAGCACAATCCAGTGTTTGGGATGCATTTTTTTTTTCTTTTTTTTGAGACAAAGTCTCACTCTGTCATCCAGGCTGGAGTGTAATGGCGCGATCTTGGCTTGCTGCAACCTCCATCTCCTGGGTTCAAGTGATTCTCCTGCCTCAGCCTCCCGAGTAGCTGGGACCACAGGTGCATGCCACCATGCCAGGCTAATTTTTGTATTTTTACTAGAGATGGGGTTTCATTATGTTGGCCAGGCTGGTCTTGAACTCCTGACTTCAAATGATCTGCCCACCTTGGCCTCCCAAAGTGCTGGGTTTATAGACGTGAGCCACGGCACCTGGCCTTGGCATGCAATTTTAAACAGGCTTGGTGCTCAACAAATGGTGGTGACAGAAGAGAATTCTGACTTTGGTCAAGTGCAAGTTGTGTCTGAGATGGGCAGAAAAGACCTCTTGCAGGTGTTTGAAAATTGAAAACTAAAACCCAGATATAATTTAGAGCAGGAGTTCTCCATAGCTTTTCATGACTGATCCCATAAAGAGGCTTTTTAGATGCTTTTTACCCCATAATCACTGCACCCCCACAGAACTTGAACACTGCAGATATGCTTTTTATTTATCTAACTTTATGTTTATCTGTGCTTCCCACCGAAGACGATACAATTTTTTTAATCTCTTTCCCTCAAGATCAATTTTTGTCCACTTAGTGGTGATAGGACCCCCACTAAAAGCACATGGGCTGAAACCTTTTTAAAAATTAATTATGGTAAAATGCATATAATGTAGAATTTACCATGTTAACATTTTAAGGGTACATCTCAGTATTGTTAAGCATATTCACATTGTTGTACAGCTAATCTCCAAAAGTCTTTTCTTCTTGCAAACCGAAACTCTATACCCATTATACAACAACTCTCCCTTCCCTCCTGCCCCAGTGCCTGGCAACCACCTTTCTATTTTCTAGCTCTGTAAATTTAACTACTCTCGGTACCTCAGATAAGTGAAATCATATTATATATATGTTTTGTGGCTAGTTTTTATTTTATTTTATTTTTTATTTTTTTTGAGATGGAGTTTCACTCTTGTTGCCGAGGCTGGAGTGCAATGGTGCAATCTCGGCTCATCACAACCTCTGCCTCCCGGGTTCAAGCGATTCTCCTGCCTCAGCCTCCCGAGTAGCTGGGATTACAGGCATGTGCCACCACGCCTGGCTAGTTTTGTATTTTTAGTAGAGACGGGGTTTCTACATGTTGGTCAGGCTGGTCTGGAACTCCCGACCTCAGGTGATCCGCCTGCCTCAGCCTCCCAAAGTGCTGGGATTACAGGCATGAGCCACCACACCCGGTCATGGCTAGTTTTTCTTTACTTAGTATAATATTGTAACTTATGTCAGGATTTCCTTCCTTTTTATGGTTAAATAATATTCTATTATATGTATAGAACCACATTTGTTTCTTCATTCGTATGTTAATGAACACTTGATTTACTTCCTTTTTTTGGATATTGTAAATAATGCTGCTGTGAACATAAATAGGTAAATATCTCTTTAAAACCCCGCTTTCAATTATTTAGGGTTTATACCAAGAAGTGGAATTGCTGTACTATATGGTAATTCTGTTTTCAATGTTTAGAGGAACTTCCATACTGTTCTCCATAGGGAAGTGATTGCACTATTTTACATGTCCATGAACAGTATGCAAGGGTTGCAATTTCTCTCCATCCTTGCTGACATTTGTTATCTTCTTTCTTTCTCTGTCTCCTTCCCTCCCTCCCTTTCTTCTTCTTCCTCCTTTCTTCCTTTCTCTTTCTTTTAATAGTATTCATTCTAATGCATGTCAGGTGGTATCTTATTGTTGTTTTGATTTGCATTTCCCCAGTAATTAGTGATGTTGAACATCTTTTCAAGTGCTTGTTGACTATATATCTTTTTTGGAGAAAGATTTATTTAAATCCTTTGCTCATTTTTTAATTGGGTTATTTGCTTTTGTTGTTGTTGAGTTTTAGAAGGTCTTTATATATTCTGGACAATAACTTCCTATCATATACAGAATTTGAAATGTTTTTTCCTATTCTGTAGATTGCTTTTTCACTCTGTTGTCTGAGTCCTCTTGAAACAGGAAAAGTTCCCTTATCCCCCTCGCAAGGCATGTGATGAGGGTGTGGCTCGCTTCTTCAGTGCCCCACTGCTCATACCCCTAAGTGAGCATGCAGATGGGCAGGTCGTTGCTCCAACACCACGGCAGTGTCTAGGTTTGAGTGTTTACAGCTCCCAAAGCCCCACTGGGCATGTGTTACAGTGTGCTCTTTCAGTTTAGCCATCCATAGGCAGCTTGTGTTAATCAGCTCAATTAGACGTTAATCAGCTCAAAGGACAGAGGCCTTTCTGTATCCCGGGGTTCTTGCCTTAGTGTAACAGAAAAATCGGATCACACTCGGGCTTGGAGAATGAATGCAAGGTTTTACTGAATGGTGGAAGTAACCTTCAGCAGATGGATGGGGAGCCAAAAGGGGAATGGAGTGGGAAGATGGTCTTCCCCTGGAGTCACACCACTCAATGGCTGGGCTCTCCTCTGACCACCCTAGGCCAAATTTCCCTTGGCAGCTGCATCATTTCAATGTCAATGGCCTGCCTGCTGGTGTGTTCCTTTCGACGTCCATCTACTTGTGTGTCTGTGCCTGCTATGGTCTTGAGGTTTTTATAGGCACAAAATGGAGGGTGTGGCGGGCCAGGGTGGTCTTGGAACATGCAACATTTGGGTATGAAAACAGGAGTGACTGTCTTCACCTAGGTCCATTGGCACAGGCCCGAGGGTGGAGCCCTCGCTAGGGACACCACCTGTCTCTACTCAGCACTTACCCTCTCCCTTACTCCCATATCACCTTGATGGAATTAGAGCTTTTAAAAATTCAGTGGATGTTTAGTTTTTCCATGGTCTTTGACATTCTTTCCCTATTTCTTCTTCACCTGGGAACTAGGAGGTTGAAACTTGAATGATGGTATTATAGGCCTGGGCAGACATTGAGATCTAACCTGTACCTGAGATTTGGATTGTGGGGTCTTAGGAAGGTGCTTGATGAAGGATCTTATGGATTTCTGCATCATTCATGGAAAGGTGGATCATGCAAGTCATTCAACCCAAGCACAGCATGATAGGAAGGGTAAATCACACCACCAAACAGAGACAAGAAAGGAAAAGGGGCATGAGAAGATGAGACACAGAAGAGACTGAAAGCAGTCTCTTCTGAATATTCGTGTTTTCACTTCATTCATTAAGGCCATTGGCTATTAACTGTTAGCATGAGGTTGTCTCCACCTTGTCTATATAACCAAGTTTTCAACCTATCTGCCTCACTGGTGTTTTCTGGATGGACATCCAGACAATTTATCTGAGGTTTTCTTTTTATCTAGCAATTTGTGAGGACCAACACTGTGGTCTTTAGCAGGTACAGGTCCAAAGCCAGGAGCTTAATACCTCTCAGAAAGTGAGTAGGTCTTGACTTCACTCTCAATTTATGTATCAACCCATCACCTGTGAGAAGATTAGACTTATTGCAATAGGAGAGAAAAAAATCTTCTCTGTTATTCCTATGGGAGAGAGGTAATCCATTTAAAAATCTTTCTGATGCCATGACCATAAGATTAATGCTTATGTAATCCAGCTTGTTATCTGTCTGCTATGTCTCCTTGTGTCTAGGATAAGTCAATTGAGCTTCACTTCTCTAATTGAAATCACCGTGCTGATGGAGTCTGTCTGTGGAAATGAAAGGTGGCTACCATAATCTGTTGGGAGTTGAATTAATCCTCTGGGAGTGAGGCTGACCTAATTACTCAGAAATACTGGGCTTGCTTTCATTCTGTGGAATACAGCCATGAGAAAGAGGCCAGCATGCCATTTCCTAATCTTTTCTTGAATTGCCTGAAACTCACCTAACATGAAACTGAGAAGCCTTTTCATTTGAAAGTGGTATTTCTTATGTTTTTTATCTTTTTGCTTGAAAGTATTCTTAAACTAAAGAAAGGAGAAACAGAAAAGGTGAAGAAGCCAAGAGGCTGGAGTTTCCTTTTGAATGGATATTCATCCATGAAGCTGTTGATTCTGTTTTTCTGTTCCTCCAGATGTCTACACTTTTACCTCTGCTTGCCTGATACAACCACCACCAGTCACCTCACAGAATAACTCACTCCTTAAGAATCTGATCAGGAATCAGCCTTCCCTGATCACAAACACTGAGTTTAGAAGTCCCTCCACAGTGTCCCCCGTAACCCTGTGCTACCTCACTGCCTCATAGTTTAGTGCCGTTTGTGTACATGCCTATCTTCGTCCATGGATCCAGAACAACTTGTAAAAATGACTGTACTTATCACCTTCAGTATTCAATGACTAAACTATAATTTTAACATATCTGGCAGAATGAATCACTTGGGGATTTCTGCCAACACTACCAATATATTACTCCTAATTTGTAATTATTACTTAGCATGGATTATAGTACCGGCTGTTGGAGAGCCAATGTGGCAGACCCTAAGTGGAATAAAATGTCAGTAGCAGTCTAGGAGCATATATTTATTGGAATAGATCATTCATTCATTTGTTCATTAACTAATTTGTTCATTAAATAAACATTTATTAAGCACTCATGGTTTAGGACGCATTTTGTCCATTTACTCATTCATTTGTTCATTTGACACATTGTTTATTGAAGTGCTATTAAGTGTTAACATTGTGTGTTTATTGGTGAATGTAACAGGCATGTTTCTTCTATGGGAATCTTTTAGGATAGTGGAGATAACAGACAATACAAATGTAAACATACAAATGTAAGTTATGTAAAATGTAAAATTATGAGTTGTGATAAGTGCTTTGCAGGAAACCAAAAATGTGTAATAATAAAGAATAAAAATGAAAAGATAGGAGGAAGATGGGGTATCTTGGGACCTTCCTCTCAATTTTGCTGTGAATCTAAAACTGCTCAAAAAAATAAAGTCTAGGCCGGGCACGGTGGCTCACGCCTGTAATCCCAGCACTTTGGGAGGCTGAGGCGGGCGGATCACAAGGTCAGGAGATCGAGACCATCCTGGCAAACACGGTGAAACCTCGTCCCTACTAAAAATACAAAAAAATTAGCCAGGTGTGGTGGCAGGTGCCTAAAAATTAGCTGGGCGTGGTGGTGGGTGCCTGAAGTCCCAACTACTCGGGAAGCTGAGGCAGGAGAATAGCGTGAACCCAGGAGGCGGAATGAGCTGAGATCGCGCCACTGCACATCAGCCTGGGTGACAGAGTGAGACTGCATCTCAAAAAAAATAAAAAATAAATAAATAAATAAAGTCATCAAAAAATAAAATAAAATAAAAAAAAGAAAGGGTGGTCAGAGAAGCCCTCTCAGAAGAAGAGACAATTAAGCAAGCATTCTTCCAGATGGTAATTTCCTGAAGAACCGAGAGACTGCTGGGGACTGTGCATATAGGTGTACAGTGTGATGCCTCCTGTTAAGAACAGTTACAGAGAATAGAATGTGGGTCAAGAACAAAGAAGGGATTACCAACTCTGATAAGATTCGCCAGGTAAGTTTTCCTAGAAGTGATATTTGAACTGAATCATGAAGAATCATAAGGCATTTTTGAAACCTTCCAGGCAAGAAGATTAATATCCTGCTTAAGCTTCTCTCCCCATGACCTGTATTTCTACCCTCTAGTTTATGCTGCAAGAGGAATCTTTCTAAATCTCATATCTGAATATAAGAATGCTCTAATGAACAGTTTCTCATATACTCTACAGGTAACACAGACCAAATATTAGAGCATGGCGTATTTTGTAACATGGTCTCAATGTTAACAACAGTTCACTCCTTGCCCTCAACCTCATTATTCTTTAGCAGTGGATTCTCAACTGGTCTCCTTCACACATTGCTGGCTATCCCAAGGCATTCTTTCTCCTTGGGCAAACTCCAACTTCTAAGATTCCATTCAAGGTCCAGGTCATCTGGGTGACACCTCTCATCCCTCCTTTCACCCCTACCCAAGTCCTAGGGAGAGTTGACCTCTCCTTTCTCTTGTCCTTCCACAGCATTTTCAATCTACCTCTACTTTGGAAATGATTTCACTACTCCCTAATTATTTTGAGGTTGGTCTCCCTCATGAGACTATTTGCTTCACAATGGCAAGGATTATGTGTTAGTAATCTTTGTATTCCCAGGCTGAGAAAGTACTGTGGTTATATTATAAGTGAACAATCAATGTTTTTTAATTGATTGAAAGAATGAGGGAAGGAAAATGACTTACTGGGTGAATTCTCATGGTAACAGTTTAGCTTAAAGCATATAGGCTGGCATGAGGAACAGAAGGAAACTAAGAAAGATCACAGAGACAAAATTTAATTCTACAAGGAATAGAAAAGAAAGTAGGAAACACTGGCTCCATATTGCTGGTTTCCTGAATTCATAAAAGCCATTAAGGCAAAACAGAATTAAGTTATTAGCCACAGACATCCATGGATAAATCTGAGGATTTCCTAGAGCAGCCCTTATCCAATAGTTATATGAGAGCCATGTATATATATATATATATGAATTTTCTAGAAACCACAATTTAAAAAGTAAAAAAACAGACAAAATTAATATATTTTACTCAATCCAATACATTGAAAAATCATTTCAACATGTAACCAATATAAAAATATTTTATTTTGTTTTAATGTTATTTTATTTTGTTTTTGAGATGGAGTATCACTCTGTCACCCAGGCTGGAGTGTAGTGGTGTGATCTCAGCTCACTGCAACCTCTGCCTCCCAGGTTCAAGTGATTCTCCTGCCTCAGCCTCCCAAGTAGCTGGGATTACAGGCATGTGCCACCATCCCCAGCTAATTTTTTTTTTTTTAAATATTTTTGTAGAGACGGGGTTTCACCATGTTAGCCAGGGTGGTCTCAATCTCCTGACGTCGTGATCTTCCCACCTTGGCCTCCCCAAGTGCTGGGATTACAGGCATGAGCCACCGCACCCGGCCAATAAATATAAAAATATTAATGAAATATTTTAATTCTCATTTTTGGTACTAGGTCTTCAAACTCTGGTCTGTATTTTACTTAATTTTTAAACTTTATTTTTAATTTTTGTGGGTACATAGTGGATGTATATATTTATGGGGTACATGAAATATTTTGTTACAGGCATGCAATGTGAACTAAGTACATAATGAAGAATGGGGTATCCATCCCCTCCAGCACTTATTCTTTGATTTACAAACAATCCAATTATACTCTTTAAGTTACTTTAAAAGGTACAATTAAGTTATTATTGATTACGTCACCCTGTTGTGCTATCAAATAGTAGGTCTTATTCATTCTTTCTATTTGTTTAACCCATTAACCATCCTCATCTCACTTCCAGCCCCCCACAACACTTCTTAGCCTCTGGTAAGCATCCTTCTATTCTCTATGTCCATGAGCTCAATTGTTTTGATTTTTAGATCTCATAAATAACTGAGAACATGCAATTGGTGTGTGTATTTTATACTTACAGCACATCTCAGTTTGGGATGGCTAGTGGCTGTTACATTGTACAGCTCAGAGTTAGAGCATGTGACTGTTCTTTCCCATTGCATAGTCAGGAAAAAAGAGAATGTTTACTTAAGTGAAGTGTTTAATTATTATTTTACACAATTGCACCAAGCTGGTTTGTATAGGCTACCCAGTTGCTTTGGAACTTGTATTGCAGAAGTTGGGGTTAGGAAAAGATGAAAGAGAATGAAGAAAAATAATTAGAATTCCTATTCACAGAGAATTCTAAAAGGAGTATAAATTTGCAAGCTCTCCCTAAAAAGTTACCAAGAACCTTAAGAATGTTCATATCTACTATTTGACATAAGAGTCTCACTTCTAGTAATCAATCTGAGGAGGCATTTAGAAATGCAGGCTGAAACGTAGGCATCAAGATTTTCACTGCCATTTTATTACACAAATTAGTCATTAGAAAAAACTCAAAGTCCAACATAATTGAAGTTTTTAAATAAATTGTGGTATATATTTGTAATGAAATATCGTGTTGCCACTCAAATTTATGCATAGGAAGATTTTTGATGATAAGGGGGATTATCTATGATATAATATTAAGTAAGAGGCACAGGAAACAATTGTGTATTCAATATAAAATAAACCATGTAGAAGGTGCAATGAAAGGCTGGAATGAAATATATTAAAGTGGTAACTATCTCAGAATAGTGGAATTGTGGGAGTGACTCATTTTTTCTTTATATTTTCATGAATTTTATAATTTTTTTCACAAGAAGTCCATACCATATCTACATGCAAGCAAACACAATCAAGGAAAATACTACAGTTTGCTTACTTTCCCATGACCATCATAGCTTTAGGAAGGATCCCTTCCCCTCACCCCCTCTTCCCAACACACACATCCCAAAGCCATAGAAGCTTTGAGAAAGAATGGTCTGAGGGATGGTGTGAGAGATGAGCAAGTTCCCAAAGCACTGCATTGACAAGACAGCTTGCTGGAGGAAAAGACGGGAGACCAGGCTTCTTGTTCTGGATTTCTAATGCTGGCTGGGAAAATCTCATCACCCCCTGGGTCTCAGTTTCTCATTTGCAAACATCAGTGAAGATCATTGAAAGGGTTTCTCTTCACCTCTTCCAACTCTCTATCATGAGCCCTCTGACAACAAAAACAAAACGAAACAAACACATCCTCACAACACATCCTTTCACCTCTGGCTTTTCTGATTCTGTGTGTTTATTTTACAAATGACATCCAAAAGTATAATTGACCCCCAAAATGTCTACAGCCTCCCTACTCCCAAATCCCCATAGTGCCTCCCAATTCAAACCTTTAGTTCAGGAAGATGTTCTTGGTTGACATATTTTTGGAACACCATTCCTCTCCTAGGTCAGTAGCAGGAAAGAGAATCTTAGATCTATTTTAGAAATTGTGTCAAGTAATGACATCACTGTGAAAAATGAACATTGCCATTTTGGAGATGTTAAGTTAGAAACTAGAAAACCTTTCCTGGTATCTCCTCTTGATCAGTTGCCTTTTGGTAGTCATGTGGAAGCTAAGGACATTGATGAACAGTGGCCTGCAGATGCCCTTGTGAGCTTCAAAACACGGCTCTCTTCCCTCTCCAAAAGATTACACAAAAGGAATATATGCAAAAATAGCTCCAGAATGGAACTTTGTCTAATTCTGCATTATGTATCATTCTGTAATACCTCTTTTGGGAATCAGGTTTTGCCCTTACTTTGTAAGCCTTATGCAAGTTTTCTCTTTGCAAATTATAACAAATGCTTTGAAAAACTAGACGATGAGATCCTCAAGGGCCTTATTATAGCCCTGTTACCTATGTGGTATCTGGTAAATAGTAATTCCTTCATATGTGCACCTTGAACTGAACCGTTCTTAGATTAATAAATCTCAACAAATTATTTAACTTCTGACCTTCCCTAAAAATTGTGTGTTGTGTGGTTGGCAAACCTCTACAGCACCACGATATTATCTGCTTCCTGAGATGATGTTCAGTGCACTTTAACTTATTAACTTGTTCATATTCATTATTTCATGAAATGTTTTGGAGGTATTGTGCCAGTCGCTGCCTTTCGACACCTGTCAGCCAGCAGCAGACTGCAGAGAAGAGCATAAGCTTGAGATTTAAACCATTTATGATTCAAAGTCAAGTGCTAGCCCTTACCAGGTGCACAAACTTGGGCAGGTTAATCTCTTGCAGGCTCAATTCCATTTTCCGTAAAATAGGGATATCACTACCTGTGTCACAGGACTATTACGAGTATGCCATGAAATCACTTGTGTAAATCACAAACAGAGTTACTGAGGTAAGCTTGAAATTAGTTTTTAAAGTAACTGTTTAAACTAGGTGGGGAGTGTAAAACAATTTTCACAAATGCTCCCTCTTGTAATCTTTTGTATCTCTGTGTGAAAGGTTGGATTATGTTCAGGTTTTGGATGAATGGGAATTGCATGAATGATTTAGGGGGCAGAAATTTCGGGGCAGGATGGCCAACAGAACATTGGTGTCATGAAGTACAGTCTTGATGCAATGACAATGTTTATGGCTAGAAGTGAGGTGTGCATGGGGTAACAGGTACAGAGGATCTTTGTAAAGTGAGATTTAGTAATGCTTTAAATATGGCCTGGCTAGGGAGAGAGAGCTAACATTTATCTATTTATTTTTTGGAGACAAGATGTCACTCTGCCACCCAGGCTGGAGTGCAGTGGCGTGATCACAACTCACTGCAGCCTCAACCCCTACACTCAAGCAATCCTTCCACCTCAGCCCAGCCCCACAAGTTAGATGGGACTACAGGCATGTGCCACTATATCCAGGTAATTTTTTTTTTTTTTAATAGGGACAGGATCTCTCTATGTTGCCCAGGCTGGAGCTAACATTTAAACATTTACTTGTTATAACCTTCATTATTACCACCATAATCCTCAACCAACGGATGCATTCATAAGTAATATATATTTTCTTGTGTTATAAATAATGAATACATAATAGTATATTCTCAGGTATAGATTTAAAAAACTAAGGCAAAAGACACTAAGGAACTTATCTAACATCACATGGCTATTAAATCCGCATTCTGATTCTGGGATCCTTAACTTCACCCTAACAGAACTATTTTTAGAAGTCAAGCTACAGATAAAGGTTAAGATTAATGACCTTTATGACTTATAAATGAATTCTAACATAGTCTATAACTCAAAATGTTTGCTACAGCTTTTCATATTTAATCATAAATGAAAATAAAAATATTTACATTGTCAGGACTATAGGGGCAACTAGAAAACTGTGAAATTATGGCTTTGATTTGCATGCCCATGTTCTTAGCTTTGTCTTCATCCAATTTTTATATTTTCTGAGGATAAAATAGTCATAATTGCTGCCTGCCTGGTAAGGTCGACAATATCCATTTATCTCCATCTGAATATGGTCTTAGGCAGCAAGGTGTGAGCAATTTATCTTATTGATATCTCTTTCTGATTTCACGTGTTCAGGTCACTATCTCACTTCTCAAAAATTCCTCTCACTTTACTCTTTTTTTTAAAAAAATCATTTTGTTATACTTGGGGAAAGGCAGCATTAGAGAGAAAGAAGACTCCTAGATTTGTGAATTTCTGAATGGGTGAGTAAGCAAGCTTGCCAAGTTAGATGCCACAGGTTGTGTACTGCAGTAACATAGAAGACATCTTTTGCATTTCATATGATGTGAGCTGTGCAATGAGTGTTCTTGTACTTATATGAATATTGATGGGTGTGTTGTGGGTAGCATAAAAGTGTGTATAAATATGTGAAAAATGTGAATTCATGATTGTGCACTGTGAATTTGTGGGTATATGTGTGGTTGTGTCTCAGTATAGGTTTTGATGGTGGAGTGGGAGATATGGGACAGGAGAGATTAAATATCTTGATTTCTATCAGGCACACGAGAGACCAGCAAGAGGAGTCACATGTTCCTCTTGTCAAATGAAAGAAGTAACATTAGACATGATATTTGGTACACTGCATTGACAAAGTGTCCAACAAATGTACTTAATGGTTGTCCAAAGCTCCTCCAAATATATTCATTTTTAAGGAACGTACTTCTTTTCCACCTGAATGACATGATTTAATTTACTCCAGTATGGCAGAATAAGTAACGGGAGCTGCAGTTCTGAACTTTATGCCTAGCTTTGTAAATTTTTTTCTTAGACCTGTAAAAAGCATATCTATCTGTCTATCTATCTATCTATCTATCTATCTATCTATCTATCTATCATCTATCTATCTATCTATCTATCTACCTATCTATCTATCTGTCTATCATCTTGTCTCATACCTCAGGGAACTGCTCTAAAATCAAATCATAAAAGTTAATGAAAACACATTATTAATTTATGATAGGTCATATGGATATTTAATAACAAATTTCTGTTTTTCTTATGTGCCAATATATTTATGAATTCAGTACACTCATTCTTCAATAAAGATTCAGTGAGCAAGTGTATGCTTTCAGGCATTGTGTTAGATACTTGGGATGCCTGTACTATCCTGAAAGCACTTATAGACTGTAGGAAGATGCATGTTCATAAAAAGACATTAAAATGAAACACATAGTTAAGAGAAGTTCATGACTTTACTATACTTATATCCTAATTGAGGGAATGGGCTAATAAACCATAGAAATGCTGATGGATAACTACTGATTTTGACATGTTTGTGGGGAACAATAGGGTTTGAAGGTCCAGATGTCTTTGTGAAGAAGATAACTTTTTATTTTACTTTGTTTTATTGAGGTATAACTTATAACTAATAAAATGTACCCATTGTGAGTGTCTAATTCAATGATATTTTGTAAAATTATAGACTAATACAACCATGACCACGTCGGGTTTTAGAATAGTTCCATTATCCAAAAAGTTCCCTGGTGCTCTTATAGGTAGGTAATCCCTAGTGAGACCCTAAACCACATATTTGTTCACTTTCCATCTCTACGGATTTGTCTTTCATGGGCATTTCGTGTAAATGGAATCACACGTATATAGTTTTGTATATCTGGTTTCATTTACTTATCATGGTGTTTTTTGAGGTACATCCATATTACATGAGTTATTCCTTTTTATTGCTGAATAAGCTTTCATTGTATGTTATGTTACATTTTTTTATTCAGTCACCAGTTGATAGACATTTATATTGTTTTTAGTTTGGAGCTACTATGGATAATGCTGTTATAAACGTTTGTGTACAAATCTTTGAAAGGATATGGGCTTTTACTTCCATTGGGTAAATACCTATGAATAGAATTTCTGGGTTATCTGGTAAATTTTAAATAGGATTATTGAGCTATGATTCATATAATATAAAGTCATCCTTTTAAAGTATACAATTAAATGCATTTTAAATTTATCATTTTTAAGAAACTGCTGAATTGTCATCTAAAGAGGCTATATCATTTTGCATTCCCACTAATAATGTGTGAGGGCTTCAATTTCTCCACTTTCTTGCCAACACTTGATATTGTCAGCCTTTTGATTATAGCCACTCTAGTGGATATGTAGGGTTATTTTACTGTGGTTTTAATTTTCATTTTCTGTTGACTAATGATCTTCAGCATCTTTTCATGTGCTTATTGTCCATTTGTATATAATCTTTAGTGAAATGTCTATTTGCATATTTTACTCTTTTAAAATTGCATTATTTTTGAGTTGTGAGAATTTTCTATATATTATGGATATAAATACTTTATTAGATATATTATTTATAAGTGTATATGTGTAACTTTATGAGATTAAAAACAATCTATTTAACATTATCTGGTAAAGTTGAACCTATCTAATGATCTAGTCATTTTACCCCTAGTTATATACTCAATAGAAATGTGTGCACATATGAAACAAAAGATAGAAGTATGTTTATAGCTGAACTATTTGTATTAGGTCAAAAATGGGAAAAATGCAAATTTCCATCATTAGTAGGATAGATGTATACATTTTGGTATGTTCACAAAATTGAACTGCACAGTGACGGAATGTAGGCATAATAGCTAAAGCAACAACATGGATAAACTTAGAAAAGAACATGGAATATGAAGCTAGATAAAGAAGATACAAACTGCAAAATTTAATTTATATAAAGCTCAAAGATAATCAAAACTGATCTATGGAGTTAGATGTCATATCATTGTTCTACTTGGAGGGGAGGAAGGAATAGCGATTCAGGGTGGGTTAGGAAGGGGCTTCTGTACCGCTGGCAGTATTCTGTTTCTTGACCCAATTGATGGTGGTTATATAAACGTGTCATTCTGTGAAAAATTGTGTTGTGTGTTTATCCTGTGTGAGCTTTTTGTATACAGGTTATACTTCAATTAAAAAGTTTTTAGGAAAAAAAAATAAAACATGTGCTCTGGTCCTAAACTCTCTGGGTACAAATCCTGGCTTCTTACTCCCTAACTGTACGACCTTGGCTAAGTTACGTAACAACCTTATGTTCTAACTCTCTCCTTTGGAAAAGGTTGATGATAATAGTACCTATCACTTGAATTGTGAGAATTATATTACTCATGTAATGCATTTAGAATAGTGCTTATACTTAGTGTGTGATCAATACATATTGGCTATTGTTATTATGCTCTAGATGTTTCTTCCTTCTTTTTTTTTAATATTGTCTCCATATTTCACCCTTTGAACCCAGTTTTTCTCCAGGATTCCATCTCAGTCCTCCACTCATCTCACTCTGCATCTCTCATGTATTCATATCATCCTCTCTCATGCTTCCCCATCACCATTTATGTTGGCTTCTCAATTCTTCTCAGACATTTCTGGATACCTGATGACACCTCCTCTGACAATCCCAAAATTAGTTAACTGAACTCGATACTTTCCTTCAAAACCAGTTTTTCCTCTTCTGTTCTTAGTTATGCTCCTTATCCATAGCCAGTTTCCTACACTTCAACCAAATGGATGTGGAGTCAAATCCTAGTTTTTCTTAGGTGTTTCTTAGCTGTCTTGGGGAATAAAATTAACTCCTATACACTTTGCTTTTTTATTACATAATATAAACAAGATAATATAACCTACCTAGGTCTGGTTGAGAGCATAAAATATTACCATGCTAACAGAGTAGTGAGTTTTGGTCTGGAACATGGTAGGCATATGATAAATGTTGGCTTTCGTTATTTTGTTATGATGCTATCAGTTTGTTCACCTTTATTCCTAGCAATTAAATTACGTGTGATTCTCTGAGTATGTCCCTGTTCTTTATTTCTACTACAACCAGCAGGCTGCAATTTAGATTCTTATCATCTTTTGAGCTTCTACAAATGTCTCCTTACTTTTCCAAACTTGGACACTCAATTTCATCATCTACATTATCTCACATTGGTTTATCTAAAACAAAACCATGCCATCTACTGCTTAAGACCTCTTAATGTTTCCTTCTTGTCTCTTGGATTATGTCCAAGTGTCTGAAAGTGAATTGAATTCCATAGCAAATGATGGAATCATCTTTTCTGAAAAGGATGTACCATATTGCCTTGATGCAGGGGTTTGGACCATATGATTTCATTAGTTCTCTTTTACGCTTGGGAGTCTTGGTATAGAGAAGCACTTTCTTCTTTTGCAAAAGAGGTCAGGGAAAGGGCAATACAGTGTTTTCCATTAATGAAATAAGAGTGGGAGATAAAGTCCCTCAAGGAGTTTGACTCTTATTTTTAGCTCAGCTCAAAAGGCTGTAGCCCATTTTAGCCAGCACTGGGACTTCCCACAGCAATCTGACAGATAGATGCCTTGGCTGCAAATATGCTTAGATTTTTCAAGTGAAAGAAAGCCATGAATTTTAGAGTAAAGAGATAATACCCATCACCAGACCGAGGAAGGTATGTTTTGACTAAAAAGGGTTCAACTTTTTATGGAAACTTGGCCACAAGAAGTTTTATGTTAACATAAATAAAAGCTGATGTTCATTAGAGAGGCCTGGGTTCCAGTTCTGTCCCTATAAGTTGTTTGCTGTTTAACATTGAGTAAAAGAGTTAATTTCACTGAGCCTCAGTTTCTTCATCTGTGAAATAAGAATAACAATTCCTATCACAAAGTGTTACTGTGAAAATTAAAGATAAGACATGTACGATACCTGTCCTGTAACAGGTGTTCAAAACATGTGAGGTACTTCCTTCCCCATGGTTGGTACATTCTGGAATGGCTACATGGATTTTCACTGGCCGCATTACTGTAATATTACTATGGGCACAAGAAGGATTAGGAAATCAAAGCTGGTCCATTCTCTGGACAAGGGATATTAAAATTGTCCTAGGTTGGCAGCTCGGGGCCATGAATCTACCCCTTCTGGCATATATTCTTGCTCCAGTTAAGCCTTCACAATTTGTTCCAGTCCGTGTAAAGGGTTCCTGCCTTTCCACATCTGAGTTCTGTTCACTTGAAAGGCTATGTATGGCATATTGGAAAGAGCAGAGTGTTAAACGGCCTCAGAGTCCTGTTCATTATTAAATCCAAACTTACAATTTGGGACGGATTCTCTGCTTCTGGACCTCATTTGGGTTGAATCTTGCATATTGACCCAAATTTGCTTACTTCTATTTCATTCAATAAATTCTTCTATCTTAAGCTACTCTACAGAAATTTGGGATAGTTGTTTAGGTATCACAATTTTCTAAAAACAAAATGAATAGAAAAAAAATAAAGTTAACTATGGATAGTTTTAAATATCTAAAATTTTATTACTATTTGGTTAAAAAGGGAAAATAAAGGAATAAAACAACAAACTGGGAAAGGTATTTGCAACATATTTGGCAGACAAATAATATCATAAATATATAATGATCTCTTACTAATTAACTAAGGGAAAATAATCAGCCAACAATATAATAGACATATTGTAAAAGACACGACCTAGTAGTTAGAAAAATAAAATAGAGCAAATGAACCTATAAAAATTGAGAAGACTTAATAATAGTCAAAGAAATTTAAAGTAACACAAAAAATCAATTATTTGTATTCTGGGTGCCACATAGACATAGGCTTATGAGATGGTGACTCAGTGGCCTGTGAGTGGGTAGTGTAGAAGCTGAGTGGGGAAGCATGGGCAGTTTGCCCGCATGATCTCTCATACAACCTAAAATCCTTTTGTTGCTGTAATGTGCGTCTTTTGTTTGCTCACATACATATATAGGAGCAGTTTCCTACTGGAAATACTCATAGGCCAGAAAAGATACGAAGAATTTAATTGTGCCCTCTTTTCTACAATGTTACCTGGCACATGGCAGATATCTGAATACAAAGCCAGTTAACAAAATTGTCATGTAAATACCAGGTTAGTGAGGTGTTACTGACTCCTCTCATGAGATGGACCAGTGTAAAATAGAATGGGCTCTATGCCAGAAAGAGAAATGGTTGGATAAATAAAGAAACGGATAAACATTTATTGAGCATCTGCTTTACTACAGGGACTCTGTTAAGAGCCTTACATGAGAATCCTAAAAGGTAGGGAGAGTTATTCTTATTTAAAAAGGGAGAAAGTGAGGCTCAGAGAGATTAAATCACTTGCTTTTGGTCTCAGTAAGGAAGAGAAGAGCTGGATTTTCTGATACCTGGATTTGTTAAGCCCATCAGAGAGATGAACAGAATAGAAGCCCAAGTTTTACATTTAGTCTTAGACTATTATTCAGGGTTCATGAAATAATCCTGATATTGTCTTAAGAAAAAAATATTGTGTTTAAATATGCAGTTTTTGAGTATAGCTAATATTAAAAAAAAAAAATACCTGGCAGAGAGTCTCTAGTTTTGAGCAGGAAAAACAGTCGTCTCCTGTTCTCAGCAGTATTTCTATAAACAGAGAATGTTGCTGAACAATAAGTGTTCTGATTTAAAGCTATAATTTTCAGAGGTTTTTTCAGAGTGACAAAGATTCCATGTGATAAGTAAATGTACACTTGAAAAACACCCTAAATTTTAAAACAGGAGAGCATTTTAAACTCCTTCATTTTGACATCTTGAAAAACATATTTCATAGTTTTGAGAATATTCTCCATCTATTACAGTGTACATTAGGTTATACCACCCACATTGAGCTGTAATCACATGGAACTATGTTCTGACAGAGAATTTTATGCTGGAGAAGATATTTCATTACTACGATAAAAAGCTATTTGCAGGAATCGGGTGAATAACATAGTAATCAGAAACTTAATGGCAAAGAGAAGGATGGCACTGAGGGATGGCAAAGTTCTTAATGCAAGAGGATACCTTACATAGAATAGATTTTTCCTGGGGTTTCTGCCCATCCAATAAGCCGGGCCCTTTTTTTGGATAGCTGCTATCTTCCTATGATGTGGGCCTTGGCCACAATAATTTTACTGTGACCCTATTCCCCCAGTAGTGGCCTCCCATATGGCTTATAGAAACAAGAGTGGATACATGACCCCCTAAAAGGGCCAACCATATTCTTCCAATTCAGGATTCGAATTGGAATTCAAAGATGTTAGATTCTGCTGGTTACAAATGAGAGGCATGTGAATTTTGGAATTAGAGGATGGCCATTTTTTGTACCTAGAGAAGGAGAGAAAACAAGTGTGTAGAAAGAAAAGCATAAAGGAGGCATTTAAACAAACTTTGGGGTGGAGCATGATATCCTAGAGTGAGGGACTGAGAAAGTTTGGGGCTCAATTTTTTTTTCTTCTACCGGTTTCTGTTTCCAGCTTTTAACCTCTTCTGACTGTATTTCCTTTGGGTTCTAGGGAATATCTGTGTTTTCTTTGAATAAACTCCACCTTTCCAACTCTTCCTCCTTAAACTCATTTGTGTAGTTATTTTTTTTTCTTTTACTTGCAACCAAAAGAGCCTTGATTAAAATCCCAGGCTGTCAGCCTCATGGATGCCAGCAGGGGCTATTGTCTCTGGAATGGCCATGAGTTACACAGCTCTAGAGAGTGAATCAGCCAGGAAGTGCAGTCTTCAGCTTCAAGGCAGCAAGATCGAATGCTGTGAGCCATGGGCATAGCTGAGGCTAAGATTCAGAGAGAGCAAACCAGGCTGGAGCCCAAGGGAAGAATGCCAGAGAATTTCTAGAGCAGCTTATTTCTCAGGGTTATTGTGAAGTCAGTGAGGTAATACATATAAAATGCCTTCTTCAGTGTAAAGGATGAGATAGTTTAGTGTTTCAGGGAACAAACTCCCTGGGTTTAAATCTTGGCTCTGTACTTCATAGCTGGGTGACCTTGGGTGAGTTAAACTCTCTTTGCCTCATTTCCTTTGATCTGTAAAATGAAAATGATATAGTTCCTACTTCATAGGGTTACTTTGTTCATTAAATGAGTTCATACGTGTGAAGCATTAAGAACATCTCCCGGGGCTTGGCAAGTCCTGTTGAGTTTATGTAAGTGTTTGTTTTTATTAGTGTTTATATAATTGTATTGTTCGCCTTCACTGTCACACAGACATTGCAACAATTGCTATATAAATGATTATGATATTCTACACTATAATCTACAAAGCAAACCATATGTGGCATAAAGTAGCCTTGAGCTAAAGTTTTATGATATTAAAAATAATAAAGTAAAACAAAAAACATTTATGAAGCTCCTCTCTTTTGCCACATACACCATTTAGTTGAGGAAGGACTAGTAAGCCTATGCTGCTTTTGTTCTTATCTCCATTTTCCAGATGAGGGCACTGAGAGTGAGAAACGTTGAATAGCTTGGCTAAGATCTCAGAGGTTAGACATGGCAGAGTCCATTCAGGTCTAAATCCAAGATGAATTGACTTCATATTGGCAAGTCTGTGGCTTGAGTCTCAATGCACAGCCAAATATAAGGTCATGTAACAAACATTCATATGGGTCCTTTGCTTTTACAGAGTCAAAGGCAAATTCCCCTGCAAGATTCCTCCAAGTAAGCCACACTTTGCAGCTGACTGTTCTTTTCTCTCCTTTATCTGGTGATGAGCCGAAAAATGCAACATGAGATGACTGTAAAGTTTTGGGGAACTATGGCTGAGCATGAAAGGGGGTTATGGCAACATGAAAAGATCCAGGAGGTCTGGTCGTTGCTCAAGTCACAAGGCAGATTTGGGAGCATAGAACAGTTTCCCAAACTTCTGCTACAGGTAAACGGCTTTTTATAATTGCTAGAAAGGCTTATCTGATTAAGACAAGAATTGTGAGAGTTGGGAAGGCATGCAACAACCATCCTTCGGATCCTCTAGAACTGAACGTTGTAAAGGCCCACAATTTATAATGTAAAACATAACTCATTCATAAAGGAATACAAATTTTGGTTGATATAGCAATATTTTCATAAGTTTACAGGCATGGATCAATTGATCCTGGGACATTTTTCTCCATAATATCATACCTTGTGTGTTACAACTCAATCATACACAATGAAGATCTGAGGAACCTACTATAGGACCTTGGCATCTCCTTCTGTGGGAAGAACAGTACTCAGTTGCCAATTGAGTTCCAGTGGTTCAACTGGTCAACGAAGTGAGATAGTGAAACCAAGGAATGATTAGGGGAAATTTTTATGTTTGTCAACACTTCTTTTCATGTCTTATGCAGAAAAGCTACCCTCAAACAGAAAACAGTATGTTATCTATGACAATTCAGTTTCCAGTCAATTTTGCACTCAGTGATGTAAACTGGCTCTCAGAAAACAAAAACACAAGCAACGCTGCTTTGTAGCAATTGCTGATCTTTTTGTGTAAATACTCTCATTATGGCTGATTTCAAGGATGACTATATTTAACTAGTGGCCAGCAAAATTTGTAGTTGGAAAAATTTCAATATGAGCTGGCTCAAGCACTTCCCTTACCCTCCTAATAAAAATAGGAGGGTAAAAATACCTAAGCAGCAATTCTGGAACTAATATTTCCAAAGTTTAGTGCGCAACATTCTTTCCTCTAAGATATTGAAACCACCAAGGGATGCAGCCCCAGAATTAGCTTACCCCAGGCCAGCAAGATTTGCTTCTACTTCTTTTTGAACTTTCTCCAGAAGGGGAAAGAAAAATTAAAACTATGGAATAAACAAATTAGCCAGTTTGGAGCTTCCTTCCCTCACCTTTGTCCCTATTCTCAGGTTAAGTGAAGCAGAAGTGTCCAGAATATTTTGGGAGAAAAAGCTTTATGTTTGCATTCAGCAAATAATGATTGAGTTCTTACTACGTGTCAGACCTGAGACTAGGCCCTAGATATGAAGTTGTGTGCAAGGAGATGGGGAAATGAATGCACTCAATGTCTCCCTGAATCCTAGTCTCGTAGATCTAATGACCCCCCCAGTGATGACCACAAAACCCTATCCTGGAACCTGTTTCCCTTGCTGATCTCTGGTTCCAACCTTGCTTCTTCCTTATTTTCCTCCTTCTTACCAACAACATCTCTTGCTTCTCATTTAACAAATATTTATTGAGCACCTACTATGGGTCAGGAACTCATTAAGGTGCTTGAAATGCACCAATGTAAAAAATAAAGATCCTATATATTCTACTAGTAATAGATTCTACCAGCTCATCAAGGCATTATTAAACACTTAGTTTCCTTAAAATGTCATGTGCTTTCTAACTCCTTGACTTTCCTCTATAAATACTTTTGGTCCCTTGTCTATTTGATGAGTGCTTAATTCTTCAGGATTCATTTAAGTGTCTTTTCCTCTAAGAAGTCACCTGACTCCCTTTGTCCAAACAAAGCTAATGCCTCCTTCTTTCATATTCTCATAGTATAGCCACATGTTTTCCTGTCCTTTTTTTTTTTCCACTTTAGGCTATGAGCTTTATGTGGAGATAGTAACTGTGTTGTTGTTAAGTATATTGGCCTACTATATACAGTTACTTAGGTTTAACTAACATAAGGAACAAAAAGAATGTCTAATATTCCAGGTTTCTGATGATGCCAATTTATAATGTAAAGGATTTAAATATATGCTGCTTTAATACATTCTTGCTTATGTTAACTTCATTTTAGGAGAGCTTCAGAAGAGTATTAATCACACTTGGATGCAGAGAGTATCTGAGAAATGTGGGAATGTTGGCTAAATCCAACATCCTTCATTATAAGTCTATAAGAAACCCTGAGGGATTTGCATTGTTGAACTTGAAACAAAAGAATAAGCAGCCAAGGATATAGAAGTAGGTGGTAATCTTCAAATCTCCACGGAATGCATTCTTTAGTAACCATTTGTCCCCATCCTTCCTGGACTAGATTGCACAGTGTCCTTTTCTTATTTGGAATGTTCAGGACAATGTGTTATTCATCTGCGCAGTCCCAGCACCTTGTGTGATACTGGCTATCAATGGGTGTTTGATGAATAAATGGTGCATTAGTTAAACAACAGGTTTAATAGGTATTTATTAAACTGAGCAGCTATTTCAACAAAGCCACTGAATTACCACAATGCCTTGTTGTCTAGGCACTACCAAAGGCATTACAAACTGCTGTTGCAGGCCAATTATTTAAGCAAATCTCGGATGTCAAAGAAAATGAGCAGCCAAAGAGAAAATATGCTTACTACACAAAATATGAAATGAGAGGGTTTACTTTACAGTAAAAAAGAAAATAAAATAAAAAAGAATATCTTATTATTATAAGATATAATTTTTGTAGGACTAGGTCTTTCAATATAAACACAAAACATTTATTGTCCAATGGAATATTTTTAAAAACAACTCAGTTTTGTATCAAATGGAAAAGCTACCACTGTAAAATACAGTCTCCACTAACAAATATTTACTGGGCATCCTTATGTCAGCTCATGTGGTACAAAAATTAATGAAACAGTCCTTTCCCTCCACAGTTTTAGAATAATGTAATTGCCACTGGGGTGAGGTATGGTTTAATTAAGAGACAGCCGAAGGAACAATTGATAGATCTAGTCTTTATTTTTCAAGTATATTTAACCTTGGCCATGTCAGTTATGCTCTCTATGTCCTAACTGCTTCTCAATTGTGCCAGAAACTAGGCTAGGCTTTAACCTGGAAACCGATGCAATCCCTGGAACCATAATAGATACTCAATAAATATTTGTTAAATGTGTGAATAAATAAATAAATGGATGAAGGCAGAATATCAAGAAGTTCTTTGCTCCTGCCTTGTCAATAGTCAGGATTTGGTGGAAGAAGCATGATTAGGAAACAATGCAAGAACTATTCTGCTTGAATGGAAGGTCAAGGAAGAGCTAAAGAGTTTTTCTTTCAACTATGTTTTTAAAATACTAAGTTTTCCAAAACGATTGGGCAATTCAGGAAGAAAAATTAGACTAAAAGTGAGAAAGACCTTGGTGGACTCTGGGGTGTGAAATTCCCTTGATGTGGCTGGGTAATAAGGTACAATAGGTGTAGAAGAGGGTGAAGTTAGTTAAGAAAATTATGTATCAACTTCATGTATGCATTCATGCAAAGATGTCTGTGACTAGTACAGTGACTCAGGAAAACAGTTTGACAGTTTATTACAAAGTTAAACATGCACTTACAGTATGACCCACACCTAAGTATTTACCCGAGAACCATGAAAACCTGTGTCCACACAAAATTGTATTCATGAATGCTTATTACATCTGCATTCATGATCAGCCAAAACTGTAAACAACCCAAATGCTCTTCAATAGATGAATAGATAAACAAACTGTGGCATATTGGAATACTACTCACCAGTAACAAAGAATGCAATATCAATAGATGAATATCCTGAATGAATCCCACAGGTGAGTGAAAGAGGCCATTTTTTGTTTCACAACATATTAGATGATGAATATGTTAGAGACTATGTCTCACAAAGAAAAAAAATATTCACAGAGAACACATCAGTTGGTTGCTAAAGGTTGGGGTGTGGGGCAACGGGGTAGCTAAAAGGCATATCCTGAATGAGTTTTTGAGGTAGATTACATGGTTCCCTGTGTAAATTGAAAGTGATGATTAGATGAATCTATACAATGTTTTAAACTGCATAAAACTGTATTTGCATAAAAGTTAATTTTGCTTCATGATAATTTAAAAACTAAAAGATGCTGGAGAATGAGATGAAGCCTGTAAAAGAGCTCTTTTTAAAATTCTATATTCCATAGATATAGTCATTTTCATTCCTTGAGCTCACTGCATCTTGAACATTAGTTTCACCAAGTACTGGGAACATTCGTGTTGCCAAATAATATATTCTGCTTCTGACACGATGTTTTATTTAGACTACTCACATGTTTTTTTCTCTGTAAAAATGATACAAATCACAGTCTGTACTTTTAATTTATAAATTTGTGGGTTTTAAGCAGTTTCTTCTGAAAAGTTTCTGGAAGTGCAAATGTGTTCTATTTTGGTGGGAAAAGTTAGATACGGAATATGCAATATTATGTGCTTAAATTGGATGAGGATTCATAGGAAAAAAAGCCTGGGAATGAGACCGGAATTTCCCCTCAATGTTCCTTTGGCAGTGGACTGGAATATAAAGACCCCTGTGTATTCATTGACTCTATAGTCTCATGCTATGAGCCCTGGATCTCCAGTCCAGAGATGACGCTTGCTGCTGTGCTTTACCATAACTTTGTCTATTTTATGTATATTCTTAATTTTAAAGTTGTGAAAAGGCAGAAAAACAAGAGACATCAGAGCTTATCTTTTTATAGATGGGGAAACCGAAGCCTCTAGGGTCCAAGTTTCTTGCCCAAGGTCACACTCAGGCCAGGAATAAAACCCAGCTATGTAGATGCTTGATTAAGTGCTCTCTGTTTTGTACTCTGCTGGGTGACACTTCAACTATTTGCTTGTAGTTTTTGAGAAACTATCCCAGAGTCTTCTATCCTTTTGCCTTCATAAAATAACTTTAAAAATGATAGGAAGTACACAATTCATTAACCCTGTGCTTCATAGAAATAAATCAAAATAGCCGTCCATTCTCTTTGTGGGCATTTGCAGGCAAAAGTGGCTTAATTTGAAGGTTCATACATGAGGGAGAAAAGGACCCTTGAGAAGTAGCCTGACCTCAGTTTCTTTTTTTTTTTAATTGTACTTGAAGTTCTGGGATACATGTGCAGAATGTGCAGGTTTGTTACATAGGTATACACATGCCATGGTTACATACCCAAGGGATTATAAATCATTCTACTATAAAGACACATGCATGTGTATGTTTATTGTGGCACTGTTCACAAAAGCAAAGACTTGGAACCAACCCAAATGCCCATCAATGATAGACTGGATAAAGAAAATGTGGCATATATATGCCATGGAATACTATGCAGTCATAAAAAAGGATGAGTTCATATCCTTTGCAGGGACACAGATGAAGCTGGAAACCATCATTCTCAGCAAACTAACACAAGAACAGAAAACCATGTTCTCAAAGTGGGAGTCGAACAATGAGAACACATGGACGTGGGGAGGGGGGCATCACACACCAGGGCCTGTCAGGGAGTTGCACACAGGAAAAATACTGTTCTTTTTATGGGGTGAGCCTAGGCTCTGACATGGTTTCAAAGAGTGGAGTGTGTGGACATTGAGTCATCCACACTCTCTTGCCTGGTTGTATTTGTCACATTGTGAGTGAGTTTTCCAGGTGTCTTTCTCAAGTTATTATCAGTCAGATTGAACCCAGTTTCAACCTTTGAAGGAGCAGGTGGCCCAAATGTCAATCTGATCTCTGACATAGGGTCATTTAGCACACTGAAAATGCAGTAGCCCAGGTGTTCAGCAACTTGATGTGGATTGCGACTTTGCCAGTAGCTTACCATGGGACTTAGAGCAAATTATTCTCCCTTGTAAGGCCTCACATTTCTTATGTGGAAAGCAAAAGATTGGTGAGTACCTGGTATACAGGCTACTCTTTCCCAATCTCAGGTCCATGAAAGCATCACTAGATGACCACAGACTAGATCTTCCTCTCTGAGTTCCAGAGCCCATATCCATAGCCATAACATAGTACTATAAATGAGAATTGCAATTATTCTTATTGATATATCATCATTGACATGTGCTTGATGTCAAAACATGTTGTGTTGAAGGAAAGATTAAACAAATACATTGATATTTGTCCTGGAATTAAAATCACTTTTTGACATCTTGCCTGACTGTACATGGAGCAGCTTAAACCCTCTTTCCTATACCCTCACCTGACACTGCAATGCTCTCCTCCTTGTCTGCTTCTGCTTCTCATGTGGCTTCTCCGAGAGTTGGACCTACAAGAACCGATTCAGTTTTTCATGCCTCTTTAGACAAAGCCCTTTGGGTACTGAGGTGAATAAAGCAGACTATTATCAGCATTAAATGACATTAGACAAAGGATATGCCTGAAGCAGGAACTGGCACATGGTTAATAGCCTGTCATCATCATCATTGTTACTATGATTATTATAATTAATAATTTAGAAAAAGGACTTTTACTGATCTTTTAGGAACTGATAATAAATATATATTCTCTATCTTCTTGACAACAACAAAATCGACTGTAGTTTCCAGATCTGAATATTTATTCTCTACTCTCTGAGGATGGCTGAGACAAACCCAATTTTGGTAGGGTTATTATTTTATAATTTCTGGACTCTACTGATGGGCAGTAGTATGTGAAGCCTTATTGTCTAGGATTCCTTTCAAAGGAGTAGTTCTCCCTTTTAACTAAAAAGAGAGAAGAAGGAAGGAAGAAAGGAAGAAAGGAAAGAAGGGAGGAAGGAAAAAAGGCACGCAAGAAAGATTCATTTTGCCCTACTAGAAAGTCAGTTCTCTATTTCCAAGAAATGCAGTCATTCTCACAGGCTTTTCCTATGCCCACACCCCAATCTCAAATAGATGTACCTATTATTTTCCATAGCATCATATATATTTCCTTTGTGCATTTCTTTCACCACATGTATATAAATTTAATCTACATGACAGGAGTGACTACTTCTATCTCATTATCTCATCTTCTTTGATTACTTTTACTTGAAACAGAGGAATTTCTTAAATAGTTATTTAAATCAATGATTTATAAGATAAGGTGAGAAGAGGAAAACAGTTTAAGAAGTAGGTTTCTTTCCTTCTTTTTTCTTTTTTAGATGGAGTCTCACTCTGTCACCTAGGCTTGAGTACAGTATTGCAATCTCAGCTCACTGCAACCTCCACCTCCTGGGTTCAAGAGATTCTCCTGCCTCAGCCTCCCGGGTAGCTGGAACTATAGGTGTGTACCACCACACCTGGCTAATTTTTGTATTTTTAGTAGAGATGGGGTTTTACCATGTTGACCAGGCTGGTCTCAAACTCCTGACCTCAAGTGATCTGCCTGTCTTGGCCTCCCAAAGTGCTGGGTTTACAGGTGTCAACCACCTAAGAAGTCAGTTTCATAGCTCCTGTGAGTAAGAAGAAATTGTTTTGACATCATCCCAAGAAGTAGAGTTACAGGTATGTACACAGCTGTTTACATTACTCAACACAAATTCTCAACCTAAGCCTTTGGAGACAGACCTTTAAAAATAACTGTTATTCTTTTGATCTTTTTTCTTTATAAATGTTATGTCCTCTTTTTTTCCTACTCAAAATATAATTGGGCTTTTAGATAGACAGAAGTGCAAAGTAGCCTTTGTTGAAGGTAAATGATGCTTAACAAGGTAATCATATCTCTGTCTCCCTATGAAACCGTCAGCAGATTCCACATTTTCAATCATTGCTTTTGGAATCTATCCTTCCTTTCTCTCTCTCTCTTTCTCTCTCTCATTCTTTTTAATGCAACAATGTGCTGGCATTAGTCTCAATGCAGAGAGCAGAGCTAGTCTGCAAAGGACTAATTACATCATGGTTACTTCTGCCACACTCTACATTGCCATTTATATACATTATCTTAAACCCTCATTTTAACTCTGCACAATAGATATCACTTCCACATTGTGCATAACCAAACTAAGAATAAAAAGGACAAAGAATGTGTTTTAGGTTCCACGCTTAGTAAGTGGTGGTCCCAGGATTCCAGCCACATCCTGACTTTTATTAAACTCCACAGTCATCCCTTTAAGCTTTGTTGTCTCCTAAAGATTTGTGACATTATAGAAGCAAGAAAAGGGAATCGAGTTCTTTTTTATTTACTTTTTTTTTTCTTAAAGTAACTGCAAGACACAAGACATGAAATGTGAAGGGGCATGGTGTATTCAGGGAACCCAGAGTTGCAGAGATTACTCTGAGAAGTGTGTCAGGAAATGCAGTAGAGTGATACAATAGGAATCCAAGCCCTAATTTGTAAGTCTGACCAATAAAATGATGATAGCTAAGCGGTAGCTACAAATACCACCCTACTCTCTTTGGGAACAATGGGATAAAATCTGCTCATTCCTAAGAAAATACAGACTTTCCTTTCAACTTTCAGTTGTGTAATTGATGATAGAAATAATTATCAAAGGGTTTTGAACTGGTAAGATTCATAGAAGTCTCTCTTAAAAAAAAAAAAAAAGGAATTCCATGGTAATCCGTGTTATATCCAATCCCTGAGTGGATGAGATGCCAATTACTGCCACCTGCCCCAACTTGTCTCAGTTACAACACCCCAGGGAAGGCCTAACTTAAGGCCCTGTCGAAAATGTCAGCCCTGCTTCTGGGGCCAGATGCAATAACTTCCCTTGAAGACTGCTGGGACTGGGTTCCATATGAAAAGCAACATTAAATCTTCCCTTAGGCTAAACAGGGACTGCCAAACTAGCACTCTGTTTTCAGTATACACAGGAAGACTGAACATTTCCCTCCAAAAGGAATGTGCCAGATGCTCTTGATAGGTTGTTTCATTTAATCCCCAATACCTGAAACCTATTTATCATCATTCCCAATTTACACATAAGAATATTGAGGCTCCAAATTCACTTGCTTTATCTGGGTAGACAGGGATTATTTTAGCAAATCATTCTTGCCCCAACATCTATCCTCTACCTTTCCCGTTATAAATGGTGAAAATTTGCTTATATTTATTTTGTATTCTTTATTTGGAAGCCCTCGCGTAAATTTCTTCTTATGGCCTTGGAAATTTTTTGTATCCATCCCCAACTCCCACCAAAAATCGAATTTCAAGTATATGGAGCTGAAACATGAACCACCATCTTGTTTTTTCAAAATAATACCTATAGAAATAAGATTGATACTAAGGAATGTCTCTGCTGAGATGGCCCCAACTGGCAAATATAAAAACAAGAAAGTTATTGACCATATTTGCAAGTTTTAGCCAAAAAACTGTCAAAAAATGCAAGTGATTGTTACCAGCTTCTGAAAATGATGGTAGTATTGATGTCAACAAATCCATATGTTAGATAAGCACTGTAAAATTTCAAGTTGCTGTTACAAGCAATATGTCATTAGTTGTTCACAGAAGTCCTATTATACAACTAGATTGGGAAATATGGGTGTCCATCTGTAAAATTCCTGGCTCAATAACTTAAAGCTATAGGTAGCGGACTCAGAATTCATTTCTAAGTATTCTGACTACACCGATTGCTACTTTCATAGCAGAGTTGCCTCCCAAAGCCTGTCTAATGCTTAATTATTGAACATCTATTCACTTCTTTATTCATCTACCTACTCTTTCAACAGTATTAATTTGTTTTCATTAGACATTATGCTGAGTGTGTAAAATCAAAAAAAGAAAAAAAAAGACTGAGTCTCTGTTAGCAAATAGCTCATAATTTCGACCAAAAGACTGGCATGTAACTAGGAATCATAATTTAGTGAAATAAATAAAACAGACAAAGATTGAGATCATCACAGGGAGCTCCAGGGAGAGCTGGAGTTTTGTTTAAAGACTTCACAGAAGCTGCTTGATGTGGACTTTGACAAATGATAAGATTTTGCCAGGTGGCAAAACATGTGATAAAATTTTCATGTAAATTTTTCTTGAACTGTTTATTATGTTTAATTAAAAGGAGCTTGGCTTCAAAAATACACAAATGATACGAATATCCTAACTATAAACTTAATTTAACAAGTCATATGTTTGTTTTTCTCCAGCTCAGGAAAACATTTAATTATGTTGGATCTGCCTTAAATCTGGAAGCTCTTCCAGTTGCATTGTTAATCAGTTAGTTATTGGTTGCTTTTCTGATTATTAACATTAGGAAACATGAGCATTCTTTGGCCTTTGCAGGAGTATTTGAATTTCACCTCAGGGAACTAGATAGTTCATATACAATTGCTTGCATTAATCTCACTGATTGATACAGAAACCTTTTTGAAGGGTATTGACTTATGTTTGAAAATAAAAGACAAAACAGAATCATGAATAGAAACAAACATACATGCTGGATGTTCAACAGTTGCTGCACGAATTAAGCATAGTTCCATCATTAGCTTCAATTAAATTATAATTTAGTATATGGCCATTAAAAACTGTTGTAGAGTGTGTGAAAATTAGGTATCCTTCTTCCCAATGCTCTTAACTAGTGTTCAAAAAACAAATCCCAGCTCCCAGCTGAGGCCAGACAGATAACTTGAATGAAACAGGCCACACTCCTGGGGAAAGAACATGTCCCAACTAATTGTGTAACTTCAAGTCAGCTGCAGTAAATACTTGCCATGCAGGAATGTGGACTATTGCTAGGTCTTCTAGTTTTTAGCATGAATTTGAAAAAGATAAAGTTGTACAGAAATCTCTGAATTTATTTTGTTCATTCATCATTCATTCATTCATTCAAAATGTTGACAGCTAAGCAAAACACATTATAGGGCTGGTTAGAGTCCACCAGCCACTGATTTAGGAATTCAGCTCTATATGGTGACGTGAAATCATGCAGAGGTTAAATAACTGACCCCCACATGGGAGAGTCAGTGTTAGGCCATCCTCATAATCAGGAGTACCACAGACCATTCTGATTCTATTTCTCGTTGCTTACCCTTATAATACTTTTATCTAGGTGGGGTCAAACTGATCATGTTCTAGGCAAGGATCTTTGTAGCAATGATCCAACAGACAGACACTGCACTTAACTGAATTATGAGTGCTGTGGGAATGACTGTGGAGGAGGACGCTGGGAAGGTTGGATCTGTCTCACTGATACACCTGCTGGGCACCCTCTACTTCCCCAGCTCCATAATGAGGAGATGCCTTAAACAACCTCTGAGGTCTCATCTAAACTATGCAATTTTACTTAAGTAATAATTATGGAAGCTTTACTAAAAGTGAAATAATTTTATTCTGCATCTTAGATAAAATCCTGCTTACTCATTTTGAAGTAAGTGCAGTGGAAAAATCAACCCAATCAACAGGATGATATATTATTTAACTAACTATAAACTCACAGCCTATTTGACCGGAAAGAAAAATATTAAAATGGTAACTTCTTTGTCTGAACCTCTGCATGGTGTTTACTTTAAAAACTAGAAAATTGGGCTGTTAATTGTTCTGTGATTGTTTTCATGTTTCTGTATTCTCTACCAAGTTAATGTGGGTGCTGTAGGAGAATGACTGTCCATGTTAAGGTACTGGAGTCAAGAGTTGCAATTTCTCTTCCTAATTCCAGCAACCTGAAGGCAAGATGGGATTGAAGATTCAATAGCAGAGGCTCTGGGGCCTGGATGCATGAGTTTGAATTACTATATAGTAGTCTCATTGTTTGGTACCCAGGTGTTTTGGGCAATTCCTTTAACAGCTCTGGGCCTCAGTTTCCTCAGCTGCAAAGTAAGGAGGTGTTATGTAGATATAATGAGTAGAAATGGTTGTAACAGTGTCTGGCATATAATAAGTGTTCAATACATGTCATCTATCATGATTAGGTTCCTTATAGCATAGATGCCTGGGGGATATCCAGCTGATGGATTTCCAACTGTCTGATCAGTGGCTCCAAGCATTTGTTGATAAAGAACAAGGGATAAAAGTGGACTGAATGGCTATAGTAAAGGGACAACTTTGAGGGGAAAGGGATATAGAATGGGGGCTTCCCTGGTGATCACCCCAATACATACCAATCCCCCTATGGCTTCATGAGACCATCTTGTCCTTATATTCCACACCTTGTTCATCCATCTTCTCAAACTGATAAACTACTACTCGAGCTCCAGAGATCAGTTCAATGCCACTGACTTTCTGGAGAAGCCCAAATCTCCCGTTTTCTTCTTGTGCTCTCACAACCCGATTTACACTCCAGGAGAGCAGAGCACTCAGCCAGTTGACCGGTGTTATGCTTTTGTCTCCCTCTTTATTCTATGAGTGTCCCCCAGGACAGAGATCAAGTTTGTCTTTATATCCCTTTGCAAAATGCCTGGCACATCACACAGACTCAGAAAATAGTTGTTCAATGAAAGAATAAAAATGTTTAGTGGCTTAAACACTGATGGAATTGATGAATGAATGAGCAAATGAAAATAGGAATGAATTATACACATTTTTGGCACCTAGTTTAGACTTGACTCTCCTTTTAGTTTTCCCTGGTTTAGAACAATGTTTGGACTAATCTAATATTATCTTTTAAAACACAGTCAAATTTTGTTGCAAACTGATTACAGCTGTAAAAAGAAACTAGATTAGTTGCTCACCACCTGGATTACATAACCTTTGGTTAGCCTCATTTTCTACTCCTGTTCAACTCAACACCACAACTCAATGTGGTCTCCGTGGGCTTCTCTGTCCTGCCACTGCCTGTGGGATTCTGTCTGACATGCCCTTTCTTCACTGCCCTTTGCCAGATTCTACTCATTCTCTGAAAAATCTCACTCTCCCCCAAAGTTGCTGTATTCATTTGACCTTTGTGAATATTTCACAATTACTATAATTATGAAAATACACTATTTTATAGTTTTATTATCTCCCTGAACATTAGTAAATTTCCTGAGAAGGTTTACATATCCCATTTTCTCTTCTACATCTCCTATTCACAGTGACAACATATTTCAAAACCAGCAACTGGGGCAAATATTGGAGCACAGCTATCATATACCAAAATACATTTCAGGTATATCAAATGTTTAAGCAAAAAATAATGAAATGATAAAGGCTTAAATAATATTAAAGGTAAACGTACTTAAGATACTAAGTATTAAAAATGGCATTAATATGTAAATATTAAAAATGGCATTTTTGCTCCTCATATTACTTTGTGGCAAATGGTAAATAGCAGCAGCTGGGTCAGAAAAATCATATCCTGCGTATATGAAGTATACTTACAAATCAGTAGAAAAACATATCCAAAGAAAGTTAAATAAATACATAAATAATACAAAAAACCACAAGAATCAGATAAAGCATTCATACTGTCTAGTGATCAAAATGCAAATTAAGTGAAAACCGAGCTAAAAATCAACATTAGAGTTCATATTTCTGTGATGTTTTCTGAAGGCGGTTTGGTGATAGGTATCAGAAAGGCTCAGAACATCCACGTCCTCTCATCCAGAAATTCCACTTACAGAAACACCGATGAGTGAGATGGGAGGGAAAGATGCGCTCGCCAACGCTGATAGGGTTGTTTCCTTTGCTCTTTTTTTATGGTATTTCCTCTTCTCTAAAAAATATACATTTTCTATTCTTTCTATGAATAATGTATTATGTATTTGTATGAAAAATTCTTAAAATAACTTAAAAATGCAAAAATTCTATCATCTCTCATTCTGTCTATCTAAACATCTACCTATAGATCAATCGATCTATCTAAAAGACATACAGCTAATACTGTTGACTATATCCCCCTTTTATGGTGCAGGGTAAGCATAGAAGCTTTTTTTCAGCTTTTATTGTGTAGAATTATGAATTGTGTTTTAATAATCATGAGAGAAAGAGTGGATTTTCTAAGAAAAAGCCAGGGTTTTTACATTACACACTTGAGTTGAATTATGGCTTTACTTCTCAGCTGTCTGGCTTGGGGCAGTTTCCATAGTTTCTTGGAACCTTAATTGCTTCATCAGTAAAGAAGTTTTCTAACACCACCCTTTCAGGTGTGCTGTGACAGTTACATTAAATAAGGTATGTAGAGAATCCTGCAAAATTCCAGGTGCTCAATACATGATTACCATTTCACAGGGGGGAGCTCTTAGAAACAATAGCTAATTGGTTTTAAATTGAGGAACTGTTTCAACAAGGAGGTCCTGTTCTGAAAATATACGTCTATGGACTTTGCACATGCTGGGTGATGAAGTTAACTTCTTTGGCTACAGAATGTGGGCCTATACTCTCTAAAGGCTGGGCTCTCTGATCCTGCCAGCATCTTTGGCTAATATCCTGCTTGGTGTGTTTTCTTTACATACTGGGCTCTCTAACTCGGGTCTAGGCATTATGTGGAGCAATCGCAGGGCTAACGTCAGGAAGCCGAGGGAAGAAAACAGATGTAGGAAAAAGAAGCATCAATGCCTGCTTGCCAAATCCTTCTTTATAAGTTTTCCCAATGAAAAAAACCCTCTCTAAAGCCATTCTTTAATACGCTCTCTCTCTCCCCCTCGCTCTCTCTCTAAAATTGTGTTTGATTTTTTTTCTTTATCACATTACAGTCTCTGAATTATCTTCAGGGTCTTACAGGCTCTTGTGGCTTTGTCATATCACCATCATGCGTTCCCTAATCCCCTCCTTTTCTGCTAGATGTGTATGATGGATAACGAGAGATGTGATAACAGATAGGGCAAGGGTCATTCTGGGCTCTGTGAGGTCTCAGCATGGCAAACAAAGCAATGAATTTAGGACTCCTTGCCTTGAAGACTGATGCATTGAGGGCCAAGAACAAGGCAAATGGGGCCTGTTCAGTGAGGCGTTTCTAGAATGTGGCATAGTGAAGGTGTTCAAGAAATGTTTGCCCATCTAACAGTAAGCCTTGCCTATGAAACCTGCCAGGCTGTGTGCTTACAGTCATGATCTACTAAGAGGCTGTACCCTCAAAAACAGTTTGTAAATCCCATTCCTTCTTCCCAGCCAAGTAATATTTCTGCCAAGTCCCTACATCCTTCCTTAAATACTTTCCGGGCAGCTCCATGTTAATTAAAATGTATGTGAGGTGGAAATAATTTTGACACAGTGTGGGGTTCAGGCTGCCTAGGTTAAATTAGTTTATTCATCGAAAATGTCTGACATATGGGAGGCCAAATGGGAATGCTAATTCTCAGCAGTGGGAAGGGGGCTGTCCTAGCAGATTTGCTGCTGTCTCTTTGGAGAAATCACCCCAGATTTTCATGAGCAGCCTTTTTACCCATGTCTCAGATACAGGCTTCCCTTATATAGACATTTGTCTGTTTGTCTGTGATTTGCTCATTCTTAAGTGCTCAATGAACAAAAGTTTCACATTCATATTATAGGAAATGATCTCAGAGACTAGAGACAGGAGGGGGACTACCCACTTACCCTTCTCTCCAGCCCCCCAACCAGAGGGAACCCCTTCATTGGAGGGGTGCTTTTGCAGCTTGGTAACCAGCTCCCACAGGGAAGGGGTGATGAGCAGCAAGGGTGGCCGGTGACTCAAGGGTCTGGGCACAAAGCACTGGTGGTGGGTGGTGTGACCATTTCTGAGACACAGTTAGTACTCATTCATCTTTCCAGGATCTCAAGGATGATCCTCACACTGCTGCATTTCCCTCCTCATCCAGGGCTTCATTCTTCCCAGAGTAGGACAGAACTGTTACAACGGAATCATCACATGGTTTGGTGTAGGTCAGATATTTACCAGAAAGATATATCTTGACATATCCTGGAAGGTTACATGGGAGATAAAGCAGATTCTTGCAATACTTATGATGAGACCTATCTTTGGGAACAGAGGAGAGAAAGAGAACATGGGGGTGGAAATGAGACTTAGTTGGTCTCATCCTTCCTTCTTTCTATGCAGGTTCATCCCCAAAGCAAAGCGATCCCTGGTGACTTGGGAGGAGAGGTGCAGGGATGAGGAGCTAGTTCCAGAAACTGGAATTCAGAGAGCAAATTAAGTAGCAGAGACCAGCAATCTGTCAAATGGAAACAGGAAGGGAGAGAGGCCTTTGCCTCTGGTCACCCCTCCATGACTCAGGCTAAGTCCAGAGGCTGTTGTGAAAGTAACAATGACCATGAAAACAATAATAGCTGCTAACGTAAACAGAACAATGTGAGCATTGTTTCATTTAATACACACATTTAATACCGCATCTTCCGGTACCAGGTACACGCACACGCACATGTGCACACATACAAGGTAAGCGCGATCTTACTCTGTTTACTGATAAGGAACCTGGAATCTGACAAGGTTAAATAAATTGTCTGAGATTGTGTAGTTAGAAAGTGGTGATGTTATGATATGAATCCAAGCTCTCTGGCTCCAGAGCTTCTCCTCAACCATTCCATTCTGTATTCTAGGGCTTTTGCTTCAGATTTTCTAAAAAACATTCACATCCCTACATGCACATTTAAAATGCAAACGATTTTCATTACTAAACTCTCCAATCACATATATCGTTTAGCATCATGGCGGCGATGATAGAGACTGGGCTAATCTATGCACCCACCAACTATTTATTTTGTAACAGCATTTGCTGAGATACAATTGATCTTCCATAAAATTTACCCTTTAAAATGTATCCTCCAGTACTTTTTAGTGTATTCAAAGAGTTGTGCAACTATCAATCTTATTGAAGTTTAGAACATTTTCAGAAGCCCCATATCAATTAGCTCATTTACTATTCCCCTTTCCCCAGTGCCTGGCAACCACCAATCTACCTTCTGTCTCTATGGAGTTGCCTATTCTGGGTATGTCATATAAATGGAATCATATGATATATTGTATTTTGTGACTAGCTTCCTTCACTTAACATAATGTTTTCAAAATTCATCAAAGTTGTGGCATGTGTCAGTTCTATTATTTTCTGTGGCTGAATAATACTTCATTGTATGTGCATACCGTAATTTGCTCATCAGTTCATTTGTTGGACTTTTGGCTATTGTGAATAATGATGCTATGAGAGTTTGTGTATAATTTTGGTGTGGGAATATGTTTTCATTTTGGGGTATATGGCTAGGAGTGGAGTTTCTAGGTCATAGGGTAATTCTATGTTTAACTTTGTGAGGACTCTCCAAACTCTTTTTCAAGGTAGTTACACCATTTTACATTTCTGCAGCACTGTATGACAGGTCCAATTTCTCTACATCTTCACCAACACTTACCGGTTTTTTTTTTTTTTTTTTTTGAGACAAAGTCTGGCTCTGTCACCCAGGCTGGAGTACAGTGGCACAATCTCAGCTCACTGCAACCTCCACCTTCTGAGTTCAAGCAATTCTCCTGCCTCAGCCTCCCATGTAGCTGGGATTACAGGCTCCCACTACCACACCAGGCTAATTTTTGTATTTTTAGTAGAGACAGGGTTTCGCTATGTTGGCCAGGTAGTCTCAAACTCCTGAGCTCAGGCATCTGCCCGCCTCTGCCTCCCAAAGTGCTGGAATTACAGGCTTGAGCCACCATGCCCAGCCCTGTTTTCCATTTTTTATTATTTTATTTTATTTTTTTTTTATTATACTTTAAGTTTTAGGGTACATGTGCACAACATGCAGGTTGGTTGCATATGTATACATGTGCCATGTTGGTGTGCTGTACCCATTAACTCGTTATTTAACATTAGGTATATCTCCTAATGCCATCCCTCCCCCGTCCCCCCACCCTACAACAGGCCCCGGTGTGTGGTGTTCCCCTTCCTGTGTCTATGTGTTCTCATTGTTCAATTCCCACCTATGATTGAGAACGTGCGGTGTTTGGTTTTTTGTCCTTGCGATAGTTTGCTGAAAATGATGGTTTCCAGCTTCATCCATGTCTCTACAAAGGACATGAACTCATCATTTTTTATGGCTGCATAGTATTCCATGGTGTATATGTGCCACATTTTCTTAATCCAGTCTATCATTGTTGGACATTTAGGTTGGTTCCAAGTCTTTGCTATTGTGAATAGTGCCGCAATAAACATATGTGTGCATGTGTCTTTATAGCAGCATGATTTATAATCCTTTGGGTATATACCCAGTAATGGGATTGCTGGGTCAAAATTATCATCATCTTACTAGGTGTGAGGAAGTATTTCATAATAGTTTTGATTTGTATTTTCCTAATCGATAATATTGTTAACTATCTTTTCATATGTTACACTTACTGGTCATTTGTATATCTTCTTTGGAGAAATGCTTATTTAAATTATCTGCCTATTTTATTATTTTATTTTATTTATTCTATTTTTTTGAGACAGGGTCTGGCTCTGTCGCCCAGGCTGGTGTACAGTGCATGATTTCAGCTCACTGCAACCTCTGCCTCCTGAAGGAAGCTCAAGCCACCCTCCCACCTCAGCCTCCCAAGTAGCTAGGACTACAGGCACATGCCACTATGCCCTCTAATTTTTGTATTTTTTGTAGAGATGATGTTTTGTCATGTTGCCCAGGCTGGTCTTGTATTCCTGGGCTCAAGCAATCCACTCACTTTGGCCTCCCAAGGTTCTGGGATTACATGCATGACCCACTGCCTGGCCTTTAAAAGTGGCTCTCAGCCTGGGCATGGTGGCTCACGCCTGTCATCTCAGCACTTTGGGAAGCTGAGGCAGGTGGATCACTTGAGCTCAGGAGTTTGAGATCAGCCTGGACGACATAGTGAAATCTCATCTCTACAAAAATTAGCCTGGCCTGGTGGTACGTGCCTGTAATCCTAGCTACTAGGGAGGCTGAGGCACAAGAATTACTTGAACCCAGGAGGTGGATGTTACAGTGAGCCAAGATCGTGCACTGTAAACTCTTAGAGAGGGAAGAAATACAAATTGAAGCAAGTAAAATATGACCTACACGTAACAGCTCTTTATGTATTCTGGATACAAGTCCGTTAACAGGTACATGTTTTCCAAGTATTCTTTCCCATTCTGTGGCTTCTCTTTTCACTTTCTTCATGGTCTACTTTGAGGTGCAGATGCTTTTACCTTGGATGAAGCCCAATTAATCATTTTTTGCTTGCTTGTGCTTTTGATGTCATATATAAGAAACCATTTCCTAACCCAAAGTCCAAAAGATTTTCTTTTATGTGTTCTTCCAAGAGTTTTATTGTTTCAGCTTTTAAAATTTAGGTGTCTTATCATTTTGAGCTAATTTCTGTATATGGTGTGAAGTAGAGGTCTGGCTTTACTCTTTTGAATATGGATATCCAGTTGTCTCAGCACCATTTGTTAAAATCTGCCAGTTATTTTTAAATCATAGTACCATGTTTATTATTTTGTAAATAATATAATAATCTACCATGTGTGGATGTAGCAAGAAGGTACCATCCATGTAGCAGACACACCCCTCACAGGACACTGAATCTCCTGGTGCCTTGATTTTGGACTTTCCAGCCACCAGAACTGTGAGAAATAAATTTTTGTTTTTCACAAATTACCCAGTCTATGATATTCTTGTTGTAGCAGCCTGAATGAACCAAGACACCACTGTATTCACAGTAACTAGGACAATGCTAGGTATATATTATATGCTCAATAAATATCTGTTTACTAACTAAACTCTTAAATTATATGATGCTATCAACATATACATTTAAATTTCAAACAAATTAGAGCATTCTATGGTAAGTCCCAGGTGCCAATTAGGCCTCTAGAATTATGACTCCTTATCACTGACGTCTCACAAGGCAGCTAGCAGAGGTTAGAAGACTTTGCATCTTCAGGTACCAGGATTTCCTCATATAGGACCACATACCCAATCCTCTGCTAGCTGTCACCATCTATTACCTCTCAAAAACAGCAACAAAGATATTTCCCAATATGTTTAGAAAGCCAAAAGGATGGATGTAGGGATTCAAGGAGAGAAAGGGATAGAAGAAATATATTAATAGGTATGTGTGGTGTTGAGGTTCTCAACCAGGGGTAATAATTTTGTGATTATCTCAAGGATTTGAGGATAGTACCACTAGAATAAAGGAAGAAGGAGCAAAGGATGATGAACAACCTATAATGTAAAGAATCGTCCCATGAACACATCCCTGATGCCAGGAGCATCCTTTTTGAGAAATATCGGTGCAATAGAGAAAGAGCTGATGGACAAAATTCTGAGTCCTGAGCTTGTTTTTTCACAATTACGGCGTAAGACCCTGGAAAATGAAGCCCTTAATTTCCTGTCCCTGAGAAATGGCATGAAAATAGTCTCTGCACAGGATAATTGTAAAAATTGAGATACCATATGCAATAAAATCCCATTGTCAGTAAGGTATAAATACCAGCTTTTCTTTTTTTCCTGTAGTCTTTCAGAAGAGAGAGCAAGCAATGAAAAAGGAGAAAGAGAATTAACAATCAAAATAAAAAGTCCGCTGCAAACGACCATAGTTTTATAGGTTGATCACTGGTTGATCTTCTGGAGGCCACATAATGTATAAAATATAATTTTATTGGTTCTAAATTTCTCTCTATGCTGTATTCCCTTTGTCCAGGTACTAGGCATATGTCATCCACTTGCCCAACTCAGCTTTTAACAATTAGATTGCCTTCCTCAATTCTCTTTATACAAGTTACAAACTACTAAAACCTGCCTCCATCTAAGCAGTGTGGTGTTTTGGAAATGAACCTGAATTTGAATCTCACGTTTTTTAACTTACTAGCTGTGTGGCCTTGGACAAGTTACTACAATGCTCTGAGCTTCAGTTTCTTCAGTTATAGCTTCCTTTTTACTTGAATGTGCATGAATCACATTCAAGTTAAAGGAATCACCGAAGAACCACAACTTGAAAAAGAATAGAACAGGCTGGGCATGGTGGCTCAGGCCTGTAAACCCAGCACTTTGGGAGGCCGAGGTGGGTGGATCACAAGGTCAGGAGTTCAAGTCCAGCCTGGCCAATCTGGTGAAACCCCGTCTCTACTAAACATACAAAAAATTAGCCGGGCGTGTTGGTGGGCGCTTGTGGTTCCAGCTACTCGGGAGGCTGAGGCAGGAGAATTGCTTGAACCTGGGAGGTGGAAGTTGCAGTGAGCCAAGATCGTGACATTGCACTCCAGCCTGGGCAACAAAAGCAAAACTTTGTCTCAAAACAAAACAAAATAAAACCAATAGAACCAAGGAAACCAAGGTAGCCCTGGGAATCTATTAGGAGACACTGAACATTGTTTAATTCAAGGCTCCAACACAGGTGTCAACAGGCTCTGACTTCTTCAGTTCTGTCTCACTTAGTTTAAGATTCAAATTCCTGAGGAAAAAAATCTGATTGGCCTAGCATCGGCCATGTGCCCATCCTGCCACTCTGACTGCCACTCTTAGACTTAGAGGAAAGGGTTGTCCTATGGAGAGAACTGCTTGTTAGTGACTTGACCACTGGACAGGCACTCAATAGACCCATGGTGAGCTGGCAGAAAGTGGGCTGCAGGAATAAGTACTGTGACCTTACTCTTTTCCAGCTCTTCCTATCTCTTACTAAATGCCTCCAACTGGCCAAAGCTAACTGGCAGCCCAGTGGCAAGGGCTCACAGATACGGCCTCTAAAATGTCAGGTTCATGGGCAGCACAGTTGGGTGAAGAAGGGTGAAAATGGATCTGAAGGGGTTAATGGTAAATACACAAAGCTTGTATTGATAATGTCCCTAAAACATCGTGGCAGTGAATCTCTTTCTCCCTTCCTGTTTAAGAAAAAGGCCCCAGTGACTTATCTTATCCCAGAAGGAAAAACTCTGTGTGCAATCCCTGGTCCAGGAAATTCCTAATAACTTGGAAGTGGCCAAAGCCATGAGTCAGTGGGTCTCTATTCTCTTTTTCCTTGGTTAAGTCTCGTCTTCAGCAAAGCCCCACTCCAGCTGTGAGGTGCCCCCTCCACCTACCCCACGCCTTGAGAAGCCTCATGGAGCCTGTGGGTGGCAGTTCTTCCTACGCTGGTGGCACTCTGAGCTTCTGCCAAGGTTGAAGGAAGCCACTTCAAAAGATACCACTGATAAATGGAATCAGAAGGGCCCTGCTTCCGCACAAACTGTTTCTAAGCACTTTTCACCAGGGCCCATTCTTGAGGCTATGGGTAATGAATGGGGGCCTCTCATCCAGGCAGTCATTTGTCAAGTACAAACTCATCCCTCAGTGTTAGGAATGTTGGGGACCTGAGGGGTTCCATTTGAAAAGAGGGAAAATATGGTTTCTTCCATGGCCTGCCTATGTGTTCCCTCTAATTCCTAGTTGCTAAGTAAGGTTGGAACACTTTTCAGTTTACTCTTAGAAGATAATTTATAATTTCTGATGCATTAGGCATAGATGAACTCAAGTTAAATTTATACTTTTCTTCCATCATTTCCAAACGAATTCAATTGCTATGATTCCATTGTTTAGGAAAACAAATAAAAATAGATACTTGTAGCAAAGGAGTGTTTCATTTTTGCAAGGGCAGCATGATACAAGGAAGCACTGAAACGGGGCTCCCAAACCTGGATAATAGTATTGTTTGAACTTGCAAAGCCATTTTTCCTCTTTGGGCCTCAGTTTCAACGTTTACAATGAGAGCTGGGTGGACAAGAAGGGGATGATTCAAACAGTCGCTGTGATCCAATATACAAAGAAGGATACTTCATAGCAGAAGTGCTGAAAAGAAATTATGCCTTCAGGAAGAAGCACATTGTGATCAGGGAGAGCTACAATGATTGGTGATTTGCTTTTTAAATTTCCCAAGTTGAGTTATGGATGCAAAAGAGTTTGCATTCCATTTTTCTTAATGCCTTTTTGTGTTTTAGTGTTTTGGTAATAAAGAAACAAAGATAGGCTGGGCACAGTGGCTCATGCCTGTAATCCCAGCACTTTGGGAGGCCGAGGAGGGTGGATCACCTGAGGTCAGGAGTTCACGACCAGCCTGGCCAACATGGTGAAACCCCGTCTCTGTTAAAAATACAAAAAGTTAGCCTAGCATGGTGGCACACGCCTGTAATCCCAGCTACTCAGGAGGCTGAGGCAGGAGAGTCGCTTGAACCCTGGAGGAGAAGGTTGCAGTGAGCCAAGATCGCACCATTGCACTCCAGCCTGGGTAACAAGAGCGAAACTTCGTCTCAAAAAAAAAAAAAAAAAAAAAAGAAAAGAAAAGAAAGAAACAAGGATATAAGACTGTTATTGTAGCATAGTTTTGTTTTGATCTCATGGTACCTACAGGTAGTATGTGGTAATGGAAAGAAACTGAGATTTCAGACCTAGGCTCCAATCCCAAAGTTGTTGAACCCTGCATTAAGTCCTGTCAACTATAAAAATAAAATAATAATACTTACTTCATAAGATTTCTTTGAGAATTAGAGATGAAGATGTAAAAGTACTTTATGTAAAAGTACCTTGCCTGTAGCAGGTATTCAATAAATGGGGACTCTCTTTATCTCCGTGTTCGTGCTTGTTCACATTTGCCTGATGATACTCAAAGATCTTGGGGCACCTGGGAGAAGAAGGCTTGGCTACATCGTGTTGATCTTGGCTAGCTGGTGTTTCTGCTGTTAGTATTGATCTTTCTTCTTGATAACAGTTAAGATTAACTGTGCCTCTGAATGACAGGAGCATTGTGAAAACCAGTTCCTCAAGGTGGTCTGAGAAATGGTGGCAGCAACATCTAAATCTTTGTAAAAGCCCGGTTTTTAAAATACAAACAAATTTTCATGGGAAAAGTGGGAGAGGAAGCCATCAGGGGATGGAATTGAGTCAGCAGAGGGTGTCTAAGCCAACTTAGTGACAAGATTCCCTCCTGTTAAAACAAAAAGGTAGCATAGAAGAGTGGGTCAGAGCATCAACTCTAGAGCCAGACTGTCCAGCCCAATTTTGAACTTTGAATTTTCATTTGCTGACTATGTGAGCTGGAGGAAGTTATTTAACCTGTCTTCACCTCAGTGTCTTCACTTGAATGATGGTGTCAGTAATCATGCCCAAAACTTAAAGGGTTGTTATGCCAATTCTATGTGTCATATGTATGTTTTGAGAAGGAGTCTCGCTCTGTCACCCAGGCTGGAGGGCAGTGGTGCAATCTCAGCTCACTGCAACATCCGCCTCCTGGGTTCAAGCAATTCTTCTGCCTCAGCCTCCTGAGTAGCTGCGATTACAGATGTGCATTACCACACCTGGCCAATTTTTGTATTATTAGTAGAGATGGGATTTTGCCCTGTTGGCCAGGCTGGCTTTAAACTCCTGGCCTTAAATGATCCACAAGCCTCAGCCTACCTAAGTGCTGAGATTACAGGTGTGAGCCCCCGTGCCTGGTCTGTATTTGTCAATAGTTTTTAAGTGCTTAGAGCAGTACTTGGGATGTGGTGAACAGTATATACGTATTTGTTAATAAAACAGGTTGCCAGGTGATAAAATCTCTGTTTAAAAATTTAGAAACTTCAGGAGAGGCTTCAGATTAGTACTCACAGGTTTGGGTCAACTTTTCTCATATTATTAATAATGAACTCAGGTGTCGCTTGGGGCCTCTCTTCACATAGGGATTTCAGTGACTTTGGCTTAATGCTCTAGACTGCTACAATTAGGGTAAGTGTAGAGCCTTCTCCACGACTTTTGAATATGTCTGTTATTGTAATAGAGACTGGAAGTTGAGCCTTAAGCTTCTCTTTCATGCAAAAGAAGTGTGAAAGTAAATGTTTCAGTGTAGGTTGGTGGCTGTCCTGTAAACAAGAACCCGGCTATCATTCAAATCTACCTCATGACTTCCACGCCCAAAGTCGCTGCCTACTCCCAGATGGCTGCTGGAGTTCCAGCCATCACATTGCAGTTATAGGCTAGAATAAAGATTTTTAAAATGGAAGGAAAAAAAAAGCCCATATTGACTATTTTTTTAAGAACCCTTTGGCAGAAATTTAGAAATTTTAGAAAATAATTCTGCCTCCATCTCTTTGACCAGAATTTAATTACACGGCCTCACCTACCTATAAGAGAGAATTGTAAGTAGCCTTTTGGATGAACACACTTTCAAGAGATAGATACTGGGAGGTAACTAACCATTCTTGCCATATGGTTCACTCGTCATTGCTTGCAAATAAGCTTAGACCCACATACAAACCTAGCTGTACACCATGTCTCTCACCAGCTTTCTGAAGAAATCCATCCCACAATATTTTTATAATCCTAGTGAATATTACCATGGGGATCAGAGGCGTGAGAATCAGAAGTGAGTTATTTGGCTATTTGAGCTTATATCACTGTCCCCAACAATATGTATATTCTGTGAACCTCCCCATCCTTCCAAAAATTGATTTTACAAACCTCCCTTATCCTTCAAAAAATTGATTTTATAAAGCCAGAGCTTCCAGCCTATAACTTTTTTCTGCTGCCCACAGATCACTGGAGTATACTATCTAGCCCCTGCCATTTCCCCTGAGCTATCTGGGGGACTCAAGTGTAAATCGTGAGAAAGCTGGTTAATAACCAACGGATAGCAAGCATTTATAAAGTGCTCACCATGTGTCAAGTGCTTGTTACATAACTTTAATCTTTATCAAGGAAGCTGCTGTCCCATTATTACCAATCAGAAAATTCAGGCTTAAGACACTGTAGTAAACAGCACAATTTCATTTAAACAGTGCTTTACCTTTTAGTGTGAGTCATTCATTCACAGGCTTGGGTCAACTTTTCAACTATTAATTATTAATAATGGGCATGCATGCATTCAATTCCATGTTCTTTCATTAAATGTTTCATTATATTTTTATAATAGTTCAATGAAAGCATAAATGACAAGTTGGGGTCTCAACTAGGGTCAAATAGTCAAATAAATTCTATGCTTTATGTGATTTTTCTATCTACAATTCTTTTCTCCTCCAGAAGAGATAAGCTTGCTTTCTTCAACTCTCTCACAAACTGCAGTCATTTCCAGATTCCTTCTCCTCTAGGCACATTCTAATTTGGCAATGGCACTCTTGAAATGCAGCATTCAGACTTGAATCTAATTCCTAGAAATGGTCAGTCTAACAAAAACAAAATGAAACACAAACCCTAATTGGTAAGACTCTTTAGTATAGGTAGTTAGATCAAAGAGAAAAACTACTCTAATTAAAACAATACATTTGTATTACTAGCACCAAGTGCTAAGTCTAGCATAAAATGAGTATTGAGTTTTTAAAAGAACTCAGGTTGAACACCTTAGAGATGATTATATTTGGTGGAATCACACAGCTGTCTACAGATGTCTGAAGGGTTGCCATGTGGAATTAAAATTAGAATTACCTCTACTATTTGTACTAAATTTCTATCACTAATAATAGCTATTATTTATGGAAAACTTTCCAATTATCAGCTACTTTGCTAACTATATGCCTTGGAATATCTGTTATTTATTCCCTATAACAATTTGATTATGTAGAATTATTGTGTCTATAAAATACAAAAGCCAGCTGAGCTTTGGAGAAGTCAACAACCTACTTAGGAACTCTCAGAGAGTAAGTAGCAATAATGAGAATCAAACTCATGGCTCCTCTGATAAAACCCATAGCAGTGAAATTACTGAATTTTGGATCATTCCCAGTTCTTCTCAGGGCCTCAGTTTCTCACCTGTAAAATAACAGGTTGAGTCATAGGGTGTATATAAGCAGTAGTATGCTGGAGCTGGTTCTGAGAGCCAATGGTTATAATTTTGTGAGCCGGTTTTAAGCATAGCCATCGTTAACAATGAAATTATAAAAATTTCCACTTAAACATATTACATTAAAAATCAAAGATAATAAAAACTCAAAATCATGATTTACTAATTATTTTACCTCATTTAATTATCATCCGTGCTTTTGAGGCTATTTACATCTATTGTGTCTGTGTGATATAAATGAAGAATGTGCTGCTGCACTTTTATTCCCAGCTCTAATTCAATGAAGTCATGTTGGTAGCTTGAAATCTGCCAGGTGGGAGTATTTACATCATGGAAATCAGCAAATGCTACAAATCAGGTTTTGGATTATTGTTTTGTTGATCGTATTGACTTATGAAAGTGATGAAAAATATTAATAATGCACATTAAAGTGTGTCATACTGACAGTCATTAAATATGAGTAGCATCCAAAAATGAGAAAATATTATTCTAGTGTTTAGAAACTACTACCTAATTAAGAGAATAAGACACTCAATGTCATTGATGAATGAGAGAAGTTCCAACATATGTCTTTGTTGTTTCACTTTTGTTGCACCCATTAACATAAATGAAAATGTCCAGTAACATTCATTTGTCAATTGAACCTATAGGTTATCTATAATTAAAAGAGTTCAGTAAAAGTCATCAAAAAATTTAGTGAGAATCAAGTGACCTTATGAAATTTATAATAAAGAATATTGAAATTTATAATAAAGAATATTGTCTCTATTATTTGCTAATTAGTGCTGAACATCCTTTATAGTAATAAAGTTAAACATATATGTTTAAATATAAAATGTATACACATGCACACACACGTGTGCACACAAAGCACTGTTTTGAGAGTTGGTTGTTAAACATTCACCAGCACACCACTGTCTGTACAATCTTTCTCATCTTTAATTGTTCAGGGGTTTAACTAGGGCCAGTAGGTGGAGACCACAGGGAAACAAAGACTATGAAGAACTTGTCCAATAGTTGGAAATGTGTAGAGGTGGAATGGGCTGCTGAGGGAGGTCTGCAACATTTTGCTGAAGATAAAGCCACTTGATGGGGGGAGAAGGATGCAGATGATGTCAAAGTTTCTTCCTTCCCAATCAGAAATTTTCAGAAGCCTCAGAGGCAGGCTATCAATGTGAGAGGTGGGAAGAGTGCACTGACCAGGCAGTAGCCAGTGGTTTGTGAGACTTACAAGTTATGAACTTATTAAGAGTCTTATGTACTTGTTGCTATCTTTTCATAAATTGAAACTTTCTCAGTGACCAGGGTCAGAATTTTATTCCTTGAGTCCATTTCCTCCACTTCTGTGAATGCTTCCACAATTGCAGTGCATTTAGGTGTTTATATATGAGCCTGTGATGTGAGAATCTTCTGGGGCTGAGGCGTGTGTCTAACCATAAATGAAAGAGTTGCTTGAGAAATTGTTTTTTTCTGATTCTGATCTGAGTGTATTTTGAGGGAAATCAATACAAATTTAATTCGTTCTCCATTTTCAGTTCCTCAAGCTCTAGAACTATGCTGAGATTATAAGAAAACCTCTCAATAAATTCTCTCACATCCACAGCCCCTCTCCACTGTCTCATCTATAAAAACAGAGTTGTTTTTCCTTCATCAATAGATAACATCCTAACATGTTATCTCTGGATTACAGGGTTTAACTGTAGTGGGTTCCTCAGAAATTCAGGATTGAATTCTACCAGCAAATCAAATCAATAGGTAAATCAACTGAATTCAAAAGCAAATTAGTGAGTCTGTCTTTTTATGAAGCTGACATTGATCTTGGTTAGCATCAGTGAAAAGCCAAGTACAGAGAGTTTAGATGTAAGGACTCTCATTTTGATTGAGAATCTATTTTGTTTAAGAATTCTACTAAACACATAACACACACCATCTGTTTTAATCTTCCCTATTTTGTAAGAAGAGAAACTGAGGCTAAGAGATTAAGATAGCTTGCCAATGCCAAACACATTGTAGATGGCAGAACCATGATTTGAACCCCCAATTCCAAATACCACTGTTTTTCAAATGAATCCTGTGGCTTCTGTACAAAGCTTCTATTTTAAAAATCAACTGATGTTTCACAGTCACCTATTGGAGTAGTTTATTATAATGACAAAGAAAGGGGAAAAGGGCTATTTGAAAAATAACATGGAGATTGCTTTGGTTGTTCTTGACTGACTCAAAGACAAAAAAAGGAACCAAAAATGGAAGAAAAAAAAATACCCATCCTGGGCCTGAACCCTTAAACCCATATGACCCAGGTGCATACCATACATTCAACCGTCAGGAAACACTCCACTTCCCTACTCACTGGCTTTCTGTATCGCAGCTCACACCGCCTCCTTGGACATGATGACTGAGTTCAGCTTTCTTCCTTCAACATTCATGTTCTCTAAGTAGGAAGCTTCCCCTTACCCTCTGGTTCTTCTCACTCTTGTTGTCTCTGGAGAACCTTTTCTATGAACTCTGGACCTTAAAAGCCTAATGCTGGCCCCAGTGGCTCCAGGTAGGGGCATTACGTCAGTGGCTGCAATGTGATTTTCCTTATTTGTTTCAACCCATTGCCTCTGAAGTTTTGTCAATACCACCAAGGATGTGAAATGGATGCTTTGCCAAGATTCACATTAACTACAGCCTCATATTGGCTCCAGAAGAACCTGAGGAAGTATCAGGCTTAAAAACGTTCATCAGCATGTGGCAGCTCTCCATAGCCCTTATAACTCTCTTATTTATAGCTGCCTGCTGCATTTTCTCAAAGTAACATTAGCCCTTAAAATGTTGCAAAGTGATATATGTGAACCAATTATTAACTGAAGTATCTGCAACAATAGAAACTAAAAAAAAAGTGTTGTCTAAGGTTGAGAAATAAGATCTCATAACTGCTCAAATGACTTTACACACACACCCAAACACATACACACTCACACACATTTCATGGGAATTCAGTACGGTAATAGAATAAACATGTTTTGATCTAATTAATAGTCTCAGAAATAACCCTGTATACATTATTCTAGCATAAACTATAAACCATTCTAAATCTGCATTTTGGCAATACTCCATATGCATAACTCCTTCTGCTAGGTTTCAGTTACTTTCTTATGAGAATTAAGAAACCAGTAAATATCTTTAAGAAGGAGAGTGACAGCATTTGATTTATTCTTTAAGTACTTATAAATGATGGGGATAGCATAGTTTTGAGTAATACTCACAAAGCATATATATAGAGAGCTTCAAAAAATGATGACTATTGGAAAGTCATATGGTGAGTTTTACTAAAGACATTTTTAGAAAGCATTTTACAGACAAAAAAAGGAAGGAAGGGAGGGAGGAGGGAGGGAAAGAGGGAGGAAGGAAGGAAGGGAGGAAGGAAGAAAGGGAGGGAGAGAGGGAGGGAAAAACTCTTAAAGCAGTCATACTTTGTTCTTTCCCTGTGCATTTTAAAGAAATGTACATTTTAGCATGTAAACCAGGACTTTGCACCAAGCCTAACTCTCAATTTATGTTCTTTTTTTAACCAACTTATATTTCTTCCTTTTAATTACTGCAACAATGACTTAGAATAATGTGTCTCAGAACTCACAGGCTGGTCTTCATTTCCCACTGTATTGCTGGGCTTTTTCTTACCATCAATTGGTGTTCTATTATTCCCCTGGAGTCACTGACCCCATTCACCTCCAACCTTCCTGCATCCCTCCCTGCCTTCTTGCCACAGTGTGACCACCATGCACCCTTGTGAAAGGTAGAAACAGTGGCCTCTGTGGGCAAAAGAAGCACTGAGCCAGCAGATCCAGTCCCAACTCATCCCTTTTCCTGGAGTCCTTCTGCTGAAATGTACCAGCACACTCATGCATGGAGGCCCTAGCCACTGTCTCTGGGCTTGCAAACTTCTCATTTTCCAGTTCTGCCCCTGCCAGGTGTGGAAATATTCTAATTTTTCTCTGTTCTCCAAATTCCAACCACAGGGTATGTAGACTAACTTCCATACATCAATCTTCTACGGAATAGAAATGGAGAGATGCTTGCTTCAGGTAATGTTGAAATTAAAGTGTCATTCTACATTTCATAGGTAAAGTCAAAATGAGAAAACATTCTTCCATTCATAAGTTCATTCATTCAGCTGAGCAGGCTAGATGTATTAGATAAAATATAAGACAAACATTGTCTCTGGGGATACAAGGATAGGCAATGTTCCTGCTGCTATGTGTTTTCTGGTGTTGGAGTGGCAGACTGTAAAACAGGTAAACAAAATCATGAAATAATAATAGATGGTAGAGGTTGGTAGGAGGGAGATATTCAGGATGTAGTGTTTGGAAATAAGGAACAAGTATGGACTTGTTTTAGATAGGGTCATAAAGAATCTCTCTGAAGAAGTGATATTTAAGATCAGAATGACAAGAAAGTAGCCATGACATACAAAATTAGGTTAGTAAAATGCTATATAAATGATGGATAAAACATAAATTAATGAAGCAGGATATTTCCCTGACCCCTTCATGGGCAGGAACAGGAATGCATAGATGCTGGAAATAGCTGGTTGCTTTGGTGCTGGCTGGGACAGACTCCACTCGCTCGGTCCAACTGTGTTCCACCCCTTGCGGGAGGCGGAGTGTAGGTGAGTGGATCTAGCATCCAGGGCAAGCAAAACTCCATGCAGGCCCCGCAGCAGCATCTAGGGGATTGCCCATGACCGCTGAAGCCCCAGAAGGAGTGTTACAGTGCACTTTTAGGTTTGCCGTTCATGAACAGCTGAAGTGTTAACAGCTCAGTGGAAGGTCAGTGTGACAGTCTTTTACATCTGCACTTGTGACATCTGAGCTCTTGTCTGGTGTCCATGAGGAATGAGGTTATGTGAATGAATTGAAGATGGTGAATGCAGGGGATTTTATTGCCAATGAAAGTGGCTTTCAGCGGGAAGGGGAGCTGGAAAGGGTCCAGAGCGGGAAGGTAATCTGCCCCTGGAGTCTAGCCATCCCTGGCTGGCTGTCAAGCTGTCCCTCTGAAGTCAAGCCACTTCTCTCTGATGTCTAGCTGTTTCTCCTCTCTCTGCCAGCTGAGCCCAGGGTTTTTATGGGCACAGGGTGGGGGGTGGGGAGGGACACGGCTGGTTTTGGAAAAGGCAACATTTGAGCGGGGAAACAGGGATGTCATTTCTCACTTTGGGCAGCAGTATTAGGCTTTTTGGCTTAAGGGTGGGGAATTTGCCAGGCACCTATCCTTTTCTGCCCAGAATTTCCCTGCCTCCTACCCCTATCATTAATATTGGCCAGGAATAAAGGTAAAACTTCTAGCTATTCTTTTAATATTCCTACAGAAAGCCAGTGAGGAGGTTACAAAATATTGGGGTTTTTAGCTTGCCATATGTGGGAAGGACCTTTCATTTTTAAGAAACACAAGTTCTTTTTGTATATAAAGGCACAAATAGGCCTACCAGAGAGACACTGAATCTGGTGGTGGCAAACACTTTCTATAAAGGGTGAGACTGTAAATATTTTAGGCTTTGTGTGCCATATGATTTCTGTTGCAGCTACTCAACTCATAAAAGTAGTCACAGAAGATATATAAATATATACAAATAAATGTGTATATTTCCCAATCCTATGTTATATATGGATGTGATATATAAATTTTCATGTGTCAAAATATTATTTTTTGATATTTTCACAGTCATTAAAAAACATAAACACTATTTTTAGCTTGAGGGCCTTGCAAAAACAGGGGGTGGATTATATTCAATCTGCAGGAAATAATTCGGAGACTTTTGCTCTATATCAAGTGGTTAAAAGTGTGAACACTTAAGCCAACTCTCTGAGTTTGTTTCCAAATGCCTCCATTTTCCAGTGGTGCATTTACATGTCCAGGTCAAAGAAAATTTGCTTTGATTCTACTTTGCTCTCTTTCTTATGTTTCTATTCTTCTTTTCTTAGCCAAACTTCTCAACAAATTATCTATACTGACTCTCTGTGACTTTAACATTTCCAGTTCTTGATGCTCTTCCAGAACCATGAGCCCCACCATCCACATCAAGAGGTGGTATTGATGTTCCTTTTCCTTGAAACCCAGCAGGCCTTTGTGAATCCTTCTACTAATAGAGTGCCACAGAAGGGATGCTATGAGACTTCTATGCTAGATCATAAAGGCCATACAGCTTCTTCCTGCTTCTTTTAAGACACGTGCCTGTGGACCCTGGAGCTGCCATGTTAGAAGTATATAATGCCTATATATATATTTTAAGAGGCTTTCATTAGACTTCACCACAGTAGATCTGGCGATGGGCAATGGAAGAAAAGTGTCCACGTGCATTGTGTGACTGGAGTGGGAGGTATATGGGATGGAGAGTTGGGATCTTAGGCCGGAGATGTGTACAGAAACCAGTTCATGGAGGGCCTTGATCATAGGTTAAGGGTCTTGGACTGGATCTTAGAGCAAAGTGTGGCCATTGGAGAGTTTTATGCACAGCAGTGAAATGGACAGATTTCTGTTTTATGGGGATCACTCTGGTTGCCAGATTAGAAGGAAATAACAATGGGTTTGAGAGACTGGGCTAAAAGTACTCCATCTAGTCTAAATGATGGGGACCTAAGAGGCGGCGTGATACTGGGTATGGATCAGGGAATAGAATCCGGAGAGATCCCAGAAGCATCCCTGGGAGGAGAGTGCTGCCTGTCTAGCTAATAATATCAAACAAACAAAAAAAGAGTCGATATTTTAGTAACTTCTACTACTGTCTTGTTAACAGAATAGATTCCTGCCTAGCCCTGCTGTTTCATGATTTTTACATTTTTTTCCTGTTAATATGCTGTACAGTTCCCATGTGGTTCATCAACTTTCTCCTAGGCAGACCCTGGGGAACCGTTCCTTGAAAGCGAGATGCCACAGATAAGCTCACAGCTGGCCTGATACGGGTGAAAAGGGCTCCTCTGTGCTCCCCACTGGGAAACACCTGCCTCTGCAGGCCACAGACCCGGTCCCCAGAAAATACCATGGGAACCCCATCTCTGAGCATCCTCTGAGCTGTTATCTCAAAGTAATCACTGTGTTCTGGGTTTTTAACCTGGGAGATTAAATCTTTACATGCTTGAGTGGAAAGATCTCGTCCTTGTAATTTTTCACCTATATAATTTCCCAGCTGCCTTAGTTTAACCTGTTGTATTTATGGCCCAACTGCAATTTAGGAGAATACTTAGAAAATGCCACTTTCAAAGGACAGCTCTGTTAAATTGCCACTAAGAACACCTTTCTGAGTGAGTGTAGTGAACTGTGGTAAAACTGATCATCTCAGTCAATTAGATTTTTAGGCCAGGCACTTTTTACTGTTTTGAAAGAGAGAAAGAAAGAATTTCAAAGCTAAAATCAATCAATTATAGTCTAAATGTAGATCAAGGAAGAAGAACACAAAAAGCATATTTATACTTTCTTTCTGTAGAGATGAACCTGGTAGAGGTCATTTGAGTTCTATTTTGCATTAAATAGAAGTTACCATTTTAATAAAACAGGCCTAAAAAGACAGTGGGGATAGAAATTAGGGCCAAAGAATTAAAGGCTGAGATGGAAGAGTAGAAATGCCTCAGCTAGGACAGAAAGGGACTGTGAAGGGAGCACCTAAGCATGTCCAAGCAGGAAGGTTTTTTTCATAAAAACTTTGCTGACCTTCGATTCAGAAAGTTCTATATAATTAAAATACAGCAGGAGACCACGAGTTCAGGAAAAAGTTTTTGATTTTTTTGTGATTTTCCATTTCGTGCCTCCAACCTAAGACAGGTTTACAGTATTTGCAGATTCTGAATTGTCAAAGAAATTGTGTTCTCTTCCTAGGCAACTGAAAAATCAAAACATGATTAGTAGTAAAGTAAGATTAAAGAACACCAACAGCATCTTAACATTCTCATAATATGTATTTTGCAATTTTCAAATACAAAAACCTTTCAAAATAATTTCTCACATTAAAAGAAATAGTTCCTAGAGAGAGTAAAAAATAGGTGTAGGCCAGAACTGAATTTGATCTATCCAGAGGCACTAATTATGATGGTATTTTTAACTACCCAGGAGCATTCTGCCTCAGACGCCACCTGTGAGGTTTGAAAAAATTGTTTAAATGGCACCTTTTTCAGGAAGCCATCTCGAAGCCATCTCTCACCAGTTCAGACAATTACAATTACACACTCTTCTGGCCTTCTCTAGCAGTTGTCTGCACTATTCACTTAATACTTTAAACACCAATTCTTCCTGCATGGTCTAGCAGAAGAAGCACCAAATTTCAACCAGTAGTTCTGAATCTGTTCCTCGTATTGCCACTTGTAGCCAAGCATGCTTAAGTAAGTCTATCAACCAGGAGAACATCAGAAAAACAGCCTACAGTGGAGAGACAGATAGAGGTGATTTGATACGAAGGTATGATGAGAATTGTTAAGGCAAGCAGGAGATGGTGAGGCAACTGAAGAGTAGCAATGGGAGGAAGCTGCTCCCCAAAGAGGGATGGGAGGGATGCAGGGAGAAAGTGATGTATCAGAGCCCAGAGACTGAAGCAGTCAGGCAGGAGCTAAACTGTGGTGGGGCTACCATATGGGAGCCTGAACCAAAGAGGGAGGAACTCTGTGGAAAGGATTTGAAACTAACTTCAGAGGAGATGGCAGCCACTGTCAGAGATCATGCCTGGATCTGAGCAAGAGGGGAGAAATACTTGGCTTCTTCCCTCTTCCTACTTTCCATTTTTTCACCAGTGCCACCCAACGGCCAAGCCTACCCAGAAGCCAACTGATTCATCCCCAATGCTACAGAGTAGGGGGGACAGAGGGTGGTGTTAGGAACAATGTGCAAGTCACTGGTACAATGTCATTTCCTTTCTGAACGATTGTGCCCTCCTCTATCAGATTTTAAAGGAATGCGTTTATAACCCACTTCTTGTGAATATCATATGAGAGTATTTTAATTTGTGGATGGGAGTAAAACCTGAAACTTTTTGAGGACACATTGGAAGAAAAATGTTTTAAGGATTTAGAAATGTTAGATAATGGATATTCCACTTCTAGGAAAATAGAAAGTCATAAATACGCATACAGATTTAGGTACCAAAATGTGTATGTCTTGGTGTTTATAATACTGCAAGTTGGAAACAGCCTAAAATAGATGTGATATATTTGGAGATTACTTTTTTAGAAAAGATAATTTCTGCCTTCAAGGATATCGTGCTCATTCAAGGCAACATGCACTAAAGATCATAAAAATAGGATGAAGTGCTATGGAGATGCAAGGGTGAGAGAGGAGAGGGAGTATCTGCCATTTTTAGGCTTCAAGATGTGTGATATACAGTGTGTGCATTAGAATATAGAAATGCTTGGGGGAAATTTTGATATTTATATCCATATAAGAAAATTCTTCCAGATGAAAGAAGATGATAAATTAGTGTGTTTTCAGATTTTCCAAGTTCACTCAAAGGAGAAACCCTGGGATTGAGAGGTTAGATGCCCAAGTAGATAAGCAAGAGGTAAGCAAGAGGTAAGCAAGAGATAAGCAAGCATGAGCATAATTAGAATCCAAGTGACCTGTGAGTTCATTCCAGTCCTGGTTCTGATTCTGACAGTGACCTCATTCAGGCCTCTGCTCCAGTTTTCTCTCGTGAATAATGAAAAACAGAGACAGCCACATACCCCATTGCCAAGGGCTTTGCAAATGAATGAACAGGCTCTCCCAGGATCTGAGGCTTTATGGGTAACTCACTCCCAGGCCTGGCTGACCTGTGTTCTTTGTGTTCACCCTGCTAACAACTGTCAGCATAGTGAGTCTCAGTCTCATTAGAATCATGCTTCAAACGTGCTCTAAAAATTAAAGTTAGATGTTTAAATGTACATTTAAGACCCTGCTTTGTCTACTCCAAAGTACCCTACAAGCTTTATCTTCCATAGTCCAACATGTGTTGTCCTTGGAATGGGTCAGAACAGATTCTGAATTCCATTTTCACTGCTTTCTAGCTGTTTGATCTTTTGCAAGTATCTTCATCTCCCTGATTAAGTAAAACAAATAACATAGGAGGGGGGGCTTAGCACAGGTTTTAGGTCATTGTAGGTGTTTCGTAAATTTTAGTGTTCTTTGCCTTGCTTATTTTCCAATATGCCTCAGCCAAAAGTACTGTTTACTTTCCCTACAAAATATCTCATATATTCAGAGCTTCATGTCTTTGTTCATACTATTCTGTTCAATGGGTGTGTCCATTTCTGTCCTTCTTCATGTGCCATTCAGCTGTGGCTTTCTCCATGAAGACTTAGGTGGTTAACCAAAGTAGAAGAGATATTTAAAAATTCAATAGCACTTTTTTTTTAACCTGACAAAGGCACCAAATCTTTTCCACTTTGAGCTATGTATTTTAAATTTGTGTTTTCTAGCCTCCATTCTCAATGTCCTAGCTATGTCTCTAACCCTAGGTCCAAACCAAGTGCTAACAAAGAAAGAGAATAGATGTGGCAATTAGAAAGACATACCTGGGTTTGGATCCCAGCACACAGTAAATGTTGGAGACATTTTTGCTACGTGCTATTGAAGAGAATGTTTCCTTTTTGGCAGGTTCAAATTATTGGCAGGATTGAAAGAAATGCCCTAGGCAAAGAAAGAACTATCCCAATACCAGCCCCCAGCTGGAATGTTTTCTAGTCTATTCCCTTTTCTTGCTTAGCAAGCACTGAGCTTCCTGCTTCTGGTTTGGACCTGAAGTGGAAGTTCCCAAATACCAACAGGAAGGTAATATTTGTGGTCTTCCTCCCTCACTGAAACCTGAAGCACTGGAATTTTACGTGGGTGTCATTTTCTCAAGAGATTTCCAGCTGCAATTCTCAGAGCAGAGGTAAGCCACTGGATGCCATTGGATCCACAACCATTCTCCCTCTTTTTTACTTTTCTAAGACTCCAATATTATCTTGCCAAGTATGGGTTCAATAATTAAAAAGAAGTCCTGTAGGGAGTACTGGGATTTTTAAACATAGGACAGAATCTCATTGACTGGAGTTGCATTAGGAGATTTGTACATACAGGCAAGAGAAGAAACAAGATTCATCCATATATCCATTTACTGATTTACAAATATTGAGTACTCACAATATGACTAGCACTGTCTTCAAAGCAAGGCCTCTTCTAAACAGAAACACTGATTGAGTGCTAACCATACACTACTTGGTGCTTTTGCGTATGAGATTGTCGTTTTTCACAACAATCTCAAGAGGGTAGGATTGCATTGTTATACAGATAATGAGACTTATAGTTATAAAACAAGTTTTGAGTGATCTTGCAATTACATAAGAAACATGGCTAATATATATCAGAACCAAAAATCAACTCATAATTTGAATATTTGGACATTTGGATGGCTTATGATTTGTAGCGATTTTAAAAAAAGTGCTGTTATGATAATTGTTGCTTTTGTCTTTTTTTGGTATAAAATCAACATTTCTATTTGATACCTAGGAGTAGAATTGCTGGGTCATAGAATATGCACAAGTTAAGCTGTAGTACTAATAACCAGTTGATATAATTTTACCCTACATCTTTTTTGTAACTTGAATTCCTGTGGCAAGCTCTGTTTCCCAAAGATGACCACAACAATATCTCCGACATCTTTCTAACATATTGCAACCTTAACAATTCCTCTAGCATGTGATGTAGTCTAGGTCCCTTGTCCTTGAATCTGAGTGGGTCTTTGTGACTTCCTAGATGAGCGCTGCTCAACAGAACATTCTGCAATGATAGAAATGTTCTGTCTGTATTGTCTAATGCAGTAGCTACTAGCCCCATTGGGCATTGAAATGTGGCTAGGATGACTGTACAACTGAACTTTAATTTTATTTAATTTCAATTAATTTAAATTTAAATAGCCATTGCATAGTGGCTATTGTATTGGATAATGCTGGCCCAGACCAATAGAATTAGTAGAATTGATGATATGTAATTTCAGAAGCTAGATCATTAAAATGCCATACACTGCTTTGTTCTTTTGGAACACAACTACCATCTTGTAGCTGACTGACTCCAAGCAGATTGCGGAGTGTCTCACATAGAGAATAACCTTGGATCATGGCTCATAGGCATAAGGCACATGCTGTTCCCAGGTGGCAACCAAACTCAGCTCACAAAGCCCTGTGAGTAAGCCATCTTGAAAGCAGAATCTGTAGCTACAGGTCAAGCGCCTCTAGCTGATGCTGAAGGAGTACAAAAAACCCACCCCTCCTAAGCCTTGCCCAAATTGCAGATTCATAACCCAAAAGATGCTTTTGATTCTTTTATGCCACAAACATATGATCTTAAGCTTTATATCTAGTTGAGTTGTGCCTTCCCAGAAGTACCTTTCCTATGCATCTCACTCAAAAAGGGTACTATTTATGAATTGCACACACACAAAACCAAAAAACCAAAACCAAACCAAATCAAAACAAACAAACATACAAATAAACAATCAGACAGGCTAGGAAGAGCCCCAGAAGCTAGTGAATCCATCTTAAATCAGTGGTAGTGAGCATCATAGCATAATATCTTGTTCTCCTGTTTGACCTATGGTACAGTGAGGTTTCCCAAACTTGAACTTTCCTGCACTACAGGATAATTGGCACTCCAGAGGTCTGGCAAATGCAACATCTACATAATGTATCTTTTGCGTATACCTCCTACTTCCCATACAATCCATTCTGTAAACTGCAGCAGCAGTAATTTTGGTAAAATATTGATCATATCATGTCACTCTAGTGAGTAAAATATTTCAATAGCTACCCATCATTCTTGGAATAATATAAAAACTTGTTGTCAAGACCTGCAAATCCTTGAATGATCTGCCACCATTCTCACTTCAGGCAGCGCTACTCCTTGGCTTTTATATTACAACCAGAATAGTCTCCCATTGATTTGATGAAGGAAGAAATGCCCTCCCCTAATCCTGCCTTTGTACATGCCATTCTCTCTGCTTGAAATGTTCTTCCTCTGATCACTGCACAGCTGGTTCTCTCTTATTCTTCAAGTCTGAGTCTGCTCTCATCTCCTTAGTGCAGCTGAAGTCCTGATACTCTCTTTAAATTAGGCTTTCCATCATCTCTCCATCTCATCATCTGCCTTCCTTTCAAATTATTAGCACTTATCCGTCATTGCATTATGCATTCATTTACATTTTGTTATTGTCATGTCTTCCACCAAAGCATAAGCTCTGCAAAGACATGGAACTTATTCATAGTGTATCTGCAATAGGTGACACGGTGCGTAGTATGCTAGGTATTCAGTAAATATCTATTAAATGAAGAATTGAAGGAATGAATTAAAGAATCATGTATGAATTTTATTTAATTCTTGGCTAAAGAAAAAGTAATACTGGATACATAAAATGCAGAGAGGAGGTCAAATTGCCTAAAATTTCAGTCACAGATAGGTAAAATAAAGTGCATACACTTATTGTAAAAATGAAGTGGAAAATTCCATGTAAAGTGCCTAGTATATAATAAGATCTTCATAAATGTCAGTTGTCATTTCCTTGTTGCTTTTGCTTTTGTTGTTCAAATATTCCAGTCTTACTGCCCTGGATGCTTAGCATCTATTATTTTTCCTTTAACTTTCTTGGTTATTGGATTCCTAGAAATCTCCTAATAGAAAAATTGCTGCTAAATGAGTTTCACAAGTATTAGGGAGAGCAAAAAGAGAAACTTGGCCAATTATACAGCCTTTAATGCAATGATCCAACAAGCCAATTACTCAGGAAAAGTACTATTGTTTTTTGAACTGTGTGTGCACTAGCATTTTTATGTGGTGATGAAATAGTTATTGTTCTTACTGTTTTAGTTTGGAAAACAGATAAGGAAAGTTTTAGTGTATTTTTGTTTTTAAAGATGTCTGATTCACCTTCATCAGCTTTCCCAATGAACTGTGGAAATTTAAAAAATTATACAAGATTGTAGTAGCTGTGAAAATAGAGATGTTGACCAATGCTTTATTAATTTGGGAGAATATTACAAGCTTACGGAATGCTTTCTGTCTCCATCTGTGCATGAGGCAGCTACATTGTTGGAAAGTGCTGTTTCAGTCTGATTATAAATTTTTTTGTGAGAAAATTTAATCCAGACGTTTTTGGTAAAGTTTGGTCTAATTTGTTAAAGTTGGCAAACAATTTACTTATCTAGCACAAAACAAGGAAAGCGGCGCCTTTTCAAAGCTGAGAAAATCGAAACAGAAAAGGACTGACTTCAGAAAACAGAAAATGAGTATTTAATAAAATGAAAGGAGACTTGACTCTGAAATAAAATATGAAAAATGAGAAGGAAAGATACCAGTTAAAAACAGTATTGGTTTAGTTTGTATGGATTACTATCAGATTAATTGAAAATCTTTGGGTAATTTGTCTTTTGCATCAGGTTGTTTTTAAGATTTTACCTGACTTTTCATAGCTTAAAGTTTCACTAGAATGTTTATGGGTATATATGAGTTTTTAATTCTGCTTGATATATTTTGTGCTTTCTGTCTATGTGTATTTAATCTTTATTCTGGAAAAATTTTTAGCCATGATTGCTTTAATATTTTCTCTCCTCCATTGTCTCAATTTTTCTTTTCTGTGATGCTGATTACATGTATATTCTATCTTGCATTACATTTTTTATGTCTCTTACCCTTTAACTTTCTATTTTCTCTTTCCCTCTTTCTTTTAAGAATGTTCTGCATTCTGGAGTGCTGATATCAAAATTTCCCCCGACGTAAACAAAGTCTTTCCTTACAGTGCACAGCTCCTGCTGGTATTCCAAGTTCTTTGCCCCTTATGCTTACCTTCAGGAAGTTCAGCAATAAACTAGAAATTATGGGTTATCCAGATTCCACTGTTTAAAAGTGGGAGAGCGCTTTTAATTACCTAGTCTTTTATACTTTTACAGACAAAAATCAAAGAAAATTATAGTGAAAGTCATAAATACAATTTTCTGTACAAAATAAATCAGAATATACATATTGGAAGAACTCACCATAGTCTAGGTAAAAACTTTAAAAATCAAGACTATGGTAGGGAAATATTTTGTAAAATTTTAGAATTTCAAAAAGTCATGAAAATAAAAATAATTCTAAATGCAAAACATGGTACGTGGGGTAAGAAGAAACAGATTACTTTCAGAGGAACAAGTAAGACTGACCAGGGACTTTTCCAAAAGTTTATGGAATTATGAAAGATAGACATTGCGATCCGAGAACTCTATATCAAACCAATATGGTATTGTGTGTTAGTGTGTGTGTTTTATTAAAATAACAGAAAGAAATTATCAGATATATAAAGCTTCAGAAAGTATATCTCTCAAAAAATACATCTCACAAATATATTTGAAGACACAGTCCTATGTAGGATTTATCTTGATGCCCCAGAGAACCAGGTTTAAGTACTTGCTCTGCTACTACCTAGTTTAGAGACTTTAAATCTCTCAATGTTCTCATCAGTTCCCAGGTTGATACTACTCTTATACCTTAATTACTCATGAACATGTCCACTGGATTAAACTCTTTAAAAGGAAGCAACTTGAATGCCTCTTTGTTGTCTACATCACATAGCGTAATGTTGAATGCATCAAAAGTAGTCAATAAATGTAAGATGAATGAGAGATTGTAGGAATTATTACCAACATGCCTACATACATGGAATATCTTTGTTAGAACTAAAAACAAAATCAAACTAAGAAAAATGATCCAGTCTTGTTTCTTAAAAGTTATATTGAAATAGATATAATACAATAGAAGCCAAAGAAGACAGAAATAACTATATTAGAAACAACTATGTATAAGAATAAAATTAAAAAATATATGATACACAATTTTGCTTAACCTTATGCAAATAAATTTAAAAACCTGATTATAAAGCATAATATTCTAGAATATATAAGAAATGTAATAAAACATATTAATAAATGTCAAATATTGTTTCGAAAATCATTTAATTGGCAACATGTCTAACAGTGAAACACGAAAATGTTTTCATTAAACTAAGAAACAAGATAAAGATGTTGACTATCATCCCTATTACCCAATATATTGTGCAAAATTCTTTCCAATAAATCGAGGCAAGATAAATAAATATGAGGTTTAAAAATTCTAAAAGACAAGAAAAATTGTCAATCATTTACAAATACCTAGAAAATTTTATAAGCCTGGAAAACTCAAAATTATCAACTGGGTAAATCCTTAAAAATAATGGAAGCATGTTAGGAGAATTTAGAAATTAATTTCTAAAACCCTGGTGGCTTTACTATTTTCACGTAGGTTGTACTTAATGTTACTCAAAGAAATCTCCATTAAATAAAAGACACAAAGTAAGAAATAAATCCTTAGAAACAGAGGTAAATAGAAATGTGCTAGCTTTGTATGAATAAACTTTCTAAATGCTCTCATAGGGCATAGAAAGGACTTTAAAACACTTTTACTGTGAACCAAGAAACATAAAATACTATTTGGATTAATGGGAATTCATGCCCAGTTCTTGTAAAATTAATGCAAGATTGTAAAGATGCTAATTTATCCTATGTTAATTCATAAATTGAATGTGATTCCAAGAAACTTACCAATAGAATTTTTTCTATTAAACTAGACATGCTGAACTTATAGTTCAAATAAAGATTAGCCAGGAAAATTTTGAAAAATAAAGGTAAGGAAACATTATTATATAGTATTATAAAGCTTCCATAAGTAATAAAATTTGATACTAGTGGATGAGTAGAAATTTCAAAGGAAAAGTGTGGAGTCTTGAGTGAGACTCAAATAATGTAAAAATTTAGATTATGATAATGTCAGCACTCCACATCAGTTTGTTAAAGACTGCATAATCAATCAATACTGGTGGGACAAGCTACTGAGAAAAGAATAAATTAAGGTGAGTTCTTAATTTATCACTTATATAAAAATTTGGATCTAGATGAATCAAAATTAAGATGAAAATGTATTTTTTCTTGTAATCTTGCAGTAGTAAGTTCTTTCTAAGCAAGATATATAATTCAGAATCCCCCAAAGACTATTAAATATAACATGTTAATATTTGTAAATATCTGAGGTGGGAGGAGCCACGATGGCCGAATAGGAACAGCTCCGGTCTACAGCTCCCAGCGTGAGCGACGCAGAAGACGGGTGATTTCTGCATTTCCATCTGAGGTACCGGGTTCATCTCACTAGGGAGTGCCAGACAGTGGGCGCAGGCCAGTGGGTGCGCGCACTGTGCGCGAGCCGAAGCAGGGCGAGGCATTGCCTCACCTGGGAAGCACAAGGGGTCAGGGAGTTCCCTTTCCGAGTCAAAGAAAGGGGTGACGGACGCACTTGGAAAATCGGGTCACTCCCACACGAATATTGCGCTTTTCAGACCGGCTTAAAAAACGGCGCACCACGAGACTATATCCCACACCTGGCTCAGAGGGTCCTATGCCCACGGAATCTCACTGATTGCTAGCACAGCAGTCTGAGATCAAACTGCAAGGCTGCAGCGAGGCTGGGGGAGGGGCGCCCACCATTGCCCAGGCTTGATTAGGTAAACAAAGCAGCCAGGAAGCTCGAACTGGGTGGAGCCCACCACAGCTCAAGGAGGCCTGCCTGCCTCTGTAGGCTCCACCTCTGGGGGCAGGGCACAGACAAACAAAAAGACAGCAGTAACCTCTGCAGACTTAAATGTCCCTGTCTGACAGCCTTGAAGAGAGCAGTGGTTCTCCCAGCATGCAGCTGGAGATCTGAGAACGGGCAGACTGCCTCCTCAAGTGGGTCCCTGACCCCTGACCCCCGAGCAGCCTAACTGGGAGGCACCCCCCAGCAGGGGCACACTGACACCTCACACGGCAGGGTATTCCAACAGACCTGCAGCTGAGGGTCCTGTCTGTTAGAAGGAAAACTAACAAACAGAAAGGACATCCACACCGAAAACCCATCTGTACATCACCATCATCAAAGACCAAAAGTAGATAAAACCACAAAGATGGGGAAAAAACAGAGCAGAAAAACTGGAAACTCTAAAACGCAGAGCGCCTCTCCTCCTCCAAAGGAACGCAGTTCCTCACCAGCAATGGAACAAAGCTAGATGGAGAATGATTTTGACGAGCTGAGAGAAGAAGGCTTCAGACGATCAAATTACCCTGAGCTACGGGAGGACATTCAAACCAAAGGCAAAGAAGTTGAAAACTTTGAAAAAAATTTAGAAGGATGTATAACTAGAATAACCAATACAGAGAAGTGCTTAAAGGAGCTGATGGAGCTGAAAACCAAGGCTCGAGAACTACATGAAGAATGCAGAAGCCTCAGGAGCCGATGCGATCAACTGGAAGAAAGGGTATCAGCAATGGAAGATGAAATGAATGAAATGAAGCGAGAAGGGAAGTTTAGAGAAAAAAGAAAAGAAAGAAATGAGCAAAGCCTCCAAGAAATATGGGACTATGTGAAAAGACCAAATCTACGTCTGATTGGTGTACCTGAAAGTGATGGGGAGAATGGAACCAAGTTGGAAAACACTCTGCAGGATATTATCCAGGAGAACTTCCCCAATCTAGCAAGGCAGGCCAACGTTCAGATTCAGGAAATACAGAGAACGCCACAAAAATACTCCTCGAGAAGAGCAACTCCAAGACACATAATTGTCAGATTCACTAAAGTTGAAATGAAGGAAAAAATGTTAAGGGCAGCCAGAGAGAAAGGTCGGGTTACCCTCAAAGGGAAGCCCATCAGACTAACAGCGGATCTCTCGGCAGAAACCCTACAAGCCAGAAGAGAGTGGGGGCCAATATTCAACATTCTTAAAGAAAAGAATTTTCAACCCAGAATTTCATATCCAGCCAAACTAAGCTTCATAAGTGAAGGAGAAATAAAATACTTTACAGACAAGCAAATGCTGAGAGATTTTGTCACCACCAGGCCTGCCCTAAAATAGCTCCTGAAGGAAGCGCTAAACATGGAAAGGAACAACCGGTACCAGCCGCTGCAAAATCATGCCAAAATTAAAGATCATCAAGACTAGGAAGAAACTGCATCAACTAACGAGCAAAATCACCAGCTAACATCATAATGACAGGATCAAATTCACACATAACAATATTAACTTTAAATGTAAATGGACTGAATTCTCCAATTAAAAGACACAGACTGCAAGTTGGATAAAGAGTCAAGACCCATCAGTGTGCTGTATTCAGGAAACCCATCTCACGTGCAGAGGCACACATAGGCTCAAAATAAAGGGATGGAGGAAGATCTACCAAGCAAATGGAAAACAAAAAAAGGCAGGGGTTGCAATCCTAGTCTCTGATAAAACAGACTTTAAACCAACAAAGATCAGAAGAGACAAACAAGGCCGTTACATAATGGTAAAGGGATCAATTCAACAAGAGGAGCTAACTATCCTAAATATATATGCACCCAATACAGGAGCACCCAGATTCATAAAGCAAGTCCTGAGTGACCTACAAAGAGACTTAGACTCCCACACATTAATAATGGGAGACTTTAACACCCCACTGTCAACATTAGACAGATCAACGAGACAGAAATTCAACAAGGATACCCAGGAATTGAACTCAGCTCTGCACCAAGTGGACCTAATAGACATCTACAGAACTCTCCACCCCAAATCAACAGAATATACATTTTTTTCAGCACCACACCACACCTATTCCAAAATTGACCACATACTTGGAAGTAAAGCTCTCCTCAGCAAATGTAAAAGAACAGAAATTATAACAAACTATCTCTCAGACCACAGTGCAATCAAACTAGAACTCAGGATTAAGAATCTCACTCAAAGCCGCTCAACTACATGGAAACTGAACAACCTGCTCCTGAATGACTACTGGGTACATAACGAAATGAAGGCAGAAATAAAGATGTTCTTTGAAACCAACGAGAACAAAGACACAACATACCAGAATCTCTGGGACGCATTCAAAGCAGTGTGTAGAGGGAAATTTATAGCACTACATGCCCACAAGAGAAAGCAGGAAAGATCCAAAATTGACACCCTAACATCACAATTAAAAGAAATAGAAAAGCAAGAGCAAACACATTCAAAAGCTAGCAGAAGGCAAGAAATAACTAAAATCAGAGCAGAACTGAAGGAAATAGAGACACAAAAAACCCTTCAAAAAATCAATGAATCCAGGAGCTGGTTTTTTGAAAGGATCAACAAAATTGATAGACCGCTAGCAAGACTAATAAAGAAAAAAAGAGAGAAGAATCAAATAGACACAATAAAAAATGATAAAGGGGGTATCACCACCGATCCCACAGAAGTACAAACTACCATCAGAGAATACTACAAACACCTCTACGCAAATAAACTAGAAAATCTAGAAGAAATGGATAAATTCCTCGACACATACACTCTCCCAAGACTAAACCAGGAAGAAGTTGAATCTCTGAATAGACCAATAACAGGAGCTGAAATTGTGGCAATAATCAATAGTTTACCAACCAAAAAGAGTCCAGGACCAGATGGATTCACAGCCGAATTCTACCAGAGGTACAAGGAGGAACTGGTACCATTCCTTCTGAAACTATTCCAATCAATGGAAAAAGAGGGAATCCTCCCTAACTCATTTTATGAGGCCAGCATCATTCTGATACCAAAGCCTGGCAGAGACACAACCAAAAAAGAGAATTTTAGACCAATATCCTTGATGAACATTGATGCAAAAATCCTCAATAAAATACTGGCAAACCGAATCCAGCAGCACATCAAAAAGCTTATCCACCATGATCAAGTGGGCTTCATCCCTGGGATGCAAGGCTGGTTCAATATATGCAAATCAATAAATGTAATCCAGCATATAAACAGAGCCAAAGACAAAAACCACAGGATTATCTCAATAGATGCAGAAAAAGCCTTTGACAAAATTCAACAACCCTTCATGCTAAAAACTCTCAATAAATTAGGTATTGATGGGACGTATTTCAAAATAATAAGAGCTATCTATGACAAACCCACAGCCAATATCATATTGAATGGGCAAAAACTGGAAGCATTCCCTTTGAAAACTGGCACAAGACAGGGATGCCCTCTCTCACCGCTCCTATTCAACATAGTGTTGGAAGTTCTGGCCAGGGCAATCAGGCAGGAGAAGGAAATAAAGGGTATTTAATTAGGAAAAGAGGAAGTCAAATTGTCCCTGTTTGCAGACGACATGATTGTTTATCTAGAAAACCCCATTGTCTCAGCCCAAAATCTCCTTAAGCTGATAAGCAACTTCAGCAAAGTCTCAGGATACAAAATCAATGTACAAAAATCACAAGCATTCCTATACACCAACAACAGACAAACAGAGAGCCAAATCATGAGTGAACTCCCATTCACAATTGCTTCAAAGAGAATAAAATACCTAGGAATCCAACTTACAAGGGATGTGAAGGACCTCTTCAAGGAGAACTACAAACCACTGCTGAAGGAAATAAAAGAGGATACAAACAAATGGAAGAACATTCCATGCTCATGGGTAGGAAGAATCAATATCGTGAAAATGGCCATACTGCCCAAGGTAATTTACAGATTCAATGCCATCCCCATCAAGCTACCAATGACTTTCTTCACAGAATTGGAAAAAACTACTTTAAAGTTCATATGGAACCAAAAAAGAGCCCGCATCACCAAGTCAATCCTAAGCCAAAAGAACAAAGCTGGAGGCATCACACTACCTGATTTCAAACTATACTACAAGGCTACAGTAACCAAAACAGCATGGTACTGGTACCAAAACAGAGATATAGATCAATGGAACAGAACAGAGCCCTCAGAAATAACGCCGCTTACCTACAAATATCTGATCTTTGACAAACCTGAGAAAAACAAGCAATGGGGAAAGGATTCCCTATTTAATAAATGGTGCTGGGAAAACTGGCTAGCCATATGTAGAAAGCTGAAACTGGATCCCTTCCTTACACTTTATACAAAAATCAATTCAAGATGGGTTAAAGATTTAAACGTTAGACCTAAAACCATAAAAACCCTAGAAGAAAACCTAGGCATTACCATTCAGGACATAGGCGTGGGCAAGGACTTCATGTCCAAAACACCAAAAGCAATGGCAACAAAAGACAAAATTGACAAATGGGATCTAATTAAACTAAAGAGCTTCTGCACAGCAAAAGAAACTACCATCAGAGTGAACAGGCAACCTACAACATGGGAGAAAATTTTCGCAACCTACTCATCTGACAAAGGGCTAATATCCAGAATCTACAATGAACTCAAACAAATTTACAAGAAAAAAACAAACAACCCCATCAAAAAGTGGGTGAAGGACATGAACAGACACTTCTCAAAAGAAGACATTTATGCAGCCAAAAAACACATGAAAAAATGCTCATCATCACTGGCCATCAGAGAAATGCAAATCAAAACCACTATGAGATATCATCTCACACCAGTTAGAATGGCAATCATTAAAAAGTCAGGAAACAACAGGTGCTGAAGAGGATGTGGAGAAATAGGAACACTTTTACACTGTTGGTGGGACTGTAAACTAGTTCAACCATTGTGGAAGTCAGTGTGGCAATTCCTCAGGGATCTAGAAGTAGAAATACCATTTGACCCAGCCATCCCATTACTGGGTATATACCCAAAGGACTATAAATCATGCTGCTATAAAGACACATGCACACGTATGTTTATTGTGGCATTATTCACAATAGCAAAGACTTGGAACCAACCCAAATGTCCAACAATGATAGACTGGATTAAGAAAGTGTGGCACATATACACCATGGAATACTATTCAGCCATAAAAAATGATGAGTTCATGTCCTTTGTAGGGACATGGATGAAATTGGAAACCATCATTCTCAGTAAACTATCGCAAGAACAAAAAACCAAACACCGCATATTCTCACTCATAGGTGGGAATTGAACAATGAGATCACATGGACACAGGAAGGGGAATATCACACTCTGGGGACTGTGGTGGGGAGGTGGGAGGGGGGAGGGATAGCATTGGGAGATATACCTAATGCTAGATGACGAGTTAGTGGGTGCAGCGCACCAGCATGGCACATGTATACATATGTAACTAACCTGCACAATGTGCACATGTACCCTAAAACTTAAAGTATAATTAAAAAAAAAATTGTAAATATCTGCTTATCTAGAAATACTATAAACAAAATCAGTGTATATAGACAACTTCGAAAATATTTGTAGCATATATAGTAGACAAAGAACTGAGGACCATAACAAATAATTTTTTTTACAAATAATAAAAGACGTTGGCTCAATAGAAATATGAACAAATATGTTCTTCAGAAAAATAAATAAATGCAATTGGATTTTCAACATAAAGATCTTTAACTTCCCTCAAAATTACAGAAATATAATAAAATAAAAAGTATTTTTACTTTATCCAGTGAAAATGATGAAACATTGTTAGTGTTGATGAGACTGTGAAACAATTCTCCATCCTACATCATTAGTGAGAGTATTGATTTGGTATAATGTTATTAGAGGGCAATTAGGCAATATCTACCAGTATTCTAAATACACAGTTTTTTGCAAAGTGCATAATCTAACTATCTCAATTTATCCTACAGGCAACCAGCCCAAGTACAAAAGAATTACGATCATGAGTTTTCTGGTCACCTTGGTTGTAAGAGCAAAAGATTAGAAAACACATGAATTTGTACCACAAGGGACTGTTTAAGTGCATGATAGCACGTAATGTGGAAAACTTTGTAGATGGACTTATTTGGAATAATCCCCACCACTGAAAAATAGCGAAATGTATTGTAGTTTATTTCAATGGATATATTTGAAAATATATGTATAAACATGTTAAAATTGAAGAGAATATTTTTTTCTTGGATATGAGAAAACTGGCAACCATGATTGTTCTGGAAGGGAACCCAGAGTAGGATGGTACGTTTATCATCATTCTACAGCCATTTTTACTGCTTGAAATATTTACCAAGTACATGCCTTATATTTTTTTCTTAAAAACGAAAACTAATTAGTAAGGAAAAATTCCACCTCTTCAAAAACATCTCCTTCCTTGGACTGGCACACTGTCAGAAATTCTCTCCATGAATCAGCCTTTGGGACGATGCCTGTCTCTGCTTCAAAGGCAATGTCAGACAAATCTATGAAATCCCGGGCTCAGCAGCCTCTGCTGTCCTTCACATACTAGCTGCCTCTTTCTTCTTGCTTCGTGTCCAAAACCTACCAAGTCCTTTAAGGAACACCGCCCATCCAGAGCCTTCTCTGTTTCCTTTACGGGGCTTGTCCTTCCTGCTTGCCTTAAAGATGCTTTGTCAGTCTCTGATCAGCTTCATTCCTGATTTTTCTTTCTGGCCCCCCAAAAAATACCACCTAATCTTCTTTTACACTATCAACACTCAAGAAATAAATATTTTTTAAGAAAACAACCAATTTTTTAATGGGCAAAGATCTGAACAGACATCCAACAATAAGACATAAATGGCAAATATGAATATGAAAAAATGCTCAGCATTATATACCATTAGGGATTTGCAAATCAAAACAATGGTGAGATACTTCTGTATGCTTATTAGAATGGCTGAAAGCCAAAACGCTGACAACACAAAATTCTGGTAAAAAAGTAGAGCAACAAGAACTCTTCTTCACTGGTAGCAATGCAAAAGATATAGCTACTTTGGAAGATAGATTAGTAGTTTCTTTTTTAAAAAATTTAATTTTAAGTTCTAAGGTACATGTGCAGGATGTGCGGGTTTGTTACATAGGTAAACAATAAATATTTTGCAATTGAACAAATAAGTGAAAGTGTTTTTTAAAATGAAAATCAATGTAGGGAAGAAAAAGTATCTTTGTAGCACTTATAATGTGCCAGACAATCTGTCTGTGTATGTGTATGTGTGTGTCTGTGTGTGTGTGCATTGCATCTTCGCAATCTTCACAGCACCCCTATGAGGGGAAGGATCTTGCAGTTCATCTCACATGAGGAAACAAAGGCTCAGAGGGGTCAAGTAACATGGCTAACCTTACCCAGCTAGTGTGGGTAGAGCTGAGATTCGAATTTCTGCAGCCTGGTTGCAGTGCACAAAGTGAGTGTTCTTAATCAGGAGGTTCCCCTTTTCCACTGTCCATCACCCCCACTTCAAGTCCTCAATTCTTCCTTGATCCACTCAAATTCCATGACCTAGCATTATCTTCCCTTCCTCACAAAAAGCCTCATCTCTCTGACTCTATTACTTTTTTGGCTCTCTCAGGGCAAACTCCCAGCCTGATCAAATCCAACTTACTGTCTCTCCCACACCTGTCCCGAAGAGGTTGAAGAGACTGGATAAATGCACACAGCTCTGCTCATGGGTTGTATGTTCCACTTATGGCCAAAAACTCCAAGAGGACCTTCAGTCCCACCTTGCAATCCTGCTGTGCCCCTCCCTGCCACTCTCCTGCTGGTCTTTTCACTTTCCCACTCTCCTAAGTGACTGTAATACACCATTGCTCTCTTAAAACCACCAACACTTCCTTCTCCAGCATCCCACTTTGCTGATGAATTTGCCTCTTATTTTTCTAAGAAAATGTCCCCAGGGGCCAGGTAGCTCACATAAAACCTCAAACTGGAAAGACTGCGTACTCAGGAGTGGTGGGGACAAAGCTACTCATCAAGTAAAATGTCAACATAGATAGTGTGACTGCTGCTCAGCTCCCATTTATAATGGTCATAAAGTGCACCAGAATGATGTGGCCAGAAAGGTGATCTGTCTAAGAGATTTGAAAATTCAGATTTTGATGGAAATTTTCTGGGTTTTAAATACCTTACAAAAAAAAATATGTGTGTGTATGTGTGTGTGTGTGAATATATATATATATATATATATATATATATATATATATATATATAATATATGTATTTATACATATTTCAGCAAGGTGGGACAATGTAGCTTCTGGGCACTCCAGTTTGTAACTGCAGAGAAATGTAAAATTATTATATTATTGAGGGGAATCATTTATTGTTTGAATGCAATTTCAAAGAAGGCAACCAGATTTTCGGTTAGTAATAGTTTAATTAGAGCTACCATTTAATTGCAAGCAATTTCTCTTTAAATTGCTGAGATCAGTTCAGGGACTCAGAAGGAATTTTGAATTGTTTGAGATTTTAATAAAGAGTATTTTTATACCATGGGCAAGGTATAGGAAAAGATAGTATCCTGGAACTAAGAAGATTGTTTGCACACTTATGACCAAAGTTACCAGAACCACTAATGGGGGACCTATCAAGTCCAGTGCATCATAGGGCATCAATAGATTTGTAATTCTGTGAGCTGACACCTTTCTTCTAGGAACACTTTGATACCTTATCCTTTGAGACCTAAGATTAAACTAAAGGAATAAATATTCTTACCTCATTCTTTCTTACAAAACACCAGGGGTCCAGTCTAGGTTCTGCTGCTCACTACACAGAAAGCCAATCACTGAGATGATGAGTATTGCCAGGAAAGAAGGCTTTCATCAGGTGTTGCAGGTGAGGCAATGGGAGATCAGTCTCAAACCATCTCCCTGATTTACTAAAATTAGGGGTTTATATAGCAGGGAAAAAATGTAACTATGTGTGGGAAAATAGGAAGCAGGGAGAGGTAAAGAAGAGAAGTTGGTCAACAGGAAACAGGTGGATGATTAGGAAATAGTGATTGATGAGGCGTATGGCATCTCATTGTCCAAAAGCCATGATCTGCTAAGTTTCAATTCCTTGATACAATCTGGGAGGCCTGATGGTTGCTTTCCTGAGAAAGGAACTCAGGTAAGACAAATGTAACTTTCTCAAGTTTTAAGACTGGGAGGATCAATTTCTATGTTTATTTAAAGAAACCGTAAACAATTGGGCTGGTTTCATTTTCTCCCTCTCTCCATTGGTAAAACCCAGCTAGAATCCAGAATACAAGACAGACGACTGGTGTAGTCCTTATGTGTGGACCTGTCGGTGTCCAGAACAGGTTCTGGAAGATGGAGAGTGGGCTTAGAGGGAAAAAATCAAAGACCAAACAGAAACCCCACCATGAATTTTATGAAAAGAAACAATATTCTCTTTTTAGAGCTGATAAAATTGAGACAGATTCAGCAACTAACTTAACAAACAGCAACTGATGGGGCAGGGATTAAAAGCCTGGTCTTCTTAACTCCAAAGTTTAAAAAATACTTTCCTATACTGTTTCTTCACCATTGCAACCATTGCATTTTATAGTACATATAAAATGTATTTGAAAAAAAAATCACTAGGAGAATTCAATATTCTATCCATGTTAAGATATTACTTCATGTAGGGGAACTGATTTGCCTGAAAGCTACAGATGTATACGTTCTACACATATTTACTGAGTGACTGCAGTGCTGTACATAGGGCTGAATAAGACAGATAATGTCCCTGCTTTCACAGGGACAGAGCTGATATGGTTTGGCTTCGAGTTCCCGCCTAAATCTCATGTTGAATTGTAATCCCCCATATTGGAGGTGAGACCTGGTGGGAGGTGATTGGATCATGGGGGTGGTTTCTAATGGTTTAGCTTCATCCCCCAGTGCTGTCTTGTGATAGAGTTCTCATGATATCTGGTTGTTTAAAAGTGTGTAGCACCTCTCCCTTCATGCTCTTCCTCCTGCCCCAGCCATGTAAGCCATTTCTGCTTCCCCTTTGCCTTCCACCATGATTGTAAGTTTCCTAAGGCCTCCCAGAAGCAGAAGCCATGAGACAATTACGCCTTTTTTCTTTATAGATGACCAAGTCTCAGGTATGTCTTTATAGCAGTGTGAGAACGGACTAATACAAGAGCTTAGATTTTAGCACATGACACTATAGAAGTAATATAAATATGTAAATAGATTTGTTTAGATGCTAAGAAGTGACATTTAAAAAAACTCTCTAAAAGTAATGTGGAACTGAGGGTCTCAAATGATAGCTCACTGGTCAAATTCTGTCTACTGCCTGGTTGTGTTTGGTCTGTGAGTTAGGAATTGTTTTTTACATTTTTTAAGTGTTAGAAAAATATCAAAAGTAGGATAATATTTTGTGATGTGAAAATTTTAGCAAATTTAAATTTCAGTGTCCATAGATAGAGCTGTAATGGATCAGAGTCATGCTCATCTGTTTACATATTGTCTGCAGCCGCCTTCGTGCTACAATGGAAGAGTTCAGTAGTTGCAACAGAAAGAGACCATATAACATACAAAGTCCAAAATGTTTACTGTCTGGCAGTACACAGAAAAGTGTGTTGACCTCTGTTAGAGAAAGTGACTTCTGGGGATGTCAACTACTTTAAATTGGGTGGTCAGGAAAAATGTTTAGAAATGAATATGTGTTATGACATGAAAACTAAAGAACAGGGCTTTATTCCACATTAAACTGGGTTGTCCTACAAACTTTACTTTCAAAAGTAGTGTAACAACTATTCTGCTTTCTCTAGTCCTCCCCAAAAGGAAAATAAATGGCATACTTCAGCCATCATCCATCCATATGCCAAGTTTCCAAAATATAGAAATTTTGGCTCCAACAGGAATGTTTCCAAAAGGTTATATATGAAAACAAGGAGAGGAATTATTGTTATAACACCACGGGTGAGCTTTTTCAGCCAACGATTGCATATGTTATTTTGATTTTAGACCATCGGATAGATTAATCAGAACCCTCTATAAAAGTGTTTGTACCAAAGGAAACTAGCTCTTTCTGCCAAAAGTCCACTGAGTCATTAACAGAATATAATAAAGATTTGAGGCTTTAGTTTAGGAAAAGTTGTTATAAATTCTCCCAAAGAGGAACATTCTACACAATATATTTCTCCATCCAGGAACTTTTGCAAATTCCACCCATATGTTAGGTGGACACTGGATACGGCAGCTGTTCACAAACTGTGAGTTGAGGAGACCTAAAGGAATCTTCTCTGTCATCTGTCTCCCAACTAATGTCTAATTAAAGAATCATTCCTCAAGCTAAGGCAAAGAGAACAGAGAAAAGGGTGAATTACCTATTAGCTACTGCTGCTTTACGTAAATGATTTTTATTTAGTTTTTGTATAAAGTGAGAACACATACAATCTTCATAACTTTTAATTTGTATGAGAATCATACAGATTAGGAAAATTAGGTAGTGAGATGTGAGTAATTATTATCATCCTCTTTTTACAGATGAAGAAAGTGAGGTCTATGAAGGTCTTTGCCCAAAGACTCATAGATGAAACAGCTAGAATATGAATCATGTTTGTGTAAACAATTCTACAATATCCATTGAAGTGGAAGATGTGCATCTTGTGTACCTTAGGAATTTCTCTCCTATGTAAATAATTGAAAGAAGCTCACTCAGGTTCACAAGGAAACATGCTCCAGAATGCATTGTCATAGCAGTGTTTATAGTAAAACAAATTGAAAACACACTAAAAAGCCTTATGTGAGACTAACAATACCACTATTATAAATTCTGATACTTTCACAGAATGGAATACAATGCAAGGGTTAACCTGAATAAATAAGAACTACATGAATTTGCAGGCTAGATTTAAAAAGCAATGTTCAGCTAAAGAAAAAGAAAAAAATATCTTAAAGAATAATATATACCATATGATACAATGTAAATACGATTTAAGATATGCAAAGTAATTTCATATACATAAGATCAGCATTTAAAAAGTCCTAGGAATAAAAAACACAAAACTGTGGATGCTGGTTAACTTTGACTTCGGAAGAAAAGCTGTGATAGAGGGAGTATTCCAGTAACCCAAGTACAGTAGGCTGTGTTTCATGTCTTTAAAAATATTAAACACATACTACAAAGTGTTAAAACAAAATATCACAAGGGTAACAAACTATTTGTTATAAGGAACTCCTATAACCAATATTGCAGGTCCAAAAGAATTCTGTTTCCAGATCAGGTGCAGTAGCTCACACCTGTCATCCTAGTGTTTTGGTAGGCCAACCTGGGAGGATCACTTGAAGCCAGGAGTTTGAGACCAGCCTGGGCAACTCAGTGAGACTCCAGCCATCTGTGCAAACAAAAACAAAAACAAATGTAGCCAGGAACGGCGATGTGTACCTGTAGTGCCAGCTACTGGAGAGGCTGAGACAGGAGGATGGCTTGAGCCCAGGAGTTTGAGGTTACAGTTACCCATGATGGTGCCACTGTGCTCCAGCCTGGACAACAGGGTGAAACCCTGTCTCTTAAAAAAATTGCTGTTGAATTCCCATTTTAGGAATTATTGTATTTAGAGTCACTCAAAGAAGAAGGGATTGATCAATTTATTCATTTTTAGTTTTTAGTTTGTTTTTCTTTTTAGCTACCTCCTACAGAAAGGAGAATAAGCATGGATTTAAAAAATTATCTAGATGGCTATTTTTCCAGCCATTTTTATAGGAGAATTTTTCCTTATTTTCAAATAAATTCTTACCCAAACTTCTCTATGGAAAGCATATGTAAGCAGATCTGCTCAGCCCCTTGGCATCCCTTCCTGACTAAATTGAGCCAGGGCTTCTTGGAGAAATGGCCGATTCCAGTCTGAGGCAGGGACTACACTAGATGAGCCTGGCGCTTCTTATGCCAGAGGGTAAAGGGACACTCAAAGACTAATGGAGTCACATCAAAAGGACACAAGAGACAGTTTGAAAGAGCTCTCACTGGCCTAAGGTAGGACACTGCGGAATCAGAAAGAAGAATGACTTCAGTGCATTGAAATACTTCAAGTACATCACAATCTACAAGTCCCAAATGATACTGAGAAACAAAACAAACACAAAACAAAATTCAAAAAAATCCTTACTGGTGACCATAAGAAGTTGCTTGAACACAAACTCTTTACTGTGAAAATTGACAAGGAATGGAACACATTCAAATAAGCAAACAAACAGAAACAGGAGACCCAAATGCCTGGCTGCTTACATGTTTTTCTTGACCTGCCAGCCTATGGTTTAAATATCACTGATCTAAGCCATCCTTGTGTATGACGCTTACATCTCCTATAAGAAAGTTCTGACAAATTTCGCTAGTGCTGGAGGGTTCTTGTCCATGTCCTCTTGAGCCATCCATTGAATTTTTAAGGGCTGCCTTTAAGAATACTTTGGGTCAAAGAAAATTAATTTGTGTTTCTATAGCTTTTATCCATTGAGTCTTTCCCTAGTCAGGCATTAAAAATAAAGACCCTAAACCCTCTTCTCTTAACTCTTTTTCAGGTGTGTGCAGGCAGCTTTCAGGTATCTACCTGTCAGTTCCAGGATACTCACCTCCAGTTCCTTTAACTCTTGACCATATGTCAATTTTTGTTTCCTTTCCATCTGGGTCCACTGGATAGACTATATTCCATATTATCTTTCCCTCTTCTCTATTATGCACTTAGCATTAAAGATAGCTTTCCCTCCATGTGGAATATGACCAGTATAGCAGCATAGTGAGGAATTATTGTTAATACTTGTGAACATATCCCATATGAATAGTTGGCTATATAATAAGTTCACAAAAAAGAAGCATTATGCATAACTTTTTAAGGCTGGAATTCTGGTGCCATTCAGTAATCATCGTACAGTTTAAAAAGTTACCAGTGAGAAGGGAGAAGGATTTCACCCTCAGGAACTCCTTATGGGTACATTTTACACATATCGCAAGAGAATAGAAACCTGATGTTTGGAATAGGATTTTGTTTTCCTTCACGCCATGCAATTTGTAGCAGAGACTTAATGCTGTGTGAGAGATGCTAAGAATGCGGACATTTTCTCTAATTCCTGTAAATAATTTGGCAAGTTCTTCCTGAAATAATTACCATACTCTATTGCTTTCTTGAAAAATATAATTTGATGTATTTTATTACTAGTTTTTACATGCATGAATATGAAATAAGAACAGTATCTAATTGGGCTATTTGTAGGGTCACTAAATATTCTCATATTGAAAATCTTCGAGCTTTAGATCAGTTTTGGAAGATGGCTCATGCCCTACAAAAACTTCAAAACAACAGAAGGGATTAGGTTGTCTGGTTCCTCAATTTGTGCTATACCCAAGAAAGATGAGATCCTTTAGGTCTGGGAAGGAAGTGAGAGTTGAGAATAAATGCCTCCCATGAAGAACACATTTTTAACATACTGGCTATTAAGTTTATTATTCCCATTATAGCTTAAATAAAGGCCACCAAGAAGGGACTCCTTAAGATACATTTTTGTGAATTGTAACAGACTGTGCTCATAGCATTTTTGACACAATCTTTTTGAAGCTTTTAAGTATCTAAAATTAGTATTTGATGCTGTTTAAGCATTAGGTGATATTCTAAAATAACCACCCTGCCTCAAGCAGCTAGAAATGAGAAAGAAAGAACTTAGGGAATACATAGCAATAGCAGATACAGAAGGGAATGGAGTATTTTGAAGGATCAAATAATTAAAGGCTATGATATTATTGAGACAAGCATAAAAATGAGTGTCTTCTTCATTCATCGGTTTTTAAGATTAAGTACATCCTATGAGCTAGGTACTTTGTAAGATATAGGATATTACAAGACAGACTTGGTTTGGGGTCTCATGTAGTTTACACTCTAGTGGGAAAGACATATATTGAACCAATAAATTATATGCAGCATTAATTAATTGCTATTGTTACACCTGATATTAATGATCTTTAGATTTCCAATGAGACAGAAAAGTATGGCTTCAATCTAATCTGGGTGGAAGGGGTGACTCATCTTCTCTTGGGCAATAGAATTAGTTAAACAGACAGCAGGGGCTGGAAGGGGAAAGGATAGAAGTGTGGAAAGGGAGATTTCTTCAGCCAGAAGGAAAAGCATATGTGAAAGCCCTGAGACCAGGTTGGCAGATTCAGGGAAGTAAAAACAGCCTGTGCCCGGAGCAGAGGGAAAATCTGCAAGAGAGACCTAAAGTGAGGCTGGAGAGACAGGCGGGACTGTCCAGGCCATGGTAGATTTCCCTTAAAAACATGTCAGTTAATGAAGATTTTTATGTGAGTAACATGGTTACATATTCAGATTTAAAGTATCATTTTGGTACTATAGATTGAAAGGAGAGGAGGGGTGTGTGTGTGTGTGTGTGCGTGTGTGTGTTTGTGTGTGTTTAATTCTTTCTCTGTTGAGTGACCTTGTGCAAGTATCTTCAAGTAGCTGGGCCTTGTCATATGCATTGGCAAAAACAATGGATGAAACTAATAATTTCAAAGATGTCGCAGCTCTTTAAGTCTATGCCCTGAATTGCCCTGACATTCTTACTTTGTTCCTTTGCCTTGACAAATTTGATTTCCTTTAACTGACAGCAATAACTCCTACACCTGCTCTTAAGATAATTTGCTTTTTGAGAACCATGTCTTAAAAGTATGAATGTCAAATGCAGCCATGAATTGGAAAAGGGGGAACAAAATTATCATTTATGCAGATGATGAGATTGTCTCTAGACATTCTAAGCATCACTTAAAAATAAGAACTAAAAAGAGAGCTCAGGAAGAAGGCTAGGTACAAATAAATCTTCAAATCATTAAGAATTTTTCTGCATGCCAGCAATGACTAAAAAGCAAACAGACCAAAGCAATTTATAAGAGGAAAATACCTCTGTAGTTGATTGAATCATGATTCCCAAAAGTTATGTCCACCCAGAACCTGTGAATGTGGCCTTATTTAGAATAAAACATGGCTTGGCAAATAGATCTTAAGATGAATTTACCCTAAATTACTTGGACAGGCTCTAAATGCAACGACAAGTGTCCTTATAAAAGACTAAAGAAGGCCGGGTGCAGTGGCTCATGCCTGTAATCCCAGCACTTTGGGAGGCCGAGGCAGGCAGATCATTTGAGGTCAGGAGTTCAAGACCAGCTTGTCCAACATGGAGAAACCCTATCTCTACTAAAAGTGCAAAAAGAAAAAATCAGCCAGGCATGGTGGTGCATGCCTGTAATCACAGCTACTTGGGAGGCTGAGGCAGGAGAATTGCTTGAACCCTGGAGGCAAAGGCTGCAGCAGTGAGCCAAGATTGTGCCACTGCACTCCAGCCTGGGCAAGAGAAGGAGACTCCATCTCAAAAAACAAACAAACAAACAAACAAACAAAAAAAACCAAAACCAAAACAAAACAATAAAAACTAAAGATGAGAAGACACAAATAGAAAAGGGAAGCCAATAAGGATAGAGGACAGAGACAGAAACTTGAGTAATGCAGCCATAAGCCAAGGAACACCTGGAGCCACCAGAAGCTGGCAGAGGCTAAGAAGGAATAGTAAGAGAACAGAAGGGTGAGAGAACAGATTTCTGTTGCATCAAGCCTCCAGGGTTTTGGAACTCTGTTACATCTGCCACAGGAAACAGAGACAATGTCTCAGGCCCCTCATTGCTTTCCTACTGTGTCTTGGTGAAGAGGAAAATCATCCCTTTGAGCATGGCATTAGCCAGTTTCTACCTCCTTGCTTTGGAAACTGGATGAAACAATGTGCAGTCAAAATTATTCTTTCCTCAAAATCTGATGCAAAGGGTTTTGCATTACGGGATGGTTAACAGTGACCTAAAATAAAGAAAATTGCTTTTCAAATATGAGGCCACTCTTTAAGAGCCATTGTACAGCCCTTGAATTTGGAACTTCGAGCCTCTACTTGCTACAGTTCACACCATTTCTTTTGGATGAGGACTCGTGAGAGGGAAGAGGCTATATATGACCCTAAGTAAACAGCACTTTTAAACATTTTCTTTGTGCATAACTGAACAATAAAGAATTTGGAATTGGAAGACTTGCTGTAAAGTCCTGTCTCTGCTACCTGTTTGCTTCATTCCTTGCAATGTTTACTCTGCTTTCTTCAGCTTCAAGTTGCTCATTTATGAGGTGGAGCTAATTAATATTCACTTCAATGTATCTTATAAAGTTATTTTTGAAGATCAAGAGAATTAATGAAATTGAACATGCTTTAGTAAACTATGCAATGGTAATAAACCTTAGGGACTATTAGTCAGCATTTATTTCTAATATAACTTCAATTATTGTTGATCAAATAAATCGAACTAAAAAATAATGAAATCTGACTGCGGCTGTATTAGTCTGTTTTCATGCTGCTGATAAAGACAGACCCAAGACTGGCTAATTTACAAAAGAAGGAGGTTTACTGGACTTACAGTTCCACATGGCTGGGGAGGCCTCACAATAATGGCAGAAGGCAAGGAGGAGCAAGTCACATCTTTTGTGGATGGCAGCATGCAAAAAGAGAGCTTGAGCGGGGAAACTCACGTTTTTAAAACCATCAGATTTCATGAGACCCATTCACTATCACAAGCACAGCACAGGAAAGACCTGCCCCCATAATTCAATCTCCTCCCACTGGGTTCCTCCTATGACACAGGGGAATGATAGCAGTTACAATTCCAGATGAGATTTAAATGGGGACACAGAGCCAAGCCATAGCAGTGGCTCTGGGAAAAGAGTTTGAAATATCTAGCCTCCGTGTCACTATGTTGCTTGCTGTATGAGAGGGTTGTGCTGGATCTGTGCTTCTCCAGCTGGCTGACCATTAAAATCATCCAGGGAGCCCTGAGAAACCAACCCAGGAAAACCCAATGATAACTCTTGGAACAAACTCAGGAAAACCCAGTGATAACTCTGGGAACAAAGTCGACACATAGGTATTTTTAACAGCTCTCCAGGTGGTACTAATGCGAGGAGGAAGCATTGAGAAGCAACATGCTACAATCATGAAGGCCTCTGCAACTCTCAACTTCAAGGTTGTCTTGGCTTTTCACTGTAAATATTATTCCTGTCCTGTCTGATTTGGTATTATGAAAATGGGATTGCCTTTGCTTAATTCCAAAATCACCTAAACAAAGAGTGGAAAGAAGCAGTTACTCTGAATGCTCTGTTTTTTATGATTGTAAACATGCAGATATTCTCAAATATCTAGATGTTTGTGCTGTGTTTGACAAGACATCTAATTATCTGCATGAATTTTTTCTCTTTTTTTATCTGAAATAAGGAAAAGGGTGAAACAAATAGCAGCTCTTATGCTTCAGGAATTGTGCAAGGTATTTTATGGGTGCTATGATGCACATTCTCAGAACTATCCTATTGGCAGTATTAGATCCATTTTATAGAGAAAACTGAGGCTGAGGGAGCTCAAAAAATTTAGCCAGATAATTCAGTCAATAAGTCGTTAAATCAAGAGTCAAATTGAGCACTGTCAGCTCCAAATAATGTACATATTTCTTTTTTACCATACTGTTTTGGTAGTGGTACTGTAAGATCTTTTATCCATAAAGGCAGTCTGAGAATTCTGGGAAACAGAAATTAACTGAATAAACAAACCCCAGTTTACTTGGAGTATTTCAACAGACTTAGCATTCAGTTATCTATTTCTTTGTAATTTATATTATGCTTACCTCCAAAAATGATTAGCAGCATGGTCCCCTTCTATATCTGCACTCCTGATGTTTTGGAAAAGAAATAAAATGATATGATTGTATTGGCATTGTAATGTTCTGGGACAATCACAGGCAGTATCTTTAAATTAACCACCAATGTAGATCAATGTGTAAATTAACCACATCTCCAAGATGGCCTCCAGTGGTCTCTGTCGCCTGCCTATGTGTAGATCTGTCCATCAAGGAATAAGGTTGACTTGAATAACCGACAGGATATGACAGAAAGGATGATGCGAGACTTCCAGCCTAGGTCATAAAAGACATTGTGGCTTTCTCCTTGTTCTCTTTTGTCTGATCATTTGCTTTGTGGAGAAGCCAACAGGTATATGATGAGGACTCTCAAGTGGCCCTGTTTAGAGGTCCTTACAATGAAGAACTGAAGTCTCCTGCTGGTAGCCGACACCTGCTTGCTAGCCATTGTGAGTCAGGCATCCTGCAGAAGGGTCCTCCAGCCACAGCCAATTCTTCAAATGAGTACACCTCCACCTGCTATTTGGAATGCAACCCCTTGAGAAAGCCTGAGCCAGGACCATGCATCAGCTTCTGAACCCCTGACTTATAGATTGTGAGAAAATACATGTTTATTACTTTAGACACTAAAGTTTGGAGTAAGCTGTAATGCTTTAATAGATAAGTAGCCTCTCTTCTAACCTGTCTTTCTGTATTAGTTTGTTTTCACACTGCTATAAAGAACTTCCCTGAGACTGGGTAATTTCTGAAGGAAAGGGGTTTAACTGACTCACAGTTCCACATGGCTGAGGAGGCCTCAGGAAACTTACACTCATGGCAGAAGGCAAAGGGGATGCAAGCACCTTCTCCACAAGGCAGCAGGAGAGAGAAAAGCAAGCAAAAGGGGAAGAACCCCTTATAAAACCATCAGATCTTGTGAGAACTCACTCATTATAATGAGAACAGCATGGGGGAACTGCCTCCGTGATCCAATCACCTCCCTCCCTCTACATGTCGGGATTACAGGTCCCTCCCTCAACATATGGGAATTACAAATTGAGATGAGATTTGAGTGAGGACACAGAGCCAAACCATATCACCTTCCCTCTGCTCCTTCCTTTCTATTTTGCTTCCCTTTTTAATTTTGTCTTTTCTTCTTTCTTTTTTCTTCTCCTGACCTTCCCTCATTACCCCTCTTTTTGCCCTCCCAAACTTCCTCCCTCTCCTCCTCCCAACATCTCATCCTGCCTTCCACAAAGTTATAATGGGTGCTTACTTAATGCTTGGTGCCACAGAGCTATGAAAATTAAAAAATACAATCCTGCTGTCAAAGGACAATTTAGTTGTGATTGGGCTATGAGCCAAAAATAAACCCCATATGTTACACTGCTGTTTTGGAAATTATCTGATGAATTCAGGAAGTGGAAGCATAGTGGAAAAAGAGTCTAACCCTCTCTGGGGAAGTCGGGGAAGATTCAGCCGATGGATTAAAAGGGACAGTGGAGGAATCCAGGGAAGGCTTTTCCAACAAAGGTAAAAACATTTACAAAGACGATAAGGGCGTGAGAGAAAAGGACGAATTCAAGAAACAGCTAGCAGTTCCAATTTTGCCTAAGCATGAGCTATTAAGGATAGAAGTGAGAGACTGTCATTTAATCCAGGACTTAATAGTAAGGATGGTGATACCCTAAAAAGAAGTATAGATTTGGACTACTCACATCAAGCTCGCTGAGCCTTTGTTTCTTTATGTATAAAACACAACACAGTACCTACCTAATAAAGTTGTGTAATGATTTAAGAAAACATCCTACAGAATGCCTTACACATTGTAGGTGCTCAATCAGTGTGGCTCTTCCTCTAGGCCATGTCATACATTTAAAACTTTAGGTCCCAAATTGTCCTCTAACTTCTATCTTCAATTAAAATGTGTCAAAAGACCCACTCTATGAGAGATAGGATAATTAAGCATCAAGAGTTATTTCACCTTCAGAATATATTAAAATGCATATTCTCTCCCTCCTAATGGTCACTACTGGGGTAATTAGGCAGAAGAGCTCTTTGTATCATTTGACTTTGGGGAGAAAATGGCTGGAAAATGGGAGGGAAATAAATGCTATTTCTGAGAAGTCTTGGAACCACAAGCCATGCTCCAAGGGCTTCCCTTCCTGAGAATAGTGATCCTGGATCTTACTGCATTTTAGTGCATCCAGAATGTTCATGCTGAAAGCATTTCCTCTGGATAGTAATGCCCTTGAGAGGAGTGAGTTCCAGGTCAGTACATCCTTATTTATTAGAATTTACTGAAGTTGCATTTGAAGTTCGTTGTGACAGTCTAGCCTTTTCAACTTCTCAGAAAAGGGCGTGTTGAAAAAATACCAGCGTTTTAAGTTTTCTATATGAGATGTCTATTTGTGCAGAAGAGTTTATACGTGTGTCTCATCTTTTCCTCAGATGCTGTTCCCAATTCTTATTTTAAACATTTTTTTTACCCCAGAGTTTTCCAGATCTGTCTTCTCCATCTTATGTCTGCTTAACATTTTATTTTTCTGGCTGTTAGCCACTGAGTCTCATTTGAAAGGAATCTAAAAACTCTGTATGTTTCCCAATCAGGTGCAGAGTTAATGCGCTGAAGTTTTCCTTAGATTGTGTTTGTTTTCCTCATATCCCTTATGGGTAAGGACATATGGAAAATCTTAGCTGAGGTTTACATATTGATTTTGGAGAGACCTCAATGTGACATTTGTCACCTTCCTGGTTGCCAGGCTTGATTCAGCTGTTTGGGCTGGCTAGGGGGATGGGTAACAAGGATAAGAAGTGGGGTTGTATTCCTTCAGCATTGATGTACATAATTTGAACCGAGGGTTCATAGACTGTTGGAGGGAGAAGCAATATGAAAGATAAGTATGTCCAATCGCCTTATTGTAGACATAAGAAAATTGAGACCAAGGAAACTTGATGGTGTTATCCAAAGCTCTACCTAGAAAATAGCAGAGAGGGAATACAGTTCTTGGTTACGTCAATTCCTGTTTTGGTTTGATAGAAAGAAAATAGATTTTGCAGTTAGACAGGCATGGCTTTGAATCCCTCTGTGGAATTCAAAGCCATGTCTGTCTACCTGCAAAATCCACATCATTTCTGGTGATGTGGCCTTGTTAAAGTGGCCTTGTTGACAGGGCTGTTGCATAGATTGGAGATAATTTATGTAAAACATCTCACACATTATAGTCCCTCAATATAAGTTAGTTTGACCATCGACTGGAGAATAATGTCTGGAGAAGAATTCCAAGAGCTATACAATGCAAAACCAATATGAATGACGATAATCCACTTTGTTAACTGATTAACAGAGTTATGTCTGGAAGTTTTATAAATGCTTGCTGGAAGACCCTCTGTGTGTTTTTCATTTTAATGTCCAAAGGGGAAAGGAGTTTATTGCTTGCCTGGCCTGCATTTCCATTTAAAAGAAAAAAATCAGGTTGAACTATGTATGCTCTTTGCATTATTTTCAGAGAGAAAGATCCTGAAACCTTGAATAGAGCCAACAGTGTTGTTTTTTGTTTTTTTTTTTTTTTCTTCTCTTCAAAGAGCAAGACTGGCTACAGCCAAAATTTTGGGGTTAAGAGTAACTTCTCGGGTTATTGAGACCTTGTGGTTATCTATGCAAACAACTTGCTATTGTATCACTTCGGAAAATGGGAGGAAGATAAATTCCTCTTTCTTCGTCCTCCTCTACAAATCATAAGAATTAACCTTTGTATAAGACCCTGCAGTTTATGAAGCACTTTAATGTTGATAGGTTTGTTTTTGATTCTGAAAATAATCTTGTGAAGTAGACAGAGGAAAGATGATTATCTTCCCCATTTCAAAAATAAGAAAATTCATCAGTAAACATCAGCATTCTTAGATGCTCCCTTCACCCTCAATGAATACTCTTCAGTATTATTTGTTATACCATCATGAGTGCAAGCCCCAAATTTGGTTACGTTTCCATGATCTAAATCTTATCTCCCTCTTTGCCCCATGTTCTGCATCTCTCCACTCCCATTTCACCAAGTAACATGATGCATTCTTTGGAGTTGATCTCAAGTCATTCTATAGCTGGGCTGTTGTGTAGATTAAATGAGTCTACATATGCTAAAATGCTAAAGAGAGTGGCTAGCATGCAGCTAGGTTATATGAAGCGTTACCTTTTATTACTTTGTTCATGTTCATGTAGATCTTTCCTCTATCTAGAAAGTAAGTCCTTTTGACCCTCCTTTTCCTATCTAACTCTTAGACATCCATCAAGACCTCTTCTGTGCCACTTCTTTTTGCAAAACATTTAGTTACTCTATACAAACCAGGTTGTCTGGCCTTGTCTTTTTTCGCACCATTTCTTCTTTATTGGAATCCAAGTACTTGTAACACTGTTTTGTCAATCTGTGATTATCTCCACCTCCCTTTCTGGATTCTATAAAGACCTGTCTTTATCTGTGTCCAGCTGACACTCATATACTTGTGTTTCATTCAAGTTTACACCCCTGTAACTAGCCCAGTGCCTCTTAAGAAATGCTGAACAGAAACTCTTTGGCTCCAATCAACTATCTTTTTTTTCTCACCAAATGAATTGGCAAGCCAATGAGAAAGAAACCATGTTTTGTTCTCTTTAAACCCACCACAGCTCCTCTAGCACAGGGCCTCCCGGTGTTCAGGCCTTCTAGCATAGCAACCCTCAAGATTCACACAGCCCATGTTCCACCCAGGCCTCTGTGCTCCTTTTCTCAGGCAAGTAGAGGTCATGAGCCACATATCTTGATATCTTCTGGTGAAAGGAACTAAATGCCTCCACTTTCCTTCCCACTGAGAGGCAGAAAGTTCACAGGATCTGTATTCTCTCTTCTTTGCTATCTTCACTGGGAGAAAGGGGTATGCCCAAGGCTCCTGCTGCCGTAGCACCACTTCTCACTCTTGTCACTGTTTAAGTTACTTTACTTCCTCTGAAAAAGATTAATTAGCCATGAAGCCAGCCTCTACCTAGGCTCCCTGATTTGGGTTCAGTCATGGTATTTTGGGACTAACTGGAGACAATGCAATTGATTTAGAACATATGTGGATTTCTCAGGAAATCCTCTGTAGAAGTCATCAATAATAATAATTAAAAAACTCTCTGCTTGCAGTTGACATAAACATAATTATGTGAGTGAGTTCAGCTTTAAACACGAATGTGCTTCCTGTTGGGGATCCCAAAACAATCTGTGAGCTATCCATCTAATTATTTATTGTAAAAGATGTCAGGAACTATAAAATACTTCAAACAGGTTTGTGAAAGGTCTTGACTTCAAGAAATATGACGAGTAAATGCATGTTTACATATTTTTTCTCCCCAAAAGCTATCAAAAGGAACCAAAAGTGAGAAAAAGATAAAAAAGAAAAAGAAAACATTAACTTTGAGCTTAAGAAATTGACACCTCCAGATGACTACCCCTGAAGAATACCTTCCAGATGTAGCATCATTTGAACCAAACAGAATAGGGACATCACCTACTAAAGTTAGCAAAAAAGCAAAGTTAACTACTAGTTCATTATTATTTAGCTTTGTTCCAGACAGTCATAGTAAATGACACTTGTCAAGAAGAAGAAATAGTTTTAAAGATTTGAAAAAAAAAAAAGGAATTGTCATTATTTCTATGTGAAATGATGGTAGACTTAGAAAAAATAAAAATCTCCATTTAAAAAATAGAAACAGAATTTAGGAAGAGTGCTGATGTATTGAAAACAATTTACACAAACTTTTTCTTTAAACAGACTCAGTGATATAAAGCTTTCAGTTCTCTATTAACATATAAATGTAATAATCTATAAGTTTAATGTGTGTCCAATAAAATATAAGTTGTTTTTTTTTTTTTTACTTGGAACTGGGTGGAAAAATGAGAATGGGTAACAAAATGTAGCACAATGGGAAAAGAGAGAATCTAAACCTAACAAATATTTAGGTGGGTTATGATGCTGTAACAAATTTAAATGTTTTGTTCTCGTCCATGAATAGAATGACAGTTGTTAGTCACATGAAATACGGAGTCTATAAACAGATTACTTTTGTCAATAAAAGTATGAAAGTCATGAGTCTTAAAAGATACTCAGCTTCACCTAATAACTGTTAGCTACCACTTTTTACAATCAGATTGGCAAAGATCAAATAATTTACCAGTGTACCACATTGGTTAGTAATATGGTTAGGCTCTGTGTCTCCACCCAAATCTCATCTTGAATTGTAACCCCCATAATGCCCAAGAGTAACTAAATTTTTTATTTTAAAGGTTCATAGGTGCAAGGAACCTGCCTTATTTCAGATAAGACTTTGGACTGTGGACTTTTGGCTTAATGCAGGAATGAGTTAAGACTTTTGGGGGATTGTTGGGAAGGCATGATTGTGTTTTGAAATGTGAGGACATGAGATTTGGGAGGGGCCAGAGGAGGAATAATACAGTTTCGCTGTGTCCCCACCAAAATCTCATCTTGAATTGTAATCTCCATTATCCCCACATGTTGTGGGAGGGACCCACTGGGAGGTTATTGAATCATGGGGGCAGTTTCTCCATGCTGTTCTCGTGTTAGTGAGTTCTCATGAGGTCTGATGCTTTTATAAGCGTCTGTCATTTCGTCTGCTGGCACTCATTCTCTCTCCTGCTGCCCTGTGAAGAGGTGCCTTTCACCATGATTGTAAATTTTTTGAGGCCTCCCCAGTGATGGGGAACTGTGAGTCAATTAAACCTCTTTTCTTTATAAATTACCCAGTCTCTGGTATTTCTTCATAGCAGTGTGAGAACGGACTAATACAGTAAGAATTGTTAAATATTCTGTTCATAAAAGTGTAAATTGATTCAGCTTCTTAGGAAGACAGATTTGTGTTACCTTAAAAACTAAACACAGTTTGATCAAGCAAGATAACCTACAGGAATTGATTCTACAAGTTAAATGTATTCGAATTTAGTCATGTATAAAATAATGTACCTTTCATGCTCTTTGTATATTAGTTACGATCCTATCTTAATTAAATAAACTATTAAATCGACCTATAAATCACAATCAAAGTTATTACAAACTTATTAATCAAACTTATTACAATCAAAGTTTATTTCTTATTCATGTCTAGATGTTGTCACTTGTTGGGGACACCAAATAATAATTTAGGGATGTGGCCTTATTCCATTGTGTACCAGCAGCTATTATTACTATTGGACTTCTAAGATTTCTAAAGGAGGGAAAAAGAAGGTAGTTGCACATGTTAGTCACCAAGTGCAGGAAGAGGCTCATGTAAATTTCACCTACATTCCATTGGTCAGATATCAGTCACATGGGTGTACTCACAAGGAAACTGAGAAAACAGATTTGATAAAGGACTTTACATTTTGCTCCATAGCTAATAATAGGAGACTAGTTAAATAGATTATATCACACCTCTAAAATAAATGACGATATATCTATAAAAAAGAATGAGCTGGATTTGCAATGTCTCAATATAGAATAAGATATGTTTCCACAAAAACAAGGTAAAAGGAGTATGAAAGATTAAAAAAGCGAGTTCTTAAATAAATAATTACCAAAATAGATGCATTATTCTGTTTAACTTCTTAATCTGATAGATGACAAAGAGATAGATGAAAATTATGCAATATTAAGAATAACGGGATTAAAATTATTGTAGGAGTATACTTCATGAGACACCATAACACTTTCATAAATCTAGGGGAAATTATTAAAACTATCCCCAGTAAGTAAAAAAATTGAACAGACCCATGATCAAGAAAGCAAGATGATTAAAGGTGTACAGAGGAAAAAAGATGTACCAGAGCAAGGCAGTTTCATAGTTGATCTCTAACTAACCTTTAAAAAACAAATACGCTAAGGTTATTTAAACAAAAACAAAAAGCTCAGAACAGTGTTTATAGTATAATTCCATTGGTTAAAAATGTTTCTGAATTAATACACAATTTTTTTTAAAAGAGGATGCTTATGAAGTCAGTGATGATGGATATGAATAGAAAAGAAAACAAATTCTTTTCTTTGCATGCCATTTTAGACTCCCAGAATTCTTATCCTTGTTTTTGAAACAATTTGCATTTGACATTTTTTAATGCAAAAGAAAAGGAAGAGGAGAATGTGAATAGGTGAACCCATTCTTCCTATTTTAAGAACAGGTTTATGTGCTGGGGCAGCTGGGTAAGTCTGGAAGACCCAGATATCCACATGTACGGAAGGCTCTATCAGCTACCTTCTGACAACCATTCTGCATTCTTCTTTAGTTATGTAAGCTTTACTTACAGCTGGTCATATTACCACCTAGCAAAAAAGACTACATTTTCCAGTCTCTCTTGAAGCAAATCATGGCCATGTAACTAAGGTCTCTCCATTGAAATGCAAGTGAAATGTTTTATGCCACTTTGAGGGATTCTTCTTAAAGGAGGAGTGAGTTCCCATTCCCCTTTCTCCATTTTGCTGCTGGAAAGGTAGACATGATGGCAGAAGCTCAAGCAGCCATCTTGAATTACGAGGTTGTAGCACATCCTAAGGATGAAAGATGGAAGAAGCCTAGACCCTGATATCACGGAGTTGAGATATAAAACCTTCTAGAATGCCAACTGGACTTCTCTATGGAGGGAAAAATGCATTTGATTTAAGCCACTCTTGTTTTTTCTGTTTTATTGTAGCTGAATTTTATCCTTATTGACATGCCTTACAAAGGGTTCATTTTCTTTCTGCATCATCAATGGGGTGGTCATGCTAAGCCAGAAATCATTTGGCCATACTATTTTTTTTTCTCCAACCCAGATTTCAAAACCAAGATCAAGGCATGGAAAGTGAGACTAACTACATCAGGCCAGAAATGAAAAGCAACTTAGGAGTCAATTTTGTAAGTTCAATCTATTTTACGAAACAGTGAATGTGTGTTTTGTGAAAGCCTCTCACCAGGTAACTGGCTTACTCTTGAGGTGAGAAGTGAAGGATTCAGAAAACCTGAAAAAAGCTACCTTCTCCTCAAAATATAGGTGGTCCCATTGATAAAAAGGATTTACATATTCTTTTTTTTTTTTTTTAATAATGTGCTTCTTAGTTTCTTTCCACATATCTGACTGAAGCAGGTATGAAAAACATCAATGGTCAACCTTCTATCCTAAATTCTAAAGGAAATTTCAAGTAGAGATTAGGGAAAGAGGGTGTGTGCAATAAATAGCTGAAATTAATTCAACAGTTGAGGCCATTGTCCTCAGCAAACTAACACAAGGAACAGAAAACCGAATACTGTATGTTCTCATTTATAAGTGGGAGCTAAATGATGAGAACACATGGACACATAGAGGAGAACAACACACACTGGGGCCTTTCAGAGGGTGGAAGGTGGGAAGAGGGAGAGGATCAGGAAAAATAACTAATGGGTACTGGGGTTAATAGCTGCTGATGAAATAATCTGTACAACAAACCCCCATGACACAAGTTTACCTATGTAACAAACCTGTGCCTGTACCCCTGAACTTAAAATAAAAGTTAAAAAAATCAGTTTTAATTTCTTCCTCATACTGATAACATTACTATTCACGATAGTAGTTTTTGAACTTTTCTAAGTTCCAGAAACTATGCTGAGTGCTTGAACTACCTTATTTAATCCACACAATTCTAAAAGTTAAGTCTAAATATTATTATCTTTATTTAGATGCAAGATCCTGTGATACAGAGATGGGCTAGAGACCTAGGCCAAAATCATGCAGCAGATATGTAACAAGAACAGAATTTAAGATAAGCACAACCCCAATTAGTCACCTTTACACTGTAATGACACTCACAAAGTCTGCAAATAATCTGAAGGAGTTTAAGTAAAGGTACAAAAGTAGGCAAAGTTCATGGACACAGATATATAATTCCCAAAGAAAATATTATCCAATTGAGTCTTTTATAAAAAGGCTAATTACAATAATTTAAATTCAATGCTAGTTTAGGTTAACATTTCACAATCAAAGTAATCTATCATATTAATAGGATAAAGGAATAAAAGTAACATAACATCCTAAAAGACACAGAAAATATAAATATGATAAAATTTATACCAATTTATAATTTTAAAGTGAACAAGTCCTCTGTAAACGGCTGTGTTAGTTTCATACTGCTGTTGCAACAAATCACCACAAACGTTACCGTTAAAATAATACAAATTTATTACCTTACATTTCTAGAGGTCAGAAGTTGAAAATGAGTCTCACCAAGATAAAATAAATGTGTCAGCAGGGCTGCTTTTCTTCAGTCAGCTCTAGGGAAAAGTTAATTTTCTTGCCTCCTCCAGCTTCTACATTCTGCCCACATTCCTCGGCTTGTGGCTCCCTTCCATCTTCAAAGCCAGGAATAATTTGGTCTTTCTCATACTGCGTTTGCTCTGACTCTTGCTACTTCCTTCTTTCACTTATAAGGACCCTTGTGATTATATTGAGGACACCAAGATAATCCAGGATAATCTCACATCTCAAAATCAGATGATTGGCAACCATAATTCCATCTGTAACAACAATCCCCAACTCCCATCCCCTGCCACATAACTTATCATACAGGTTCCTGGAATTAAGAGATGGATATCTTTGTAGAGCCCATTATTCTGCCTGCCATAGATAGGAAATAAAAACTATTTTAAAGTATTGTGTATTTGTTAGCATTGGAGTAAACTCTAGCCTTTGAAACACTGTAATATTCTTCTTTCCATCAGAAATTTAAAAATTCTTTAATCCAAAATAGTTACTTAGTAATTAGCCTTGCTAGCAAAGAAAGATATAAGGAATTATCCCCTTTTTACCCTGGTTGGCATAACAACTTTGTGACAGATTAGTGTTAGGGGAAATAGAAAAAATGTAGACTGAGAGATTGTAGTGTGGATAAAAAAGTGTTCATTCTAAAATGCTCTAAGTGTTCAATGGCAGAGGCATGGATCCTTCCAAAGCCAAGTCTATAGTCCAAGCAATGTAAAGACACATTATATACAGTCTCAAGCTTAGGCTCAGTAAAGCCAGGACAACCAAAAGCCATTCCAGAACCTGAACTGTGGAAAGTACTTCATAAATATTTGTTGAATAAATGAGTGAATAAATGAATGAATGAATGAAGGCGAGAATAGATGGAACTGTATGATTGAACCAATGAATTTTCCTTGTTTTCTACATGTATGAATATTATATGCAATAACTAGGCCTTTTAGGAATTAGCTAGCCATGAACCAATATTGTGTACACTAATGATTTGTTCCTGCATTGTAAGGTCAAAAGGCAGTTATTGGAAGATGGCTGATATTTTTGTGGCCCCATGATTTATTGTGGCTGGAAACATTTGTCGTAGGTAGACACTGCTTCATGGAAATTTTCCTGAAATACTGGCAAAGCTCCTCTAACTCTGAAGATATATTCCAGAAAAGTTGGTCTCCTGTCAAACTAAATCATATGTTAAATGCTGAACCAAGCATAGACACATATACACACAAACACACATGTAATTTTGTAGGCAAAGTACAGTGGCTTCTGCAATGACATAAGAATAATACAAGGTGAAAGGAATCACCATATTCTCTAAAATGAAAAAGGCAGAGTAGAAAACAATCATTTGTATGTGAGAGATATTTAAATATTTATAAAATGTTTATAGTTTTTAGTATGATTTGGGTAGATTTTATCTTCTGTTTGTTTATTTATTTGTTTGTTTTGAGGCAGAGTCTCGCTCTGTCACCCAGGCTGGAGTGCAGTGGTGCGATCTCAACTCACTGCAACCTCCTCCTCCCGGGTACAAGAGATTCTCCTGCCTCAGCCTCCCGAGTAGCTGGGACTACAGGCGCCCGCCACCACACCCAGCTATTTTTTTGTATTTTTAGTAGAGACAGGGTTTCACTGTGTTAGCCAGGATGGTCTTGATCTCCTGACCTCATGAGCCACTGTGCTCAGCCTTTTTGTTTACTTTTACTTTATAATTAAAAAAATTAACGTTTGATATAAGAAAAGTTTTATTATATTAAAAGAAAATAATTACCTTTTTCTAAGGATCACTTTGCATTCAGGACTTTTCATCCAAAAAGCTTAGAGAATCACTAAATCCGTTTATATAATAGTTTTTATAAAGCTATATGCCTTCTATGCTTTCTTTGGGCACTACATTCTTTTCCATTGTTCCAAAGGTCATCATATACCTCTCACCAATGAGCTTCTCATATTGAAATGAAATGTTCATACAATTAGTAGATGAGGTCTTTAACAGCAAGATTTTACTAATTTTTCTCTGCTTAGCAGTTAAAGCCACACCTTCATCATAGTAGGAATTAATACTTGCCTGTTTAAAGTATGAAAAATACTGCTTCATCTTGCCTGTAGGCACTAGGTGAGCACCTGCCTGATGGTTGGCTTCACCTCCTAAGAGGTAGCATAGCTTCGAGGGTCAGACTTTGAGCTGTGTTCCTACTCTACTAACACAATCACTTGGAAGAGTGACCCTATCTATAGGGACCTTGGAATGAGGCCTCTTGATTCCAGTACGCCTTGTTGGATTTCTAATTTACAGCTAAGGTGGATCTTAGAAATGATATTTTCTTTTTCCTTTCCTTCTTTTTTCTTCTTCTTCTTCTTTTTTTTTTTTTTTTTTTTTTGATACGGAGTTTCACTCTGTCACTCAGGCTGGAGTGCAGTGATGCGATCTCGGCTCACTACAACCTCTGCCTCCCAGGTTCAAGCGATTCTCTTGCCTCAGCCTCCTGAGTGCTGGGATTACAGGCGTGTGCCGCCATGACCAGCTAATTTTTGTATTTTCAGTAGAGAATTCAGTAGCTAATTTTTGTATTCTCCATGTTGGTCAGGCTGGTCTCAAACTCCTGACCTCAGATGATCCGCCCACCTGAGTCTCCCAAAGTGGTGGGATTACAGGCGTGAGCCACTGCGCCCGACCAAGATAATATTTTAATAATTATGGCACTGTGTATGTTTTGCATGCTTACTATGTCTCTGGTATTGAGCTAAATTGTGTACATGCTCTTTTTCTCAATATTGTGTCAGAAATAACCAGTATACATGACTTGTAAAATGTTCTGAAGTTAGTTTGTAGCAGAACCAGTGCTCTAATTCACATTTTCTAATGCTGAGCTAAGGATCTTTCTAATTTTGCCCATATTATATTATATGATAGGTTCTCCATTACTCTTAGAGACCATGGCAGATTTCAGGTTGCACAAGCTCCTATTTGGTTTATTTCCTCTGCCACACAGTGAAATCAGGGCTATATGTCCACAAAACATCTTATGTTTAAGTAGAAGTTTATTCATTTCAAAATATTGGGGGTCCAGGAACAGGGTCACACATACAAGGTCAAATTAGGTTTTTACAGAGGCGTGAAGGCAATTTGATAGAAAAAGAGAAGTCTTTTTAACTGGAACATTTGTACATCCATGCTCGAAAACACAACTTGCATCCTATACAAAAATTAATTCAAAGTAAGTCATACCTCTAAGTGTAAAACTGTAAAATATCTAGGAGAAAACTTATAAGAAAATTCTTATGAGCTAAGATTAGGCAAATATTTCCTTAATAGGACTCAAAGAATCAAAATCCATAAAACAAAAAAAAAAAATAAATTTGACTTGATCAAAATTAAGAACTTTGGCTTTTCTAAAGATACTGTAAGAGAATGGAAAGGGAAGCCTCAGAGTAGGAGACAATGTTTGCAAATTCCATATCTGATAAAGGACATGAACATATAAAGAACTCTCAAACCCCGATAAGAAGATAACAAACCAATAAAAGATAGACAGAAGATCTGAATGGACATAAATACATAAAAGTGTCTTATCTCATTAGTTATTAGAGAAATGTGCATTACAGCCACAATGAGATACTATTACATACATATTAAAATGGCATGACAAGGGAAAAAAATACAACTCAACAATACCAAGGATACAAGGATGCAGAGCCACAGAAACTCTCATACATTGCTGATATGAATGCAGTAGAGTACATCCACTTTGAAAAACGCTTTAGCAGTTTTCTATAAAGTTAAACACATACTAGACAACATACAGCAATCCCACTGCCAGGTAAATATTCAAGTGAAATGCAAACTATGTTCACCCAAAACCCTGTAAGTGGGTGCTTGTAAAAGTTCTAGTCTTCCTGACCATCAGAATCTGGAAGCAACTCAAATAGCTACCAGCTAGTGAATGAATGAAAAAACTGTGGTATATCCCTATATTGGAACACTACTTAGCAGTAAAAAATAAATAACTACTGATACACATAATATCATAGATGAATCTCAAAATGCATTACACTAAGTGAAAGAAGCCATATTTAAAAGTCATTATACTGTATTCCATTTACATGCCATTCTTGCAAAGGTAAAACTATAGGGATAGAAAACATATGGGTGGTTGCCAGGGACTGGGAACTGATGGCCAGTACTCATGGGGAAATGTTTCTGGGTATTGGAACTGTTCTATATCTTGATGGTAGTGGTGTTCACATGACAGCAGGCATTTTTTGGATCTGCATTACTGGCTGGGTGCAGCGGCTCATGCTTGTAATCCCAGCACTTTGGGAGGCCAAGGCAAGTGGATTACTTGAGGTCAGGAGTTAAAAACCAGCCTGGACAACATGGTGAAACTCCGTTTCTACTAAAAATACAAAAATTAGCCAGGCATGGTGGTGTGTGCCTGTAATCTCAGCTACTCGGGAGGCTGAGGCAGGAGAATTGCTTGAATCTGGGAGATGGAGGTTGCAGTCTGGAGCTCTACTGCACTCCAGCCTGGGTGACGGAGTGAGAATCTGTCTCAAAAAAAAAAAAATTGTATGATTGTAAAATAAATGGTGAGTTTCTCTGCATGTACATTAGAGCTTGATTTTTAAAACATAAAATATATTATTGGGTGCTGTGCATACCAAATCAAAACCTTTAAAAAAACACACACAACAAAAAGAGAAATGAAATAAAAAGGAATAGAATAAGAGTTGAGATCAGAGGCCCATGAAAGATTCCTATGCAGATTCCCCATAGGAAATACCCTGTCTACCCTTGTACCCCCAGCTTTAAGGCAGCCTTATGAGCCAGTCTAGTTGTGAAATCTGTGATAGTTAGAACTTGGGTGTACTAATGAGTTCCTTTAGGGGCTATTTCCAGGAGTGGGGGGCGAGGGCGGTGCTGGTCCTCTAGCTCCCTCTACTCATTGTAAATATCCTTCTTCCTGCGCTACACTTATGTATTGAGTTTCAAGGGAAAGTTTTATTAACAGAAAGCCATCCATGGCTCAAAAATAGTTTGAAAACTACTGACTTCATCAAATTATTGTCTATTTGTAGAAAGAGTTAGAGATTTGCCTATATTTCTTTGCTAGTTAATAGCAGAGCTAGCTCAGGAACTGAGATGCCAAACTCGACTATCAACAGGACAAGATAACCTCTAAGTGAAAGGTAGGCAGGGAGAACATTGTGGTGGCAAACAGAGTGTCCCTTCTTCTCCAGGGCCCTGACCACTGCCATGCAGGTGTGTATGTCCAGAGATAGCAAATATTTCCTTTTTTTTTCTTTCAAAAGAGGCTTGGATCTGGATTGTCATATAAAATCTCTTGATTTTTACGTTATTATTATTAGTATTATTAGTATTATTTTCCTTGAGACAGAGTCTTGCACTGTCGCCCCAGGCTGGAGTGCAGTGGTGCGATCTTGGCTCACTGCAACTTCTGCCTCCCAGGTTCAAGCGATTCTCCTGCCTCAGCCTCCTGACTAGCTGGGACTACAGGCGCCTATCACCATGCCCGGCTAATTTCTTTGTATTTTTAGTAGAGATGGGGTTTCACTGTGTTGGCCAGGCTGGTCTCTAACTCCTGACCTTGTGATCCGCCCACCTCTGCCTCCCAAAGTGCTGGGATTACAGGCATGAGCCATCATGCCTGGCCAAAATCTCCTGATTTTTAAAAGCCTTAAATCATTTCCTTTTTTCACACACTGTCCTGATAAAATAAAAGCCATCTGTCTGTGGGCTAGAACTGGCCACAGGCCACTGGTTTGTGATCCCTGGCCTGAGCAGGACTATCAAGCCCATGCTTTGTTCTTTACATGGTCATCCGCCTCACTCCAGCTGTGAGCTCAGAAACCACAGAAGTAAAACATAGAGGAGCTGTCTTGCATCCTCAGAACTATCTGGACAAATGGCAGAGCTTCTGGACACAAGAAATCCCTCCCTGCATACCCTTTACCCAGACATGCTTAAATAGTGTGTTTCTTCCACCCACCCTCAGACAAATCCTCCACGCTTTACCAGGCAGCCTGCTCCGGGTTGAAATGGCAGCATTCTTGCATACAGAGACTGTAAATTATGTTTTAATGGCAATGTAGAATAGTGTAAAAGACACATGCTTGAGAGTGAAACAACCACACACTACCTACATAACCTTGGGCAAAGTACTTACAAATCTCAAGGCCCCATTTTCAACTATAAAATGAGAATGGCAGTACCTAAAGGATAGAATTGTTATAAAAATTAAATCACATAATGTGTTGAGCAAAGTGGTTGGCCACTTAGATATTTTTCTTTTCATTTATATTATTATTATTACTACTGTAAATATTATTAATACTTAGGACAGAATTAGAGTTCTGTAACTAGCTAGCCCAGCAACTGTGGGCAAGTCATAGAATCTCTCTGAGTTTGTTCCCTTTTCCAAAAAAAAAAAAAGAAAGAAAATACCTAGATCACAAAGCTCTTGTTCATTCTTGTCAGTCATGACATATTAAGGGGGACTAGCAAAGTTTGTGGCCTACTGTAGCTCTCAATATATAAATTTTATGAATAGATCATTGCTATAGATATGTCTTTATCAGTACCACTCAACAGTGTCAGTGGTGTGCTCATGGTTACTTTTCTGCAAGGTATCAAGTTGTGCAAGCTTTTCTGGGGAAGTTAGGATGATGTCCAAGTACTCATTTTCCAAATAAGAGATGTGCTGGCACTGTGCCTGACATCCAACCTGCAGTGGATGTCAGTAGACGATCACTTTGGAGCACCTGTCTCTTTAATTTTGAAATGGAGCCAGTGAATTTTTCTCCACCAAGATTCTGGGACTAGTAGGGAGGCCCTTAGAGACTCCTTAATCTCTCAAAGATACTAAACTGAATCCTTGCATAGATATTCAACTGAAATCTGAGGTTGGGATAAAGTCCATTTAAACTTTTAAAGTTCTCTCTGTGGGACTGGACAAAGCTCTTAAACATTTTATGGACCCCTAGGCAGCTACTTAAAGCAACCATGGCTCCTTGAGAGCCAGGCACAGCAGTGAGTTGTGAAAACACAGCTTGATAGATTCCATCCATTCACTTAGCACTTAATCTGCCACAGGCTCATGTCATCTCCTGTATTGTTTCTTTACATTTCTATTTGACTTTTCATGAGACTACATCTGGCTTCCCCAGTCGAAGTGAGGGGCCCCAGAAGTAAGACCATGGCTTCAATGTCACAACAATCATTGACTCATATGAGAAGGTAGAATTTTTCAAATAAATGCGCTATCCATCTACCACCTTGATTTTTGCTACCATTCATTAATTGAATATATTTATTATTATTGTTGTTGTTTTGTCTTCCACTTATAGATGAGGAAACTCAAGCTTAGAAAAATTAAGTGACTTCCCAGAAAACACTATTTGAGAAAGTGGCACGGCTAAGTTTTGACACAAACCGGTCTATATCAAAGCCAGTGCTTAAGCTACTGGATAAGACAACACCACTTAAGATGTGTCTTGGCAAATTTTGTATTGCTATAAATGAATACCACATACTGGATAACTTACAGTGAACAGAAATTTATTTGGCTGATGGTTCTGGAGTTAGGAAGTCCAAGAGTATGGTGCCAACATCTCGCAAGGGCCTTCATGTTGTGTCATCCCATAGCAGAAGGTGGAAGGGCAAGTGAGTGCACAAGACAGAGAGAGGATGGGGGCTGAACTTGTCCTTTTGTCAGGTGCCTACTCCTGTGATAACTAACCCGCTCCCATAATAATGGCATTAATCTATTCATAAAGGCTGAGCCCTCATGACCTAACCATCTTTTATATGCACCACCTCTCCACACTGTTGCATTGGGTGTTAAGTTTCCATCACACGCACTTTGAGGGACATATTTAAATCATAGCAATGTTTCAGGAAGATTTTTTTTTGTAATATTGCGGTAGCTTGGATGTAGTTTATTATAGTTATCTGATAACTGGGATGGAGCCTTCGTTGGGACTCAAATCTGCAGCATTGTGTGTTAAAGTGGTTTAATCTCTAGTCCTAGCCTAAGGGGAACTGGTCCTCTGGCTTTCATAGCCTCTCCTTTGCTAGGTTTCTTTTTATAATTGCAAAAATCACTAACATTTTTATATTCACAGACTCATCCACAGAGGATATGAGTCTCAGGTAAATGCAATTGTAGATCTGTCTCCAATCTTCTATTCTTATGTAAAATTACAGAAAATAATTATTAATAAGGATAGATGATTATAAAGGTAGAAAAAAACCCTACACGTTTTTAAAGGAAATAGATGGTACAGACAGAAGCTAGCTTTCTTCTGTTGATGGAGCCACTCAGTTGAGAGCCTATATCAGCTACTAATTGTGTGTGTGTGTGTGTGTGTGTGTGCGTGTGTTTTGCCACAGTTGAAGAAATTTCTTCCATCTGACCCTTATTGCCTGTCTCTCATGATCCCTCAGCAGCCTTAGTTGTAACAGATTGGGAAGCCTCAGGTTTATCCATTAAATCATCAATTCTGTGAATACCTACTGTGGGTAAGGCATTTGCCAGAAACTAGAAATCTAGAAATATAAAGATAAATGAGTTAAGTGAGTTGGGAAGTCTCTGTCCACACAAAGTTTCAGACTTTTTTAAGTCATAATTAGCTTGATTATGGTAATCATTTCACAATGTATATGTATATCAAATCATCATGTTGTATACCTTAAATATATATTTTCTTTGTCAATTACAATACATTTTAAATATATATTTTCTTTGTCAATTACTTCAATACAGCTGGAGAAAAGTTTCTGGTCAATTAGAATTGTTATCAGTTTGTACAGTATTGACCAATTACAAGCAGGGTAATAAAATATTAAAGATGGGGAGACTGAAGCACAGAAAAGAAGAGCTATCCCATGGTCACACAGTTAACAAATCTGGACCCTGAATGTGAACTCAAGTCACCCCTGGGACATCCAACGGCATTTCCATCACACCATGCTGTCTCTTAGCTATTCAATAAAGACTTTTTGGAAGAATGCATGGGCTTAGCAGCTAAGAAGTGTGGAGGCAGTGGCAAGAGAAGAGGGAAGTGAAGTCATCTAAGCTTTTGAAGCTGAGCTTTGCTGGCACTGAAACCCAATGCATCAGGAAGCTACTGGACATATGTGAAGGCATAGGGTGGGGCCCCTCTTCTGCACACAACTGTACTTTGAACAGTACATTTTCCATATATTTCCCCAATTAACTTTTCAGAAGTGAGAATGTGCATTACTGAAACTGTAAGTTTATACTTCCCACTAGTAAAAGGAAATTTGAAGAAATGGATAATAAACCCTTTGAGAGCTACTAAAATGCAAACAAGAAGAGAATGGGAGAGATTGATGGAGGTTAGAAGAGATAATCTTTCTAATTTCCTCTGTACTGGGCACTCAAACATTTCCTGAATGAATCATTTGGCTCTTCAAAAAAAGAGATTTGGAAGGATGTCTACATCCCAGAGCTGTGCCAGTTCCATGACCACCTCTTTTCATCTTGCAAGGAAAAAATGCCGTAGCACCTCATTGAGGGTGCAATGTTGCTATTAAAGGAGGAACTGACAAGCCATTGAGTGAAGAACACTGAAGAGTTGGCTCAGCTCCCACAGAGTTCAAGCAAGCATTCAAAAGGAGGTGGCTGAATAGATTACTCAGCATCTATATCCTTAGACTAGAAGCAGCCCAGTGATTGTGGGGGATAATGTTGTACCACTGTGTTTTATACTTGAATTAATTAATGTCTTAATCTTTCCCTGACACTAGACAATAGCATCCAGAACTCTAAGGCATCTTACAGATCAACTGTTAATGCCCTTTTTTTTATACATGGAAAAACAGAGGCAGTATGTAGTGAAGGCACTATCTCACCTCTGGATATTCACCAAGTTCTTGGCAGAGTTACAACTGGAATAAAGTTTTCTTCACTGGTGTCACAATAAACTGTATTTTTAATCCAAATGCAAATATTACAATTTTCAATATTCTTTTATATTTTCTCTGCCTTCCTTTGGACTTACCAGAGTGTACAATACATAGCAAACTCTACTAAATAGCTCAAATGATAGAAACATCAATGTTCAAATGTTTTTTGTTTGAAAGAAAATTACAGAGATCATCTAATGCAACTCCCTTAATTTTCACATGATTGTCTAAAGGTCTGGAAAGTAGAAATAACTTGTAGAGAGCCATACAGTCAGTTAATAGAAGAGCTCCGTCTTACAGCTAGAATGTGGTATCCTGATCTTAAAGCAAGTGTTAGCTGATGTATAATGTTTTCCTTCATCACAACACAAATGCTCTCATATGATGTGTTTATTTTACCATAGTTGTTTAACAGAGAAAATGAGACATTTCAAATCAAAAGACTTTAATTTGCCTCTTCAATGATAATATCCTTTTATACAAGTCTCTGAATATGTCAGAGAAAAGTTTCTGCTAGTAAATCAGGTTCTTCATGCAGAATCTAGAGGCATCCTGAAGTCAGTCACATAGTATAGTAGAAATATTATAGAAGACGAAATAAGGTTATAAGGTGATAGTGTATTAAATATTGAATGCCCAGTTTTGGGATATACAAATGGGGATACACAGAAAGAAAAAAACTGTGGGCTGTGAAACATATTCTGTAGTAATCAACATACAAACAATATTAGGAATCGTCATCTTAGAATATAAAGAATGAGATGAATCAGATGACCTGAACCAAATTCTAGTCTTAAAGAAGAAAGCAAAAGTCTTTTACTGAAAAAAAAAAAAAAAAAAAAAAAAAAGAGATTTTAACAGTGGTCATGCAAAGGATGGAGAAAATTTGAGAAAATTGATTGGGGGCAATGAGAGGAGAAGCTGAACAGAAATCCACAAAGGAATCCCCATAATGAAATGCTTAGTTGGTTTCATTAGAGACTCTAAGATTGTGATAGTGCTGATCCTCATGGCTGGGGCACCTTCTGTAGCCTGCATGGTACCTGGGTGGACAAGTGGAAATGTAGCCTAAGGACATTAAAGATTCTCTGGAGATGTGGCAAGGAACATAGGTTTCATATGGGTCACAGGAAATAGAGAGAGAGATTAGAGTTGTTCTGGAGAAAAGGGAAAGTTTCAGAGACTCAAAATGCAAAGTAGCCTTGGTGGAAACACTGAAGAGAGAAATATCAAAGAAGAGGGAGTTATAGTCCCAGACTGAAAGGCTGACATTTCATGTCTTAGAAATGGGAAAACGTATTTCAGAAGAGGAGTGGTTTCAGTTGTCTCTGATAGAAAATGTTCCTGAAATGGAGTGGATGTGATGCCTGCTGGAATCAGGAAGGTGAAGGAAAGTTAAAGTAAGACAGTGTGATGAATTACCAACATAGATGCCGAAGTTGCTAATGGCAACATTAGACCTGTGATGTGATGCCTGGCAAAAGTCCTGTTGAATTATAGAGATCGTCAAGAAAGTAGTAAATGCCGGCAAGGAAGAAAGTGGCAGAGTGACCAACAAGAATGGAAGAAAGCTGGTACAAATTCCTGTTCTATTACCCCTTGATGGAAGGGGGACCTGGCTGGATACATCACAAATCAATATAAATTAGCCCTTGTTAGGGCTCTTATAGTTCAGAAGGAGGCCTGGGGCATAATTACACTGAATCGCAATACAAATCTATTCTCATGGGAAACATTGTTAATTATTATTATTTTACAGAAGTTACCAACTCCTCAATAGCTCTTAATAAAAGATGATCTATGTTGATAAGTAGGATACATGATTGCAGTACACTAGGGCAGAGAGTGAAACTTGTGAATTCAAGAGTTTTTGCCTATTGTATTAGTCAAGGTCCTCCAGAGAAACAGAACCAGTAAGATTTATACAATGAGGAACTGGCTCATAGGATTATGGAGGCTCAGAAGCCCAGCCATCTTCCATTTAGAGACCCAGGAAAGTGGGTATTATAGTTCAGCCCGAGTCTGAAGGCCAGAGAACAGGAGAATTTGATGATGCAAATCCCAATCTGAGACATAAAAACATGAAATATTCCAGCTCATGCAGTAAGGTAGGAAAAAATAGGGATGAATTCCTCTTTCCCTGACCTTTTGTTCCATTCAGGCTCTCAGTAGATTGGATGATGCCCGACCATATTGAGGAAGGCAATCTGCTTTATTGTGTCCACTGATTCAAATGCTAATCTCATCCACAAACATCCTCACAGACATATCAGAAACAGTGTCTAATCTGGGCACCCCATGGCCCACTCAAATTGACATGTAAAATTAACCATCGCACCTACATGTCAGCTACTGCTCACTTTCAACTAGGTTAGGCCTTTTCCAAATACAAAGATGATCCCCGCCACACCATCAAACACACATACACGAAAACCTTTTGCAGACGCATTATTTAGACTATAGAAACAGCTTTTGATTGTTTTTGAAATCCTATGTGTTACCCTTAGACATAGATTTGGTCTAAGGGCCAAATACATGTGGGACAAATGAAAATTATTCACTATTTGATAATGGATTGAGCAAATTTCAAAGAAAAGGAAGTGCTATATGAAGGTTGATAGTGATTTGAGATTGTCCATGAAGAAATATAGAACTTCTATCTGCCCAGTGTTCAATGAACTAAGAATGGAGGATGGGGTGATGGAGGTAGGGAAGGAGAATCAGTGCTCCTCCAGAGACCCGTGGAGGAGCAAATCTTTTTGCAGATTTCTTTTGGGGACAGGAGGTGGGGAATTTATTTGTTTGGACTCAGTGATTTTTCACACAGAATAATTTGAGAGAATGTCTAGAGAGGAAAGACTTTAAGTAGGGAGAAAGTTAGAGGGGCTTACCTGTGAGGGGAAATCTTTGAACATCAGGACCAAGAGCTATGAAGAACTGGCTCTCCTGAACTTTCTAAGTAAATGAAGCCTGAGTGGACTGGTGGCCAGTTGTCTTCCATCTTTGTTCAGAGTTCCAAATGCAACGTTTGCTGAGGAGTTATATAATTCTGCAAAAAATGTAGCCTGAAAGCCCACTGGAAGTGGCCAGAAATGACCATGAACCTGGCAGGAGAGTTAAGAGAGGACATTCAGTGGCTGTTGCTGTGGTTTCCTTCCACGGTTTTTGTTTTTGTTTTTGTTTTTGTTTTTTGAGATGAAGACCCAAGCTGGAGGGCAGTGGTGCGATTTTGGCTTACCGCAACCTCCACCTCCTGGGTTAAAGCAATTCTCCTGCCTCTGCCTCCTGAGTAGCTGGGATTACAGGCATGTGCCACCACACCTGGCTAATTTTTTGTATTTTTAGTAGAGACAGGGTTTCATCATGTTTGCCGGGTAGTCTTGAACCCCTGACTTCAAGTGATCCACCCACCTTGGCCTCCCAAAGTGCTGGAATTACAGGTGTGAGCCGCCCACGTCCGGCCCTTTCCATGATTTTTTTCAGGGGACTTGTGGTGGCCTGGAGACCCAAGTGCTCATCTGGTGGGACTACACATCTTCTGGATTATATTGATTAGAGAGAATGATAATGTTTAGTGTTGGCCTTTCCCCTAAATTCTAAGCTTCAAGTGAACAGAGGCAGCTCCTTTCTTATTCCTTGTGTTTTAAATAGTAGATGCTCAAAAAATTGCCTGTAGTTAGTTGAATAAATAAGAATACAAACAAGTATAATAATAAATTACCTTTATTGAACTTTTTCTATGCATCCGGAAGTCTTCCAAGTATTTGCACTCATTAACACAATTAATATTCGCTATGATCCTGAATGAATAAATGTTAATTGTAAGCATTATATGAGTTTACTTTATTAGAGGAAATTTTGCTTTGAAATAAGCCAGTTTGTTGTGAGAAAAACTTTACACACACTTGTGTGTGATACACATATGTGTTCATTACCATGTATTGGCTTTTTTGGATATTTACAAATCTAGAAAGAGAGAAATATACTTACTAAATATATGAGAGGTAGTGGATATAATTTTCTATTTTTGTCTAAATATTAGAATCTGAACTTGATTTGTTTTTACAATGTGGAAAATCATTTGTGTAATACATTGTGAGTCTTGTGCCTGTAACCCTGGTTTATTCTTCATAGTAAATACGTATGCCAACGGAACCTTGAGGAGTTTTGAGGAGTCTTTCCTGCCGGGATGACACTAGTACCGGGTGGAAGAGCCAAGATCCATAGCTAGGCTGAGGGAGCAGCTGTTCTTTGTCATGTCTACACAAGGGCACAGCTTGGCCATTACCAGCGCACAACTTCTGTGTGACAGCACATGTATCCTTTATTTATTTTGAATAGATTTTTGCCCTATTTGATGAAACAATTTGACTTATTAACCCTCACCTCTCCTTACCAACCACAAATGGGATACTATAAAAACAGACAAACATACAGAACCCTATATTTTATTAATTACAAACTGTGTTTGTTGTTCAACTCTACCATCTAGGTACTGACTTAAGGGAGTTAGACTGGGGCAGAATGTTATAAAGGAGGCACATGAAACTGATTTTAAGGTGCATTTGTTATCTGGAGTTTTGGTCTTTCCTTTTTTGCAAATGTGCTTTCCCCTCTAAACGTCTCCATCCTTGAGACGTGCTTGAAATGAAAGCCAGTTCTTGCTAGACTTGCAAAACTGCAGCACAGGCGGGCAAAGCCCCCTGGGAGAGGCCATCTCATCCATCAGGCCCACTGGCTTTTGAAAGGAGAGGCCTGTGAGTAGTCAGGATGATGAATCCCAATGGCTGGCAGCAGCCAGATTATGTACACTGGAGGATGCCAATGCATACTGTGGTAACCCTTGGCATACACAGCAATGCCAGGATCCTTTGAGAGATCATTTCTGCCTGATATTGAAGTAATGCACACACAGATAGGGTACAGACTGTGCTCCCAAATGCAGCGGAACAAAAATGGGGAAGACGTGTGAGAGGCCAGGTATTTTAAAAAGCAAATTGGTGAGTTTCTCTGCTATTGAGTTATTGCTATAGCAGAGAAACTCAGCATTAGAAAGATCTTTGTGCTAACCTCTTCCATCCCCTCTGCTTGTGATCCAAGTCAACCCACTGATTCAACTGGACACATTTATGGAACACCTGGTATGTGGCAGGCACTGGGCTTACTGCTGGGGCTAAACCATGAGCAAGACAAACACGGTCTCTCTTATCAGGCTTGAAATATATAGAGAAGAATTTACAATGCAGTGTAATGATTATTATGAAATTCGTGAACTCGACAGCCAAAGAAACATAGCTGAGTAAATATAACCTGTCTGCCTCTAGCTGCATAGCTGTGTGGTCACTAAATTTCACTCCTGGCCTGTATTCTTTCCTTAGAGCTGTTGTAGTAATGACCCTGAACTGGATGACTAAACACAACAAAAATATTCTCTCACATGTTTGGAGTCCAAAGGTCTGAAATCAAGATGTTGGCAGGGCTACGTTTTCTCTGAAGGTTTTAGGGAAAACCTTTCTCAACCAATTCCAGCTTCTGGTGGCTCCGGGCACTCACTGGTTGTGGCAGCATAACTCTAATTCCTGCCAGCATCTTCACATGGCCTTCCTCTCTGTTTAATTCTTTGTGTGTACTATCTCCTTTTTTGATAAGGACAACAGTCCTTGGATTTAGGGCCCACCCTAGTCCAGTATGACCTCATCTTCACTTAATTACATCTACAAAGAACCTATTTCCAAATATGGTCCCATTTTGAGGTTCCAAGGATTTAAATTTGAACATTTCTTTTTAGGGGACAGAATTCAACCCATTACACAGCCTAAGATTTTTGACATTTTACCATTGTCTTTCTCCAGCCCTGGCTATCTTTTTGGGCAATTGAACTGCTGGATGCTCAACCCTTTTGAAATGTTTGGAACTTGGCTTTCAATTACCTGTGTCTCTTGGTGCTTTGAGTTGCTCTATGGGAAAGACTTCTTTCATTCTCAAAGGTGATTAGTGGCTCATCTGATGCGAGTATGGGAGGCAGGTCCTCCTCAGACCCTGCGGGGGAGACCAGACCCTAGCAGAGGATTGTTGAAGGAAGCGAATAAGGAAAACTTGATAGGGTCATGTGGCCTTAACAAGCAACATATAGTCAGAAGCTGTCCTCTGAGGATGGGGGCATTTTGGAAGACTCTATCTCTACCCCTTTGGGGGTGCTCCCATTTTGCCTAAAAACCCATAATACACAATGTGTTATAAACTCCTGATTATTTCAAAACTTCCAAAATTTTTTAGGAGTTGCCTCTTTCCATTTGGTGGAGATGGCAAGCAGCTAACTATAGCAACAAAATCTCCACATGTTACTATAGTAATGCAAAGAAGAAAACAACATATTTGCCTGATAAACCAGGCTGAAGCCAGTCAGAATGTTGTTTTTTTTAGGATTCATTTCCAGAAACCCTCAAATTTACAAAGCTTAGGGATGTCTAAATTCTTCTCCAAGATTTTAGCAAAAGCCCAAGAACTAATAATCATATTTTCACATCCTACCACCGAACTGGTCCCATGTAAACCCAAAATCAGAACTAAGCTCTGTACCACTTTCTAAAAGAAACCTAGCATCAGATTACAATTCATTGTAAGGGGTTAAGGCACTGAGCACATAGAATTCCTCTTCCTTTCTTTCTGTCTTCCCCTCACTCTTTTTCTCTCTCCTTCTCACCCTCAGGCTCTTTGCTCTTGAGCTCTTTGCCTGCTATAAAGCAGATGGGTTCTCTGTCTCTGAAGCCACAGCATGAATCCTTTTTACATGCCTTAGGAATCACCTACTCCAAGGGGGCTTTTTTCTATATATTTTCATGATACCAACTTGTCTTTTCAGAAGAGGAACATCCTACCAGATACTAAAAGAATAAACATTTTTTTCCATCTCGTTATCCTAAGATAAGAAGCCAGTATAATTTTAGGGGCTTAATTTGTAGACTCTAATAATTATACTTTACCACCTATTACTATCTTTCCTCTAACTAAAGTTGTTGCTCCCTTTTTACAAGGAAGAGGAGTTTTAAAGACCTCTTTGGCATTTACTAGTATTTTGGCAATTTGGGAGTTAAATACTTAGAAAACATGATTTTATCAGTCCCCCTTTAAACTGTCTGAAATATGAATGCAAAGCAAAGAAGCATTAGATTTCAGTTATTTATTCATTTATTTATTTATTTATTTATTTTAGCTGAACATGGAAAACTGGCATCTCTCAGAGTTACATTAACAGCAATTAATAGTCCTCATGGTATCAGTTGTGTCCTGGGCTTTATTTCAATACCAGAACATATGTCAGTAACCTCTATTGAGGAATGCCAAGTCTCTTATAATAAGGGGGCTCTGTTAATATATTTACCCACAATGAGGCAGGACAGTGCAGAGCGGTCGTTCTTAATTCTGACTGCACATTCAAATCATTTGAGGGCAAGGGAGCTTTTAAGACACATTGATCTCCTTGGCCCACCCACAGAGATTCTAACTTAATTGGTCTGGGGTGGGGCTGAGAATTTGGGCTTATTTTAAAACCCTCCAAGAGATTCTCGTGTGCAGCAAAGAAACCCCTGGTATGGCACAGTGCATCTCAAACTTGACCCTGTGCATGACTCTGACTCGGTAGTAGGCCTAGGGACAACCCTGACATTCTGTGTTCCTATTCAGCTCCTACACGGTGTTCATGTTTGGGGTTGTCAGGACCACACTTGGAGTAACAAGAGCAGACTAAAATTGGCATTATCTTGAATATTGGACAAACCTAAGTCTGAGAATTGATTTGTCATTTGGTTTTGTTCATATTTGACTATAAAGCACTGAACTTTAATCCTGTCTTCTGTAAAGTGGAGATAAAACGTGTTGCATTTAAGGGTTAATGTATAGAAGCAAAAGTGTTACAAAAGGCAGCTGGCAAAGGGCCTGGCACTCAGTGGCTCAATAAAAACTACTTCCATTTCACTTTGTTCCTCTCCACCTTCCCAAGCACCTCCAACCTTCAAAAAGGCAAAGTTGTTATCTAAAAAGAGGTTGTTATGGGAACGTTGTCCTTTGGAAAAAAGGAATGGAGGGTATCAGTAATCAACATAGCTTAGTGTGGACTGGTGCGTTGGCTCACTCCTCAGATTACTGGTGTGTAATCTCAGCACTTTGGGAGGCTGAGACAGGAGGATTTCTTGAGCCCAGGAGTTCAAGACCAGCCTGGACAACACGGCAAGACTGCATCTCCACTTAAAAACAAAAACAAACAAACAAACAAAAAAGGTAGCTAGTGGCTACTAACCCAGGAGTCTGGGAAACAAAACCAAACTTGAGTTTACAGTTTTAACTGGAAATCTTTACATTTTTGAAATATAACCTCTGCCAAGCTCCTTGCCTTTGATTATATTGGTCCTCTCATCTAGAATGCTCTCTTTCCTCTCCATTACAAATTAGAGCCTCTAAATCCCTAGTTCCAAATTAAAATCATCATTTAAAGGTAGGGAGAGTCTACTAGGCAGGTATTTTAAGGGGATAGAGCATATGGGTTATAACAGTGGATCCAGCTACTGGAACATGCCCCATCAATCTGGAAAAGATGTTTGAGGCCAGAGTTTTAACACCAGATGGAGTTGGAACCATATGCTGGAGGCAATGGGAAGGCGTGAAGGGTTTGGTAACATAGAATAAGTGTAGCATTTTTGAAATGTTAACATGCTTGAGTTGGGGGTGGATCAGAAGAATGAAAATGAGAGGGGAGCAGAGAAGTGAATGTCACTCATTTGTTCACGTTTACTGATTGCTAATTGTGTGGGGGACACCATGCCTGATGGAGGAAATGTATGGTCAGTAGACAAGTATTTTTCTTGCTCTAGTGACATTTTCTTCTACTGTGAACTTCCATCCTATGACTGAGACAGAGAGTAACCAATGATTAAAATTAGGACAAGTGTCTAAAGGAAAAACATAGAGTGCAATGAGAATAAAATAATAAGAGAACCTGACCTCTTGAGGTCAGGGAAGTCTACCCTTGGAAATGACTATCAAATGCTCTCAAGCTGAGCCTTTACCTATTACAAGCGCTCTCTAAAGGTGGGGTGGAGGTGCGGGGTGAAGTACGAGATGTATTATTTACATCCTGACTGTGCCACTTACTAAGTGAGAGACTGGACAAGTTATGTTTCCTTTCTTATAAAAATATATATATATATAGTTACACACAGTTTCAAGGATTGCTGTGATGCTGAATGAGGCAATGCATTGTTAACAGCACAGTGCTTGGTACATAATGAAACTTAAAAGTGGTAGATACCAGGCCTTGTTTTTCAGTCCCACTTACTGAGCGCCTAAGTCTCTGTGGCAGAAACAGTAACTGCAGGTTGATTATTCATCTGGTGCCCCACCTTCCAGACCCTTTTGGAGGAGCATGTGGTTGGTTCTGGTTGTGAGAAGACTGACACGTGTCACTTCTGGATGGATTCGCTCCTCTTTTCTCCCTCTGTGTTGACCATGTGGGCAGGTGTTGAGATATTAGGGGGATTCAGCTGGGTCCCTGTATTTACTATGTGGGGCACAGCCTCAATCCCCTCCATAAACCTCATTCAACATGTAGCTTGAACAAGAGTAAATCTTGTTTAAACAAGTCATTTTAAAGGGGTAGATTTCTTATCTCTGAAGAACCTAGCCTATCTTTTCTAAAAGAGTGCCAAACACCAAGAACTTTTCATATGTTTTTACTTTATAAATATTACAAAGTAAAAAATTATAGAATATACTTTAATATATTAAAGTAGTATAAGTTCAGAATCTATTGCATTTATACAAAGTAAGATAAATGACTGAAGAAAACAAAATTTTAAGCCCATGTTAAAGGAGGTAACAGCAAGGCTTGAGAAAACAACCCTTTACTTATTGTTGCTGTTTGTGCAATAAGTTTACACCAAATACAGGAAACATTGGAAGAGAGGGAGACAACATTTTATGCTTCTAGAACAAACGGCTTTGCATCTCATGTTGCTTTTGGTCTTTGCTAAGGATCTGGACTTCAATGTAATTTGTAGCCTCATTCCACGACTTCCCAACCCCTCCCCACTGACATGTAATTACAGACTCAGATTTGTTCAATTTCTTCTTTAGAAGTGGATCTACTGCTCTTCTGTTTACTGAGTTACCTCTTGAAGTGCTCTTGCCCTTGTCTTCAGCCATATCTCTAGGTAACGCTTTTTGCTGCTCTTCTCTTTGGCTTCTTGATTTGCCATGGATACAGCTCAGGATTGCAGGGGTGGTACAGGCTGCAGATTTGTTGCCATGGTGCTCAACAGGTGAAAGAGAAAGTGACTGCTTCCTTGGGAAACATCATGTAATACACCTGTATCTTTTCCCCTCTCCCTCCTTCCACCCCTCCCGTTGGTTGTTTGTGGTGGATACAGACATATTCTTGTCAGGTATGAGAATTCTTCTTGCTTTACTTGATGCAGACATCTTCAAACTGGATTTCTGTCAAGCTCCTCCATTCCACATCTCCTGAACATTATGAAACCAGCTTCAACATCAACTTGTGCTCAGATAATAGCGTTTTGATAAGCTTCTGATAGTGTGTTATTCATATATTTCCCTTCATATATAAATACTAAGCATTTTCTAAGTATCTTCTTCAGCAAAAAGATCTTCTCCAGCATAAAAAAAAAAAAAAAGAAAGAAAAAAGAAAAAATATTCACCACCTCTTAACTTGAATATAAGTAACTTAACTTTTGATATTGGCACACTGGGGTTTTTTTCTTTGTAATTATCTTTTGCGGCTAGGTTGTAAAAGAAAAGGAGCTGAGTGATAGAGGACTGGCTGGATGCTAATTTTGGCTTGGCCACCAAGTAAGATAGAATCATCTGTTTGTTCAATCATTCTTTTATCCTGAACACCGATGATGTCTCAGAGACAGATCTAAGTATCAGGGTTACCGCAGCAAACAGAAAACGTACCTGCTTCAGGAATCTTTCATTCCCCGGTGGAGACAAACTGTAAACCAGGGTCTCTCAACTTTAGTAAGAATCCAAATCACCTGCAGGTGACTATTAAGACACATTTCCTAGCTCTGGGGTGGGGTCCAAGAATTTGCATTTCAAAAAGGTTTTCAGGTGATGGCCATGGCCCAGAAAACACCCTTTGAGAACAACTGATACAAACAAATGAATGGAAAAATACATAAAATAATGCCAGTTAGTGATGAATGTTATTGTTAGGTTCAGGGTCAGGTTCCAGCCCATGCTGAGGTCCGAAGGGAGTGGGTAGATGAACGGCAGATAGCTGAAAGAACACTTGGAGGGCCGTAGGTAGGTGAAATATGGCTTTATTCAGCAACTCTCTCATCAGCAGCTCTCTTACACTGTCTGCTGTGTCTCAGCTGCTTGCCCTGGCCACTGCCACACATAGCTGCATGGCCGGCTCTCCTACAGGGTCAGCAGCTTAACTCTTTCTCTCTCTGGGCACAAGTGCACCTGTACAGTGTCAGCAGGGCAAGTGTATCTTCTTTTTTTTTTTTTTGAGATGGAGTCTCACTCTGTCACCACACTGAAGTGCAGTGGTATGATCTCAGCTCACTGCAACCTCCGCCTCCCAGGTTCAACCGATTCTCCTGCCTCGGCCTCCCGAGTAGCTGGGACTACAGGTGTGTGCCACCATGCCCAGCTAATTTTTGTATTTTTAGTAGAGATGGGGTTTCACCGCATCAGCCAGGATGGTCTCGATCTCTCGACCTTGTGATATGCCCAACTTCACCTCCCAAAGTGCTGGGATTACAGGGGTGAGCCACTGTGCCTGGCCGGCAATTATACCTTTTACAGAAAATAGTGGCTTATGGCCAAGGGATGGCCTTCCCATGTTATGGCTACATGGGTGTGATCACAGGTGGAGTTATATGCCTGCACTCTAAACTCGCTGAGTCACGCAGGATGTTTACCTCAGCCTATGCCCTCTTGGCCACAGCACAGCCATGTTCCATACACTCCACCCCATAGGCCGAGGGGAGACATAGGTGTTGGATACACAGGCTATACACATAAGCTTTGGGTATATAGGCTTGATATACACACTCCGGCTCTATACATAAGTGTTGGGCACCTAGGTTTGATATACAGGCTTGGCACACAGTTATGAAGCCAAATAGCTCAGGGAAAGAGAACCGAGGATGATGCAGTGCAGTGTGTGCTGCTATTTTAGGTTGAAGCTTCAGAAAAGGCCTATCTCCTGACTGAAGTGAGGGAACAAGGTTTTCGGGTATCTGGGAAGACAATTGCAAGAAGAGCAGAAGCACATGAGGAAGCCTGGGCCTGGAGCCGCTGGGTCTGGCTGCTGTCATCCTGGTAGCTCTGTGCCCTCAGGATGCCACATGCGTGTACCACTGCATTTAACCTGATGTATGGTTGGATTTGTTTTGTGTTTTAGTGCTCTGTAGCAGAGATAGTGCCATTTTCATACTTGAATCCCAAAAACCTTAGTACCAAGAAGTAGCTCTTTAAGTGAGCCAGGCACTATTTGAATCACTTCAAACCAAATAAACCCATTTAATCCTCATAAAAGCCACAAAACATATGTCCTGTTGCCATCCCCATTTTACAGGCCAGGGAATTGAGGCACAAAAGAGTTTAAGCCATTTGCTTAGGATCATAGAGATAGGAAATGGCAGAACCAGGATTTGAGCCCACCTCTCCTAAAGATTGGGTGGATGAATGGATAGATGGATGAGTGAGATGCTGAAATTGAGCCAAGAAGAGTTATCAACTGGCTTCTATATTTTAAGAGAGGATTTGTAACACAATTGGAACCAAGAGGTGGATGTTTCTCCTGCAGAGGAAGAAAAATGCCCTGGGTGGTGGAGTCCAGGTGAGAGGATGCATGTGAGGGCAGGTCTAGAAGGAATGAGACCAGGTGTGTGTCAAAGTTGCTTGCCTAGGCAGGTAACAAGCTCCCCCTGCATGAAAGCAGGACATGCCTTTGGAAGCTGGAGGGCGAGAGAAAACAAATCCAGCAAACCCCTTCCTCTCGAAGGACCCTGACAAGTTGTGTTTTAATCTAATTAATACATTCAGGAAGTTGGACCAAGAGGAATGTGATTATTTAATTGTTTTGTTCAAAGGGTACAAAGCAAGCTATTAGTCTGGGGTCATGACTCCAAGGTTCATATCAGGTTATTACCAAGGAGGGTTTTGGAACAAGAGTGGCTGATTGATTCTTTCCCGCTGTTACCCTCATTAATTTACAAAGATTCATTGTGTCAGGGCTAATTTGCAGAATCTGGAACAAAATGTAAAACAGACTCAGACTGATAAGAATTGTTTTGTATCTGCAATTCCATCTTGTTCCTTCCCCTACGTTTTCCCTTCTAAAGATTTTCAGGTACATGAATTTCCAGTCTGATTATAATGAACTCTTTTTCCACATGGCAAAAGTTGTCTCTACTGATTAAGCAACAAGCAGGAAGTCTATACTTGGCATTTTATTTCCAGCCCAGCAAAAATGTGGCTCTTCTATTACTCTCCCTGTGACCCAGAAAAAGTCATTTAACTGTTACTGCTAAGATTCCCCGTCTGCAAAATCAGGAAAATAAAATGCAAATCTGAACACCTTATACCGACCTTCCCGTTAACATTTTTACATCACTCTCATGGTCTGCAAGACAAGCTTCAGGCTTGATATTTCCAAACCCTTGATGATTGGCCTCAAACTTCTTTTCTAGACTCAAATTCTGCCACTGTTCAACAAGTATTTTCTGTTCTATTGTATCAAACAATGGCTGGTATTTATTCTTTCTCTGGAAAGCCTTCCCTCACCTCTGGATATTTGCCAAATTTCTTTTCTACCTTTAACTTGCCATCACTTTCATGAAACTTTTCCAGCTCCTATAGGCAAATTATTAATAATCGATGACTTATATATCCTTTCTTAGTCCTTCCATTAATGCTCACCATTTTATCATAATTATTTGTCTAAATGAATATTTTATTGTAGTTATATATGTGTGTGTGTGTGTGTGTGTGTGTGTGTGTGTGTGTGTGTATCCCCTACTTGACCGAGCTTCTGAGGGCAGGGAAGTAGATTATATCTTAATCAGTTCTGTATGCCAAATTGCTAACAACCTGATTGGCAACAACAGGAACTTATGTATTGATTGAGTGAATAAAGGAAAGCATGTCTGGCTTGCCTGACCCCTAAGATTATAATGAGCAAATCATACGTTAAATGCTAACGCTCTTTGTAAACCAAAACAACAGTGTGCTGATGTTAGGAAACATTTCTTTACTGAAGTGCTCTAAAAACATTTTCCAACTCCATCTTGATCATGAAGCTTTAATATTTTCTTTCTCTTTATAAAATGCAGTCATTCATTCATTCTTTCTTGATCTCAGAGTATTAAATATTTTCTGTTTTTTTTGTCAGAAGCAGTAGAAGCAGTCATTTATTCATTTAGCCATTTTTCATGTAATCAACAAATATGCCTGCCAAGAAATGTGCGAGGCACCGAAGACAGAATGAAAAGTTAGAGAAAAGTGGCCGCAGGCCTCATGGATCTCACAGAGGCACCATAGATGAGGCATGAGTAATTCCCTCAGGGTTTGGGCTGGTCAAACTCTTCCGAGTTTGGGCTGCCACCTCACTTTAGTGCCTCTCGTGTGCACTGACCGCAGGTGGTATCCTATCACCCGGGCCCTTTATTCATCATAATGCTTTGATCCTTGGTGGGTCTAACCTTACATCTGAACATGTTCCTTTTTTGCTCAGCAGGACTGGATCCAGGTTATTGGAGATGCCCCAGGGTGCTCAGCAGCCAGTTTCCTGGGCTGGTCCGCCAGATTCCAGCTGCCATGAGCTGCAAGGAAAAATGCAAATGAACCAGTTCTTGGAAGGATTTGGCCTAAGGCCTAGACTTCAGTGTCTAGGACCATGGGTTGCCTTTCAGTCTTTTTTAACCTTTCAGTTCCGAAACATCATCAAAATAGAATCGAAGTATTGACCTACAATATCTGAACTTCCTTTGATAAATAGGCACAGTGAGAAAAGCAGCCTGAACCTAATTTTTCTTCCCAGTCTGTTGTTTCTTATCAGAAAGAAACACTTTGCTTCTGTAATCATTAGTAACAGCTATGAATTTCTTCACTCAAAATTGTCCAATTCAGCACCTCACTAGATTTAACTATTCTTGGCAGCCTCTGGCTGAGACCAACTGGTTTCTAATGATCATTTTCTTGAAAAGTGACCTGTCTTTCCTTGCCTGAGCTTGTCCCCCTGGCTCTCCCATAGCCTCCATCAGGAGGTTAGATAAGAAGGTTGTGGGGAGGGACAAGGGATCAAATCTGTTACTTTTTATAGAGGCAGAGTGAAATTAATTTCCTGTGAAAGCTGAGGACATTCCTCCATTAGTTTGGCTTCCTGCTCTGTGTCTTATATGCTGGGTAATTTTTTTTTCTTTTGGAACTTCTATGGGCCAACTTCCCGTGCCTGAGGCTGCTGAAAGAGATTTACAGACTCAGCTTACTACACAGCAGTGAACCAAGGATGATGATGAATGAACAGAAGAGAGATGCCTAAGCCATTCCTGAATGTTCTGAACATGAGTTCAAAGAAGCCTCCAAGAGGTGTCCTGGAAAGCAGTCACCCATAGAATTTTAGGGTTAAGAAAGACCCAGTGGGGAAAATATATTCCACCTCCATGTCCTTTGGGTCTCAATGATAATTCTCCCCAAATTGATCTTTCATACATTAGTCAGTATATACTTGTTGAGAACCAACTGTGTTGTTGCACATTGCTCTAAAGGCTGGATGAATCACACAATGGCCAAAAATACAACTCAAAGAGGCTGAAGCAGAAATGTATTATGGTTCAATCAATCAATCAAGCTAGACTATTACTGTTACTTTGAAAAACATGACATAACTTATCCATCCAGTATGCAGGAGTGATTCAATTTGATATCACAGGTTGGCCTGATTTTGTGGCACCTTATCAAGGCCTGAGAGAAGATACCAGTATGAGGTCGAAACTGCAGGAAGGTGATAAAGTGATGAGAATAAAAGATGCCAGATGCCATTACACACATCCATATTCATGTTACTCTGGATCCTGAAACTATTCTAAGTGAAGAAATTACCTATAGCCTTTCTTAACCTTTTGACATAAAATTATAAATTTTGCAAAATATAATACCCAGAATAATTTTATTTGATGTAAATTACTGCTTTGGACACTATACTTGTGTATTTTTTTAGTGATGAAAGAGAAAGATCAATTCATATTTTCATCTGTACCATGCTGTAATCTCCTCCAACAGAGAAACATCATCAGTGGTGTAGAAGAGCTCAGGGAAGCAAGGAGGGCTGCTGTGAATGACACCATGAATTTCTGAATGTGATGTCCCTTCAATTCATGAGGTCAGTTCTTTCTATTTAATATACTTCTGGAAGTATCAAATTAGTAAAAAAAAATTTTCCCATTTTTCCTGTCACAAATATTTGGCCAGGAAAAAAAAAGATTTAATCACAGACCAGCCAAAGTCAAATTCATAAATAATGTTATTTAAAAGGCGAGCGACCCCTATTCCACTCAAATGGCAAATCTTTGCATTATTCCTATTTGAGTTGATCTTGTCTGAATTTTTAATTTTCCTCTGTGTAAGGGAGAAAATCTTTTCTTAAAAACCTGTCTTGCTTAAAAGGCAACATTCTGATTCCTTTGAGAATCCATACTGTGTGGTATTATGATGTTTTGAAAGACAGACTCAAATAATATGTCAACTGACTTCCCTTACTTATCCTGCTAATGGTTATTAGGCATGCTTTGTAAATAAATTTGTAGTTCTCATGTGAAAATACTAGAAGAAGAAGATAGGGAATTCAGGTTTCAACTTCAAGATGATAATTCTAGGAAAAAAAAAAAACATTGAAAATTCCTCAACTCCAAAGCTATAATTACTGGCCTAATTTCTACTTTTAAATTCATAAACTCAGCAGCTTTTGTTTTTGGAGCTGGAGGGGAGAAGAAATGTTTAAACTACTAGAAACAACTTGCATTCTCTTTATTCCGTGCTACCTCAAGTTAGTGAGAAAGACAGAGCAAGGAAACCAAAAATGTGTGGAAACCTGGGGAAAGGCAGCGAGGTGGGAGACTATTGAGAAGAATAGACTGCTTAGTGGTGGTTGGAGGTACATAAAAATAGCTGAGAATCTGAAACCTGGTGTCTTGGAGGAAAGAGTCTGCAACTAAGTGACAAAAGAGGTGAATTTCTAGCTCAATTTTTGTATTCATTAGCTCTGTGATACAGGCCTCGGTTTCTGTACATATTTAACACATATGCATAAAGGGAATACCTTCCATATCTGCTATGCCCACTTCTCCAGATGAGTGACAAATAAAATCCTGAATGTGTCTTGTAAACTCTAACTTCTGGGATGGCATTAATTTTGAGCATTTAAAAACAGTCCTGGCAGGTACAATGCCTCAGGCAAAATGGCCTGCTTAAGGCTTGGGAATAGCGAAAAGCAGATAGAAAGGAGGGGTTTTTGAAGATAACAGAGCAAAGATAGAAAACTCTAAATCCTACAAATTAAAGTCAGCATTGTGAAGCAGGCCAGATGGGGACTGCACATAACCTTCTTAAAGGAGGAAACCACTCCTCAGTCCCAGGCTATCACTACCATTTAAGAATCTCAGCCAAAATTTTCAGCTTTTTCAATTACCATGAGAAGCTCCAAATACAGATATTCATGTGATATAAATGAATTTTAAAATTTAACATTCAAGAGAGATGGGAATAGGAAATTACTAGTAGATAAAAAAGGTAGAAAGAATGGGCATAAATTACCTGTTCTATAAAAAGGGGAAGACTGATCCTTGAGGGAAAAATGAGATATTCAGCTTAAACGTATTATACTTGCATCTATTTACCCAGCAAGTATTATCAAGTACTTGTGCATCCCATATATAGTATCAAAAAATCAATAATAATAACAAAATACACCATCTGGTATTCCTTTTAAGTCCTGTTCCATACATGACTCCTACTCAATACACATCCTCTCCTCCATGCTTCCGTGTTTCTGCCACATTAAACTTCTAAATATTCCTTGGACATAACAGACTTTTTACAGTTTCTTACATTCTCAAATTCTGTTTCTTCTGAGTAACATTCTTTTATGAATATTTCATAACAGAGATAAGAATTCTTATCTAAAGTCCAACTCAAATGTAACTGTCTGTATCATCCATTTTATGCCTTCCGTATGCAGTTGTTCACTGTGTTCCATACTTCCATAGCTGTTTGCTCCATATTTCCTTAATAGCATTTACCAAGTTGAATTAAAATATGAAATATGTTTGTCCTCCAAATCTATGAGTTTCTTGAAGTGAGGACCTGGAATTTTAAACTTGTTACACTAGTACATAGAGTGGTTAGTGAAACAACATGTGTTCTCCAGAAATATTTTTTAAAAGCATAAATGAGAGAGTTTACATTTCCACCTAAAATATGAAACTAGGAAGAGTATTGTTCAGCCTACTTTAATAAAAAGGAATGCATCTTTTTCTCTGTTGTCTCAGTACTAAATTCTTGTTTTAGCCTTATTATCATGCAAGCTTTTCCTACTCAGTCACAAGATGGCCACTGACAACTTCAGGCTTACATATACTTTGTACAGGACAAAGTACAAAATAATAATTTTTTCCTAAACCAGTAAAACATAAAGCTAGAGATCATCCACATAGGTTAAAATACAAGGAAAGACAATTTTTTTCTACTGAGAAGTGAGACACAAACACTTGTTCATTAGTGGCAAAGTATGAGATAAAAGACATGGAGTATCATACAAGCGGCTTACGTATAATTCAGCTAAAATTTTTAAACAAATAAAAGTCAAAGTGTGTTTTAGTCCAAGTATATAAAAACCCCCCAGAAACCAAAAGTCAAGGGAATGCTATTTACTTACTTTTACAGTGTTCTGAACACAAAGTATATTTACTCAAAACTGGAAAGGTATATAATAAAGCCAAAAAATAAAATATCAAGAGACAAAATAATTAATAGAATCAGATTCAGAGATGATCCAGATGTTGAACTCTTCCAACAGGTAATTTAAAATAATAGTGATTAAAATGTTAAAGTTTCTGGAGGAAAAGATAAACAGCATGCATAAACAGATTGGAAATTTCAAGAGTCATGGAAACTACAATCTTTTGACAAATGAAAAATCTAAGAAACAAACAAACAAATAAAGCAGTAGAGATGAAAACAAAAACATCTGATGGGCTCATCTGTAGATTCAGTATGGCCAGGGGAAAAAATCAGTGATCCAAAGATAAATCAATAGAAATAACCCACACTGAAGCATAAAGAAAAGGGAGAGAGGGGGAGAAACAAAAAAGAACACAGCATGCAAGACCTGTGGGAAAATTTCAAAAGGTCTAAGATGTAAGTTGGAATTCCAGAAGGAGAAGTAAGAGAAAATGAGGGTGAAATACATTTTCTAAAACTAACAAAATACATCAAATCGTAGATCTAAGAGAGTAAGATTATTTCAAGCAAGATAATACCAAAAAAGAAAAAAGAACACTTATAGACACCACATTAAAACTTTTGGAAATGAAAGATAAAGGCAAAAACTTGATGGAAGCTAGAGAGGAAAAACAAAAGACACAATGAATACAAAGAAGCAAATAGATGAATTACAGTAGACTTGTAATTGAAGATATGAAAGCCAGAAGACAATGGAGTGGCATCTTAAAAGTACTTCAGGGAAGAAAAAAGATACATAATATGCCTATGTCATGTATGTATTATATACATAATTTAATATGTGTTATTTTATACACATTTATATAAAATTTTCTATAAATAGGCTTTAAAAGCCTTTACATAAAATAAAGAATTTTAAAACACTAAAGCTAAGAGAAATCATTACCAGTTACTTCCACTGAAAGAGATATTTTTAAAAATTTCTTTAGGCAAATGACATATGATCCCAGACAAAAAGTTAAATGTACATAAAGTTATAAATATTTTAAGAAATTTTAAAGTGATAAGTATGAAAGATATTTTATCTAATTTTTAATTATTTTAAAATAAAATTAATTAAAGTGAAAATAGCAATCCATTGTGTGTAGCGAACCCTGCCCCTCTTCATCGCTGGTAAGAGAGGAGCTCCATCCTTCAAAATCTAGATGGAGGCAGCCACAGCCCCGTGACTTGTGCAGCAGCAGAAATGGCACCATATGAATGCAGTCAAATGCCTCTGTCTTCTTAAGCAGCAACCATTTCGGCCCACATGGTACCTGAGCCTGCCAAAGCCAAAGCTTGGGGGATTGAAGAACATGGAACCAGATGCAAAGAGCAGAGCCTGTGATGTGAGGTGCTGATGCAGCGTGGTCCCTCAGGCACAGGTGGTTCCTCTGATAATCTCTGAATTGCCTTGGGGCAGGGGTGAGGGGGAAAGGCTTTTTCCATTGTCTTAGACAAAAACTCCTAGCTTCCATTTAGATGATTGAATAATCTCATTTGATAGTCCTTTGGCCACACCCTTTGTGTTTTCTCCTGAGCAGGCTTTCTTTTTCCTTTCAATATTGGTAGGCCAAGGATTTCCCAAATATTTAAGTTTTGCTTCTCTTTTGATGAAAAATTTCATATTTAATTTCTTTCTCTTTTCTCACACTTTACTATAAACAGTCCAGAGAAACCAGGTCATCCTATCAATATTTTGTATAAATATTTTCTTAGGCAAATATTCAATTTTATAACTAGCAGGTTCTGCCTTCCATAAAACACCATGGCACCAGGATAATACAGCATACTTACTTGGCACTTTATAAGAAAGACGATCTCTCCTTCGTTGTCCAATAACATGCTTCTGACTTCTATCTGAGATCTATCAGAGTGGTCTTTACTATCCATATTTCCACCAAAGGCTCTACTCAGGATTACTTAGATTTTTTTTTTTTTGGACAGGGTCTCACCCAGGCTGCAGTACAAAGGTATGATCTCAGCTCACTGCAACCTCCACCTCCCAGGTTCAAGCAATTCTCCTGCTTCAACCTCCCTAGTAGCTGGGACTACAGGCATGTGTCAACATGCATAGCAAATTTTTGTAATTTTTTTTTTTTTGGTAGAGATGAGGTTTTACCATGTTGGCCAGGCTGGTCTTGAACTCCTGACCTCAAGTGATCCCCCCTCCTCGGCCTCCCAAAGTGCTGGGATTACAGGTGTGAGCCACCACATCCAGCCTACTTAGATATTCTAAAGGAAGATTGAGGTTTTCTCTGCAGCTCTCCTTTTTTTTTTTTTTTCTGAAGGCTCACCAGGATTGCCTTTAAATTCCCTTCATGCTAATGTAAGCTTTTTCTAGCATGCACCTCAAACCTCTTCTAGTCTACCCATCACCCTGTTCTCAAACCACTTCCACATTTTTAGATATTTGTTGCAGCATCACACTACTTCCTGTCCCAATTTTCTGTCTTATATTGTTCAGGTTGCTGTAATAGAATATGATAGACTGAGTGGTTTAGAAACAACAGAAATATTATTTCTCATAGTTCCGGAGGCTGTGAAGTCCAAGATTTGGGCGTGAAAAATTTGGGGTCTGATGAGGGCCCAGTTCATCGTAGATGCTGTCTTCTCACTGTAACTTCATCTGTTGGAAGGGATGAGGAGTCTCTCTGAGATCTCTTTTATAAGAGTACTAATTCTATTCATGAAGGTCATCCTCATGACCTTATCACCTCTCAAAGGCCGTCTAATACCATCACTCAGGATTTGGTTTCAACCTATGAATTTGAGGGAGACATAAAAAGGCAATTCAGACTCAGCTTGAATTGAAAAATTATTGTATAGAATACCATGCCTGGCCAGTCCTGACACACATGTGCCCTCCTGAAATGAAGAGAGTAATTGCCTTATTGAAAGTATATGACACTGGGAATTAGAGTTTACTGCTATTCACAGAAAGAAAGACAGAAAGAAGTAAGGAAGGTGGGAAGGAGAGAGAGAGAGAGAGAAAGAAAAAAAGAGGAAGGAAGGAAGAAAGAAGAAATAGAGAAAGAATGAAAGAGGAAGGAAGGAAGAAAGAGAAGAAATAAAGAAAAAGAGAAAGAAAGGAAAAAAGAAAAAAGAGAAGGGCAGATATGCACTAAGGTGGGGGTGCTTATATTAAACTTCAGCAAGGTTTTTCTATAGCCCTATAACTGTAATGAATTTACATATTCTTAACTTTTTGCACATTTTCTTCTTTTCCTTTTATACCTTGTTTTTTGTTGTTGTTTGTTTTGTTTTGTTTTCTTGTTTTGTGCCTTTGCATCATTTGTTTGCTCTGAAATTTCCTTGTATATCTTTTAATATTATTGACTTGTGCTTGTCCTTTTAGGGCTAAGATAAGGATTCTCCTCCTCTCAGAAACTTTATTTAGTCTTTCCAGGCTGGATTGAGTGCTCCCTCTCTTTGTTCCCATAATACCTTGGGTACATCTTTATTAGAGTATTTATCACGGTGCTTAATAGTTGTCTATTTACTCATCTGTCACACAACTAGGCTCTAAGGTGTTTTGAGACATGATAGATATCATTTGCTATGTATTGCCATTTGCCTTCTTTACCCTGCTTTTTCCCCTCATTATTACATGTCTGTTTTCAGAGTGCCTTAAAGATAACACCAAAGACTGGGTAATCTAGAAATAAAAGAGGTTTAATTGGTTCACAGTTCCAAATGGCTGAGGAGGCCTCAGGAAACTTACAATCACGGTGGAAAGAGAAGGGGAAGCAAGGCCCATCTTACATGGCAGCAGGAGAGAGAGAGAGCAAAGGGCGAACTGCCAAACACTTTTAAAATCATCAGCTCCTGTGATAACTCCCTTACTATCCTGAGAACAACATGGGGGAAACTGTCCCCATGATCCAGTCACCTCCCACCCGTTCTCTCCTCTGACATGTGGGTATTACAATTCGAGATGAGATTTGGGTGGGGACACAGAACCAAATCATATCATTACGTATCATCCTCTATGTGCTTATGTATATCTCCTTCTCTACCCATTAGAGTTCTCTGAGCTCAGAGGCTACTCTTTTTTTTTTTCATTGCTATAATCATGAGAGCTTAAAATGGCACTTGGCACAAAACTCAACACTTTTGGGTGTTGGAGAAGTAGAATAAATATACTGGACTAAAGTGGTCAGAGTACAAGTTATATCTTAGAGCAGAAACGATATATGGAGAACTAGACAAATTTAGTTGGTAAATATCATCAGTGCAAGGTCAAGCAAATTCAGCAGATAAATTTAACATTAATTCTGCAGAATAGCACAGGGAGAACAAAGAGGAGCCAGAGAGGATAAAGCAGAGGAGAAGAAGGAAAAAAACAAGAAAGAGAAAGAGGAGGAGAAGAAGCAAGAGGAAGCAGAGTAGGAGAGGGAGGAAGAGAGGGAGGAGGAAGAGGAGAATGCTGAGAAAGCAGAACAATGACAAATAATAATTAAAGTAGAAGCTCACAATTACTAAGCATTCTGTATCTGTTATTTATTTTAGCCTCACATCTAAATACAAAGGGAGGTATTATTATGTCTATTTTACTGTGAAGAAACTGAAACTTAAAGAGCTGTACTGCTGATTAGTAATGATAGACACATTCTAATCTAATATGTAATATTGTTCACCAGTAGGAAGAAAAAAGAGAGACAAGGTATACAAGTTAGGAGACAGGTGCCAGAAAATCTAAATTTCCAAAGACCATATCTGTTCTCATTGCTCCAAAAGTGAAGGTCCAGATAATACCTTAAGGGGTATACATGTAAGAAAATCACAAGGAAGAGATAATGAAAAAAAATTTTTTTAAAGAAAAAATGAAAAAGGGATATGTATGTCTTTATTCATTCTAAGGAATGATATCCTATCCTTGCTCCTGAAAGTGGCTTTTTTTCTTGAGCTTGTGACTATTATAATGAGAATCATTTCAAAGAGATAGAGGGTGTCTTAGTCTGTTTGGGCTGCTGTAATAAAATACCATAAACTGGGTGGCTTACAAATAAAAGAAGTTTATTTCCCACAGATCTGGAGGCTGGAAAGTCCAAAATCAAGGCATCAGAATATGTGATGTCTGATGAGGACCCACTTCCTGATTTGGAGATGACACCTTCTGTGTATCCTCTTGTGGTGGAAGAGAGAATTCACTCGCTGAGGCCTCTATTTTAAGGACAGGAAACCCAATCATGAGGGCTTCACCCTAATGACCTAATTACCTCCCAAAGGCCCTACCTCCAAATACCATCACCTTGGGGATTAGGATTTCAACATATGAATTTTGGTGAAATACAAATATTCAGACAATATCAGAGAGTAAGAAAGAGCTAAAGGAATGGCAGTGAAATTGAATGCCCCTATTTTCAAAGGGAGAATGTGTAGGAGAAAGCAGCTTCCAAAGAAAGAAGAATCAAAGGTTAAGAAAAAGAAATGATGTGAGCCTAAAGAAATATTCAGTTTAGCCCTCAGTATAATAGTGGGATTCATGCAATGGGAGTTCATATGCTTCCTGTGACACGCAGACAACAGAAAGAAACAAAGGGGTTGATAGGGGAAGAGAAAGATGTTGCAATTAAGACCCTAGAACTGAGTCTAACCTGGCCATCTGTAGCCAAAAAACGTTTAATGCTAGAAGAGGACATGAAGGACAAAACTAAATTCACACTCTCATAGCATCTTTAAAAGGAGTGTATGGGGTATAATTTGAACATGTGTAATAAATGTCAAGAACAGTGTGTCTGGAACATATATAGTAGGTCCTTACCTGATGACAAAAGTTTTGATCTTAAAATTGAATTTGAGGAAATTAGAGGGAATACACCTAAGATATCACCTGAACTAAGGGAGTGTGCCTGCACACACAGGCACGTGCACTCATAGACACGACTGATATTTATTAAGGGCACATGATACAGCTCTACCACATATTTACACATTGCAGCCATTCCAGTTGTCAGGAATCCATTCTGTTTGGTTGTTATCTATGACATTCTGTTTGATAAATATTTTGAATGATAATCATTGTGCACATGTAGGCACTCACACTCTTACCTGCTTGTACAAATGGGTTCTGTTTTCCTAGAGAGAAAGAATAGAATGAGGAACATTCATAAGCTTTGTAGTCAGGTAAACTGACTGTAGGATCTGACATTTACTAATCATATGACCTTGGTGAATCTTCTGAGAACACTCTTTATTCTCATACATAAAATGAGGATAACGATTTCACCAACTGCCTTATATTTTATTGAAGCCAAAATTATCATTTATGCCAGAATAGAATAAAAAGCAGTGTCCTGTTTTTTTCAAGGAGACAGTTCAAAGAATGTTTTGGGGCAATCAAATATACGAATTTTAGTGATATATTTTTAAAATCTAATGTCTATTTATAAAATTTAATAATTTGTTACACATAAATAATGACATATAAAATAATATACTAATTTGGAATTTTTTTTTTACACTTCTTGTTCATTTAAAAATTTACACAAACTCTTTATAAGAGACTTTGACATCAGTTCCTTCACAGTCTTTAGGGACAGTTAAAGTCATTTAATAGTTTTCCAGAGCATACTATCTCCTCCTCTAAATTGTTTGAGATATAGCATAATGTTTTTGAATCTGCAAAACATGCTTTTATTGTGTATTTTATACTATGTCGAAGATAATCTAGTCATACAAAATTGAGAAAATTGTTCGTTTATAATGTAGATACATATTTAAAATCTTTAAAAAGTAGTTTTTTTGTATTTCTTTGTGAGTAATCTTTAAAAGGCTTATTTATGACATTATTCAAAACTTACAATTGCAAAATGGAATACTACCTTCTCTTTTTACTGATTTTGTTAGGTGAATTCTGTATAATTATCTTTCCTAATTGGTAGTATTGACTGCAACATAAAGTAATTGAGAGATAATCATATAAGATGACTTATATCTTTACTAACGATATAGACATGTACTTGGGAGGGGGTGTTTCTCCTTACATTAAGACATATATACCTACGTTTTAAGAAACTGACACACAGTAAAATGTTAACTGTCTTCTTGTCTGTTTTTGTTAACTATTTAGTAAGTACTTTATAAGTCATTCCATAAATGGAATCATTCAGTTTTTCTCAACCAGTCCCTTTAGTTGAGTTTAAAATATACTATGTCATTGGGGGGTGTAGAAGGGGTTGATATGTTCCAGGTATTGTTAAGCAGAAGAATCTTGCTTTGGAAGATCAATTTTCATTCAAGTTTCTGATGTTATTAATGTGAAAATTGGAGAGTTTCAGTGTGCAGTGTCTGCGTTAAGCTTTTTTCCTACCTTGTGTATCACACATTAATAGAGGAAAATTGAGCCATACCTATATTTAGTGATTATAATGAATCACATGCATATGCATAGTAAGCAGATGTATATAGTAAATGACTGGAGTGAAGTCCATTTGGTTAAGGAGGGCGAATTTCTATTATTTTCATATATCTTTTCAACACAGTAGGTTGGCAATGCACACCCAAAACTTTCTCCCTCTAAATGTCTTTCCAAATATATTTCTCTTTCCTCTCCTGGACACACCTTTTACTCTAACTTAACTGAGTTTCTAACTATTTTTCCATAAAGCTTTATTCTTGTCTACCTTCAGGTTTTTCTTAATGCAATTCCTTCACTTGTAATAAAAACACATACATCCTTGGAATGACTCTCCATACAACACTGATTAGTTAAAAGCTATTTGTTTCTGCAATATTTTTGTTTATACATAGTATCTCAACATGCTACAGTATGCTTTAATATTTATTTTAATCACTTGTGCTTTCAGCCAGTTAGTTGGGGCAATGGGTTTTGGTGAGCCACATTATAAATAGCCTCAGGCAATGATGTTCTACCATGTTAATGTGAATTGAGGATGTTCTGCAATGTGCAACACATCTTATTCACTTTACTATGAGCTTTACTTTCTCCACTTATACTCTGGATATTCTTTAAGTGATGAGGCTGACAAAAGATGTGTAAGAGATAATGTGGATGTGTTACAAAGTAGCTAAACGGGTATCAGAGTGCATGTTAACTTATTTTTCAAGTATATGGTTGAGGAAATAGATGGTAAAGATGAGAGGGCAATTAGAAATTGGTACAAGTCCTCTGACCATGTGAAGTGTTGGAGTAGGTGGTCAGGTCGACATGAGCAGGGCAGGACAGGGGCTTCCACCACCCCTAGGAATGTCAGGTAACCACCAGGTGATGGTCAGTTGGTTGTTGAACCATCTGTCTAAAATAATAATTGGTTGCAGCTGGCACCAGGTAACAGGCAGTCTCCCAATGGAGAGAAAACACCTGAAGCTGGTGATCAGCAGCTTCCCAATAAGATCTTAGGAGTGGGACCAGTGGGCTCAAGCATGCACACTAAGAGGCAAAATGGTAGATTTTAACTGGTATGTGACCTTCTTCTAGGAACACTTGACTGGTAAGGAAAGAATGCTTCAAGCGAGCATGTGTACAATGTCAGTAAACACACTCTACATGCAGCCCCTCACAAGTGCTGGAGGTCACCACGCAGGCGGACAGGAAGAATCGGGGAGGAGATACGCAACCCCCTGGAAGCATGCTGACATATAAGATCCCAAGTCAAAAATCAAACCATGCACTTGATCTCAATTTGCACACTTGGTCCTCTTCTAAGTGTACTTACTTCCTTTTGTTCCTGCTCTAAAACCTGTTAGCAAACATTCACTTCTGCTCTAAAACTTGCCTTGGACTCTCCCTTTGCCTTATGCCCCTCAGTTGAATTCTTTCTTCTGAGGAGGCAAGAATTGAGGATGCTATAGACTCACATGGATTCAACACTGCTAACAGAAAGACATCATGACATCACTACAGTGTGGAAGATTGCAAAATTGTTTCAACACTAGTTGGCAGAAACATTGGCTAGAGGTATGCTTCAGGGGACTTCAGAAAACTGAAGAGAATAATTTCTAATATACTAGTACTAGAACCAGGAGCTCTCCCATTTTCTGGAATGTATCCCATCTCTCCTACATTCTTCAAATTGGCTGTGAGCTTATTCACTGAATGAATACCCTAATGATAAGTTAATGACTGGATTATGAATGAGTAAAAAATTATTGAAAATAGTAAGTGGCCATTAAAGACTAAGATTACATATTTAGTCTTTGTAGCTTGTTATTTGTGTGGCATGACTTTTATGTCCTGGTGTGAGGCCGTATATTTAACAGAATAGAGCAACATTAGATTCTGCCTCATTGACCAGTCAGTTATTCACAGTGGGTTCAATTCTGGTTTTCTGGCTTCTTTGCTCAGTTGCTTTTAAGGCCACACCTGCAAGAATTTATGTTCACATGTTACCTGAACCTCTGATTCCCAAATAATGGTTTCTCAAAATGATGATTCTTCAGCTTTTGCCACTCATCATATACTGGGAAAGATTATTCTATGTGAAAGTGCAGAAACAACATACAAATCAACAGGAGAGGAAGAGAGAGAGAGGAAGGGGAGAAGAAGAGGGAGAGAGAGAGAGAGAGTTACGTTATTCTCTGACGTAACTGGTGGAGAAATTTTGAAGACAGAAGGTCATAAATTTCGTAGAAACTTCCAATTCCTGATTTATTTCCTCATTATCAGACAGACTCTCCCCATTTGTTGTGAGAATGTTATAGTATATTATCGAAAATGAAAAGGATCATCTCGTAACTAGTATACATTATAATATACAGGCTATATATTATAATAATGTCATATTATCTTAGGGGTGATTCTGATTGGTCTCATTTGGTCACCTGCCCTTGCCCAGACTAATTAGTGATGCCAGTAAGATGTCATACCCTGATTGGTCAATATTGAATCTTGTGCCCATCCCTGTAAAATGAGAATAGGACACTTGGTTGAGAGCTCCTTATGGACCTCTTTAAGGTGAAAGGAAATACAGTTGGCCAAAGAAGAGATGAATAACATAGAACCAGAACCAGTGTATACATATATCTAATTATGTGCCTCCTAGAGCCCAAAAAATAACTTGAGTGACATTAAAAGTGCATTTTCTCATGCTGTTTGCTCCAATTTGACTCCTTTCTACCAAAAATTAACTTAAAAAAAAACCCTCTTGATTCCATACCAATCCATTTTAAAACTCCATGAAACCCCCAGAATGGAATGAACCACTCTTTCCTGTGAAATACTTTAGCAGTTTTTATCTAAATCACATTTTTATTTCAAAGCAATTCACCAAATATTTCTTGTACTTGCATTATAATGTAAGATATTCTGCTAAGGATGTACAAAAATGAAATGGTCCCCATTGTTAGGGTATTTAAATAACATGAGTGAGATTGTCATGCACATGATCGACTAAAGATGAGGCTGTTTTTGCAAATATGCTTTCAAAGACATCATGTACCTTCCTGTCTTTGTCAGTGCTATTTCTTCTATTTGCAATGCCCAATCACCAATCTTTCTTTCATATACAGGCCAAATATAATTTCCTCAGCAAATCCAAGAACAAAATACCCCTCACACTGGTATGTTTTTCCTATAAACACAAGACTTATAATTGTTATTGTGTGTGTGTGTGTGTGTGTGTGTGTGTGTGTGTGTGTTCTTATCCCACTGCAAGGGTCTGAATGGTAAGTGGTGCATTTATTTAATCTTTGTTTCCCTACACCTAACATATTACTTATAGAATAAGCCCTCATTAAATAGGGAATAAACATATTTCTTGCTTCTTACGAATTTTAGGTCATTTAAGAGCCATAAGCATGGAAGGTAGTGTACTATGAGAGAAATCATAAATGCTTCATAATCTCAGAGGTCTTTGTACTCTTAACAACTACCTTATATGGTACTATCAGTATTCCCATTTTAGAGATGCAAAAACTGAGGCACAAAAGTGAAATACTTTGGCCAAAGTCCTGGGAATTTTTAATGGCAGGGCTATGACTTGAACCGGCCAGTGCAGTTTCAGAGGCAGGGCTCTTCACCATTTTAAACTGCCTTTCAAAGATAATATTATATATTTTTAAGTGCATACTAGATTCCTGGGGTTTGGCAACTATTTTTCCATTTCCTGTCCCTTTTTAAATACTGACTTTACTCCCTGCCTTAACTGGAAAGAGAATAAGAATGCAGTGCTCATGGAAGTGTAGATTTTTGCTAAGATAATACTCTTCCAAAGTAAATAAATAAATAAATGGTCCGTTGTTGAGAAGCTTGCCTACATCTTCCTAAAAAATGCTAAACTCTAATTCTGTTGGTCTACTTTACAGCATTCTGGAGATAGCATTTTCACTTAATCACATGTGAATTTCATTGAAATATTAAACATCCAAATGAAAGTGTAGCTCAGGGACATTCACTTATACAGAAAGTAGAAAGAAATCAGCAAATGCCAAGTGACATAGTCAGAGGTCTCTGGCCCAGACCCCCATGGAGCTTTCATCTGCTGGAAGCATGTCACTCATCATGGCATTTTGTGGGGAACCACAACTAAAGGGCCAAGGCACATTCCCATAAAATGGTTATCAGGTGCAAGACTGCAGTTTCTGGAAGAGCACCCTGTGGTTTCAAATTAGCAGTTCACTGAAGAGCTGAAGACAATTCCAGCAGCCTCCTCCTCCAGTTCTCTCCAGAAAAAGGAAATTAGTCAAACATAACAGTGGAGATAAGTAGTTCATTCCTTGTGATTGTCAGCTACATAGATTTACCAAAAGTATTGGTTTGGAAATAAAGGTAACAGAACCTCATATATGAGTGAACTAGACAGTTATAGGACAACCTTTAGCTCCCAGTGACATTTGAGATCTAAACACAAAATTCATGGAGAAATGGAAGACACTAAAGAGACAAACAGCTATGCTTTGCCTTCATTTACAAATAAGAAAATGTAGGCCCAGCAAGGTGGCTTGCTTTTTACTAAGATCACATGGGCCTTATAAATAAGCATATCTCAAACATGGTGCCCCAGCTCTAAACCCAGTGTTTCTTCCACAACAAATCAGTCTGATATACTCATCATCATCACTGATGCTAAGTGCATCATCTGTGACAATAATGGGAGGGTCCTTTAACTTCTTAGAGCCTTAGTTTTCTCATCTGCAGTGAAGGAAATTGCTTTTAAGGCTGTATTATGCTTTACAGATAATGCATGTGCAAGAACAAAATTGGCAATGGTTATTGTTTTTATTTTACCTCCATATACTCTTTGGGAAACTGAACACAAAATAAAATCAAGTATGTTCATCAAGTATGTTCACCCTGCCTTAGTTACACAGTAATCCAAAATCTAACAAATTTTTCTGCACATACCTAGCTGATGTATTATTTTGTTTCTCGGTTGGTTGGTTGGCTGGTTTTGTCTTGTTTTCTCTACCAAGCCAATAAAGAGAACTATAAAAGTTAGAGATGACACAAGAAAAGAACTACTAGAAGTCATGGCTATGATTGACCTAGCCATATTAATCATGCCATGATCTGTATTGACAGGAGATAGCTGTTTTGCCCAGGTTCTCAGTGTATTAGTCCTTTGCTTTTCCCTTCTTCTGACATAGCCAGTATTTTAGTGCATTAATATGAAAAGAATGTAAGGTAATAATAGAATTCTTGTAAATTAGAAAAGGGTAATGTTTCCAGTGAGAATGACAACACTATTAGTGGTGAATAACTTGGCCCTAATCATTAAGCGTTTGCATAGTGGAAAGAGAACAGGATTTGAAGGTATGTGATATCTGGATCCATCACACAGTGTGTGACCTTGGTTATTGGTCACTCTGTGGTTTCATGGCCTCAAGTGTAAAATAGAGATAATAATTGTATCTAGCTCATAGAGTACTTGTGAGGTTGAATCACAATGCAATGACCTTGAAGGTAACAATAACAACCATCATTTATGTGTCATGGACCATGTGCCAGGCACTGTACTTATTGCTTTTGATGTTTCATTTTGTTTTCATGATGTCCCTCTAAGAAAGATATTACCATTTGTGCTGGAAAGCTAGAGGAAAGGTAAGCCCTGGAAGTTGAAGTGATTTGCTCATGGCCACGTAGTAAACGGTAAAGCTGGCTTCTGTACCTGGGTCCTTTGATTCCAAGACCACACTTTGTATCATTATTCTATTTTGCCTTCTTTCTGGTATGTGATAAATGCTCAATAAGCATGTTTCCCCCTTTCTTTTTCTTCTGTTTCTATTAGTCCTCAATTATTTCATTGGCTTTTTACTAATTTAACAGACTTCACAAAATTGTGAGAATCAAATGATTATATGAACTCCTTAAGAACCACAAGCAGAATTTCTTCCAAGCCAGTTGTTTGAGTGAGATAATATGAATACAGCACCTAGCAGAATGAATGAGGCTCACAAAAGCTCTTCATGAATATTTGTTGAATAAATATTAACTTAGAGGCAATGCCTGTGACATTTGGTAAGCTGTGACATTTAGTTATTGTTGTGCTCATTGTTCATTTCATAACTCGCTTCCAAGTCTCTTAATAGGAAAAGAAGGGGGCCGGGCGCGGTGGCTCAACGCCTGTAATCCCAGCACTTTGGGAGGCTGAGGCAGGTGGATCACCTGAGGTCAGGAGTTCGAGACAAGCCTGGCCAACATGGCAAAACCCCGTCTCTACTAAAAATACAAAAATTAGCCGGGCATAGTGGAGGGTGCTTGTAATCTCAGCTACTCAGGAGGCTGAGGCAGGAGAATTGCTTGAATCCAGGAAGCGGAGGTTGCAGTGAGCCTAGACTGCGCCACTGCACTCCAGCCTGGGCAACAAGAGTGAAACTCCCCTCTTGGGGGAAAAAAAAATATGAAAAGAAGGTACAGAGGAAACAATTTCCTGAGCTCACCTGGGCCAAGATCTCAGGCACAGTTACCTAGTATCAGTACAGATGCTCAAGTTGCAAACAATAACTTGGAGGACTTCATAAATGAGATGATGTCATAACGGGCACATTCTCCATGTGCTGGAATGGAAGTGTGAGGAATTGCTGTTGGCCTGTGACAGAACTAGGCATTTTTCCACTTAGGGAATTAAGTTCATCCTAGATCCTAATGTTAGTGCATTCTCCTAACCAAAGGAATTTGCATTAGAGTAGGCAGCTGCTTTCACCTCTCCAGCTGCACCTCCTCAACAAACTCCATTGATATTTATGTAAAACATAAGCTCCGATTTGGGGTAATTGCTAGATTAGCTAATAACAGAGGCCTCTCCTTCCTGTTTCTATTACCCCTTGAATAGCTATTCTGATTGTTAAATCCATTTTTTATTACAAACAGAGAACAAATTTCAGCAATTAGTGAACATTTTGTAGTTCTTGACCTGTTTGTAAGAGCATGTTTCTGTTGTACACATTATATGAAAAGTCAATAAGTAAGGCATGCTTCGTTAATTGCAGCTGCTTTTATGTGTGCCAAGTTTTTTTTTTTTACCACATGCACTAACTTAAAATGCAGTAGCTCAAAGGACACAATTTAAAAATATGTTTACTATTTACAACCAAAGCTGAATAACCAAAGAAAATTATTCTAAAATTCCATGTGATATTTTTGAAGAAAAAAAATAATTAACCTCAGAAATTGCTTAAGGAAAAACAGTAGTCAGCTAGAGCTTTGCAAGCATTTCCAAATTGTATCAGGTCAATCATTTAATAGTGCCTTTGAATATGTTTCATTGTCATAAACATAACATAGTTCATTCAGTCCATTAGTTACACATTTTAATACCTGTATTGAGATATAATTTACATGCCACAAGATTTGATTATTGTAAGTGAACAGTTCAGTAAATTTTAGTAAATTGATTCAGTTGTACAATCATCATCCAAGTCCAGTTTTAGAACATTTCCATTAATGTAGTTTCCTTGTGCCTATTTGCAGTAAATCCCCATTGCCTCCCCTAGGCAACTATTGATAGACTTTGTGTCTCTCTAGATTTGTCTTTTCTAGAAATTTCATACAAATGGAATCACACATCTGTAGTCCTCTGTATCTAGCTTTTTTCATTAGCATAATGTTTTTGAAGTTCATGTTGTAGCATGTATCAGTGCTTTGTTTCTATTGCTGAAGAGTATTCTATGGTACCAGTATAAATTTTTAAAATTCATTCTAATGGGATTGCTTCCACTTTTTGGCTACTATGAATAATGCTGTGATGAACAGTGTGACTCACTTTTGTGAGATGTATTTGTGAGCAGAAAGTACTCCCTTCGCTTTGACTTTGAAATCATTCATGTGACATACCTTGGTCAAAGGGATAGTAGCAGATGAGATGAAAACATAGATGTGCTTGCTGGGTTGGGGTTAGGGTTAGGTCTCTCTCTTGCACCTCTGTTATCATCATAAGAAGAGTTTTCCAGGCAGCTATTGCCCTTTCAGACTGGGCCTAAGCATGAAAACATGTAGACAAGACCTGAGTCCAGACCACAGTGAGGAGCCAAGCCCGGACTCACTCCCATTCTGAAACAAAGCTGTGTAGCTGAGCTCAGTTTAGGCAGTTAATCCCAAACTTGATGGCAGAAGTATGATGGGTAATAGTTGTGGCAAGTCAATGTATTTTAGGGTGGTTTATTATGCAGCCGTATTGTAGCAATAACAGATGAATAAAGAAGACATGCGTAATCTGGCTACTTCTGCCTCACCAAACTTATTTCATACTATTTTCACTCTTCTAGTCCTAGCCACTTTGATGTTCTTCTAGACATTCAAACTTAGCATCTGCATGCCTTCCTCAGGTTCTTCTTTATGCATGCTATTCCCTCTATTTGGAATATTGCTCCTCTTCCCCCTTGTGTAATGAATCTCCACTGAACCTTCATACCTCGATTTAAATATCTTTACCTTGGGAAAGCCATATTCGCATTTTCTGAGGAACAAAATGCTCCAAAGCCCAGTAGTTTAAAACACCAACTTATTCTCATGAAACTGTAGGTCAACAACCTGGACTGGGCAGTTGTTTTGCTTGGCCCCTTGGATCACTGATGCAGTTTCAGTCATACAGAAGATTAACTAGGAATAGACAGTTTACGTTTCACTTCTATGGCATGTGCTGGCTTTTAGCTGGGTCATGTGTTTCCAGCAGGCTAGCCCATGATTCTTCACATGGGTGCAGGGTCCCCAGCAGCAAAACAAAGCAAATCCCAATGCACAAACACTTTTCAAGTGACTGCTTGCATCACGTCTCCTAAAGTTTCATTGGTGAAAATAAGTCACATGGCCAAGCCCAGAGCCACTATGGGAAGAAATTACCCAAGACATACATACAGGGAGGCATGATGCATAAGAGGCCTACAGTCTTCTCTTTGACTCCAGTGGTTCATTTTCCTCTAACATGCCAAATAAATTAACACCCTAGGGAGAGCCCTAAAATGTCATTCAATCATGATATCAGACCCAAAGCTGTTAATCTCATAATCCACATTAGGTCTAGATACAGATGAAGCTTCTTGAGGGTAGCTCCTAGGCTATGATTCCCATTGATTCAGACATGACAAATGAAAAGACAAGTTACCTACCCTCATATATGTAATATACAATGATGAAACAGGAACAAAACATTCATAGTACTTTCATTCAAAAGAGGAAGGAATGGGAGGCAAATCATAAAATAAATCATAAAATAAAGCCAAGTACGTGTTGTCAGGCCCCCTACTGTGGTTTTGCTCATGGGATTGGATCTATAAACTACTATTTGCCTGTGCTCTTTTTTTAAATTATTATTTTATTTTATTATTTTAAGTTTCGGGGTATATGTGCAGGATGTGCAGGTTTGTTACATAGGTAAACATGTGCCATGGTGGTTTGCTGCACCTATCTACTCATCACCTAGGTGTTAAGCCCAGCATGCATTAACTATTTGTCCTGATGCTCTCCCCCACCCACAGCCCTCCCCAGACAGGTCCCAGTGTGTTTTGTTCCCCTCCCTGTGTCCGTGCGTTCTCATTGTTCAGCTCCCACTTATAAGTGAGATCATGTGGTGTTTGGTTTTCTGTTCCTGCATTAGTTTGCACCTCATGCTATAAAAATTTTGTAAAGTAGTTATTTTCTTTTTCAGGCTGCCTCTTATCAAAAACAAAAATTTTTTTTTGGTAGGGGGAAGGGTCCAGAGGACGGTCTCAATTTCCTTTAATCTCAGATTGTATAACTTCCTTAAAACCTTTTTGGGTTTGCTATGTATCACCTTACATCCCTTTGTCTAGTACTCAAAATCCACAGCCAAAATTCTTTTTGGGAAAGCCTTCTCCCACTACATTTTAGGGCTGTTTTGAGATTAAGCTTCTATGGGAACATGCAATTAAGATTTTTAAAAGCAATTTTGTTTAGCTGAGAGGGTCTACTAAGTACAACTTTCAATCTTTTAGGGATCTTAACAAGGAGTTATATCAAATCACACTCTTGATTTGATCTTTAATCTGAGGCCATTTCTTACATAAGAAATCTTATTGCTATCTGGAGAGACTAAAGCTGTGAAACAGTTTTATTTTTCAATGTAGAAAATTCTGATTACATTACAATTCCTTTGAATATTGCTTGCAATCTCAAGAGTTCTCTCTTTAGCTCATCTCATGCTTCGCCAGCCTTTTCAGATGCAGCTAATGGAAGCCAATTGTCACTTTCAAAGTTCTTCCTGGTAATATCCTTAGCCAGATCTGCAAATTCATTAGGAATATTTTCTTTCAGCTAACTCAGATGACAATTTGACACTGCTGCATAACACAAATCAACTGTTTTCCAATTTCCAAAGGCAGTTTCCTTAGCACTTTTCAAGACCATAAAAAAGTTGTGTTCACTACTTTACAAGATGTAAATAACAGCTTTCTCACAACTTTTTCGTTCTCCACCTACTGTCCATTCCCAAAGCTCATCACTCCTGTTTTAGGTTTTATGACAGCAGCACTCTTCTAGGTATTTTTTCTATGTCAATTAGCCTTTGCCACATAGCAAACCATCCCAAAGCTTATTGACTTAAAAGGATGACCATTCTATTTGTTCATGACACTTTGGGTCATAATTTGGGCTGAGATTAGCTGGATAGGTCTTCTGGTCTCACCTGGGATCATTTATGCAGCTGCAGCCATTGTCATCTCAAATTCAGCTGAATGATTTGATTCTATGCAGCCATAAAAAAAGAATGAAATCATGCCCTTTGTGTTGCTATAACAAAATACAACAGATTGGGTAATTTATAAAGAACAGAAATGTATTTCTCACAGTTATGGAGGTTGGGAAGTTCAAGATCAAGTTGCTGGAAACTTCATTGTCTGGTGAGGGTTCTGTCTCTGCTTTTAAATTGATGCCTTGAATGCTGCTGCCATTGGCATTAGGACATAAAGGGATGAACTCCCTCTGGCAAGCCTTTTTATAAGGGCACCCACTCCCATTCATAAGGGTAGAGACCCTATGACATAATAGCCTTCTAGAGGGCCCACCTTTTAATACCATCACTTTGGTGATTAGGTCTCAACATTAATTTTGGAGGAAATACCACATTCAAGCCAAGGCAGATGTTTCACTCATACACCTGGCCATGGGTGCTAGCTGCTGGTGGGGCAACATATATCCTGCAGGTCATCCTGAGTTTCTGCATGTGGTAGCAGAAGAGTTACCAGCAGCAAGAGAAGACAAGCCCCAGTGCACAGTGCTTTTCATACCTCTGTGCACTTCAGGCTTGCTTATATCTCATTGACCATTGACCAAAGAAAACCATGTGGCCAACCCCATAGTCATTGCAGAAGGGGACCTCACAAGGGTATAGTCAGAACACATATAATTCATTGATGACCATTGCTCTAACAGTCTACCAAGAAGCATTTTGTGACAGCCTAGGACTACAGTATGATGCCTTGTTTTATACGCATAGTACCCTGTATTTCTCCTTTAAATAATCAATATTATTTTAATATTTAACTTTTGACTCCTCGGCTTAATGTATGCTCTTGAGGACAACAATTATATCTTGTTCACTGCTGTATTTTCTTTTATTTTAATGCAGCCGTGCTTGGATCACTGCTGTATCTTTAACATAAAAAATTATGTGCATGATAAGCACTGATGAATAAATAACAGGATAAATAGATGAATGAAAACAGTCCTAAAGGAAGCTTTACATCTATCACATTTTCTTTTCTTTAGCATCTAACATATCTGAAATAAGTTGCACATTTATTTGTTTGTTACCTGTATCCTCTTCTAGGATATAAATTCTGTAATATCAGGAACCTTGCCCTTAATGTTTACTTTAAAAATACCTGAACAAAAACCAACAGATGTTGGCAAGGTTGAGGAGAAAAGGGAATACTTATTCACTGCTGGTAGGATTGTAAATTAGTTCAGCCACTGTGGAAAGCAGTTTGGAGATTTCTCAAAAAACTTAAAACAGAACAACTGTTCAACCTAGCAATCACATTGTTGGGTATATATCCAACAAAAAATAAATCGTTCTACCAAAAAGACACATGCACTCATATACGCCCATCGCAGCACTATTTACAATAGCAAAGATATGGAATCAACCTAGGTGCTCAGCAATGGTGAATTGGATAAAGAAAATATGGTACATATACACCACAGAATACTATGCAGCCATTACAAAGAATGAAATTATGTCCTTTGCATCAACACATATTCAGCTGGAGGTCAGTATCCTAAGAGAATGTAGGAATGAAAAATTAAAAATTGCAAGTTCTCACTTATAATTGGGAGCTAAACAATGGGTACTGACGGACATAAAGATGGCAACAATAGGCACTGGAGACTACTAGGGAGGAGTAACGGAAGGAGGGAAAGGGTTGAAAAACTAACTGTTGGGTTCTGTATTCAGTACCTGGGTGTTGGGATTCATCGTGCCTCAAACCTCAACATCATGCAATATACCCAAGTAACAAACCTGCACATGTATCTCTGAATCTAAAATAAAAGTTGAAATTATTTTTTTTTAAAGTAGAAAAAAAGTAATGTTCTAGGTCTTTACAGTCATACACCACTCACTCACTGACTCACCCACAGCTACTTTATGGTAGATGCTCCTGTACGGGTGTATCAATTTTATCTTTTATACTGTATTTTTACTGACCATTTTCTATGTTCAGATATTTTTAGATGGAAAAATACTTACTATTGTGTTACAATTGACTACAGTATTCAGTATACTACAATATTCATTACACTAACAGTATTCAGTACATTAACATGCTTTACAGGTTTGTAACCCAACAGCAATAAGCTATACCATATAGCCTAGGTGTACAATAGGCTAGACCATCTAACACTTTATGATATTTGCACAATGATAAGCTTGCCTAACGTCACATTTCTCAGGACAATCCCTGTAGTTAAGAGACGAATGACTGTACTGCTAGAGGTGCCTAAACCATGTTGGTGAATTAGTACAACAGTCTCCATTGTGGTAATCGAGACAAAATGTATCTTCCTTGTTAGAGAAGTGCTTCCCCATCTATTTCTACTGCTGCAATGACAATTTCCTGATCATGTCTAGAGGAGATGAAATAGCACTGGAGTCACGGGCAGCCTCTGCCCAGCTTGATAAAGCTAGCTAGCCTTTATAACAGTCATTCTGGAAGGCCAGTGACTCGGTGCATCAAAAACTCTCAACGGAAGTTGTTTATTTATACTGACTGCACACTTGCAAACCTGAGTAACTGACGATTTTCAAATAGTCTGGTTTCTGTACATTTGCCAGTTTCCAAAGCCTTTTTTAACAAAATTATGGGAGCCCATTGTTTTGGACTGAGCTCCTATACTAGGGCTCAACAGACCAGACCAGACCAAAATGGAGTCACTCATGCTAAATACCGCATAATCAAACTGAAACTGTAAGGAAACAGATAAATCCTGAAACGGACAGATCTTTTTCTCTGAAAACCGGAAGTTCCAGTCTACCTGAGTCAGAGTAATAAGGAATCCATCTCGGCTTTAAAACCTATAAAAAAGTAAATGGAAGTAATCTGATGTTAAATACGTGTGTGTGTGGGTATGTTTGTATTGTTCTGTTTCCTTGTTCCCATCTTACAAATCCCATGTTCTGCTATTGCCCAATGGGAACTCTCACTCTATTTTATAAAATGAAGGCCACCCTGATTGATGAATTGTGAATAAATGTCAATTAGATCTGTTGTAATTTTGTCTTTTGACATCTTTTAATGTTAAAATTTAGTGGGCCAGTCTCTGTGCTAGGTACATACACTATCTGCTTGCTTATTCACCTTTACACACCTCTGGTGGTAAGCATTATTAACCCGTGAGGCAGATAAAGAAATTGAAGCCAGGTGGGGTTAAAAAAATCTGCATGGTAGTAAGAATGATAGAACCTTTTCATTCATTTCACATTATCTGAATATCTATACACCAGGCCTAAGTTGGGCCTATGCTTGAAGACAATTACTTTGCTTCCTGAATCTGAGCTCTTTCTGCCAGGTCAGTCTGGCTTCCAGAAAGGGGGCTGGGGAGAGATGTAGGAGGGAAAGTAGGGCTGGAGAGTGTGAAAGACAAACTCTCCAGATTTGCCTGTGAACAGCCCCATCCCATCTCCTTTTATTCTTGTACCCTACCCCCCTCTTCCCACCCTCCCCCACTCCCTCCACCATGCCCAAATCCTCACCTCCATGACCCAGGCAGAAGTTCTTTCTCGAACATCTCCCTTGAAAGGATAACAAAGTGTTTTCGCTGGCGCTGTTGTCATGTGATCAAAGCATAGCTCAGGAAATGGGGTCCCTCAAAAGCTGTTTATCTAAAATCTCTTATTTCACCAGTTGGAGCATTTTAAGAGAACATTCTGCGCTTTCTCTCCCAAGGGCAAATATTTCAGTTACCTGTGTACTAGGAGCCAGGCTGAGGCCACACATACTTTTCACAGTAAAAGAAAACACAGCTCCCCTGTGAGAGCATTCCTTTTGTGCTCATGTGCACCCCCGGCCCCCAGCCCCGCTTGGAGGCCATGAGGAAATCCTGATATAGTCTCTCACAGAAAGTTTGAGTGATTCTAGGCAGGCAAGATTGAAAGACAAAAAGCTCTAAATCCCACTTTAGGTGGGAGTGTTTTTTATTACTGATAAAAAACAGAGTCCCTGTTCTGGGTTATTCAGATGAGCCCAAAGTAAATATTTATGCTTTCAACTGATGGATCTGTTTTGAGGAGTTCTGGGACTCCCAGACAACCAAGCTAATGGATCGGTTTTTGCTTCCCCTGTGTGAGAGGAGGACTGGGCAAAATTATTTGGCAAGGGGAGCCCTTTTCCTGTGGCCTGCTGGTTGGTATGTGTGAGACATAACACCCCTCTTTGTGCCAGAATAGGGTAGTTGTGGGGGAGGGCCTGGCCAGGACCTCCCAGCTCCACCACTTGAAATGATTTAATAGCCACATCGTCAGTGTTCCCAGAGTACACAGCCGCCTGCCTCCGGGAGAAGGAGAAAGATGGATACCTGGGGCTGCAGCCCCACCTCCCCTCACGTTTGAATGTGGTACTTTGTTCTTTGGCACTTTCAGAGAATGCAGAATTCACACCACTGGCACCCCCAACACACACATGTCCACACTCGGGAAAATTTACATATGCGAATAAATGTGAAGGACACATGTGGACACTGCGCTGTGCTGAGAGACGTTTGAAGGTGGAAACTGCTCCTCTTTCAGATTTGTATTCTCACATTGCCTAGCAATGCCTGGCACAGAGCAGTTGATTAATACATTCTTTTTGAATGAATACATGAGTAACTATAATTATAACCATTTAGTTAACACTTAGTAGGTGCCAGGTATTGAAGGAAGTGCTTCATAAACATTCTCTTGTTTAACCCTCAAAACAGACCATTAAATTAGGTGCTATTTCTCTCCCCATTCCACTGATATGAAGAGTGAGGGTTAGGCAAGGCCAAGCGTTTTATCCAAGGTTACACCACTGGCCAGAAGTAGCAAAAGACACCTCACTCCAGAGTTGATGCTCTTAACACTTTTCTCTACAAAATCAACTACCCAAAGTGTAAGGTAAGAATATTTCTACCTATGTTATGTACAAATAGCAGTAGTGTTATTGCCAAGGTACAAACACCCAGCTGCAGGCCGCAATTATGCAGTGTGTCTGTCTCAGACATTTCTTTCTTTTCCTTTCTCCCCATCCCCAGTTGTTAGAAACTCAATGGAGGCATCAGCTTCAGAGTAAAGACTGTATATTTCCACATGATAGGAAAAGCACCCTGAGTTTAGCTCCCTTCAGTGAGCACAGATATTTTCCTGAAGGGTGAATGGGCAGGTTCCTGGCTGTATTAGTTTGCTGTCACTGCCAGAATAAATGATCACGGTAAACCGTGTCCATCACATATATCCTACCTATTTCTGGCAGTTTATTATAGGCATTTTATCTTTTTTTTTAACTTTTAAGTTCAGGAGTACGTGTGTAAGTTCGTTATATAGCTAAAGCCATGTCATGGGAGTTTGTTGCACAGATTATTTCATCATCCAGGTATTAAGCCTAGTATCCATCACTTATTGTTTTCTGATTCTCTCCCTGGTCCCACCCTCCGCCGTCCAGTAGGCCCCAGTGTGTGTTGTTCCCTCTATGTGTCTATGTGTTCTCCAACTTACCATGGTTCGACTTGATAATTTTTCAACTTTACAATGGTGCAGAAGTCATACGCATTCAGTAGAAACCAAGCTACCCTTACAGCCGTTCTGACTTTCACTTTCAGTACAGTATTCCATAAATTACATGAGATACAGGTAAATTTGATTCTCATCTATTAACGTTTGGCTCCTCAATTACTTATGCAAATTTCTGCAGCCAGCTTGAATTTCTCTTCAGAAAATAGATTTTTCTTTTCTATCGCATGGAGGCTGCAAACTTTCCAAATGATTACATTCTGCTTTGTCTTGAATGCTTTGCTGCTTAGAAATTTCTTCCACCAGATACCCTAAATCATCTCTCTCAAGTTCAAAGTTTCACAGATTTCCAGGGCCAGGGCAAAATGCCACCGGTCTCTTTGCTAAAGCACAGCAAGAGTCACCTTTGCTCCAGTTCCAAAAACGTTCCTCATCTCCATCTGAGATCACTTCACCCTGTACTTTATTGTCCGTACCACTACCCTCATTACACATCGACTTAGCATTTTAAAGCAATACTCATTTATTGCTTTATTTTTTATCATTTATTATCTCATGGGTTGGCAGGCCAAAAGTTTCAGGCAGGCTTAGCTGGGAGTACTCACAGTTTCACGAGGCTGAAATCAAAGCCTGGACCAGCTGGACTCTTGTTCTCTTGTTCAGAGGCCTCAGGAAAGAATCTGTTCTCAAGCTCATTTGGGTTATTGGAAGAATTTAGCTCTTTGCAGTTGCAGGATGGAGGTCCTTGTTTCCTTGCTGGTCGCTATTGTTTGAATGTTTGTGTCCTTTCCAAAATTCATGTTGAAACTTCATCATTAATGCAACAGTATTAAGAGGTGTGGCCTTTGGGGGGTTAATTAGGTTATGAAGACTTTGCCCATATGAATGCATGAGTGCTCTTACAAAAGGGATGGAGGAACCTAGTAAGGACCATTTTGTCTTTTCATTCTTCCCACTAAGTGAGGACACAGCACTTGTCCCCTCTGGAGAAGGACACAGTATTCAAGGCACCATCTTAGAAGTGGAGACTGGGCCCTCACCAGACAGCAAACCTGCCAGTGCCCTGATCTTGAACTTCCCAGTCTCCAGAACCATGAGAAATAAATGTATGTTGTTTATAAATTATCCAGTGTCAGGCAGTACAAACAGACTGAGACACTGGCTGTCAGCCAGAGACATTTTTTGCTCTTAGAAGCTGCCCACATTCCTTCCCCTGTGGTCCCTTATATCTTCAAACAGGAAAAGCACACCAGTCCTTCTCATGTTCTGAATCCTTCTGTCTTCATCTCTGTAAACACCTGGAGAAATTGTCTTCTTTTAAAGACTCCTGTAATCATATTAGAGCCATCCAGATACTTTCCTCTTAAGATCAACAGTGCCGTATAGCATAACAGAACTATAGAAGTAATTCAAAAGTTCCAAAGATGAAGGCATTGGATCTTGGGACTATTCCTGGAAATTCTCCCTGTCACATTTCCCTTGATTATAATTGAAGGCAAGAAAAGGAGAAAGCTTTATAGGAAAATAAAGGGGATCAACCCAGGCACACCTTGGTAGTGACCCACCATTTAAAGAATCTGCCAAAGTGGAATGGAAGAATTGCATCAATTACTTCAAAAATAAACAAAGTACATCAGGAGAGAGCAAAGGGAAAATAAGGCGTCACTTAGCAGGCTCTTGATAGATGTATATCTGCATACCTACTTTTCGAGGTAAACTTGTAATATTATATAGAGGAAAGAAAAGAAGAGGGAAACCTCATTACACAGTCCTTGGTTCCATAGGAGTAGTTTGCATGTATTGAGTCCTTACTCTATACCAGGCACAGTTCTGAGTGCTTTACATGTATTAAATCATTTGCTATTCAGATAAAGGTATTATGTTCAGATATTATCACTTTCATTTTACAGATGAGGATTAAGGAACTTGCCAAACATTGCACAGCTAGTGAATGTTATAGACAGGGTTTGAAAGCAGTCTGGTACCTGAGAGTGTGCACTTACACTAGATGCGTTTGGAATCATATCCTTTTGGGGATCCAGCCATGAAAGACCTAGGTCAAAAATTGGGACATAAAATAGGGGCCTGTGACTCTGTGACACTGACTAAGGCCAGTGGGGATCAGTGTGGTCAGGTGGAGAGACCCTGAGGCTTAGAGGTAAGAAGATCTGGTGTCCAGATGCAACAATTAAAGTTAAGAAGGTTGTGACCTTGGGCAAGTCATTGTAGTTATCTAAGCATCATATTCTCATTTATAAGATGTGGATAATAACACCTATCTCTGTCTTTAAGGGATTGTCCTGTGATTCAGTGATGTGCAAGTATGTTAATGGATTATGTAAATCTAAGATATTGTTGCCATCTAATATTCATGTTTTGTTTCTTCTAGATCTCAGTGGCCATGTGATGCCAAGAAGGGTAGCTTTGTTAGTTAAGAGTGATTTTTGTAATCTTAGGCCAAGATTCTTGCTACCTGCAAGTTTCGTGTTAATACTTAAAGTACTACCATTCATTCTTTCCTTTTGATAGTCTGTCTTTGTTTTCCTTCACGTAAAGCCAGTAAGTGTTAATGTCTTTGAGGAATTCTATCAGAGATTATCGGAGGGTATTATCCTATAGAGTGAGTGGAAGATGAGAAACTGAAAGTAGGAGATGGGAGACAGTTGGGACAAGGTCTAAAGGAGACAGGAGGAGAAAAAAGGCTGAGTGATCTCTTAGACTTTTACTTTTCTCTGTAGATGGGTAGAAGGGCAAGTGAACTGGAGGACTGAAGAAGTCAAGGGAAAAGGTGATGTTAGAAGTAGCTTCCTTGGATAAATGAAAGCGAATTGAGTAGACCCATGTTAAAGGATTATCGAGAAACACTTAGAGTCTGGCTGAGATGGGAAATCATAAATTTGTTATGAAGTCAATTAGTGTGATTATGCAATTCTCATCCAATAAGTCACAGCTGGAGAACAGAAGAAAAAATTCTGTGTCTGCATGAAACTCAGAGAGAAACTATGTACTTATTGTGCATCAACAATTCGTTCACTCATTAATTTAAAAAAATGTATTGAATACCTACTGTGTTCCGGACACTGTTCTAGGCATTGACAATAGAACAATAACAAGCCAGGCCAATTTTCTGTCCTTGTGGAACTTGCAATTTTATGGCAAGAAATAGAATGTTAAATAGGCAAATAAGTACATAATTTACCTAAATGCAGACTGTGATTTATCTGTTACTAATGATATAGGCAGATATTGATATATATATATGTATATATATATAAATCTCTCTATATATACATGCATAAGCCTATATCTCTATATTGATATATATGTATATGTATATGTATATCTGTATCTATAATATAACTATCCATATGAAATCACATAGGCTTATAACACTAGCTGGTGAAACACTGTTTCTGAAATTGTTAAGGTATTAAGTATGCATTCCTGTATTAGTCCATTCTCACACTGCTATGAAGAAATGTCAGAGATTGGGTAATTTATAAAGAAAAAGGCTTTAATTGACTTACAGTTCCCTATGGCTGGGGAGGCCTCAGGAAACTTAGTCATGGCAAAAGGCACCTCTACACAGGATGGCAGGAGTGAGAACAAGTGCCAGCAGGGGAAATGCAGATGCTTATAAAACCGTCAGATCTTGTGAGAACTTGCTCACTCTCTCATGAGAACAGCATAGGGGAAACCACCCTCATGATTCAATTATCTCCCACCAGATCCCTCCCATGACACATAGGGATTATGGGGATTACAATTCAAGATGAGATTTGGGTGGGGATACAGAGTCAAACCATAACATTGTGCTCCTAGGCCCTCCCAATTCTCATGTCCTCACATTTCAAAACACAATCATGCCTTCCCAATAGTCCCCCAAAGTCATAACTCCTTTTGGCATTGACCCAAAGTCCAAGTCCAAAGTTTCATCTGAAACAAGACAAGTCCCTTCAGTCTATGAGCCTGTAAAATCAAAAGCAAATGAGTTCCTTCCTAGATACAATGGGGGTACAGGTATTGGGTAAATACACCCATTTCAAATGGGAAAAATTGGCCTAAACAAAGGGGCTACAGGCCCCATGAAAGTCTGAAATCCAATAGGTCAGTCATTAAACTTTAAAGTTCCAAAATGATCTCCTTTGACTCCATGTCTCACATCCAGGTCATGCTGATGCAAGAGATGGGCTCCCATGGCCTTTGGCAGCTCTGTCCCTGTGGCTTTGCAGGCTACAGCCCCTTCCTGGCTGCTTTCACAGGTTGGTGTTGAGTGCCTGCAGCTTTTCCAGGTGTACTGTTCAAGTGATTGGTGGATCTACCATTCTGAGGTCTGGATGATGGTGGCTCTCTTCTCACAGCTCCACTAGGCAGTGACCCTGTGTGGGGATTCTGTGGGGTCTCTGACTCCACATTTCCCTTTGGCACTGCCCTAGCAGAGGTACTTCATGAGGGCTCCGCCCCTGCAGCAAACTTCTCCCTGGACATCCAGGCATTTCCATACATCCTCTGAAATCTAAGTGGAGGTTCCCAAATCTCAATTCTTGACTTCTGTGTACCCACAGGGTCAACCCCAGGTGGAAGTCTTCACATCTTGGGGTTTGCACCCTCTGAAGCAATGGCCTGAGCTGTATATTTGCCTCTTTTAGCCAAAGGTGGAGCTGAAGCAGCTGAGACACAGGGGACCATGTCCTGAGGCTGCACAAAGCAGGAAGGCCCGGGAAAAGAGCCAACCCTGGGCCAAGCCCAAGAAACCATTTTTTTCCTCCTAGACTTCTGGGTTTGTGGTGGGAGGGGCTGCTGTGAAGGTCTCTGACATGCCCTGGGGACATTTTCCCCATTGTCTTGATGATTAACATTTGGCTCCTCAATTACTTATGCAAATTTCTGCAGCCAGCTTGAATTTCTCCTCAGAAAATAGATTTTTCTTTTCTATCGCACGGAGGCTGCAAACTTTCCAAACTATTACATTCTGCTTTGCCTTGAATGCTTTGCTGCTTAGAAATTTCTTCCACCAGATACCCTAAATCATCTCTAAGTTCAAAGTTTCACATATTTCTAGGGCCAGGGCAAAATGCCACTAAAAGCACAAAATGCTTGCTAAAGCATAGCAAGAGTCACATTTGCTCCAGTTCCAAAAAAGTTCCTCGTCTCCATCTGAGATCACCTCACCCTGTACTTTATTGTCCATATCAGTATCAGCATATTGGTCATATTGGTCAGAACCATTCAACAAGTCTCTAGGAATTTCCAAACTTTCCCGCATCTTCCTATTTTCTTCTGAGCCCTCCAAACTGTTCCAACCTCTGTTCATTACCCAGTTCCAAAGTCACTTCCACATTTTCAGGTATCTTTATAGTAGCATCCCATTACCTGGTACCAATTTGCTATATTAGTTGTTCTCACACAGCTATAAAAAATACCAGAGACTGAGTAATTTATAAAGAAAAGAGATTGAATTGACTCACAGTTCCTAATGGTTGGGGAGGCCTCAGGAAACTCAGACTCATGGTAAAGGCACCTCTTCACAGGGCGGCAGGAGAGAGAATGAATGCCAGCAGGGGAAATACCAGATGCCTATAAAACCATCAGACCTTCTGAGAACGCATTCACTATCATGCGAACAGCATGAGGGAAACTGCCTCCATGATTGGATTACCTCCCACAGGGTCTCACCCATGGAATGTGGGGATTATGGGAATGCAATTCAAGATGAGACTTGAGTGGGGACACAAAGCCAAACCTGATCAATTACCTAGGCTGTTTTCCTTCTTTATATTTCAGAGTAGTTGTTATTGAGACTCATACATTCTCAGTTCCTCCATGCACTAGTCTAGTCTGTTACAGGGAGGCCAGTCATTCCGCAGAGGAACTGTACTGGAAATGTTGACTCTGGCAATAGCTCAAGCTATAGTCTCCTATCAAGCTTTATTGTTAGCAAACAGGTAAATTTGATTCTCATCTATCTGACTCTTGATATATGTCTCAAGATAAAATCACTTTGCATTATCACATTAGCCTGGAAAACACTGCTCCCTTTCATTTTATAGATGTGTTAAATATCTTTCTCAAGGTCATAGAGATATAAAGTTCAGAGCCAAAATTCGAACCCAGATGCTATGCCCAAGGCCAGTGCTCATTCTACTGTTTCACCACCTTGTACTACTGAGCTCCTTGGAGGAGTGGGGAAGTAGGAGGTACAAGGGTAAGGGATCAGTTGGTATTGATGAGAGTGAATCCAAAAGAACTAGCTAAAAGGAGCAAAAACCAAAAAAGTGAAGCTAGAAAGGAGAGGTGGTTTCTGCCTTGCAAAATAGAGGTCAAGGGTTTGAACATTTTCCTGAAGATTTCTGGGATATTAGGAGAGGGAGGGTGATGTAGATGGAGAGTACATTCTGGTAAGGCTCTGAACTGGATTCTACTGGGAAAGCATGGTTTAGCATTTCATTGTGAACTTCTACTTTAAGATAGTGTTGGTCTTTCCTTGACGACAGGTATTCTTTTATTCCTGGTTAAGTTTCTGGATCCCATCACCGTGGGGCATATATAGTAAGTCCTCTGTAGTTTTTAATTGAATTCATTAATTCAGATGTGTGAAGTACATTTGTCACATGGTAAGTGCTCCAGCAAATGGCAAGAGCTCCCCAAACATTGTTTGCTATTACTATTGTTGTTGCTTAATTTCTCCAAGTACACTTAAGACTGAAAAAATGAAAATGTCCTACCGTTGCAGAAAGGGAGGAGATTATTTACCTTTAAAACAAGCAATTTGCTAGACTCTAAGGTATATACGATTAGAGAAAAGATAATCCTTTTGTTGATAATAAAACTCTTGACAAGGCATTTGATGAATACACTGAGGATCATTTAATGAGCTGAAACTACAGCCCCTTCAATTTTACTTCCTCTAATTTAATGGAAGAGCAGTGTTGTTTTTTTTTTTTTACCCTCAAAGACCTTCATGTTAACATTCCAACTTACTCAGCATCAACTGAGTCAGCACTTCCTTGTGAATGACAGTCTAGTTCAGTGAACAGGCAAAATGGTTTATTTATAAGCCTCTTTCTCAACTGAGATCCTGGGAAAACTGCTGTTCTCAAAAGTAAATAAAGGTCAAGATGCCTTAATGCATACTCAATGATAAGTCTAGTGATGTTTCTTTCATGATGGGCAGGTCTGCAAACTCTGAACTATTCCTGGATCTATTGGCATAAAATTCTAGGGGCAAATGTGCCATATTGGACCCTGCTTCTCAGCACTTTTTATCCACTGCCTGCACAGTCGTGACACTCATTAGGAAGACTGTGATGATAGCTTCTCAGCTAGTCTCTCTGCCTTCCAGCTTTCTGCCTGTCCCTACTCCATCCTATTCCCTCAGGACAGATGTATGTTTCTTAATTTCAATTCTGGAAACCTCAGCCTCTCTCTCATAAAGCTTAATGCATCAAGCTAAGAGCTATCATTTATTGATTGGTGACCATGTACCAGACAATTTTTATCATGATTTTTGTCTGTTTTGTGTAAACACATACCTCAGTGCCGAGAATTTTTAAAATTCTACATGTCTGCCTCAAGGTTATTGGTTAAATGAAGATATTATATCATTTTATCTTAAATATTGCCTTATGTCATATTATTTACCTATTTTGGTAACCTCAGGTTGATGATGGTTAATTAAATTATTCAAAAATGTAGGAGAGAACCCAGGTTTAAATTTCAGGCCTGTGTGATTTCAGAGGTCATTTGTTAAACTAATATTCAATTCTGGCTCCAAATGGCATTTAAGCAACTGCCCTAAAGAACCTGAAACAGTAAGTCCAGCCCCTACTCTCCTCAAGTCCTCCAGAAGGACCAACAACCTGCTATTTTCAACAAGTCTCACATCATGGTCTCCACTTTGTTCAAATGCTGGCCGGGCGCAGTGGGTCACGCCTGTAATTCCAGCAATTTGGGAGGCTGAGGTGGGAGGATCACCTGAAGTCAGGAGTTCGAGACTGCCTGGACAACATAGTGAAAACCCTTCTTTACTAAAAATAGAAAAATTAGCCAGGTGCAGTGGCGTGCGCCTGCAGTCCCAGCTACTTAGGAGACTGAGGCAGGAGAATCATTTGAACCCTGGAAGCTGAGATCGCACCACTGCACTCCAGTCTGGGTGACAGAGAGAAACTCTGTCTTGAAAAAAGAAAAAGAAAAAGAAAAAGATAATGTCCTTTAAGTCCCATCACACTCACCATCTCCGAAAAGCCAATCCAGATGGTCTCTACCATAGATTCTCCTTTGAATTCCTGCCACAAACTCACTCACACTCATACTTTGATGCAAACAATTTGCATGTTAAATTGTTTGTAAAGGAGTAAGAGTCTTGCTGAATTTTTATGTTCCCCAAAGGATTTGAAAAAGCACTGGACACCAGGAAGGGTGTTAGTAAATGCTTTTTTAAACTAAATCATGTTAAATTTGAAATTAACCGCATTGACTTCCAGTTTCTTCTGTCAGCAGTAAAGAAGGGGATATTTACTAGAAAATAAGTTCCCCAGTTTGAGAAAATGTTGCAAGCCAGAAAAGAGTTTGGACCAATCCCCAAAAGCAAATTTTCTCATCGCCTGGATAGGGACTGAGAAAAAGAGTACTTCTTTTTTTTTCTTGTGCTCTGGGCATGACTCCCAGCCTCCCCTAACTTTTGAAACCAAGCTTCTGGGAACACTGAGTACACACGTGCCTCTTCAGTCCCTGACACACAGAGGCATACACCCATTCCATAGAACTTTACCACATCCAGACTTACGAGCAAATATCCGAAAGTTGGAGGTAATGGGGAGAAATGAAAAGTAGAGCTACCTCATAGTAGTAGAGGTTTTGTAATACTGAAAAACAAGGCAGGAGAGCCATCCCTACAGAGAGATGTTGGGGATATTTCTGGTGTATTGATTTGGAAATCATCAAATAGAATCCTAAATGCCAAGGCCTGAAAACCTATCTCCAGTGTTCTTTTCTTTCTTTTTAAAGCTGGCAGAACTGCAAGCTGAGATAACAGCAAGGTATTTTTAGCTGTGTGTATTGATTTTTTTTGTCCTTGGAAGCTACTATATTCTATTATAACCCAAAAACAACAAGTGAAAAAAGCCAGCTGTGGCAAAATCTCATTTAAAGCAGAAGCATAATAATAATGATATTAAAATAATATGTTTGGAAGTATCTAAAGTTGCAATACTTGGATATTTTGGCATAAAGGGCCTCTCTTAAATGCTTTGCCCTCTGAATAATGCCTTTCGACTGACTGTTCTGCAGCAAAACTATTAGGTGAATAAAAATTTTAAGATGTGGTACGCTTGCTGGCAAACATCAAACTGTACAAAACAGGGATAGTCAATATCGATAACTGTCCCTGAAAAAAACAAACAATCAGAAAAAACTGGACATGGGTATCTTCATTACAAAATTTCTCACTATCCAGACTTCTTATCTCTCCCCATAACATCATCATCCATAATCGAAGTGACTTTTCTTAAATCTTTGCTGCTGTCTGCCTGTACAATACCAGGGACTAGCTAGATTTTATGACATTGCTTATTCTACTGAGGTATTTACCTGTAGAAAATATTCCTCTTTTTCCTGTACATTACATCCACCAGCTAAGCTCCTTTTGTGTCCCTCTTGGAATACCATTGCATCCTATATCGGGCTTTCCTTTTATTGCCGTTTTATATAGGAGGAAATATTTTCTTCTCCTTCTTGAGTTTGTGTCTGGGTCCTCTATAAAACAGATTCTTTGATTTGTTTTTTTGGAAGTGGCCCTTCTTTCCACTCCTGCTCTCATTTCTTCCCAAGGGAGGAGTAACTATTTAGAGCGTCCCTGAAATTGGTAAGGTATTGAGTATGCATTACCTAGGCTTCTTTCCTCCTTTATTTTTCAGAGTAGGTTGGTATTGAGACTCACACATTCTCAGTTCCTTCGTGCACTAGTCTAGCCTGTTATGGGAAGGTCAGTCATTCCACAGAGGAATTGTATTGAAAATCTTGATTCTGGCAATAGGTCTAGCTAAGTCTCCTACCTAGCTTTATTGATAATAAACAGGTACATTTGATCCCCATCTATCTGACTCTTGGATAAATCTCTCAAGATAAAATCACTTTGCATTATCACTCTAGCCTGGAAACACTGCTCCCTTTCATTTTATAGATGAGGCCCAGAGACATTTAAGATCTTTCTCAAGGTCTTATGGATATAAAGTTCAGAGCCAAGATTTGAACCCAGATACTATGCCCAAGGCCAGTGCTCATTCTACTGTTTCACCAAGTTGTACTACTGAGCTCCCTGGAGGAGTGGGGAAGAAGGAGATACAAGGGAAAGGAATCAGTTGGTATTGATGAGAGTGACTCCAAAAGAACTAGCTAAAAGGAACAACAACCAAAAAAATAAAGCCAGAAAGGAGAGGGAGTTTCTGCCTTGGAAAATTGAGGAAGGGGTGAAGGGTTTGAACATTTTTCTGAAGATTTCTAGGATATTAAGAGAGGGAGGGTGATGTAGATGGAGAGTACACTCTGGTAAGGCTCTGAACTGGATTCTACTGGGAAAGCATGGTTTAGCATTTCATTGTGAGCTTCTACTTTAAGATGGTGTTGGTCTTTCCTTGATGACAGGTATTTTATTCCTGGTTAAGTTTCTGGATCCCATTACAGTGGGGCACATATAATAAGTTCTCCATACTTTGTTATTTGAATTCATTAATTCAGATTTGTAATGTGCACCCAATAAGTGCTCCAGCAAATGGTAAGAGCTCTCTAAACATTATTTGCTATTGCTATTATTTGAAACCTGGTAGATATACCCACAATGCTAATCCCAAAACCTTCATTTTCAAGGCTTAATTTTGATCAGAAAACCTGCACCAATCTCCCAATTACTCTGGATACTAGAATCTTATGTTTGGATGCAAAGTTGAGAGTTATCTTGGACACTAACTAATCTAATAAAATAGTCTAAAATCAATGAAGATAATAATATAATTCCCAAGTCAGTGCATCCAATGATTAGGATGTCATAGCTTTTGTTTTTTAAATATTTTGACACAAATTGTACATAGTTATGATGTACAACATGCAGTTTTGAAATATGTATATATTGTGGAATGAGTAAATCAAGCTAATTAACATATGCATTACCCCACATACTTATTATTTTTTGGTGTGTGCTGAGAGCACTTATACTCTCTTAAAAATTTTCAATTATGCAATGCATTATTATCAGCTATAGTCATCTTATTGTACAATAGATCTCTTGAACTTATTTCTGCTATCTAATTGAAATTTTGTGTCCTTTAATCAACATCTCCTCACTCTTCCTACCACAACCCTCAACCCCTGGTAACACCATTCTACTCTCTGTTCCTTTTTTTTTTTTTTTTTTTTTTGAGACGGAGTCTGGCTCTGTCGCCCAGGCTGGAGTGCAGTGGCGCGATCTCGGCTCACTGCAAGTTCCCCCTCCCGGGTTCACACCATTCTCCTGCCTCAGCCTCCCGAGTCGCTGGGACTACAGGTGCCCGACACCATGCCCGGCTAATTTTTGGTATTTTTAGTAGAGACGGGGTTTCACCATGTTAGCCAGGATGGTCTCGATCTCCCAACCTCGTGATCCACTTGCCTCGGCCTCCCAAAGTGCTGGGATTACAGGCGTGAGGCACCGCGTCCGGCCTACTCTATGTTCCTTTAAATTGAATTGTTTTAGATTCTACATATAAGCGAGATTATGTGGTATTTATCTTTCTGAACCTTTTTGATTTTATTCAACAAAATTTCCTCTATGTTTATTCATGTTGTTGCAAATAAGAGGATTTTCTTCTCTGTTAAGGCTAAATAGTACTCATTGTGTATGTGTGTGTGTATATATATACACATATATATGTATATGGTATTATATATATGTGTGTGTATATTTTCTTTGTTTGTTCATTCATTGATGAAAGTAAACCCTTATCTCACACCATATACAAAAATAAACTCAAAATGAATTTAAGACTTAAAAGTGTGACCTGAAACTATAAATCTACAAGAAGAAAATGTAGGGGAAAGCTCCATGACATTGGTCTGGGCAATGAGTTTTTAGATTTGATCCCCAAAGCACAGGCAACAAAAACGAAAATAGATAAATGGGAGTGCGTCAACTAAAAAGCTTCTGCAATGGAAAAGAAGCAGCAGAGTGAAGAGACATCTGATAAGGGGTTAATATCCAAAATATATCAGAAACTGAATAGCAAGAAAACATATAGCCTGATTTAAAAATGGGCAAAAGACCTAAGTAGATATTTCTGACGTGCAAATGGCTAACAAGTTATGAAAGCATGCTCAATATCACTAATTATTAGGGAAATGCAAATTAAAACCACAAATTGATGTCACCTCTCACTTGTTAGAATGACTATAATAAAAAATACAAGAAATTAAGAAATGTTACTGAGGATTTGGAGAAAAAAAGAACCCTCGTACATTGTTGGTGGGAATGTAAATGAATAAGGCCATTATGGAAAAACACTACGGAATTTCCTCAAGAAATTAAAAAAGGAACTGCTGTATAATCTAGCAATACCACTACTGGTATATATTCAAAGTAAATGAAATCAGTATGTCAGAGAGATGTCTGCACTCCCATGTTCCTTGCAGCACAATTCACAATAGTCAAAATATGGAATCAGCCATAGCTTTTATTTTTTCATATTCAGATTGTTAGAGAAGATTTCTCCATGCTGAATTGCAACCTATCTCTGCATATCACTCTTTGGTATTGATTAAGGTATTTGGTGAAATGCAAGTGGAGCTCTTGCTTCCAAAGTTAAGTAAAGTGGGTGAGTTCATATGGTTGGTAGTTGGTGTGAGGCTTCAAGCCATTTCTGGCTGGCTGCAATGTTTATATTCATAACCCTATGATACTCCTTGTGTTGTCTTAATCCCTGAGCATGAGTTTTACTATATGGAAACTTCATGGAGGAAGGAATCACTAATGAGCTTTGTCTCCCCATGGTATCTAGTAAAAAACCGATACATATAATTTAGAAAATGTTGGTTAAGTGAAAAGGGGTTAACTCTGTTCCATTTTTTACGAAGGTTTGAACCAACCACATTCCAAATCTGTCCACATATGTTTGAATATTGATTCTGTCATTTGCCCTTTTTTCCAGTATTATCTGGGGTTAAAACCCAAAACATATATGAAACTGAATAGCAAGAAATCATATAATGTGATTTAAAAATGGGGAAAAGACCTAAATAGAAATTTCTCAAAAAAAAAAAAAAAAAAAAGACATACAAATGGGCAACAAGTTCCATGTTTATTTGGAAGAAAGGGCAAATCTGAAAATTGGATCAAGAGCTGTTTACATCTTATAAAGTGAATAAGCATTATCACATAGTGGCTTGGCACATGGATCCTGAAGTCTGATTACCTGGGTTTAAAATCTGGCTCCTCCAATTCTTGCTGTGTTAGCTTGGGCAGTAACTAAATGTATCTATTAATAGGAAGAAAATAGGACCTTCATAGGGTTAGTGTAACAGGTATGACCGGCTTTATGTAGCATACACTTTCTAACATGTTCATAAGGCTATAGAAGGAGAGATTTGGTCACATATATTGATAATATCAAGGCAATATAAGTTACACCCTTCTCCTGTTTAAATATTTTAATGAATTTATCAACCTGGGAAATAAAGGCTTAAGTTTTTCCCAGTTAACTTATGCAGAATTTTGGGGAGCCCCTTTTAGTTCAGTGTATTCTGTGCCAGAATCCTTCCTGGGTTTGATAAAAGATCTCATCTGTTGTTTGGTTCTATAATCTAGTTGCTTTTCCTTATTAGAAATTGGAGTAACACTTCTCCACTTTCACTTTCCTAATACCCTTCATTCTACATGATTCTACAAGATGATTTGCATTTCCTCTGAACTTATATCAGCAAGATCTTCTGGTACATTTAGATGTCATTTGTCTGCACCTGGAAGCTTGAATGAATATAAAGAAGATAAGGCTTACTCCATATCACCTCACATTGTAGCCTTCAATTCCCCATTAATTGCGTCTGTTTCATGGCTTTCAGTTTGCAAAGCATCCACTTTGATTTAAACAACAGCTGCATAAAAACTAAGCAGCCATGGTTTTCTCTGCCATCTGTTAACACACCGCCCTCTGCAAGCATTGGTCTACTTTTCCTTCCTTTGTGCATTCTTCCCCATTACTTGGAACTACTGATCAGGAAGTTACCTTAAGGACTCACCTATTCTACTTATCTCCTATTCCATTCCTACCTATCCCTGTACCATTCTAAGAAAGCAATGTTTTAATGATATTAATGATATACAGGTTAATTCCTTTTCTGAAGATCCCTGGAGAAGAAGCTGTCCCATACTTGCTGGTAATCCATGTCAAAATTTAGCAGTTCAAATTCTTAGGCTATAATTATTTTTTATTTTTATAGATTTAGGGGTGTGCAAGTGCAGTTTTGTTACATGGGTATGCTGCATAGTGACTAGTGTAACCATCACCCAAAAGGGTACATTGTTAGAGAAGGTTTCTCCATTCTGAACTGAAACCTACCTCTGTATATCACTCTTTGATATTGGTTAAGGCATCTGGTGAAACACAGATGATGCTCCTGCTTCCAAAGTTAAGTAAAGCTGATGAGATTTAGAGAGTACAAGCTAAGGAATTTGGGAGTGACTAATGGGAGATTGATTTCTGATCTATGAGGAACACCTGATCCACGTGCCTGTCCCATGGAACACGGGTCATACTGGGGATTGAGACCCTTTGTTTAGGTTAAACCAAGGTTTCCAGATGGAGGATGTTAGAGGGAGTGTGCTAAGTGAAAATGCTGTATAAACTGCATGCTTTTTACAAGCGGTTGTGGTTCTCCTCTCCACCCTGCCTGCACTGGACCGTCCCTATATGTAAGTCCTCAATAAACCCTATGTCTCCTTTGCTGGCTTCAGGACTCTTCTTCAGCCTCTTGTACCTGGTGCCATTCCTACTGCAGTCAATATGATTCCAGCACAACAACCAAAGACAACCAATTAAGATCAGTAACTTAGAATCATAAATGACTGATTCCTAGATCTGGAACATCATTAATCCTTTATTCAGATGTTATTGATGGCCTGCTGTGTGCAAGGCTCTCTTCTAGGTGCTAAGATCACAGAAACTCTATCCTCAAGAAACCTTATTGTCCTTTAGAGGACATTGAATATGCTGCTTGTCTTCAAGTGATGAGACCTGATGGAGGATTACAGCACTGAGCCTGAACTTGGTTTCCCTAATTATCAGGTTCTGCTCTCATAGATGCGTCTACCAAGGTACCTCCTGACTGCACATAAAAATGATGCAAGAGGCCAGGCACAGTGGCTCACACCTGTAATCCCAGCACTTTGGGAGGCCGAGGCGGGCAGATCACTTGAGATCAGGAGTTCAAGACCAGCCTGGCCAACATGGTGAAACCCCGACTCTACTAAAAATACAAAAATTAGCTAGGTGTGGTGGCATGCGCCTGTAGACCCAGGTACTCTTGGGAGGCTGAGGCAGGAGAATCACTTGAACCTGAGAGGCTGAGGTTGCAGTGATGGCATCCCTGCACTCCAGCCTGGGCGATGGAGCAAGACTCCATCTGAAAAAAAAAAAAAAAAAAAAAAAAAAAAGATGCAAGAGATGCCTCTGCCAGTCTTGTTTTCTCTGTAATAGGATACTTTTTTCTCTTCAATGTATTGAGCCTGGTGATTAACACAATACAGGATATTGCATGTATGTGTTTAAGGGGTTTCTGGGAATCAGTTATAATTTTGTCTCCCATTCCCAGATTCGGATGTAATCCTGTCTGCATTAGAGTCAAGGAGACCTGAGTTTAAAGGCTACCTCTGCTACATATCAACTTGGTGGTCTTGAACAATGAGTGCATTTCTCCAATCTTCAGCTTGTTCATCTGCAAAATGGGGATAATAACCACTCCCTCAAAATATTACCGTGAAGACAGAGCTCATGTGCCTACCCTCAAAATCTTATTTTGTCAGAAAATAGCCGTTATTGTTATTATTAGAGCTTTCCTGGTTATTTTTTCTATTCTTGCCACCCTGACATAGATCTTCAGAACTCAAATCTACAGACTCTAAGATTTTCAGAGCTGGTGGAAACCATAAAATTCAACCTTCTATCTTTATAGATGAGGAAATTGAGGAGTAGATAGGTTGGGCACCTTGTTCTGGGTCATAGAGCTAGTTAAATTATTGAGCTGGGGTTAGAAAACACGTGTCCTGACTCTTAATCTGGTGATCATTTCCACCTCACAAAAGCTCCTAAAAGGAGGTTTTATTGCCTAAAACTTTAAGCCCCATGTGAAGCAGTGTCTCATTGACCAACATTGAACGAGGACTACAGTGGCTTTTGTTGGTTCAATGGCCGTCACCAACTAAATACCTTGAATACCTAGTTTCATTAATCCAGACAGAACCATGTCGAATACTAAAGTACCAGGTGTAAAACATCTTTCACCTACTGCCCATAACCATCCATGAGTAAAAATAAGAATGCACATATTCCCACAGCAGAGACAGGAAATTACACTCTACTGTGGTTATGAGATTACATCTTTTGTATTAATAAAATTGCTCATGGCACTGTGATTTCCCGCTACAGTCTTACCGACTTCTGCTTCCACTCTTTCCTCTACCGGCCATACTCTAGAGAATGCATGCAATAAAACTCTTAATTATTTTCCATATATTTTTATCCTTTTAGCAACTCCTATAATAAAAAGATAGTGCTGTGGGGGAAGTAGTTGCCATGGAAACTGACCAATGATAAACAGTCTCTTACTGTTGCATGGTGTGAAGCAGGAAGACAGGAGCAGTCTGCAACTCTCAGGAATGTGAAGGTAGTTGTGGGTCACGTTGCTCTCCCAGCCCTATCTGCCTGGCTGTTTGGACCTTACAGGAGCGTTGTATATTTGTCCATTTTAAGTGACCCTAGAGGTATGAAGGGAGAGTGTTATGACATATCTTCATGTGTATCTGACACAAAGGAAAGCAGCCTACTGGACCCACAGACCCTAGAGAGTTACAAAGAAATACATTTTTCAATGACCTTACAAAGGTTTGCCCTGGGCTGCAAGCAACGCAACCTGAGTTGTTAGCTCAAGCATACTACTGTTTACCTGTCAGAGCACATACAAGTTGGCAGATGAAATTCACAAGCTCTGTTTCTTGCTGGTTAGTATAATGGTTAAATACATATGCCTTGGGTCAGCGTTTCTTAGTTCAAATCCTAGTTCTTGCCTCCCACTTGATATATAATCTTAGACAGATTAACATCTCTAATCTTCAGTTTTCTCATCTACAAAATGCAATATGATGATAATCTTGTCTTTTTTTACCTAAAAGTTGTGTACCATTCAGTACAGTTTGTGGCACATTTGTATGCACTGGTAAAATGTTAGTCACTATTATTGCTTATAAATGGAGTGATTTTGACAAGTGATATGGAATACTCTTATGTGTCCTGTAAAAACTATTATGTTTAGATAAATCTTACTTTGTAGTAGCATAACTTTTATGTATGCTTAAAATTCCCAACCACCCTGCGAGATAGGTATCAACACCATATATATATATATACACACACACACACACGGTGTTGTGTCAGATACGCTATATACATATGTATGTAAACCAAATCTCAGAGGAATTACAAATGTGCCTTCAAATAAGCTTGTCTTGTAAAGTGCATAGTAAAATTGTAATGTGTCATCATTATTATTTGCTTATGAATATCCACTGTCCAGGTGCTCAGGAACTAAGCAAAAAAAGAAGTATCTAGTCAACTTGCAAAAAGTCTAACAGGGTACCTGCCATCCTATGTGTGTTCTGTGTTACAATGTAGAAAATTGAGTGGATAAGACAGTTTGTTTCATTTTCCAAGAAATTCCCTCCCTGCTTCAAATTTCCTCCATCAGCATTAAAGAGAGAAATGGTCAGGTATGTGTCTCTTGGCACAGGTCTATGGTACCCAATGCCCTTTCTAAATGGCCCCCTTACTTTTTTCATCTTTTTTTTTTACCTTTATGCCTTTTTCCTCCACTTTCCTGTACACATTTATGCTCTAAGATATTTTTTTCTCCTGTCAAATATGATTCCATCTTCACATAACTGCCATGGTATATCGTGTGGCATAAACTGTTCCTTCTTCCTGCCATCCCTATTCCCATTACCTTGTTGGATAAACTTTCACAGTTCTTTACACATCAACTTAAACATTCTCTCTATATGTGATCTCCTTATAATAGATTATAATCTACTCATGATAGATTAAAGATATTTGACATTAACTGTGTATTACACACACACATACACACACACAATATCATCTTTGGATACCATGTTTTATTAATAAAATCTGTGTGGGTTTACACGACCTTCAACACTACTAGCTCCCCAGAGGGCTGGGGCAACATCTGTGTTATGAGTGTATTCCTAGAGTGAAGCATGGTGTTTGGAACAAGTATATGTGTTCTATGTTTGTCTGTTGAATTGAGTACATTCTAGCCAGAAGAAGATTCTTTTAGGGGCTAAACTTTCCTACAAAAATTCCCTAAACCTTGAGAAAAATGATATGTCAGAATTCAGGCTCCACTTTAAGGAGTTGAGAACCAAATGATCTCAGTTTGTTTTGGCCTCTTCACTTACTAACTCTGTGAGTTTGAGCCAATTACTTTGCAACTCAAGCATTTATTAACTCTTTTCTAGCTCTTTCCTTCCTTCCTTCATTCTTTTTCCTTAAGAACATCTTATGTGTGAGGCTTTATTCTAGGTGGCTGAGATGCACAAATAAACAGATGTGATTCCCACTCTTAAGGTTTAGACGGACATAGGGTTGAAACAGTGCAGGGTTAATAGGGGCAACAGGAAAAAAGAAGCCAGTTGTATCAAGATTGAGCATGGTGAGGTGAGTTAACTCTCGCAGAAAATGTGAACAGTGATGGTATCTGTAAGAGCTATGTGGATTCAATTCCCAATACTGTTAAATACTTTTAATGCTACTGTTGGAGGAGGGTACAGTGTGTTCGTGTGAGTAAGGGAGAACTCTGGTGGATAAATAGCTAATTCTAGGTACAATAAAATAGATTGGCCAGGTGCAGGGGCTCATGCCTGTAATCCCAGCACTTTGGGAGTCCGTGGTGGGTGGATCATGAGGTCAGGAGTTCAAGACCAGCCTGGCCAATATGGTGAAACCTTGTCTCTACTAAAAATACAAAAATTAACCGGGTACGGTGGTGGGTGCCTGTAATCCCAGCTACTCAGGAGGCTGAGGCAGGAGAATCGCTTGAACCTGGGAGGTGGAGGTTGCAGTGAGCCCAGACCTCACCACTGCACTGTAGTCTGGGCGACAGAGCAAGACTCCATCTCAAAAAAATAAGTAAATAAATAAAAAATTTAAAAAAGGTTATAATTAATTACAACTATGAGAATCCCTTTAGCAATCATTAATTTGCCAATCGGTTTTAAACGTTTTCTTTTTTAAATTAATATGAATTTAAATATCCACATTTGGCTTTTGGCTACTACAGTTTGAGTCCAAAATTACTTCCACAAGTAAATGATTGCTTAAGCAAAGCCTGAAGCACAAGTGAAAAGTAACCAAGTGAGAAGGAAGTAAGGAAAAAGATTCCAGCATTAGTAACACAACTTGATCTATTAAGGAGTCCCATTATCTTAGTGAAAGCAGAGTGTGAGATGAGGTCTTATCAACATTATGTTTGGCTGAGTCAGATCTCAGAATATGAAATTTTTACCCAGCTCTGAGGGCCAGGCCATACCCATACTCTTAGTAGTGTCTCTGGATAACCAGTAGGTTCTACAGAGAGGTTAGCGTAAGAACTAGGGTGGGGCTTTGGGTATGAGAATAGCTGAAGGCAGCAGAGGTAAGGGAGTAGAAGCAGCCTGGGGGCGTTGAGTCCCTGGAGTTGGGAGAGTAAAGGCAGGCTCACCATTCAAAGACAAGCTAGTCTTCACTTCTGTCTCTCTTAGTCAAGATTCCACAGCATAGCAATACATCAGGAGGAACGTCTTATGTTTTAACCACACCCAGATTTCCATCCCACTAGGTTACAACGTATACTTGAAATAGAAAGTATTCACACTTGCACATCTGTCTGACAAGTCAGTCCATGCTGAGTCCAGCTGCTAGCATTGGAAGTACCATGGTCCGGTCTTAGGCTCGTCTTGTGTCAATTGGCCATAACTAGGAAGTTTGGATTTGCATAGGACTCTTGGATGGTGGAGGTCAACCAGCATTTAAAGATGGTATAATAGAAAGCAGCATAAGTTTTACCACTTATTAGCTAGAATAAGTTGCCTCCAGAAGTTGCTTCCATTATCTGGGTCTTATTTTTATTATCTCCTAAAATGATTGTGAGGATGAAGTGATGTAAAACATGTAAATACTGAAGACCCTGCAAGAACCTACGGAGGCAAGATAGGATACAGAGTTGAGATGTGAACGAGCCAGATGTGAAAAGCTCTAGCCCATTTCTAGAACAGTGGGTCCCAATCAGGACCCTGTCAGGGATATAAGTTTGGCCACATTTGCCCAACCAGTAGAATTTTCTGACTCCATTGCTATGAAGCCATCTAGACTGGGAGATATTCAATAAGATCGGAAAATAAAGTCTTTTAAAACATGACTGTATTCTTAGGGAGAAAAGTAATAAAATGAGATATTCTAGGTCAAACATATTCCTATTCAAAATATTAGCACCATGAGCTTGGAGTTTTATTCTGTCCACTGTTGTATCTCCAGTTGTGGAAACAATGCCTGGCACAGAGGAGACACTCAAAAAATTTTAAATGAATCAATGAATTAAAGAACAAATTAACTGACTATAGAGTTGATGTTGAAGACATTACTCAGTAAACTATGTAGCATCTTCTCTCTGGGAGTTCAAGGAAGAAACTTCCCCTAGGGCTAAGGACCAGGAATGACTTTGCTTCTCCAGAGCAGCAACTGTTTTTCTTTATCTTACTGATAATTAGAATCACACTCTTTTGTTTGCCCTGGCTACATGACTCGGAATAAAACTTTTAGTCCCTCTCTAACAAAATATCATTTTGCTTTTGTTTGGCTTTGTTTTTTCCCTTTGAACTTTATTATTTTTTAACTATGGCTGCTGACCCCCGCTGCACTAGAGAAACAGAATCTTAGAAGTCATCTAAGATGAGGTAGACCTTAACTTTAGCTTCCACACCCTTCCCTTCAAAGCTAGACTTTTTGGCCAAACTGAAGTCTGACTGTTTATTCTGTGTGTGTGTGTGTGTGTGTGTCTGTGTACTTTTATTCTTATTATATCATATCATATGTCTTATCTTAAAGTTTTATTATTTGCATTTTCTTCCACACGAAGACCACCATGTTCATATAGGATAGCTGTGATGCTTTCTCTGCAGGATGAAGTTTTAGCTAAGAGCTAAATGGAAACATTTAATTTCTTAGTGTAGCAGTCCCCAACCTTTTTGGCACCAAGGACCAATTTTGCAGAAGGCAATTTTTCTATGGACCTGGAGTGGGTGTGGTTTCAGGATGATTCAAGCATATTACATTTATGGTCCACTTTATTTCTATTATTATTACATTTTAATATATAGTGAAATAATTATACAACTCACCATAATGTAGAATCAGTGCGAGCTCTGAGCGTGTTTTCCTGCAATCAGATGGTCCTATCTGGGGGTGATGGGAGACAGTGACAAATCATCAGACATTAGATTCTCAAAGGAGCACACGACCTAGATCCCTCACATGCGCAGTTCACAATAGGGTTCATGATCCTATGAGACTCTAATGCTACTGCTGATCTGCCAGGGGGCAGAGCTCAGGTGATAATGTGAGCAATGAGGATCAGCTGTAAATACAGATGAAGCTTCTCTTGTTCACCTGCTGCTTACCTCCTGTTGTGTGGCTCAGTTCCTAACAGGCCACCCATAGTACTGGTCTATGGCCTGGGGATTTGGGACCCCCCTGCCTTAGTGTCTTCATATTGTTTCCTCCACAGCTAGAATTCTCAAAGCTAAATTCTTGACTTAAGACACCTTTTGATGTACACATTTTATTCCTAGGCATGCACTCAAGATCTACACAGAACAAGTCAATTATATGTTCAAGCCAGAAGGTCCTGTGGATTAGAATTGCTAGATAAAACAAAGAACACAGTTAAATTTTAATTGCAGATAGACACAAATAACTTCTTTAGTATAAGTATATTCCCAAACATACTAGATGTCTCATACTTTCATCTGATCAATCTGGAAACTGTACTCTTGATAGGTACCCAAACCTAGCTCAGGGCAGAAGTTTGAGACTAAGAGCCCCAATTAACAGGTAGCTAAGGACTTTGGAAGTGCCTGAGACTCATAACTCCACGAGATAGAATGTTTCCCTAGGCACTGTATAGAACTGTCGATCCCCGAAGAAAACAAGAGTGTGAGTCATGGTCCTTGAAGACCAGCAGTGTATTATTTCAGAAGCATAAATCTATTGCCTTGGGTTAAGGGGACTCATTTTCCTCAGTTTGGTTTGAAGCAACCTTTTTCTGAGAATTATTTGAGATGCTTTCCTCAAAATGCAATCAATGTTCACTACAATATAAAAGGCCTCCTCTTCGTGTCCAATTCCACTTCTGACTGATCTTCTGCCTCGTTCACATCTCTGTTAGGCTTGACTGTATCTCAGGTCTGTCACAGTTACTAAGAACTGGTATGATTTCACAGGTCAATAGTGCAACTTGTGCAGGATGTTTTGCTAGGTTCTTTGCAGATAAAAGAATGTACAAATCATGGATTGCACCCTCTAGGGGTAGTAAGTCCATATGAGTTATACAGAGCCGTCATAAAAGATAGCACAAAATGTTAAATAGGGTAAATAAGAATCCATTGAGCTGTGTTGTAGATCTAGTGTGTACTATGCAGAGTTCTATGGATATATTGGTGAATTATATTATTCAGAAACTGAGTCTATCCACAAATTGACTGTTACCATAGGATCCAAAAGAGCCAAAGTGTAATTTCATAAAAATATTTGTTAAATACCTACTGTAATCTAGGCACTGTGCTAAACGCTGGGGACACTGTTTTTTTTAAAAATATTATTTTAAATGGTTTCTACCATCTTGGAGCTATCAGGCTAATTCACAAGACTCATATTCAATAAATAAATATACAAACACATACAAATGCTCCTCCACTTACGATAAGTTTATATCTTGATAAACCCATTATAAATTGAAAATATTGTAAGTGGAAAACGCATGTAATACACTTAACATACTGAACATAATAGTTTAGCCTAGCCTACCCTAAATGTGCTCAGAATACTTACGTTAGCCTTCATTTGGGCAAAATCATCGCATACAAAGTCTATTTTATAATAAAGTGTCGAATATCTCATGTCATTTTTGAATATTGTACTAAAAGTGGAAAACAGAGCAGTTGTGTGGGTATCATCGTAAAGCTGAGAAATAGTAAATTGAACCACTGTAAGTGGAAGACCATCTATAATTGCAAATTATGCTAAATCCTAGAAGAAAGAGATTGAGATGCATGAAAAAGAGTAGCACAGAAGGCCTGCTTCACAATGAATAGGTAGGAAAAAGTTCTGCAAGAAAGTGGCATTTCAGCTCAAGCCAGAAGGTCTAGGAAGACTGAGGTTGGTGAAAGCAGGGAGATGGTGATCAAGATAGAGGAGGTAGCATGCAGGCCCTAAGGCAGGAACACAAAAATGTGTTATGGTTGTAGTTAGGGTAGCTTTGCAGTGAAGGTCAAGCCATTTTGAATGCAAAGAAGATGGAGAGTGTATTTCAGGAGTGTGCATTCACCAAGTACATTATGTATTCTCTGTTCTGTGTCTTTTTGTGTCTTTGTTCATGCTGTTCTTTCTGTCAGGAATGCTTTTCATTCTTTTTTGCCTCACTAATTCCTGAAAGGCACAAGGTAAAAGTAACCTACCTTTCCATAAAATTTTTCATATCTGATGGTCTAAAGCATCATTTACTGGTTTCCCTTTATAGCCCATTTTTTTCGCACTTTGACTATATTTAGCAAGAATTTATATTATATAGTATTGCACATATTGTGCTTAATTTATTGATAAAGGTCAATTGTCCTCCAAACTTCCAAGTACTAAGATTGAAAGCAGTCTTTCCACCTGCATCTAAAAACACCAGCCACCACATCCCCAGCTCCCAGGATAGCATGCTGGTACTTGAACTTCAGGCTTGATGCCTTTGTCTTGTCTTCTAATTGATAAATTATCTCCCATTTTCTAAAAGCCAAAATTCTTCAAATTAATTTATGTTCCAAAAGGAGTGAGAAATCAACCAGAGAACAGAGTTGATGAGATAATAAAATACTTTCCCTTTCTCTCTTCTTTGTTCCCTCATGAAGTGATCTTCTGGATGACAAGACTTAATTGGAAGATATAATTTAGGATCTAGGAACTTCCTGCTTATTAGGATCTCTAGCAGTGAAGTGTTGATCAAATTCGGCATGGAGCCCCAAGGGCAAAAGGAAGAAAACTGAGATGGAAGTAAATGAGCTTTGTGTTTTTAATATGGACAGGCAGGGTGACTAGGGAAGAAAAGCAGGCAAGTGTATGGACAGAACCTGATGAAGTATGGCTCCAATTGGCTGTGTACACCCCATCTTATTTCTCAGGAACCTAAGAAAACTAAGACATACCTGAAAGTGCTGCAGAACCAAGGGAAAAGAGGGAATCTTTCAAAAGTCTCGTAATATGTTCTATGGAGTTGTAGGATGCAAATTGTTGTAGTCAGAAAAACGCAGCTTGTAGAGGAAGAGTAGAAAAATAAAATGAGTGAAGTGATCCAGGTAGAGCTGAAGTGACTGGGATCAGCCATGACTCATCTCATGGAGGCAGCTGCAGTTCAGATCCAGATGTGGCCAGATAGGACCCCTGGCCCACTCTTCCCAGATCATTTATTTGTTTGATGTTGTTTTTTTCACTATTATTTCTTTAATTCTCTCTGGAACACTTTCATTTTGTTTCAATATGAATTACCTTTCCTTTAATTAATATCAGTTAATCAGTTAACTCAAATTATTAAAAATTGTGTTAATTTTTAATTCTTGAGAAAAACTCTTTGGCAGTATCTACTAAAGATGAACATACCCACCCCTCCAAATAAGAATTTTCAATATTTCCATTGTACTCACAAAAAAATCTGTACAAGTATTCAGCAAAATATGCACACTGAAATATTAACAAAAGCAGTCTTTGTATTACTCAGAAATTGTAAGCATCAAAGGTTAAGTATCCCTCAACAATATAATAAATAAATATGTTTTTGAATAAATAAATAGATAAATGAGCTGTAAAATAGATACATTTAATCCTTGAACAACACAGGGCTTAGGAATGCCAACCTTCCATGCATTTGAAAATCCACATGTAACTTTTGACTCCCCCAAAACTTAACTACTGATACCCTATGTTGACCAGAAGCCTTACCAATAACATAAACAGTTGATTAACACATATTCTGTATGTCATATGTATTATATACTGTATTTTTAAAGTAAGCTAGAGAAACAAAAATGTTATTAAGAAAATCATAAGGAACAGAAAATATAATTACTATTCATTAAGTAAAAGAGGATCTTTATAAAGGTCTTCATCTTTGTCATCTTCATGTTGAGCAGGCTGACAAGGAGGAGAAAAAGGAGGGGTTGTTCTTACTGTCTCAGGAGTGGCAGAGGATGAAGAGGTTGAGAAGATGCAAGGACAGGCCAGAGAGGCAGGCACACTTGGTGTAACTTTATGAAAATATGTTGTACTTTTTGTCTAAATTTTTGGTACCAATCCTTTTTTTATTGTTTGCTTTTGTTTCAATGCCTGTATCATAGAAGGATCCATGTCATGAAAGGAGTCAAAAGCAGTCTTGAATAATCAGAACCCTTCTGCCAGATTGTCTAACATCAATTTGTTTTCTGGAGCTGCTTCTTCTATGTCTTCTTCCTCACCATCTAGCACTGGTTCAGAAGCATTCATCTCCGTTAAGTCATTTTCTGTTAATTCCCCTTGAGTGGTGTCTATTAGTTATTGAATCTCTCCAAGATTTATATCTTTAAACCCTTTACTACCTATCTTTTCTGCCATATTCACAACCTCTTTGATAATTGTCTTGATTGGCTTTGTTATGAATCCTGTGACATCATGCACATCTGGACACAGTTTTTCTCCAACAGGAATTTATTGTTTCTGGCTTGACAGCTTTTTCTATAACAATAATGGCATCTTCAATGGTGCAGTCCTTCCAGAATTTTGTGATGTTTTCTCTGTCAGGGTTCTCCTCCATAGTGTTGACAATCCTTTCCATAGAGTACCATGTTTAATGAGCTTTAAAGGTCCTTATGACCTCCTGGTCTAGAGGCTAAATAAGAGATGTTGTGTTTTTCGTCAAGTAGGCCACTTTAATGCCTTCAGTGTTGAACTCATGGGGTTTTTGGTGGCCAGGGGCATTCTCCAGTATCAAAAGTACTTTAAAATGCACTCCCTTACTGGAAAGATACTTCCTGACTTCAGGGACAAAACATAGATGGAACCAATTCAGAAGAGGATTTTTATTGTCCAGGCCTTCTTGTACAGTGAAAATCCTGGCAGCTGGTATTTATCTTCTCCCTTCAAGGCTTAGGGATTAGCAACTTTATAGGTAAGGGCAGTCCTGACCATTAACCCGAATGTGTTTGCGTAAAACAGTAAAGTTAACCTGTCTTTTTCTGCCTTAAGTTCTGGCACTCGTTTTTCTTCCTTACTAATAAATGTCCTTTGTGGCTTTTTGTTTTCTTCCAGAATAGGGAACTTTCATCTATATTAAAGATATGTTCAGGCAAATATCCTTTAACCTTAATGATTTTCTTAATGGCATCTGAGAACTTGTCTAATGCCTCCTGATTGGCAGAAGCTGCTTCTATTATTTTGAATTTTTAAAGCCAAATCTCAAGTATCAAACCATCCTTTGCTGGCATTAAATTCTTCAGCTTTAGATCCTTCACCTTGCTTTTGCTTTAAGTTGCCATATAATGATGTCACTTTTTCTGCATTCATATTAGAGTCTATAAGTATGCCTTTCTTATAGAAATCCTGCACCCACATAAAAGCAGCATTTTCAATACAAGATAAAAAAGTATTTCACCAAAAAGTGCAAGATTTTTATGCCTGCTGGTGTGGTTGCAGCAATGGCTTCATTAATTTGTGTTTACTTTTTTTTATAATGGCTCTTATGCTGAATTCATTTATCTTCAAATGGTCAGTAGCCACAGCTGCAGACCTTAATCTACAGTACATATTAAGCAATGCAACTTTTTCTTGTAATATCAGAACTTTTCTTTGCTTCTTGGAAGTAAAACTCGTGGCACTTTATGTGTGTTCCGTAGTGTTATTCAAGATTTATGGTATTGCATTAAACATAGTGAACAATACACAAGAACTTTGAGAGATCACATTTTACTGTGATACACAATTTACTCGAGAGATGAACTGCTCATGCAGAGATGACTAGAGTTACACAGCATTTATACTTGGAACCCTTGAACTCACAACTATAGCAAGAGAAGGTGGCTACAAAATTATTACAGAAGTACAGTACATACTACAATAAATTTTGCACAGACATGATTTAATACTGCACACTTACACTTACATTTTTCTCTATTGCAAATGGTGCCATGTATGGTCTGTAAGTGTTTGTGTAAGCTTTGATAAATTTTAACTTTTATAATAGTTTCATATATATTTTATGGTAGTAAAAATGATAAAATAGATCTGTATATAAATATATTTCATGGGCCGGGTGCAGTGGCTCATGCGTGTAATTCCAGAACTTTGGGAGGGCAAGGCGGGCAGATGACTTGAGGCCAGGAGTTCAAGATCAGCCTGGCCGATATGGTGAAACCCTGTCTCGACTAAAAATATGAAAAAAAAAAAATTAGCTGGATGTGGTAGCATGCACCTGTAATCCCAGGTACTTGGGAAGCTGAGATGCACCTGTAATCTCAGTTACTTGGAAGGCTGAGACAGGAGAATCACTTGAACCAAGGAGCAGAGGTTGCAGTGAGCTGAGATCACGTCATTGCACTCCAGCCTAGGCAGCAGAGTAAGACTCCGTCAAGATAAATAAATAAATAAATAAAATAATTTATGTTTTCGAATCATCACTTTAAATTTTTTTTTATATTTCTAGGCTATGTGGTTTGTCTGAAAGTTTCTTAAAATTGTTGCAAATCCCCCAGTTTTTTCCAATGTATTTATTGAAAGAATCTGTGAATAAGCGATCCACGTGCTTCAAATTGATGTTGTTTAAGGGCCAACTGTACATAAGTAGTGTAGTAAATAAATTATGGTATGAAATATTTTACAATATACAAATTACTGCTATATGCAACAAAATGAATGAATTTTGTTATATTTGGTTAAACGTCAAAAGACATAAAATGTGCATATGAAAATGATTTAATTCAGAGGAAAAACTTACAATATAAAAGCAGTCAAAACTAATGAAGAAATAAAGATAGTGAGAAGGTGATAATGATTGCTGGGTACATAAATGGGCATTTTTGGGTACTGGTAAAAATTTTAGTAATATACAGATGTCTTCACTTTGTAAGTATTTGTTGAGCTGTACACTTACGATATAGGGTTTTTTTTGTGTGTGGATGTCACGCTTCAAATAAAAATTATTTAAAAAATAGACATATAGAAGGACATGAAGCACTTTTGATCCTGTGATATAGATGAAGAAATGGATAAAATAAAAATAATATCTTACGACTAATCTGTCAAATAGTGCTAGATGAGATCAGGAGATCTATTGTACAAATGGTGATTGTAGTTAACAACAATACATTGTACATTTAAAAATTGCCAAGTAGCTATTAAATGTTCTTACCACAAAAAATATAAGTATGTGAAGTAATAGATATGTTGATTAACTTGATTGTGCCATTTTGCAAGGTATTCATACATCAAAACATCATGTTGTACCCCATAAATATATGCATTTTAATTTGTAAATTTAAATCTTTTGAGTGCTAGATTTAAAGAAGCTTTGTTGAATTGAAGACATAAATTATAAGACAGAAGTAGAAAACTGTCTTTCTTTTTTGCATACAACATGATTATGTACATTAAAATCCATTATAGTGTATTAAAAATAAATAAGCATGAGAACAGTGACTTCAACAATGTTTCAAGATAAAAGGTCAATATATAAAAATCACCTGTATTTCTATACCCTAGCAATTAACAATAGAAAATTAAAAATTTTTAAATTAATATTTACTTTAGCATCAGAAGCATAAAATCCTTCTGAAATATTTTAACACAAGTTGTACAAGACTGCTACACTAAAATTTTAAAATCATTGTTGAGACAAGTTAAAGTAGTAAATAAAATGAGAGTTATACCAGGTTCATGGATTGGAAGGTCAATATTATTAAGATGTTAATGCTTCTCAAATAGATTTACATATTCAACCATCCCAATTAAATATTCAGCAGGACATTTTGGTAAAAATTGATAAGCATTTTATTACATTGATATGGATATTTAAAGGTCCTGGAATAGCTAAAACAATCTTGAAAAGAAAAAAAAGTTGGCAGATTTGCATTATTTAATTTAAAGACATTTTAAAGCTACAGTAGTTAAGACTATAGTTAAGATTAAGACAGTGTGATACTGGTGTGAGGCTAAACAAACAGATCAATGGAAAATAACAGAAAGTCATAAAGTAGACAGACATTGATGCAATTAATTAATTTATGGCAAAACTGTAAGTACAATTTAATGGGAAAATGAATGTCATCTCAAAATAGTGGGATAGAATAATTCTATTCATGAACCAAAATGATTATTTCAAGATTGATTATTTTCCTAGGTGGAAAGCTAAAATTATAATATTTTATTTATTTTATTTAATATTTCTTACTCTGTCACCCAGGCTGGTGTGCAGTGGCTTGATCATGGCTCACTGCAGCCTTGACATTTGGCACTCAAGTGGTCTTCCTGCCTCAGCTTCCCAAGTAGCTGGGACTAAAAGCATGAAACACCATGCCCTGGTAATTTTTATTTTTTTAAAAAATATTTTACCCAACATAGGGGTCTCCCTATGTTGCCCAGGCTGGCCTCAAACCCCCAGGCTCAAGCAATCCTCCTACTTCAGCCTCCCAAAATGCTGAGATTATAACCATGACCCACCATGCCCAGCCTATAATATATATTTTATATACATAATACTGGAAAGAAACAGTAGAATATCATAGCAAACTTGGCATAGGCAATTATCCCTGAGACAAACACAAAATGAACTAACCATAAATGTGGAAAAAATGGACTTCATCAAAATTAAAGACTTCTGTTCATCAAAGGACTCCTTTAAGAGAAATGGCAAGTTACAGAATTGGAGAAAATACGCACAGTACGTATTTATGACAAAGAACTTATATACAAAATATTTAAAGAACTCATTTACATCAAGAATAAAAATACAAATAATGCAAGAAAAAATGGGCAAAATAGTTGAAGAGGCACTTCACAGAAGACATGCAAGAGACCAAGAGTCACAAGAGAAGGTGCTCAATTCAACATCATTAGTCTCTAGGAAATGGAAATTAAAACCACATTGAGATACCACTTCACACCTGCTAAAATGACTAAAATTAAAAATTTTGGCAAGTTTGTGGAGGAAATAAAACTCTTACATTGCTGATGCAAATGTGAAGTAATTTTAAAAAAATGGTTAAGAAACTTGCTTCTTATAAAATTAAAGACATTCCTACCACCGGACTAATAAATTCCACTTCCAGATATGTTTCCAAAAAATATGAAATTATATGTCCAAACAATGCTTACAAGAATATGCACAGCAGATTTACTTTCCAGCCAAAAATTTCTATCAATAGGAGAATGTATAAACATATTGTAGTATATTCATATAATGGCTTAGTAATCATCTTTCACAGACTTGCTGTTAAACACATTTAGTTAAGTAGTCAGACATAATAGTATATATATTATATAATACCATTTATATAAAAACTCTAGAACAGGCACAATTCTGCTGAAATCTATCATGTTAGTAGTTTTATTAGGCTAGGATTGGGGATTGACTGCAAATGGGAATGATGAAACTTTCTGGGATAATAGAAGTGCTCTATATCTTCATTGGTAGGGTAGTTACATGGATGTATACATTTCTGAAAAAGTTATCTAACTATACACTTAAGTTCTGTGTATTGTCTTTTTTTTTTTTTTTTTTTGAGATGGAGTCTCGCTCTGTTGCCCAGGCTGAAGTGCAGTGGCATGATCTTGGCTCACTGCAACCTCCACCTCCTAGGTTCAAGAGATTCTCCTGCCTCAGCCTCCTGAGTAGCTGGGATTATAGGCACGTGCTACCACACTGGGCTAATTTTTGTATTTTTAATAGAGACGGGGTTTCACCATGTTGGCCAGGCTGGTCTTGAACTCCTGACCTCTTGATCCACCTGCCTCGGCCTCCCAAATTGCTGAGATTACAGGGGTGAGCCACCATGCCTGGCCTATATTTTCTTTAAGTTAATTATACTACATACACATACATTGACAAAAAAAAACCTTAAATTTGGCGGACTGCTGGATTTAAGTTCTGACATTAAAAACTATATGTCTTTTGACAAGTTACTTCACTTCTCTAAGCCTCAGTTTTCCCACCTATATAAAAGAACATTTATGCTATGAAACAAAAAGCTTCCTTTGAGAAATAAATACACTAATCTATATCATCTAACATTATCCTGGGCACATAATAGTCACTCCATAAATATTAACCATTATTATTAGAGATGGATCACTAATTTTTTTTCTCATCTTTGGACTTCGGTGAAATTCACTCTAAACTTAAGAAAGGAGAGTCAAAGGTGGGGCAACAAGACATTTAGAAAAAGCGCTTGTCTGGGAATCATGAAACTCATGTTCTAGCCTAGTTTGGTAATAACCATAGTGTTGTGAGCAGGAGAAAACATGACCAATTAGAAAAAGAAGTACTTTGGAGCCACAGAGATTTGGGGTTGAATCCTGCCTGCATAGTTTATAAGCAAACTACTCACAACAGCATATAAACTCTACTATGTGACCTTGAGTAAGTTAATTTAATATCTTGAAGCCATAATGTCAATTTGTCTCTAAAGTACCAATAAATATGGCTATCCCCTACAGTGGTCTGGATTAAAAGTGATAGTGCATATAAAGGGCCTGGCACATAGCAAGTCCTCAATAACTAATACAGTAGGCCCTCCGTTTCCATAGATTCCACATCTACAGATTCAACCAATAGTGGACCAAAAATAGCAATAAACATAATACAAAGAAAAATGATACAGTATAGTAAACACTTAAATAGCATTTACATTATATTAGGTGTTATAAGTAATCTAGAAATGATTTGAAGTATAAAGAAGGATATGTGTAGTTTATATGCAAATACTATGCCATTTCATATCAGGAACTTGAGCATCCTTGGATTTTGGTATCCATGAGGGTCGTGGAGCCAACCCCTCACACATACTAGGAAAAGACTCTACCTTCTTTTCCATTCTTTTCCCTTGGTGTGGGCTTAAATTATTTTAGTAAATTAGGCAAACTGAGCTCTCAGGCAACTTTAAAATATTTAATTCTTCTGATTTGAAATGTTTAAACTTGTCAGTACAATCTGTAGGTCTACCAATCTATATATATATATATTTTTTTTATCTAAGATGAACCAAAAGCTCCTACAGAAATTAATCCTACTCTTAAATCTCATAGAAATAATGTTCCATGGTGGATACCAGGGGCTAGGGAGGTGTGGGACAAGGGTTGGTGTTGTTGAGATGTTGGTCAAAGGATTGCACAACTTGGGTGACTATAGTTAAAAAAATTAAAGCACATCAAAAAAGCAAAAGTATAGATTCACTCAGATTAAGAAGATCTCTGGCCTAAGCTCATCATTGCCTGGGTCACTGTGTTTTCTCTCACTAAGGCTACAAGAGTGTGTTTACATAAGAGGCACATCTTTAACTATCTAAAAAAATAAGATGTAGGGACAGACTGTACACCACTAAGAAAAAATATAAAACCACAAATTCATCTGAGGACGCTGGATATGATAGACCCTTTAATTTGAAGAGTAACATAGTCAAGGAACTCATGTAGAGATGAATTAATTTTCTATTTGGTTGAAGATGAAAATCTCCCCTTTCCTTCATCTGTGTTCCTTAGCACAATGCAGCAATGTGGATTTGTAAGAGATGTCAGCAAAATATATGCAGCGATTTTCCGCTATGAATTCCTCTGTAGATTTAAAGAGTCCTAGAAACATTAGAGAGAAAAAGAGTGCTTACTAGTTATCTATTAGATGTTCCCAGATTTACATGTAGAAATTGGCAGCCAAAAGCGGGAGGATGGCTTGCCCATTTTAATGGATATCAGATCTGGAATAGGATCTAAGGTCTAAGGCGTCTTCGATGATACTCCTCTTTTATATGTTTCATATTAAGGGTAACTTCGCTTAGAAAAGACAAACCACAAACACATTGGTAATCACAGTTCTTACCCTTGTTTTGCCCAGTAGATTAGGAGGTAGATGTTCCCAGTGCAGTCAGTTGAGCTAGATCACTGTGAACGCCAGCTTCATAGATGTACCCTAGTAGCTTACATCTGGTTTTAGTTTATGATTTAAATCAGCTTTGTTGTTGTTGTTGATTTTTTAAATTTTTTTAAAGTCAAAATGTTGAAAACCACATATACAGAGAAAATCTTACAAACAGAGAAAAACAAAACATTTTATTTTTAATACAGAGGACTCATCAGAAACCATAAACACTAAGAGATAGCAAAATAAAGGTATTTTCAGATAAAGGAAAATTAAAGGAGTTTGTACGCAGCAAAGATGCACTACCAAGAATACAAAGTAAGCTTTTTAGGTTGAAAAGAAATAATATGACATAAAATCTTCGTTGTTCAAAAATGAATGAAGGGCATTGGAAGTAGTAAATATCTGAGTTAAAAATTGAAGACGATTTCCACCAAGCGCGGTGGCTCACGCCTGTAATCCCTGCACTTTGGGAGGCCAAGGCAGGCAGATCACGAGGTCAGGAGATCGAGACCATCCTGGCTAACACGGTGAAACCCCGTTCTCTACTGAAAATACAAACAATTAGCCAGGCGTGGTGGCGGGCGTATGTAGCCCCAGCTACTCAGGAGGCTGAGGCAGGAGAATGGCGTGAACCTGGAAGGCGGAGCTGGCAGTTAGCCGAGATAGCGCCACTGCACTCCAGCCTGGGCGACAGAGCGAGACTCCATCTCAAAAAAAAAAAAAAAAAAAAAAAAAAAAAAAAAAAAAAAGACGATTTCATTTTCCCATTAAATGATTTAATTTACTCATGACTATGTAAAGCAAATTTATAACATTTTGTTGTTGGTATTATATGTATATATGTTAAAGACAACTATAACACATAGAACAAAAAAGACGTTGCAGGATTTCTACATTTTATGTCAAGGGGAGCTATACTAACGTTAGGTAGAATGTGAAATATAAGAATACATATGCTAATCTTTAGAGCAATCACTAAAAAATTATGTAACAAGGTAAAGTTAAAAATCCAAAAAATACATTACAATTAAATCCTAAAAAAGTATTCAAGTTTGGGTGCGGTGGCTCATGCCTGTAATCCCAGCACTTTGGGAGGCCAAGGAGGGTGGATCATGAGGTCAGGAGATTGAGACCATCCTGATTAACACGGTGAAAACCCGTCTCTACTAAAAATACAAAAAATTAGCCGGGCATGGTGGCGGGCGCCTGTAGTCCCAGCTACTTGGGAGACTGAGGCAGGAGAATGGCGTGAACCTGGGAGGCAGAGCTTGTAGTGGGCCGAGATCGCCACTGCACTCCAGCCTGTGCGACAGAGCAAGACTCCGTCTAAAAACAAAAAACAAACAAACAAACAAAAAGTATTCAAATGATTCAAAAGCAAACAGGAACGAAACTCACAACAAAAGATGGAGCAAACAGAAAGCAATAAACTGGTAGGCTTACTTCAATCATATCCATAATTGCATTAAAATTAGTAGTTTAAATACTCCAGCGAAAAGGTCAAAACTTTCAGGATTGATAAAAATACATGAATCTGCTATATATTGTCTACAGGACAAACACTTTAAAATGAAACACAGATAGACTGAAAGTAAATAACATAAAAAATATTCGATAAAAACAATGTGGTAGGTAGTCTCTAAGATGGTTTGCTGAAGACCATTGTATTCTGGTATTCATGCCCTTGTGTAATCTCCTCCCCTTGAGGGTGGGCTGGAATTGCTGACTTGCTTCTGTCTTATCAGAAGCAAGTCAGTAATTCTGCTTATTCTAAAACAGAAAAGATGGGATGACACTTCTAAGATTAGATGATAAAATATCTACAGCTGCCGTCATAGGTTCTTTTTCTCTCTCTCTCTCTGTCTCTTCATTTGCTCTCATCATTTGCTCTGGAGGAGTCCAGGTGCCTGGCATATCTTGAGGACACCCAGTCAATCCTATAGAAAGCCCACATGGTGAGGAACTCAGGACTCTCAGTTCAACAGGCCTTGAAGAACTAAGACCTACCAACAGCCACTTGAGTGAACTTGGAAGTGATTATTCAGTCCAAGTGGAGCTTGAGATGGCTGCATTGTTGACCAATAGCTTTGTTGCAAGCTCATGAGAGACCCTGAAGCAAAATCACTCAACTAATCTGCTTCCTAATCCCTGACCCACAGAACTGCAAGATGATAAATGTTGTTTTAAGTCACTAAATCTTGGAGTAATTTGAATCAGAACAATTTATAATTATTACAAAGTAAGCATGAGGAAGCTGGAGTAGCTATATTACCAATACATAAACTAGAAAAAGAGTTATAATGTAGGAATTATAAGAGGTAAAGAAAATCATTTCAAAATGATAAAAGGGTCAACCCATTATTCATCATAATCACAACTATACCTGAAATAACAGAGCCTCAAAATACCTGAAGCAAATATTGATAGAATTCCTGGGATAAATAAACAATTCCACAATCAAAGAAGACAATGTTAATACTTTACTCTCAGCAATGGATAAGACAACTAGAAAAAAAAAAAACAGTAAATGCAGAAATGATCTGAATAGCACTATCAAGTACAAACTAATTAAGACCTGTAGAACACAATGCCTCACCTAGATGCACAATATATGTTCATCAAGAAAGAACACATGCTTGACCACAAGACAAGTCTCAATAAATGTAAAAAAATGCAATCGTATTATTTGAGTACAATGTAATGCAATTTGAAGTCACTAATAGTAAGATACTTACAAAACCCCAAATATCTGAAAATTAATCAAAACAATTCTAAATAATCTACCAGTCAAAGAACAAAGCACAATGAAAATAATACTTTGAACAGAATTATAAAGAAAATATACTAAAGAATGAAGGATGACAATAAAGAAAAGAATAGTAAGAAGTTGACAAATATAAGTCCATACATTAGAAGGGTAAAGTCTAAAATATTCATGCTAAGTGTGGTGACTCACACCTATAACCCCAGCACTTTGGGAGACCTAGATGGTAGGATTGCTTGAGCCCAGGAGTTTAAGACAAGCCTGTGCAACACAGTGAGGCCCCATCTATAAAAATAAAAGACAAAAGAAAATTTAAAAATAAAACCATGAGCTAAGGTCCCACCCATAGAAATTAGGGGAAAATAAAAGCAAAATAAACTCCAAGTAAGTAAAAATAAATAAGTAAATATGAGCATAAATCAATCAAATAAAAACCAAAATAGTAGAGGAAAAAATAAGATGTGATTCTTTAAAGAAATCACTAAAAATAATAAAAAGTTAGCTAACTGATAAAGATAAAAAATATTGGAATGAAAGAGGGGTTATTACTATAGATCCTCCGGATATTAACAGAATAAGATTATTATTTAATAACTGCACCAATAAGTTTGACAAGAGGAAATGGACTAATACCTTGGCAAATATAACTAATCAAAACTGACAAATAATGAAACAGAAAACCTGAGTAACCTTATGTCCATTAAAGAATTACACACACAAGGACACATACATACTCACACACACAACTCTGGGCTCAGATGGTTTTAGTGGTCAATTGTACATTAGATATAATACATTAGAAAAAGCAGTATGAATCTTCCACAAATTCTTTCAGAAAATAAAAAACAGGTAGGAATACTTTCTCATTTGTTTTCTGATACCAGCATAAACTCATTACTAAAACCAATAAAAGCATTATTTTAAATATATACATAAATATCCCTCATGCTCTTGAATGTAAAACTACTTAACAAATATTAACATTAAGGGTTAGGTGAATGATTAGCAAATCATGATATTGCTTTTCTTATGTAAGCAAAATATTAAGAGTGGATGAGCACGAGTATGTCAGCCTGTGAGGGAAAAATCACATTCCTGTTTTCTTTTTCAGAATGTTATGCACTCGAAATCACATAGTACGTAGGTTTTCCAGACTAACTTCCTTGATTTCACAATATGTGTAAGAGTTACTTCATTTCTTTTAAATCACTGAATAGTATTCCATTGTGTGGATGTACCACAGTTTGTTTACCTGCTCACCTTTTGAAGGACATCTTAGTTGCTTTCAATTTTTGATAACTATTAATAAAGCTGCTATAAGCATTCATGTATGGGTTTTTGTGTGCACTAGATTTTTAATTCATTTAGGTAAATACCTAGAAAAGCAATGACAGCATATGCTTATGTTTAGCTTTGTAAGAAACAGCTAATCTGTTTCCCAAAATTTGTTTCCCCACGAGCAATGAATGAGAGTTCCTGTTGTTCCATATTCTCAGAGGTATTTGGTATTGTCAATATCTTTGATTTTAGCTGTTCTAACAGTGATGCAATGGCATCTCATTGCTGTTTTAATTTGCAATTCTCTAATTACATGTTATATTGAAGATCTTTTACATATGCTTAATCACCTTCTGTATATCTTTGGTGTGGTATCTGTTGAAGTCTATTGTCAAATTTTTAACTGGGTTGTTTGTTTCACTATTGTTGAATGTTAGGAGTTCTTTGTATATTTCTGATACAAGTCCTTTATTAGATATGTGATTTGCAAATATTTCATCTCAGTCTGTGGCTTTTTGTTCTCTTAAAAGTGTATGTCACAGAGAAGATGCTTTTAATTTTAATGAAGTCCAACTTAATAATTATTTTTTGTTTATGGGTCATGATTTTGGGTGTTGTATCTAAATAGCCATCAGCAAACCCAAGACTGTCTTAAATTCATTTCTATACTATTTTGAGAAATTTTATGTTTATATTTTACATTTAGAAAGATCTATGATCCATTTGAATTAATTTTTGTGAAATATAAAATGTCTGTCTAAATTTATTTTTTTGGCATATGGATGCCCAGTTGTTTCAGTACCATCTGTTGAAAAGGGTATTCTTTCCCCATTGAATTGCCTTTCCTCTTTTGTCAAAGATCAGTTGACTGTACCCAAGTGGGTCTATTTCAGGGTTTCCATTCTGTTCCATTGATCAATTTGTCTATTATTTTACCAATACCACAGTGGCTTGATCACTGTATTTTTATAGGAAATCTTGAAGTTAGGTGGTGTCAGTCCTCTGGCTTGTTCTTCTTCAGCATTGTGTTGGCTTCTGGATCATTTACCTCTCCATGTAAACTCTGCAATCAGTTTACTGATTTCCACAAAATAACTTGCTAGGATTTTGCTTGGGATTGCATTGAATCTACACATCAATTTGGGAAAAACTGACATCTTAACAACATTGAATCTTTCCAGAAACATATAATTTTTTGTTTAGTTAGTTCTTTGTTATCTTTCATCAGAATTTTGTAGTTTTCCTCATATAGATCTTGTACATATTTTGTTAAATTTATACCTACGTATTTCATTTTCTTGGGTGCTAATGTAAATGGTAATGCATTTTTTTTATTTTAAATTCCTTTTTTTCTTAGTTGGTTTATAGGAAAGCAATTGACTTTTGCATATTAACTCTGTTTCCTATAATCTTGCTATAATTGCTTACTAGTTCCTAGAATTTCTTTTTTATGTTGTTTTGTTGATTCCTTGGGATTTTTCTACATAAACAATTACGTCATCTGCAAATAAAGATAGTTTTATTTCCTTCTCAATCAGTTATTTTTATTATTTTTATGTTATTATTACATTGTTATTGTTATATTGTATTTATTGTTATTTTTATTGTTTATTTTCTTCTTATTGCATTAGCTGGGACTTGCCGTACACTGTTGAATGCGAGGGCTAAGAGGGGACATCCTAGGCTTGTTCTCGATTTTAAGGGAATGTTTCTAGTTTATGACCATTAAATACAATATTAGCTGTAGGCTTTTTTGTAGATGTTCTTTGTCAAGTTGAAGTCCTCCTTTATTTCTAGTTTTCTGAGCGTTTTTATCCTAAGTGGCTGTTTGAATGTCATTGAATAAATTTTTTTCTCCATCTATTATGAGGATATAATTTTTTGCAGCCTCTTGATGCCATCATTTTCACTATTTCATTTTCAAATGTTGAACTAACTTGCATACTTGGAATAGATCCTATTTGGTCATAGTGTGTAATTTTTAATGCATTGTTAGATTCCATTTACTAATATTTTGTCAATGACATTTTGCATCTATATTCATGTATTCATACACTTTTTACAAATATTTTCTAATTAGATTTTGTAATCTGAATTTCCACAAGAAGCTATGAAGCAGCTAAGACATATAATGGAATACTTATTGGAGGTCAGATGCTCAGAGAAGATAAGGGGCTTTGCCCATAGTCAAATAGCTAGCTACTTAGTGGCAGAGGTCAGAAGAAAAGTGCCCCCTGACTGCAAGTCCATATAATAATATGCCTGTGACATGGCCCTGCACATTCTCTGTTTGCCTTACAATAAAAGCTATGGTACAGAAAATGGGGCAGTAAGGATTTTTTTATCCATTAGTCCTCCTATTTCTCCCAAACCAATATATGCCATGTAAATGGTGAAGACTGTCAATTACCCGGGTCTCAATTTCTGTATCTGTGTGATGAGAGGGATTACATTCTGCTTCTAAGCCACCTTCCATACCTAAAAGCCTATAATCCTCATTCAGTTCACTTGATGAGGACCTCATATATTCTAGACACTGGCAAAAGCTGGTGGTACAAAAATAAATGGTATTTTCATTAAACTGTGTGATCAATTTGCAATTTTTCTGAATGAAAAGTTGGAAAAAATAAGTGGGACGAAATGTTAGCCCTCATGAAATTATAATCTGATAGGTAAGACACACACCTAAACAGATAATTCTGATATTAAATGATATGTAAAAATAGAGGAAAGAATGAGTGCCCATGAACACAGAATAGAGCACCACTTAGCACAATCTTGAGGTTCAGGGAATCTGGAGTGTTGAGTAGGTACTAGTCAGACTTAAAGATACGCAGAGTTTTCCAGGAGGAGACAGCATGAGAAAAGGCAGCCAAACGAAAAAAAAGGAGATGGGCGGGTGAGAAAGATAGCTGACTTGGGTAACAAGATGTATAATTTGTGAATCTAAAAGAGATTGTTTTCTTTCAGGGTTGAGAAAATTTGGAGTCATCAGGGGTAGTAGAGTCACAGTCTTCTTCTCTTAGGCTTCCCTGTCCTCCAATATTTCTGACATTGAGTACCACCGGGAGGGCTGCTGAGAAAGAACCTAGTAGAAGTCTCACCTTTGTTGGTAGTCCCCACCCCTGCTGCCTCGCAGGGCCCTGGGGCACTAGGTGGAGCTCTATGGAAGCAGTTCTGGGGTGTGGCGAGTACTGGAAAAGAAGAACTAATGAGTTTGCAGGATTGGAATTTCTCAACTGGAACTGAGCATTGCTCACTGAGACACAGCCTTACAGATGGCACAAGCTGATGGATGGCCTATTTCTAGAGCATTGACGCCTGCAGTTTATACATAGAAGCACCTAGAGAGCCAGAACCGTAAGAGTCATCCTAGGGCATCAATATGCCAGAGGGAGCAAAGGCTCTGAAGTTCACACAAGAGACCTAGGGTGAAATTTCAATTCTGCCATATATAGCTGGTTAAACTTGGGCAGGATCTTTCACCTCTCTGACACAGGGTCATTATCTCTAAAGTGGTGAAGACAATGCCTCCTTCACTGGATTGCTTTAAAGACTAAATAAGGTAGCTAATACAAATAAAAATACTTGGCATAGAGGAAATTATCAATATACATATTTGGCTCTGTGCAAGCATGTGTTGGGGTGAGGGAAGTGAATGTCCATGCCAGTTAGCAATGTTGGAAAATGCCAATGCATTCATCTGACTCCTCCTTTGTTTTTTAAATCCAGCAGCAAAGTGTGAGCCATGAAAAAAAGATAGAATGAGGAGAAGAAAAAAGAATGGTATCATATCAACTAAAGTTTAAAATCCTCTACCCTCCTTTTTTTCATAAAATATGTTCTCTTCGTCTTACAACAATTCTGGAAAATGTTAATAACACTAATATTACAGCTGATACATAGTATTGCGTGGCAAGCAATCTTCTAAATATGTTTGCATGCACAAATGCATTTAAGCTTCCCAATAACCCTACAAGATTGGTTCTATTATTATTCTTATTTTATGTATAAGGTTAAAAGGTCATGCAGAAGATAAGTAATTACTAATTTCATACAAATATGAATTGATATAACAGTTTGGAAAACAGTCTGCGGTCCAAGCTCATGTTCTTAGTTTTCTCTCTATGGCCTAAATTTACCAAATACTTGATGAACAATTGAAGGTTGTCCATAAACTCTTTTAGCATCTTAGTTCCTCCTTTAATTATTAGTGTAATGATTCATTCTGTAATAATTTATCCTTCTCAGTCTCTGACTTCCCTGGTCCTCCTTCTTCTTTGGCATTTCCTCAGAGTGTACATGAAATGTACATGAATAATTCCCACCTCACACTCAAAGCCCGAAGCAGTTTTCCTTCCAATTTGTGCAGAAGATGACGAGATACCTCTTTGGTGCTGTGGCTCTCTGTCGTGACAAGGCAGTGAGTGGGCTAAGAATATTGTTTAAATCAAAATTCTACTTTGCCACTTGAGGTGTTTCTGAGGAAGGTGTTTTACAAAAAAATACATAATTTGTTAATAGATGATCAAACACTCAAAGGAAGTTTGCAGCAGTAAATCAATGAGTAGAATGAAGAAATTTGGAAGTATTAGTTATAAAAGGAAAGTGCTTCCAGTCCTTTAGCGGGGGGAATAAAAGTGGGAGGGTATGCATATATGTGTCTCAAGTAATAAGGCAACCCCTTTGGCCTGATCTGCAGGGTCACCTTAACTGTTGTCTTCTAGTGCCCTGCAGTCATGGGAAGTATTGGAAAACTGGGCTACCATTTACAAGCAGAGGAAAGTATGATGCTAGATATGAAGAAATTAAAGGGGAAGAATCTTTCAATTTCCATGCCTCTGTATTTTTGTCAGGGGCCTCTTTCTAACTTATTTTATATCTACCCTGAATAAACCCTCAATAGTGTCTTTGCAACTGGCCTCCTGATTTCTCTCCGTCCCTGCCACTAAAAGGCTTATATAGCTTTCACAGTGTCTTTGACCAATGTTTTTCAGAGGGATAAAGAAAAATAGAGGAAGGGAAAAAAATGTGAGAAGAGAGCACAGGAAAAAGGGAGTACAGAAAGAAAACAATAAAGACACCAGCACTGATGAAAGCTTATTTATGAACCACATACTATATTATGCATTTCCACCTAAAGTTACTCATTTAATTCTAACGTATATGAATGACGATAGTTTGATCATAGTTGTGCCCATGGTAAGGATCCAAAGCCAAAGCTAATTTCTGCTGAATCTTGATGGCTACTTTACCATCTCAAGAATGTTTGCATTTGGTCATGGTCTTTCTTTAAGTGCATATTTATTGATAGTCCCTAAAGCAGAATATACTGTGCTAATAAGTCTCTTCAAGGGATTACAATGTAAATGAGGCAGGCTTACCATCCTTATAGAATTCACAAAATGCAAGCAGATTATGAAAGTGCAAAAATAAGACTTACAGGAAGCAATGAAACAAGTCCTGTGTGAGAAATACTCTCAGCTCCTATGCACTTTCAGAGATATAGGACGTTCATCTGAAGCTCTTTGGGTCTTTTTTCTTTCCTTACCTTGTAGTTGAGGCTCTGGCTACTATTGATAAGGAATTTTGCATCCTGACCTTAAGGGAAAAAAAAGGTTTGTGTTTTACACTCGGTTGTTTTAGATAGGGCAATTTTTTCATAGCAAGGTTAAGCGATATGCCTTGTATAAATTTTAAATAAGTTTTTGAACCACAGTGAGAAAAAAGTTTAAATCTTAGAGTTGTACAGAGAGCATATTATGTGTGCTCCGAGGAAAACAGTTAATTTAGAAGCAGTTTCAAGTCTTTGGACAGATATAGAGCAGGACTTCCTCAGTAAACCAAAGGGCAACGCTTAAGCCTTCAACACGAGTTAGTTCTTGTTTTCTCAGCATGATCTATGCTATTCTAGAGAAGTTCACAGTTTAGGGCAGAAGACTTTATGCTCGCTTCTTCTCAGGCGCGCTTTATGGTCCATTGTTTGTGTTCCTGAAGTCAAAAGGAATAGGTTGAGTGTATGTGGCACAATGTTCTCTGCTAACAAAGAATTTAAAGCCCAGGCAAGGAGGGAAATAATAGCAATATCTTATGTTTATACAGTGCTGTGTACAGAGCACTTTTGTCTTAACTCAGCGAGACTTAATCGTACTCTAGAGGCTGCATGGGGCTGAAGGGGAAGGGAAGGGGTGGTTTTGGGATCTTATTGGGCTCCTGTGTTTCAGAACAGAACAGATGCCTGAGGATGGATCTAGCAGCAGTGCCTGAGTATTGGAGTTCCAGCAACACATTAGTATTCAGAAGTCAGATGACTGACCTCAAAGACGACTTAGGGAACCTCTCAGGAAGAAAATGCTAACATATTGCTAATAATTGCCAACATTTACTCATTGTTTATTATGTGCTAAGAAATATGCCATTTACTATTTAATACTGACAAAAACTTGGCACATATTTCTACTGTGATTCTAGTTTTGCCAAAGAGGAAACTGAGGCACAGTAACTTAACTAATCTTGAGCTCAAGATGACACTAAATGGGCTTTGGAGTTATTCAGGTCCTGCCCTTGAGAAACTTTTGCTTCCTAAGTTTCTCTCAGAGAGTCATTCAAGAAATCATATATGTGCAGTAAACTGGTAGTATGTGCCATGACAGAAGTGAACATAGGGCTTAGTGGAACACCCAGAAGGAGAATGGGACACTGCTTTTCTAAGGCACTTACAAATTCCTTAAAGGTAGGGGCTGCTTCACCCTTAACCTTCCTGGGATTTCTCCATAATGTCTAGATCAGAGTTGGTCATGTGATAACTCTTCAGCAGAACTCATTCTACTTTCTGCCCACTGTTCTTCTTGAACACATATTGACAAAGAGGGCATTTTAGAGTGAATTCTTACAGAGCAAAAAAAAAGGAGGAGGCAAGAATACAATAGCAATATGCTGTTCTATTATCTAATTACATATTAGGTATCATATTATCCAATAGGATAATAAAGGTATAACGATAGAGTGTTCTGAGAGGAGAGTAAGAAGGTAATTTGGTATTTTCTGTGCTAGAAAATTCTTTCCAAAAGAAGCAAAATGTATTTATTATTTTAAGCTTCGTTGAGGTATAATGACGTAGAAAACATATATTTAATTTATACATTTTGATGAATTTGGACATAGGCATACACCTGTGATATCATTACAACAATCATAGCACTAACCATATCTATCAAAATTTCCTGTATTCTTTTGTGTGTTTCTTTTAAAAGAACATCTACATGAGCTCTATCCTATTTTTAAAATGTGCAACAGAAGGTAAAGTTTAAATGAGATCTTAAATAATGACCTAAAATTTGTCAGAAGTGAGAAAGTGGCATTCCAAAACACAAGTCAGCATATCCAGTGGTTTCCAAATTAAATGAATAAGTGAATTGTCTAAAGGACTTGTTACAAAATAAAATCTTAATCTCTAAGCCTAAGGGTTTTGATTCAAGTTATATGGAGTTTGGCTGGGAGCTTGAGTTTTTAACAAGTCACCCAAGTCTCTCTAAGTAGTTCATTAGCAAGCTATTTTGGAACATGCATTATATACTCATGTTTGTTTATGAAAGAGCAAACATAATAAAGAACAGGTAAGCATTTCTGTGAAGTTGTTGAGGGGGTTGATTAGAGAGAAGTATGGGAGATGTGGCAGAGGATATAGGTGGGTTCTAGATTGTAGAGAGCCTGCTTGTAATACGTATTTTTTTCATTTATTTATTTATTTGTTTATAAATAAGATAAGGTCTCACTATGTCACCCAGGCTGGTCTTGAGCTCCTGGGCTCAAACTATCCTCCCACTTCAACCTCCCAAAGTCCTGGGATTACAGGCATAAGCCACCGAGCCTAGCCTGCTTATGTTGTAGGCACTGAGGGGCCAGTAGATTTCTCACACAGAGGAGTATCGTAATCAGATAGGATTTTTAGGAAGACAGGTCTGGTTGGATTTTGTAGCATTATTAGATCTTGAACACCTGAGGACAAAGAGAACATAGAAGAGAACATTACTATAATAGTCTCATGAGAGGAGAGCCTTATTTAGGCAGTGAAAGAGAAGAGAAAGTTACACATTTGGGAGATCATTCTAAGATAGAAGGGACAGGCTCATTATCAATTATCTTAATATATTTTTCTTTGATAGTTCCAATGTTATTTTTGTCATTACTTCAGACTTGACATAAAATATTTCTTTATTGGAAAAAAAAACCTTTTATACCCTAATAAGTCAAGAAAATCAAAGAAACACTGACATTGCTTCCTTTGGGTTTAAATTTGTTTATCCAAAAATAGGCTACAAGAAGATCATTCAGAAAATAGCAGAATTGGATGTGGACATGAATTTCCTTCAACACTTTGAAGGAAAATCAGATAAATCCCCAGGAATGAAATGATCTAAAGCTGGGGAGGGCAAGCAAAGAAGTTCCTAGCATTCATGGTAAATTTCAAATTTTGATTTCTACCATATATTTTCCACTCTTTCATCTAGACATTTTGCTTGTTAAGGTTAATACTTCATTGGTTCTACATTTGAAAACATTGGCGGAAGAATTTTTTTGAGACTAAATAATAATAAATAACAATATGTAAGGTAGTGGGATCATGGAAGGATGAAGGAGTAGGGAGACTCACTGAATGCTTCAAAAGAAAATATAATTCTACAGATACCTATTTTTACCAGTAATCCCACTACTGAAAATTTATTGCAAGGATATAATTCAAAAGGAGGAAAAATGAGTGAAATCAAAGGCTTTGGGGCAGCATTATCTATTTAGGGTAAATCTATACAAAATAAATGACGGGGAAGAAGGAGGAAGAAGGGGAAGAAATATAATTAAATATTCCAAGCACAACTGATACTGTCATTGCAAAATTATAACTGAGACTGAAAGAGATCTGACCGAAATAACTCCATCTTGCTTTTAACCTCCAAGCTGTCCTTGTTCGTTCCTGGGTGTAAGCTGAACTAACTTTGGGAAGAACTTCATTTATAGTTTATAGTTTGAAACAAAGATGATAACAGCCCTTTCCCAAAACAAACCCCCTTCTTGCCTGGGGACTAGACTGCCTTTGTAGGGCTAACAAATTAATCAAAAGATTAGAAATTATGGTTTAGGAGTCATGCAGTTGGAGGCTACAAGATTCTGACCCTCCCCAAATTGCTCCTGAGTTTGACATCACTATTTGTAAATCCTAAGATCAGTGCTTGAGATATTTTTAGACCCTGCACTTGATGGATCAGCTGGCACCACCCAGATTGATAAGCTGGCTCATCTCATCTTGTGGACCCCATCCAGGAACTGACTCAGTGCAAGAGGACAGCTCCGACTCCCTATGATTTCATCTCCGACCTGACCAATCAGCACTCTTGACTCACAGGTTGCCCCACCCCCAATCCACCAAATTATCTTTAAAAGCTCTGATCCCCAAATGCTCAGGGAGACTGTTTTGAGTAATAATAAAACACCAGTTTACCACATAGCCAGCTCTACATTAATTACTCTTTCTCTCTTGCAATTCTCCTGCCTTGATAAATTGGCTCTGTCTAGGCACTGGGCAAGGTGAACCCATTGGGCAGTTACAAATTAGGATGATTAAATAAGTTGTGGTAAATAATTAATAACATAATACATTTAATTTTTGCACCAAAATCATAACTGATGAGAGAAAGATAATTTTGTTTTTCAGATATTTTATATCAGCAGTTGGTCAAGTATGGCTCATGGGCCAAATCTAACCCACTGCCTGTTTTTATAAATAAATTTTTATTGGAACATAGCCATGCCCTGTACATGTTTCAACTTACCACTGTAGAGTTGAGTAGCTACACAAAGACAATATGGCCTGAGAAGCCTAACATAGTAATTATCTGGTCCTGTTCTGTGGTGGGCAGGCCTGTGCAAACCTACCCACAAAGGCCAAGGAAGCTGAAAAGCTGAGGAAAGAGACTGACAAATCCAGTTTCTTAGAAAGAAATATTTCACAAGGACTTATGAACAGAAGCCATATCTTGCTCAGGCAGCCACAGAAGAGATAGTGGATCCCCATGCCACTACCTCCCATGCCATAGGGAAGGAATATGTAGGATGATTCAAGTTGACTGGTCAGGGAAAGGCAAGAATGCTGTATGAATCTGCCTAAGGAGAGGATTTAGGATTTATGGTCAAGGTTGTTTGGACCTGAGGGCAGGATTTACAGTTAAGTGCATGTTCTTACACAAAGAACAGTAGATAAAAGATAAATCTAAGAGGCATTCCAGGAACTGAGGTTAATCAGAAGTCCACATGGCAGAGTAGCATCCAAGATGGAGCTGCTTTAACCTCAATAGGCCCTTTATAGAAGAATTTTCCTAGGCTGGGCGCGGTGGCTCACGCCTGTAATCCCAGCACGTTGGGAGGCTGAGGCGGGTGGATCACGAGGTCAGGAGATTGAGACCATCCTGGCTAACATGGTGAAACCTTGTCTCTACTAAAAAAATACAAAAAAATTAGCCAGGGATGGTGGTGGGCGCCTGTAGTCCCAGCTACTTGGGAGGCTGAGGCAGGAGAATGGCATGAACCCGGGAGGCGTAGCTTGCAGTGAGCTCCACCACTGCATTCCATTCACTGTGCCATTCCATTCACTGAGCCATTGCAGTGAGATCACGCCACTGCATTCCAGCCCGGGTGACAGAGCGAGATTCTGTCTCAAAAAAAAAAAAAAAAAAAAAAAAAGAAGAAGAAGAAGAAGAAGTTTCCTGACCTCTGCTTTAGATAAGAGTGGGAACAATATTTCTTAAGTTTGTTTGCTATGAGCTCGCACATCAGAGAGTGTCATCCCAGAGGAAAGACATGAAACACACAAGTTTGAACTTGGGCTCTGCCACTTTTTAGTGTATGACCCTGGGGATAGTATTCTACTATCAAGATGTCAGTTTTCTTGTCTGTAAAATGAGGATCACTCCTCCCTGGGAGTGCTGCTAGGGAGATTGGAGGTCTTGCTTGTGGCACACGTAGTTCAATGGCTTGGACATAGACAGGACTCAGGCCTGAATACCACTGGGACTGAAAGGTCAGGCATACTGGGCTCAAATTCCAGCTCAACAACTCAATTAACTCTGTGACCTTGAAGAAGTTACTTGTCTCTCCTAATTACTCAATCCACTTATAATGTAAAATGAAGACGATGATGAGATGCTATCAGGGGTTCAGAGTTTAATGAGAAAATGTTTGTAAAAGGTTGAGCACAGTGCCTGTGTTACCCTGTGCTGCAGGGTAGCAATACTCTACAAGACGTAGCTAATATCCTGTCCACCCTCATATTCCATTTCTATCCCATCATGTAGGTATGACCATGTCACTACTTGGCTTAAATTAATGTGCCCTCATTACCTTCATGGCGAAGACTGAACTCCTTAATAAGGCCACCCATGTCTGGTTCCTGCTACCCTCTGCAGGTTTATCTCGCCACATTTCCCCCATACCTCCACTTTCCTACTCTCCACAAAAAAACACTTAACATAGTACATAACAAATAATAACTATTTGCAGTAGCTATTTTAATTTTTTAAATGAACAAATATTATGTTTTGAAATTTAAAACGAATACATTATTTTTTAAAAAAATACCTTTTGCAAAAAAGTGCAGGTGTGTTACATAGATATATTGCACAGCGGCAAAGTCTGGATGTTCAGCATACCCCTCACCCAAAGAGCGTAAGCACTATTATGGTGTTTGCAATGTGCTATTCTAAGAGCTACATAATTCTCATTTATTTAATTTTTACCATCGCCTTTTGGGGTAAGTATACCTATTAGACTTATCTTGCTTGAGAAAACTGAGGCACAAAGAAGTTGAGTAACTTAGTCAAATTTAAATAGGGGACAAGTAACAGACCTAGATTTAAAATTCAGGCAGCTCTGCTCAAAGCCTACGCTGTTAAATATATTCCTAAATTTTCTCTTATAACATAAACAGAACTGAAATAAGAGTTAACAGAATAATTGAGAAGACTGATAATTCCAAGTGGGTTGAAGATGCAGACTAACTGAAACCCTCATACGTTTCTGGTGGGAGTGTAAATTGGTACAATTACTTTGAAACATCTCTTTAACGGCATCTTCTGACCCTAAGTATGTGAGTACCTTATGACTTAGCAATTTCATACTTAGGCATAGTCTAAATAAAAAGAAAAGCATACGTCAACTAAAAGACATGATTATAAACATGTTTATAACGTCACTTTTTTATAATAGTCCTTAAATGGAAAGAATCTAAACAAATAGTTAAAAGGATAAAAAAATTATAGCATGTACATATAATGACATACTACATCAATATAAATAAATAAACTACTGCTATTGTTACAGGTAATTAGACAGGCATAAATGGGGCAGGAGAGGGCTCTTCTCTCTCCACGCACCAGGAAAGTCAGGTGATGGTTCAGCAATTATCACACTGCCTCTCTAAAAATTATAGTTTGACAGCCCACCCAGGGCTCCAGGGAGAGGCCTTTCATGATGATCCACAGCTATTAACATTAAAGTGTTCATTGAATGCAGGAGTCAGGGAGAAGAAACTTCCTGAGCTTGTGCCTTAAGAGATAAAATGGCGAAGTATGACCTTTCTGGTGCAATCCATCAGAAAAGGGAAGACAGCCTCAGATGGGCATGCATACAACTTCCTAAACATACTGCGCATGCTTAATTCCCAAGCGTAAGAAGGGCACTGTGCATGTGGGAAGCCCACCCTAAGGGAATAATCATGAGAAAAAGTGAGCCTATAAAGTCCTAGGGTCAAGGTTACACACTCTTTGACCTTCAGATGCACTCTTGGATTTTTTTCCAAGTGAATTTTTCTTTCTTTCCTGTTCAAAACCCTTTCAAATAAACTTTCACTCCTGCTCTGAAACTTGCCTTGATCTCTTTTTCTGCTTTATGCCCCTCAGTTGAATTCTTTCTTCTGAGGAGGCAAGAACTAAAGTTGCTGCAGACCCATAGGGATTTGCCACTGGTAACTTGGGGTAACTCAAATCTCTTCCACTGGTAACAATATACACAATAATAACATAGATTATTGTCCCAGACATATACTGAGCAAAATAAGCCAAACACAAAGAATGCATTCTATATGACTCCACTTACATAAATTTCAGACACAGGCAATATTAACTTACATTGGTAGAAGTTGAAAGGTGGTTATCTGGGTATGTGTTTATGTGTGTGGTGGGAATGGTAAGACTGACAGGTTGCACAAGGGAGATGACTTCCTGGAGTCCAGGAAATCTTCTTTTTCTTGAACTGAGAAATGATTGCACAGGTGTAGACACATATAAAATTTCATCAAAGTGTGTTCTTAAAATGTGGGCACATTAGGGTATATATCCTATTATCTCAACAAACAAGAAAACATACAAACAAAAAGAGAATAAGTAAATTACTATGCTTTAGTGTATTTGTCCATTTTTACGTTGCTCATACAGACATACCTGAGACAGGGCAATTTACAAAAAAAAAAGAGGTTTAATGGACTTACAGTTCCACAAGGCTGGGGAGGCCTCACATTCATAGTGGAAAGCAAGGAGAAGCAAGTAACATCTTACGTGGTTGGCTGCAGGTAAAAAGAGAGCGCTTGTCTAGGGAAACTCGTTTTTAAAACCATCAGATCTCCTGAGACTTATTCACTATAATGAGAACAGCATGGGAAAGAACCACCCCCATGATTTAATTATCTCCCACTGGGTCCCTCCCACAACATGTGGGAATTATGGGAGCTACAAGATGAGATATGGGTGGGGACATAGAGGCAAACCATATCATTCTGTCCTATTCCAACCAAATCTCATGTCTTCACATTTCAAAACAAATCATGCCTTTCCAACCATGCCCCAAAGTCTTAACTCTTTTCAGCATTAACTCAAATGTGCACAGGCCACAGTCTCATCAGAGACAAGGCAAGTCCCTTCTGCCTATAAGCCTATAAAATCAAAAGCAAGTTAGTTACTTCCTAGATACGATGGGGGTACAGGCATTGGGTAAATACAGCCATTCCAAATGGGAGAAATTGGCCAAAACAAAGGGGCTACAGTCCCCATGCAAGTCCAAAATCCAGCAGGGCAGTCAAATCTTAAAACTCCAAAATGATCTAATTTGGTTCCATGTCTCACAACCAGGTCACACTGATGCAAGAGGTATGTTCCCATGGTTTTGGACAGCTCCACCTTGTGGTTCTACAGGGTACAGCCTCCCTCCTGGCTGCTTTCATTGGCTGCAGTTGAGTGTCTGTGGCTTTTCCAGGCACATGGTGCAAGCTTTCAGTGGATCTACCATTCTGGGATTTGAAGGACGGTGGCTGTCTTCTCACAGCTTCACTAGGTGATGCCCCAGTAGGGAATCTGTGTTGGGGCTCTGACCCCACATTTCTCTTCCACACTGTCCTATCAGAGTTTCTCCATCAGAGTCACACCCCTGGAGCAAACTTCTGCCTGGATATCCAGGTGTTTCCATACATCCTCTGAAATCTAGGTGGAGGTTCCCAAACCCTAATTCTTGACTTCTTTGCAGCCACAGGCTCAACACCATGTGGAAGCTGCCAAGGCTTGAGGCTTGAGCCATCTGAAGCCATAGCTTGAGTTCTACGTTGGCCCCTTTCAGCCACGGCTGGAGCAGTTGGGATGCAAGGCATCAAGTCACTATGCTGCACACAGCACAGGGACCCTGGACCTGGCACACAAAACTATTTTTTCCTCCTAGGCCACCAGGCCTGTGATGGAAGGGGCTGTCATAAAGACCTGTGACATGCCTTGGAGATTTTTTTAAATTGTCTTGAGAATTAACATTCTTGACAATTAACATTGGTTACTTATGCAAATTTTTGCAGCCAGCCTGAATATCTCAGAAAATGAGATTTTCTTGTCTATCACATTGTCAGGCTGCAAATTTTCCAAACTTTTATATTCTGTTTCCCTTATAAAACTGAACACTTTTAACAGCACCCAAGTCACCTCTTGAATGCTTTGCTGCTTAGAAATTTCTTCTCTAATACCCGAAATCATCTCTCTCAAGTTTAAAGTTCCACAGATTTCTAGGGCAGGGGCAAAATGCCACCAGTCTCTTTGCTAAAACATAACAAGAGTCACCTTTGCTCCAGTTCCCAACAAGATCCTCATTTCCATCTGAGACTACTTCAGCCTGGACTTTATTGTTCATATCACTATCAGCAGTTTTGGCAAAGCCATTCAACAAGTCTCTAGGGAATTCCAAACTTCTCCACATTTCCTGTCTTGTTCTGAGCCCTCCAAACTGTTCCAACCTCTGCCTGTTACCCAGTTCCAAAGTTGCTTCCACATTTTTGGGTATCTTTTCAGCAGCACTCCACTCTACTACATACCAATTTACTGTATTAGTCTGCTTTCACACTGCTGACAAAGACATACCCAAGACTGGGCAATTTACAAAAAAAAAAGAAAGGTTTAATGGACTTACAGTTCCACATGGCAGGGGAGGCCTTATAATCACGGCAGAAGGCACGGAGGAACAAGTCACATCTTATATGGATGGTGGCAGGCAAATAGAGAGTTTGTGCAGGGAAACTCTCATTTTTAAAACCATCAGATCTCATGAGACTTATTCACTGTCACGAAAACAGCATAAGACATACCCACCTCCATGATTCAAATATCTCCCACCAGGCCCCTCCCACAACATGTGGGACTTATGGGAGCTACAAGATGAGCTTTGGGTGGGGATGCAGCAGAGAACCATATCACTTAGTAAACTGGAGACTTGTGAAATTTAAATCAACAAGAAGAAATTATCCTCTCTCTCTGTCAATTTCTCTCTCTCACACACAAATTTTCCCCCAAATAATCCATGTTTTTTACTGTTCTAGAAGCTATATTTAGAGTATCACAATATTAAATAGTGAACTTATCTAGTAGAGGAACATAGTTGCCCTTGAATTCTCAAATAGAATATCAAAATCCATCTTCTTCCTGAAATAGTTAAGTGAGTAGATTTCTCCCATTGCGGCAGTTTGAGCCAATAAGGCAATTTTGATTGTCCTAAGGGCAATGGGATTGTAAAAAGCATCCAAGGATAGTGTTTCATGATATGCCCCAAGCCACAAGCCCCTGCACTAAATCAATAAAAATCATCCACAGATTTTTGGACTTACTTTAAGAAAGTAGCATTTCTATGAAACTCCTAGACAGATACAAGGAACAGCTAAACCTCTGGGTTTAGGAACATCTTGCAGACAACAATTCCCATTGTTCAGAGTTATTCTGGCTGAAGAGCAAATAACTTCACAGTTTGACAGAATGCAGGTAGCTATATATTCACTTTGCACTTGAGAGAACCTCAAGATTTGTTTCCTCATGAGGAAAATTCAGATCATAAAGCAACTAAGAGCCAATAATTTTTTAGTTTTGCTGGTTTGCATCAGTTGACTGGGGAGAGAGCTGGAATTTTATCTGGTGACGTAAACATTACACATCTCTCTTACTGCCTTTGAATGCAGAATGTCTCAAAATTTGATTTTAGCAAAACCACACATACAATGCCCAGTTTCAGATCCAGGAAATCTTTATGGATAATTTACTATGTACCTTGAAATGTGTATGTATTAGTCTGTTCTCATGCTGCTATGAAGAAATACCCAAGTCTGGGTGATTTATAAGGAAAAGATGTTTAATTGACTCGCAGTTCTGCATAGCTGGGAAGGCCTCAGGAAACTTACAATTACGGCTGAAGGCACCTCTTCACAAGGTGGCAGGAGAGAAAATGAGAGCCAAGCAAAGTGGGGAAAGCCTCTTATAAAGCCATCACCCACATGATTAAATTACCTTCCACTGGGTTCCTCCCACAACACGTGGGCATTATGGGAACTACAATTCAAGATGAGAATTGGGTGGGGATACAGCCAAACCATTTTGTAGATAAGAAACTGAGTTAGCTAAGTTCCCATGATATTCTATCCTGATGGAGACAGAATTTGAATTAAGATTTTCTGACCTTAGGAAAAATGAAGTTTCTACTTAACAACTACTTGCTTAAAGCAAAATAATAACATGTGAGGACTAGTCATATTTCTGCTGTTAACTAGGTATATGACCTTGGGATAATAACTTTACTGCTTTAACTTTAGTCCCTTGATCTGAAGAATAAATCAGTAGCCTAGTGTCCCCAAAATGTTGTGGTTTTGTACCTACCATGTTTAGCTCTGAAAATGTGTCCCATCTTATTTCATGACATGGCACAAGGACCTCATTAAAAACAAAGACAGTTTTATTTGAACTAGAAATCTGTTGGGAAATTGTAAATTAAACCACTCAATCTATTCTTCTCCCTAATAAGATTATTTAGCAGTGCCCACTCTCACAGAGAGGGACTTGTGGTGAAAGGCTAGGCTGTATAAACGGGTATAAACGGGGCCAGACTTTTCAAATTCAGCATAATTAAAATGAATAATGTACTAAATGACCTGAGAATGTTTAGACAGGAAAAAAAATGTAAATGTTTTAAAGAAGTGAGTAAATGAACATTCTAATGGAAAAAGTAGAGATTTTTGCTATATAATGTGGAAGTGAAAAGAGGGAGTTTTGAGCTTATACTGGCTCTTAGTGTCATAAAGTGAGTTTCAGAAGGATCTCAGGTGTCTGTGTTTTGCTATGGAATTGTGAAGGTGATAGCCACTCAACTGAGCAGATCAATGTCCTTGCATATTTCTCAGTGGGTGAATTCTTCTTTGTTCTCTCTAAAACCTTATAGATATGGGTTTCATCTACCTGAAATATACTATTAGAATAGTAACACAGGATTCCAGAAAGAAATAAAACAAAACAAACAAATAAACAAACAAAAATCTCAACTCCTTGCTATTTGGTAAAGCCAGAAATGATATGTTCTCATCTCATCTAGTTTAGATTAGACATGAAAATACACAAGTTGGCCTTTTAATATTTTAGTTCAATTGAAAACATACTGATTGAGCATATATTGTATGTATATGTTCATACATACAGTATGATTTGGAGGATACAAGTTTCTAGCTATAAGAATGCACTTCTATTAGGACTGAAATTATAATGAAATAAATCTCAAAAGAGTTATGATTATATCTTATAAATACCACAAAAGAGGAGAAATTATTATAGCTTTTGAGAGTCATGGAAGACTCCCTGGAAACATTGACTCATGATAAGAATATTCAAAGAGTTATCCAGGTAAAGGAGTTTGAAAGGACACTCCTCAAAGATGGCATGCAAGGGAATTCTCCATGACATGGAGAATTTAAGTACCTCAATTAAGTAATTGAAATGAAGTACTTGCCATAGTGACCTGGGTACCTTCTCTGGTGCCATCAGTCCTCCTATTAGGGCAGCTCATAATCCTGGTATCTTCTAGTCCAGTCCCCGGAAACTTCAGACTATTTCTGTGCTCAATTGACAATTTTTTCAAAGATTTTGTGGGCCACCAATGTATTGTTAAGCATAAAGCACATGGGAGTCATTCCAAGAAAGTAAACAAAACAAAGTGACATAAATACCAGTGTTAATGAATTCACCTTATGCAATTATGTTTCCCTGTTGAAGAAATAGGGTGAGGCCTTGTAGCCACCCGTCAAGCAGTTATTGCATGTGGGCTTAACTTTTTGGGTAAAACTTTTTTTTTCAGTAGAGGGCAATTTCCAGAAAGGAACTCATTTATGAGCCCTCCTCAGTCAACACACATGGTCTTTGGAGGAAAAAGCACCTCAGTCTGGAAAGGGAATCTGGGCAGTGCAACACGGGACTTCCTACAACTCTCATATTCCTTAGCCCTATTGAACCATTTAAAGATGCAAGTGTATAATCCTAATAGCATTTCAACCCTTGCTGAAATTAATTATTACATTTATTCTAGGAATGAAGCAACGATATCTCCTAAAACACCAGGGTAAGTGATGGGGAGACCACAAATTATATTATGTATCTATTGGGTAATATTTCGCACCCTTAAGGACAGAGACTAGTGAAGGAAGAAGAGAACTATTTCACCCCTACAACACCTAGGAACATCAGCCAAATGTAAACTGGTGGATCACGTCATTTTACAGTGAAAATAGCCCCTGATGTAAGGGGTCCATTAATGTAGGAGATACAAAATTACATCAGGAGATCTTGAGTTCCAATATCCCTTGACCACCATTCCCTCTCAATCCTCTGACCTTGAACATTTCTCTTCTAGTTATATTGAAAAGTATCCCATATACCTTATCTAATTTAATCTTCTCAACAGCTTTATGAGTTTGGTATTCTCCTTCTCATTTTACAAATTAGAAAATTACTGCTCAAATAGTTTAAGTGTATGTTATCCAAATGTACCAAGTGACAGAACTGGAACTTCCACACAGGTCTTTCTTGCCAACAAGCCATACAAAAGCTTTACCCTAAAATAAACTATCTCTGGAAGCTTCGAATTAGAATGCACCTCTAAGGGGTAAAACTTAATTCACTAATGAGGAAGAGAATTTTCTAGAAACCTCTCAGGGATGGAAAGAATTAATTCTAAGCCCAATTCCCTCAATATCTAAACATCTTGGAAATGAGATACTTTAAAGCTGTTTTTGTTCTCTAGGGTGCTATTTAGTGCCTGAAGAAATAATCCACTAAAAGTGTCTTACCTCACTAAACTACTAGTAGCTTTCCAACAAATAATCAAAACACTCCATGTGCCCAAAGATGAATTCAATCATCAGGCAAGCTACAGAGAATAAATAGAAATATAATTCTAAAACTTCATTATTGGAATTTAAAATAGCACTACTTTTCTTTAATTCCAGCAAAGCCTTTAAACTGATCAGGAAGCAGCAGAAATAAGAATGGATGGGAGTGGTGGATTCTTAATTGTAAAATTTTACTGCTAAAGAAAACCCTGAGGTTAGAGGTGAGATTATATAAATGCCAACTATTAACAAATATTGGTCTATGGCACACAAGACTAAGAATGGACATTGAAGGGCAACAGTGTAAGAAGCTTAGCTTTCCATCACAGTATCCTCTACCTCTCTATGAACTTCAGCTGAGAAGTAGAACCACTGCATTTCTGGTTATCAACTGGTGAGAGGATGCTTAGATTATTCAATGACATTTGGCATCTCTTAATATATGAGAATCAAGTCGATACAAACTAGAACTCTTGATGAATTCAACCGGTAGAATATTTTATTATTAGAGAAGTTGGTGAGTTGGTGTAATAAAAATTATACAGTCTTTAGAGTCCAGCCTTTGAGACATGCTTAATTTCTCTTAGCCTGAGCTTTCCTGACAGTAAAGGGAAGGATGGGGAGCAGAGGCCATCCACGTTGCTGAAATATGGGGATAACTAAATGAAGTGATGCATGACCACAGTAAATGTTCTGTTGTTTTTATTTTCCTTTTTCATGATGAACTTGTGCTCAAGATTTGCTAAAGATAATGATAGATTAATTGTGAACAGCCTGAAGTATCAAGTAGGTAGGACAAAGCAGTAAGTGTATGTAAAAACATCCTGTTTAATCATTCAGAACTATATTTTCAAATAATTTCCCCCAGAAAATTGAAAAATATCAATAGTTAAATTTGTATCACTTTTATAAGGTTGAGTGAGGTTGAGAGAAAAGTCAAATTTCATTGGAGAAGATAATATATGTGTATATAAACTGCCTAGTGCAGAGCCAGTGAAATTGTAGGTGTTCAGTAAATAGAAAGTCTTATTATTTTTATGTATGTGCTTGATTTTCTCCAGCTCAGTGGCTTCTGGATATTTGAAGTACCCAGGACACTTGTTCCTGACTACTTCTTATTGGCACAATCTAACTCCCAGCTCTCCTATTTCTGAACATTTTGGTTCTCCATCTTAATTAATGCTTCCTGTCTATACCCCGTTGAACCGTGATTCCTTAACTTAACATTTAATTCAATCGTCCCTTCTGAGTATTATTCCTGGCTTCTGCTGTCACTTTACAACTGACATACTTCATACAAGGTGACCCACACTATGCCTTTCTATAATTTCACAGGATCATCTCTGACATTGTCAGCTCCCAGCTAGCCACTAACTTAATGTGGAAAGTATATTTAACCTTTGATGTTTCTTAGAAGAAAGGAGGACATTATCCTACATGTAGAAGAAGAAAAGAGAAGCAATTATTTACCAAGCACTCTACATTCAGTGTGATAGGCACACGGTAGATTCTATTATATTGGTGAATTGCTTCCAGTTCTTTACACCACACTTATACTAAAACAGTACATCCAAGTTTCCTGCTATGTGACTTTCTAGAACTTTCTACCAGAGTTGGTAGAATATATTCTCCACTTCATTGATGCGGGACTTGGTCAACAGGCTACTTTGGCCAGTGAGATGTTAGCAGTTGTGGCATGGTCAGATGTTTTAAGTGCATTTTTGTGGCTAAACTCAGCCTCTTGCACTTATTCGTTTATAACGGAACAAGCATCCTTAGGAACTGCTGGTGCTATAAGAATGATGAGGTGACATGAACTACAGCTTGCTTTATAGTTGGGTTGAAGAAGCTTAGAAAATGTTCTAAGTCCACACGACTGGTCATTTGTACCATCATGAGAAGAGTGTTATCATCTAAATTCTATTTTCAGATAGAAAACAAATACTTCAATTAGAAACAGTTATTTTTTAAAAGAATATATTATATTCGTATTAGCCCATTCTCACACTGCTATAAGGACATACCCGAGACTGGGTAATTTAAAAAGGAAAGAGGTTTAATTGACTCACAATTCCACAGGGCTGGGGAGGCCTCAGGAAACTTACAATCATAGTGGAAAGGGAAGCAAACACATCCTTCTTCACAAGGTGGCAGGATAGAGAAGAGTGAGAGCCAAGCAAAAGGAGAAACCCCTTATAAAACTATCAGATCTTGTGAGAACTGATGAACCCCTCCCTGGTGGGGACCTGGTGGGGACCTGACACGTGGGAATTACGGGAACAACAATTCAAGATGAGATTTTGGTGAGGACATAGCCAAACCATATCAATATTCAATTAGAAACTGATTTAAAAAGAACATATAATAACATACAACTTCTGAATGTTGATGATATGCTTCACAGGCATTATCTTACTCTTTAGAACTATGTTACAGTAGGTACAATAATTATCCCCATTTTTTTAAAAAATTGCATATAGCTCTATTTTGTTCCTTTTTTTTTTGGTAGTAAGTTTCTCTTTATAGATAGTGAAACTGTTAGTTTTTAGGGCTTCCATAACCAATTATCACAAATGAGTGGCTGAAAACAACAGAAATTTATTCTCTCACAGTTTAGGAGGTCAGAAGTCCAAAACCAGGGCATCAGCAAAGTTGGTTCCTTCTGGAAGCTCTCATGTTCCATGTCTCTCTCCCAGCTTCTGGTGGTTCCTGCAATTCTTGGTGTTCCTTGGCTTGTAGACTCATCATTCTAATCTGTACTTCCATCTTCACATGGCATTCTCTTCTGTGTGTCCTCTCCTTTTATTTTTTTAAATGCTTTAATTTTAAAAAAATTTATTCCTTTTTTACATTTTTATATAATTACATATTAAGTGATGAAAACCAAATAGCTTTATTCCTTTTATAATGTTATAACATGAATAAAGTAGATTAACTATATCTATATTATTTGCATATCGGCTGCTTTTAGAAATATAACTACATTATGTATTCTGTTCATTAACAATGATTGCTTTTTATTGTATTCCTCAAAGTTTATATTAACATATTATTTGAATTTTTTAACTTTTAAGTTTAGGGGTACATGTGCAGGTTTGTTATATAGGTAAACTTGTATCATGGGGGTTTGTCGTACAGATTATTTCATCACCCAGATATTTAGCTTAGTATCCATTACTTTTCCTCCCACTCTTTACCCTCTTATAGGCCCCAGTGTGTGTTGTTCCCCTCTATGCGTCCATATGTCTTGTTAAACTACCAAAGACATTCTTCACAGAACTAGAAAAACTATTTTAAAATTAATATGGAACCAAAAAAGACCCTAAATAACAAAGGCAATCCTAAGCGAAAAAGAACAAAGCTGGAGGCATCACTCCACCTGACTTCCAACTGAACTACAGAGATACAATAACCAAAACAGCATGGTACTTGTACAAAAACAGACACATAGAACAATGGAACTGAAAAGAGAACCCAGAAATAAGGCTGAATATCTACAACTATCTGATCTTTGACAAGGCTGACAAAATCAAGCAATGGAGAAAGGACTTTCTATTCAATAAACAGTACTGGAAGAACTGTCTAGCCATATGCAGAAGACTGAAACTGGACTCCTTTCTTACACCATATACAAAAATCAACTCAAGATGGTTAAAGACTTAAATGTAAAACCCAAAACTATAAAATCCCTGGAAGAAAACCTAGGCAATACGATTCTGGACATAGGAATGGGCAAAGATTTATTGACGAAGATGCCAAAAGCAATTGCAATGAAAGTAAATATATATATATATATGTGTGTGTGTGTGTGTGTGTGTGTGTGTGTTTGTGTGTGTGTGTGTGTTTGAGACAGAGTCTCACTTGCTCTGTTGCCCAGGCTGGTGTGCAGTGGCATGATGTTGGCTATGGCAACCTCTACCTCCTGAGCTCAAGTGATTCTTCTGCCTAAGCCTCCTGACTAGCTGGGATTACAGGTGTGCACCACCCTGCCAGGCTAATTTTTGTATTTTTGTATTTTTGTATTTTTAGTAGGGATGGGGTTTCACCACTTTGGCCAGGCTGGTCTCAAATTCCTGACCTCAAGTGATCCACTTGCCTTGGCCTCCCAAAGTGCTGGGAGCACTTACAGGTGTGAGCTACTGCACCCAGCCAAAAGTAAAAATTTACAAATGGTAGGTAATTAAACTTAAGAGCTTCTTCACAGCAAAAGAAACTATCAACAGATTGAACAAACAACCTACAGAATGGGAGAAAAATTTTGCAAACTATTTTTGCATTTGACAAAGGTCTAATATTGAGCATCTATAAGGAATTATTAAAAACCATTAAAAAGTGGGCAAGGGACATGAACAGACACTTCTCAAAAGAAGACATATATGTGACCAACAGTCATACAAAAAAAAGTTCACCATCACTGCAAATCAAAACCACAATGAGATACCATCTCACACCAGTCAGAGTGGCTACTATCAAAAAGTCAAAAAATAATAGATGCTGGCGAGGTTGCAGAGAAAAGGGAATACTTATACACTGTTGGTGGGAGTGTAAATTAGTTCAAACATCATGGAAGACAGTTTAGTGATTCCTCAAAGACCTAAAAATAGAACTACCATTCGACGACCCAGTAATCCCATTACTAGGTATATACCCTAAGGAATATAAGTCAGTTTATCATAAAGACACATGCACTTGTATGTTCATTGCAGCTCTCTTCACAATAGCAAAGATGTGGAATCAACAAAAATGGCCATCAATAATAGATTGGATAAAGAAAATGTGGTACATATACCCCACGGAATACTATGCATCCATTTTTAATAGATGAATAACTTTAGTCCTAGAAAGATTTAGTAACATGTGCAAGGTCACAAAAGTGATGAGTTTATATTAAAATCCAAGTTAGACTTCAGTGCTAGGATTATTAAGCACTATGACTGTGTCCTACTCCATTTTAATTGTGAAAGAGAGAAAAGTGGAGGTAGTCTCCCAAAAACTGAGTACAATGGGAAAATATGTGGCCAGCCAAGCTGAGTGCATCATTTTCATCAAGGAAGATACAGGCAGGGGACAGTAGTAATAGAGGAGATGTTTCCAATAATGCATTAACACCCCAGAAAGAGAGTCAGCTGTAAACACCAGCAAAGTGCAGAGAGTATCACAACAGTTCATGCCAATATTAGTCATGTGAGAATTCTGTTGCTCCTTCTATCTCTCCTACCCTCTTAGCCTCTCTTCAAACCCAGAGGGTCAGAAACCTGGGTTTTCAGAAAGTAACATGCAAAAATAAAGAACAAATAAATTATGTTGGCCTCTTTCTGCAGGAAGCCAGACTGCAGCAGGCCAGGAACACGGAAGGGCATCACTAGAACCTTGATGGTTGTTTACAGTTTTTAGTATTTAGTGGATAGAACATATTAATTGCTGAATGGAAGACCTTTGATTACATGAATTAATTTACCCAGGTTCAGAATAAGCACTATTGTTTTTTGATTATCTATCATGTATTCTGCATGTGAAAGTTAATGGCTACACTAGATTATATGTTTCTTTCTGAAGGAAAGAACTATATGCTCTATTGACTTTCACATTCCCTATCCTGTTGAGATCCCTCACCTCCAGGCCCTCATCTACATAAAGTTATTCACCTGCCACATCAGCCACATTCAATTCTCAGTGCAGCCCTGACCTGAACAGGGAAAACAGTATATCAAGTAGATCTACTTAATATTGAAATCAAAATTATTTGTGATTTATTGATTATATTAATTATTGATAGTGTATATCAAACCCAGGTGATAGAGATGAATGAAATAAGACATAGTCTATGTTTTCAAGAAGTTCACCCTCTTCTAGGGGAGAAAAATTGTAAGTGGAAACTACAAACCAGTTTGTTCTATATTATAAAACATTATAGTCAAGCTATCAAAGGATCAGATGCAAAAAAGAGCCAGCTCTGCCACAAGGCTCAATAAATAGTTTACAAAAGAGAATTTCTGAGTCAAGTATTTAAGGTATTTGAATATTTGTAGCAATTGGACAAGAAGAATCTTCCAAAACAGAGAGAACAATATTTTTAAAGGGCAGAGGCATGTATAATGTGATATATTCAAGGACTCAAATGTATGGCTGGGTCAGAGCATACGTAAAGGAGCAGGGCAGGGCAAAGCTGGAAAGGCAGTCTAGCTCTCGAGTTCAGTGGCCTTGAATTGCTTGGGGAAAGATTAATTAGATGTTGATTCTTGCTCTTCAAGAAAGGGTGATCTCCACTCTATGAAAGCTGGAGAAAGCATACTCAGGCGTTATTTCTATGTTCTCATTTTTGGACCTTATTAATGAGATGATGAGGCTATTGTATCAACATTTGGCAGGAAGGATTTGATTCTATCCTGTGCATTTGTCCCAGTATGTGCCTAGCATTATGAGTATCTTAACTCACTCTTTCTGATCTCTTTTTCTTTATTTCAGCTTTGGGTTAAAATAATAAGACTGGAAAGTAGAACAAACCATACCATTTTCATGAGTCCAGATTTAGCAGTAATGAAATTAATACAGTATTTGATTTCCATGTGGTTTTTCAAGTCTATTTCTTAAATTGGTTGGAACCAGTAAGAGAGGAGAAATGATTGACAAGATTTCTCCAGGAGTCCTCATAATGGTAGGTTTTAATTGTCATTGTATGCAGTGCAGAAACTTGGAAGAATTTTTAAATGGTGCTCAATCTGGTGAAATTTGTGAGCCTAAACAGATAATGAAAGAGGTTATGTGGAGGTGTTGAGTTTGGATTTTGAATGACCAGGGCATTTGTAGGAGGAAATGGATGGCCATTCTAGACAGAGAGGACCAATAAGAGAATACAAGTAGAAACAAGAAAGGTGGAAAGGATGGGTGTTTGTAAGCAGTGCAATGGGAATTAATATAGTGTCACTGGAGTATGAATGTAGATAGGGAAACAGAATAAAACTAAGCAGTAGAATTTGTTTCAAGAAAGACACAGAAAAAGCATAGAAAACTAGGGTCTTCGATGGGATGGGAGGGTAATGGGAAATCGTTGAAAGGTTTTATAAAAACAGTAACTTAATAATATTTGTTAGCATTGAATATTCCCTTTCACATCAAAAATTGTGCTGTGCGTGGTATGTGCTTGAGTAGTTGTGTATTTTTTTAGCTTGTCTTGCTAATGTCAAAAGGAGCCAGCTAAGGTTGATATTCATTGAATCTTGAACTTAGCCCAAGCCAAAATACTTGTATGAGTAACTGTGTGTCTGTGTGTGTGTGTAAGTGTTCATGTAAAAATATCAAATTATTTGTAAATATTCAAAATTTTATAAAGAATTTCCATGCCAAAACATTAGAAAGTCATTTTCAGTCTCATTTGTTCTCTAAAGGAGGGCTAAACCTTACCACACTTTGTGATTCTCCAAATGTCTCGAGCTATTTTTTCAGATGCTTTGGTTTTGGCAGGTCTTAAGGCCAATGTTTGCTGTCCTTTTTCCCTTAATTTCTAAACCCACATGTATTTCAAGAGAATTTTATACATATGTTTTATATTCATTTACACTTAACTCATCAAAAAAGTTTTAAGGATATTTGAAGTCCAGCAAACCTTCAGAGTCTCTATTATTAAAATCTTGGAAATTGTAATTAAATCCTGGACACTAGATTGGCATGCATTCAGAAATCAGGACTCCTGATTTTGCACATGTACCTAACCAAATGCCTGTTTCATTAATGAGCAATTGGAATCATGTTTTCATGTTTGGTTCTTCATGTGGGAAGCCGATGCTATCAATACCACCAATACCGCATCTGTTTCCAAGAGGTAGCAGTAAGTTTTTATTGGACCATCCAAATGTTCCTTGCTTCTCTCTGTGACCAGTGAGATACCTTTGTAAGATAGACAGAGTATTAAGTTAAAACATGGGTGCTTGAACCTATGATCTTTACCTTATTAACATGTGTGGCTATCTTCCTCAGTGCTAGAATTGTGAAGTGAGAATTGCGCTCAAGTGGCCACTACATTAATTTCCTGATACTGACAGCTGAATTTAAAGGAGAACATCAGCTAATGCTGTGTAATTGAATGTCTGACATCTGGCTGGTGCTCCACAAGTGAGGATTCTTCCTCTATTGTTAACGTTCAAGAAAGTAAATTTCAAATTTGTCTGTTTCATTTTTGATTAAAGGAGAGGAGAATTTGGTGGTCTGGATTTTATTTTTGGATTGAGAGAAAAGTCAAATTTTTACAACTTTCACAACGATATAATGAAAGCACTGCACTAGGCTAGTGGCTCTCAACCTAGTATTATTTGACTTAAAGTGATCTATGTAGTTAGTAAGGTGAATGAGCCATGAGTTATGCAACATTTCCTAGAATATATAAAAAATAATGCTATTGATGTTACTGTTCTAGAAAATATTGACATCATTGTGCACATTTTGAATAAAGTAAAAAGAAAAGTAGCATGTCAGCTTTTAATAAATGAAGGTTGGTTATCAGAGGCTTAGAAAATAATAAGGTAACTAAAGCTATTCATTGGCATCCAAAAGTGGGAAATCATTAAAATCAGTGATTTTTCAGAGACAAATCCAAGACCCCTTCCAGTTTTAAGACTCTTAGGTACCTTTGATATTTAGAATACCCTTTGAAATACAAGGTTTCCATGTACTAAACATTTCTTGAGGATTTTCCTAATTTATATCTCCCTCTTCTCTGGAAGCTGCCCCCACTACACCATTAGAGGTGGTTCACCTAATACTCATGCTTTTTCTACAGAAACGTTTTTCTCTGCTGCTAGCCATAGTTGATTGGTCCATATATTATCACCTGACCCCAGCTACATCGATTAGAATCTTTCTCAACATTTTGAGCTAGAGAAACAGATTAGGTGTTGTTAGAACTAGTCGTTACTGATATGATACCCAGAGGGAAGATTCCTAAACAACCACCAATGAAGTCATTCAAAGTTAACTGAGTTATTCCCTTACCAAGAGTGTTTTGTATTGTTGCATTATGTAGCACCACAAACTTAGTGGCTTAAAACAATGCAAATTTATTAACTCAAATTTCTGTGTATCAGGAGTCTGGGCACAGGTTATCTGGGTTCCTGCTCTAGATCTAACACAGCTAAAATCACCATGTCAGCCAGAGATGCAATCTCATCTGAGACATGGAGTTCTCCTCCAAGATCATGCAGGTTACTGGCAGAATTCAGTTCCTTATAGTTCTAGAACAGTGGTCCCATTTTTCTTGCTGGCTATTGGTCAGGTGTTACTTTCACCAGCAGCCTCACTTGGATTACAATGGCCCTTTCACACATAACAGGTTACTTCTTTGAAGACAATTGGACAACATCTTCTAGTGTACGATGACAGAGTCTTACATAATGTAACATAATCATGGAATGGCTATCCATCATATTCAAAAGACAGACCCACACTTGATGAGAGGAAATTAAACACAGCGTGTGTATAAGCGGGCAGGAATCTTGAGGACATCTTAGAATTTGACTTTCACTTTGGGGTCTGGTAGTTCAAGTCTTATTTGGATTTCTTGAAACAGACTTGTATCCTTTACAAAAATTGTGTGTGTGTATGTCCTTATCTACCTTCAGGTTTGGTTTGGTTTTTCCACTTACAATCAAGAAAATATTAACTGATATGTTCATCGTATTATCCCCAAGACTCCCAGAAAATATCTGGAGTAAAGGGCAGATGTTTTTACTATGGAGTCATATAAATTCATATAATTTAAAAACACGTCAATAATTTGGTAATTGATTTATAAAGATGATAAATTGACTTTCTTTTCTATGCCACCAAATTCTTGACTTTGTAAAATATTTAATGGCTCACTTAAGGGAAAGTTGTGTGTGGGATTATTTCTACTTGGCACTCCTCAGCCTGGCAACATCATTCCTTCTTCTTCTTCTTCTTTTTTTTTGGGGGGGGGGGGCGTGCTGTGGGGGAGAGAGTCTTGGTCTGTCACCCAGGCTGGAGTGCAGTGATGTGAACATGGCTCACTGTAGCCTCGAACTCTTGGCCTCAGCCTCCCAAGTACCTAGAACTATAGGCACATACCAGTACACCTGGCTTATTTTTAACATTTTTGTACAGAGGAGATCTCGCTGTGTAGTCTAGGCTGGTCTCAAATTCCTGGCCTCAAGTGATCCTTCTGCCTCTGCTCCCAAAGTGCTAAGATTATAGGTGGTGCCACCATGCCTGGCCACATATATCTTCTTGATCTCATTCTGTGAAAAACACAGAGTTTAACTATTTTAGATATCTTAGAATAGAAATACAGAATTTAAATATTTTAGAACTTCCATATGTTGGAAGTTTTTTTTTTTTTAATCAAACTTCTACACAAGGGGTTTGACAAATTAAATGATGCTCTCCATTCTCTATAAATTACTGACAGATACCACTGGCATCTCAGCAATCACAGCAGCATTTGCACATTGCTTTCTTAAATAGAGTATATACTTATGAAGAGCCACTTTTGTCTTTTTCTAAACTTGTTTATGCCAGCTATACTTATAATTATGTATTTCAATGGAATATATAAAGGGATAAATATGAATATGAAAAGATAATTATTTATGCTATGATGCTAAAAAACTAAGTGGAATGCTTTGAAAAATCTCAATAAGTACAATTTGTTTTTTAAAAGCAACTGAATTGTGTAATTAAATTAGGATCAGGTGAGCTTATTTCATAAGACCGAGAAGCCATTATAAAAGATCCATATCTAACTTATTTTCTGGGACTAAGTTTGACTTTCACTTTAAATAAACAAAAATAACAGATTATATATAATATTTCTATAAGAACGGCCTTATAACACTTCAATTAATAGGTCCAACTTCGATGAGAAAACCTTGGGCCTAAATCAAGTTATTAACCAATATATATACTTCATTAACATTACATTTAAGTGAATTATTTAAGGAACATAGGCATCATATTTTATATTTTAAAAATTTTTTATTAACTTTGAATTATGAAAAAAAACTGAGAGCAGATCTGATAGTGGAGGGTAGAAGGGTTTTTCTAGTGTAGTAGCTTTTGTCTCCTCTCCCATGAGCCTGACTCATTATTAACCCTCAGATTTATAAGAATAGTCCTTTCCTACATTCCTTTGAATGTTTTTCTGAGTGTCTCACCTTCCTTATATGAACAGGCAGTTAGGTCACCTCTTGGATCTAGGTAATATCTTTTTTTTTTTACTAAGACACTTTCCAATCCACCATTATTTTGTTCTGTATTTTTTAGTTTCTCTTTATTAGCATTTCTGTGTCATGTTAGCTTAAGATGAGAAATGACTGCTATCAGTCTTTACTAAGTCAAGAATCAGAATCAGAGGCCTATAAATATTTCAATAAATGACCATTGCAAAACTGTGGAGATAGTAAAGCATAATGAGAAAAGCAAAGCAAGGAAGACACAGAATTAGATTTAAATCTAGGTAATGCAACTACTTTGCTATGTGGCCTTTGATGCATTATTTGAATTCATGAGCTTTTATTTCTAAAAGGGCTTTGACAGGCTGTGATAAACTCTCAATAACCTCTCCAGAAAACAAGTAAACAAACAAAGCATCTGTAGGAATTTCCTCAACTATAAGTTGCCATGATTTGCTTTATAGGGAATAAATTATTTGTTCTATAGGAAATGAATAACCATTGCCACTGCAGAATGACTTGAAAATAGGGTTTGAATTAAGAGCCAAGACTAGCAAATGTCCTGTGTGGAAACCTGGAAGGAAAAACTCTACCCAGTAGGGAGGTGACAAAGAGCTCAATTAGTTGCTCTTTCTTAGAAACGGTTGAACATGAGGCTGGGGCAGAAATGAGGAGCAATTGAGTCATCAGAACAGCAGACCAAAAGATTTGATTTGGGGCTACTAGACAAATGATGATGTCCCTAATGTTTTCCTATTCTCCCCATGATACCTGCTCCATCAACAAATAGGACAGTTTTGGTGCATTTATGTGTCCTCATGTATTTTCACAATAAACCCCCATCCCCTAGGGTAATCCAAAGTTACCTTTGTTCCTTGCTCTGAAATTGCCCTCTGCAAAGCACTAATGTGAGATCAAAATCATGTGCATGGAGGATCTGGAAGCAACTTAGAGAGTTCTGGGAGAATTGAAGATAATCTCCATCCATCAAGTATCAACCACAAGTTAGGACACAGGTGGTCAAGAAGCGGTGCTGTTGTTAATATAATTTTTATGTAATATTTATAACTAAAAAACTGAAAAATGTTGATGAATTTGAGTTTCTTTAGAGGAAAAAAGCAGTTTCTAAATTGAAAATTAAAACACTTCTCTTATGGAAGAAGCTTAAATCACCCCCAAGAGTCATTAGAAGCCCTTGTCAGAGGAGAGCTGCACCCATTCAGATGTCTCTACCCCATTCTCCCATTTTCACAATCATTATTAGTGCAGTCATAATCAGATCGTCCTACTACATACTAAAAAAGGGATGGTTCATTTTCAACCCAAGATATATCTCCACTAAACATAAAAACTACTCTGGCGGAAGAGCTAACTTTGCTGGAAGTATCTTTGGGAGAAATCACCTTCTCCTTGGCCCCAGCAGAAAGAGAGGGAGAAGAGAAGGCACTGGTAGGACCATGCAGGCAGCTCAGTGGATGAGCAAAATGGAAGCTGGGAGCTAAGCGAACAAGTCACTTTAGAAGAACATCTTTTGCTGAATTGAGGACAAGCCTCAGTGGGGGCTGGTGGTGACTCCTTTGGCTGCTTGACATGATTTGTCCCTAGTGATATGAATGCCAAACTTGAAACTTGTTGTTATTATAGGAAATTGAGGGTCGGCTTTTATTGCATTTTTAGTTTCCAAGAAATAAATCCTTTTTTGGAAAGTGGAGAATGGTGCTTCAACCAGAATCTGACTGTGGCTGAAGAATATTTGGAAGGCACTCTGCCTTGTTGGTTTATAACTTCATGCATATATTCTCTTCTACTGACTGTCTATTCCCTCTGTTCTGCACTATCCACTACACAGATACACAAACTTCATTATACCCAAGACAAATTCACAATTTCTATTCTCTCTCTCTCTCTCTCTGTCTCACACATACACACACATATACATGATCATAGAAGTGATTTTCTGATCAATGCATAAATACCCAGAGACAGATATACTGAATTTGTCACCTCTCCACTTAGCCCTAACAATGATGATATAAAGCATGTTGCCCTTTCTTTGCAATCCAGAGGATTCTTCTAACAGCCCAACAAAGTCGTCATCTGCCCAGCATGTTTTTCCTAGAATGGCATGCCCATACAGGCAGCACGGAGCCCACAGTACACAAGCTTGACTCACCCTTGGCTCCAGGCCAACTCTCATCCTTATGCAGACTTGACAAAATGCAACATGGGACAAAAATCACCCAATTGATGGGCTACAGATATTCTCCATTTTCTTCCCTTTTCTTAGAGCCTGTTATTTTCCTTTGAATGTCCAACTAGAAAGAAACCTTTTCCTTCTGATTCAAATTGGGCATAACAGCAGAGCAGATGGTGCTGGTGAGTTAAGTAACAACAGAACACAGAGTACAACTTGTTTTCAAAAACAAATGGCCCTTCTTGGAAGGTACAGTCTAATAGGACTGACAAATTAAAGTCGAATTCAGAGAAATTTTTTTTTAAACAATCAACCAGCTAACCATTTCCCTAAACTATACTACAAAGAATTTAGAGGCCCTCTCCTTCAATTTCTCCCAGTATTGAGGATGGCCTGCCTCCCAGGAGGAAGGACATAGTCAATAACAATAATCAATCTAGCTTGTCCATGTCACATCTGACTATTTTTGTATTTCCAAGACCTGATCTCACAGAATCCTCTCGATTAAACAACAAAGAAGTCAGAGAACTAGTTTTAATTTTTCTGTTGAAGATAGTGTTTCCAGGATTCTCAGTGATTTGTCTAAAGTCAAAGACATAGTAAGCACTAGGTACAAGATTTAGTCCTGTTTATTATTCATTTATTCATGTAAATATGCATATATACTTCATTTATGCATTGAACTCTGTCCTGGAGACCCCTTGATGAACAAAACCATCAGAATATCTGCTTTTACAATTTAGTAGATTGCAACAGGCAAATAAACAGACAATAAAAATAAAATTTAAAAAGACATGTGAGCTACAGCAGTAATAGGAGAATATATAGTAATCTAGTTTGGAAGTGAATAGGAGGATGGGTTGAGGGAAAATAGTAAGTGTCTAGAAGTCATGAAGTTTAAAATGAGATTAGAAAAATCAGTGGGAATTATTGTGGCAGAAAGTTGGGGGTTGGAGAGGAGAAACAGAGAGGGAGAAAAAGTATTCTAGGCAGGGAATAGCGGCTATGTGAAGACCAGAAATTAAGTCAGATTGTAGCAGATGTGAAGATTGGCAAGAAGTTTGGGATGGCTGGAGCTAAACAAGGGAAGGAGTGAGTGGTTGGAGATGCAGTACTATGGTAAAGAGAGGCCTGGGTCCCCCCACAAGGTGGCTCACGCCTGTAATCCCAGCACTTTGGAAGGCCGAGGCAAGTGGGTCCTTTGAAGTCAGGAGTTTGAGACCAGCCTGACCAACATAGTGAAACCCAGTCTCTACTAAAAATACATAAAAATAGCTGGGCGTGGTGGTGCACACCAGTAATCTCAGCTACTCAGGGGGCTGAGGCATGAGAATTGCTTGAATCTGGGAGGCAGAGGTTGCAGTAAGCCAAGATCGCGTCATTGCACTCCAGCCTGGGCGACAGAGCGAGACTCTGTCTCAAAAAACAAAAACAAAAACAAAAACAAAAGGCCTGGAAGTGCAGCACTGCATAGGCATCTTCAGTTAAAGGAGTTTGGATTATATTCTATGGATAAGTAGGAACCACAGAAGGCTGTGAAGTACAACTGGCTGAAATGTGACTTGAAAAGAATACAAAACAGAGGCTACAGGTCCAGTTACAACCTGATGAAGTTGTCTAAGTGAGAAATGAATTAGATTTAGATTTATATAGCAGGTATTGGAGAGAACTGGATGGATTCTAATGACATTTAGAAGTTAGATTCAACCGGATTGGTGGAGTGATAAACTAAGTGGATTAGAGTAAACGAGATGGAATCAAGATGACTTTCAGATATTTGTGGGGTTGTGTGGCTGACAGGGTGATTGCCTTACTATTTTCTCCACCTGTTCAGATTCTGTGGATTCTCATGACTTATCTCCCATTATGGTCCCCATTCTAGAGGCCCTGATGGCAAGAGACACCATTCTAATTGAAGAATACTACAAGTGGCATCCAGGATATTATTCTATTCAATCTCAAATTGCTTGAGGATTGAATTTAGAGACAGACTAATAAATGAAATTAATTCTCCTTGGAACAGGCTTTTGGCATATGTTGAGGAGATTTTGATCTCCGTGTAAAAGTATTAAGATCTCTATTCTTATTGGTGTGATAACACCTTGGTCAACTACCAAAACCAGGAAACTGAAAGGCCACCTGAATCTTTGTCTAAAGGTAGACTTTGTTTGTATGTTTGTTTGTTTAATGTCAGAGCTAAGGAGAATTCTAAAACTCATCTGGCCCCTTCCATTCATATAAACAAAGAGCCAACACCTAAACAGATGAAGTGAATTTTTCCATGTCATTGGAGAGTCAATGAAAGAATCATCATTAAACCTGTTTTCTAACTCCTAGACCACTGTTGTTTCAATTAGCCTCACAGAATATTAATTGTGTCTACCATGCACTAAATAGTGTTTATTGTATTTTTTCTCTAAAAGATAGGGATTGCTTTATCCAATCACATTACAAGAGAAAAACTGAGGGTTGGAAAATCTAAGTGACTTGACAGGTGAAAGCACAAAATGGCCCTACTCTTCAGCTGAACTCAGAACAACTCCAAATTCCACATTCTTTCCACTGTATCATGCTGCCTGTCACAGGCTTCATAATTAAGGGAAAGTATCTAAGGAAGATGGTTGCAGATTAGAGTCCCACTCAGGGTACAAGATTCATCTGATGTCAAGGAGACACATTAACTCTTTCCTCTCAGCTTTCTTTCATGGAAATCTGACCACCCCTCAGCTGTTGCTGGTGACCTGAGTATTTATAACAAATAAAAAATACCAGACCTTCTTACCAACAGCTTATTACCCCTGCCTAATCATGCAAGGGTGAAGTGAGAAAGCAGCATGGATCTAGACTTCCTTATCATTTTAAAAATTATGTGAACAAGTTGTAATTTATTTTAATCTGTTTAGCTTATGGCATTATCTTTTGGTGTCTTTATTGGAGAAAGCCTTTTTGTTAAGACAGAAGATTACTGAAGCATATTTCTCGTGAGTTCACATAGTTCAGCCCACCACAGGGTCCAGTTTGGGTGGATTGGGCATTTCTCTGAACACTTAAGTGGCATTGTTGGGCAGGCCAGCCGCATGAGGCCCTTAGAGGGATACGGCCGTTTTGGCACTGCTAAATTCTGTGATGTATTAGGGCTTCCTCTCAATGGCCATTACATTAGGAAAAAATTTACAGCTCATGATCAACAGCTGTTCTTCTAAATAAAACAATGTAGTTCATTCTTTCCCTTTTAGCATGCCAGAATCCAGTGCTGTGTGAGACTAAGGCTTGCACTTGCATTCTATGGAAATTATTTAATCCTTGAAAACATGTGGGAAATCCAGTCATTTGTTCATTTGTGTGTGTGTGTCATCTGCCTCCTTATCCTACTTATTCTTGCATTCATTCATTCACTCACTCACTTTCTTGTTGTTTGCTTAATATTTTTATTTTTATTGCGATAAAATATCTTTATATGTAACAAACAATTTGCTATTTTAACCATTTTAAGTGTACGACTCAATGACATTCACATTGGTGTACAACCGTGACCAGTATCTGTTTCCACAACTTTCCCATCACTCCAAATAGAAACTCTGTAATCATTATTTTTCCTTATTCTTTATCCTTTTTTTCAACAAATATTTATTAGATACCTACTCTGGCCAAAATTCCATGACAGGAGCTGTGGGAAGATAGAAACCTTAACAACATGTGGTCTGATATGAAAGAACTGAAACTCTGATGGGGATACATGTGTCCTACAGGTAACTGAGAGCCATCACCTTCATTATCTTTTCAGACCTGCTGTCCTCAGACAGTGCCTTGGGCTTCAGGTGACATACCAGAGCACAGATGCTAAAGTACAAACTCACTAGTCTGATTTTGGTCTCATGGTTTGGCCTTAACTACCTTCCTAATCCAGGCTCCCACCACTGCATTTTTCACTCTATACTCCAGTTGATTAAAGAAAGGAGCAATTATTATTATTATTATTTTTTTTTTCAAGATGGTGTCTTGCTCTGTCACCCGGGCTGGAATGCAGTGGCATAATCTCAGCTCACTGCAACCTCTGCCTCCCAGGTTCAAGCTATTCTCCTGCCTCAGCCTACCGAGTAGCTGGGATTACAGGCATGCGCCACCATACCCGGCGGCTATTTTGTGTATTTTTAGTACAGATGGGGTTTCACCATGTTGGCGAGGCTGGTCTCCAATTCTTGACCTCATGATCTGCCCTCCTTGGCCTCCCAAAGTGCTGGGATTACAGGCGTGAGCCACCATGCCTGAAAGGAGCAATTGCTAACAATTACTTGATAACAGAATGATCATCATCATCAACAACAAAATGATAATAAAATCAGTAACTCCACCAGACTACTGCCCTTAATCTGATAAATCCCCAGCACCTGGGCTACTTCTAACACCTCTATGTGAAACTCCTTTGTAATCCCCTACTCTCAGGTAAACTGAAAATCTCACTCAGAGGCGTAGCTATCAAGCACCCCATTCTAGATGGTCAACAGTCATGTAAAAAAAATAGGAAAAATATGGACTGCCAGTAAGTGGCTTTGTGAATGATACAATTCTTTAAGTGAAGTGAAGAGCAGCTAATTCTTCAAGAGTCACAAGGAAATTTAGACAGAGGGAAGATCATACATCAAAGGCTAAAATACTGGCTTTCAAGGCAACCAAATTATTTTGATTGCTTCCTAACTCTGCTACTAGTTGCCACATGTACATGTGGCTAATCATATGACTGCTTGAACCTCAATTTTTCCATCTGTAAATATCAGAGTGGTGGTGGCTAATGATACCCACCCATTGTAAAGACTGGATATAATAGTAAATGCAAAGTAAAATAATGACGACTCATCTTTGTTGAATACGTTACACATGTCAGGCATTATTCTAAATCTTTCACTTATATTTATTTAATTATCACAGCAACACCCTAAGATGAATAGTAAGATCATCCCCTTTATGCAGATGAAGAAAATGAAGTAGAGAGAGTTAAAGTGATTGACAAAGAGCCCTCACTTAGTTAAGTGGCAGTGCTTCATACAAACCTAGGCTGACTCCAGCATCTGTAATCTTAGTCACGCACATCACTGCATCCTAAGAGTATTAAGCAAGTACAAAATAGGTTATTGATATTAGAAAAGATAGTTAAACTTCATAAAATGGACATGGGCTTTAATATATCTATTTAGAGTTTCCTTCTACTTTCACTACTGTAAGTTTACTGTAATCTCACATTGCTTCTTCCTTATGTTGATGCAAAGATGTCCTAATTCTTCCCCCTTCACACTCTTGGCTCCGAATTCATCCTCCCCAAAGTGGACTTTATGAAGGACATAGGTGCTCAGGACACTCTGCTGCTCAAAAGTCTTCAGTGGCTCCTCCTTATACTCAAGGCATTTAAGATCTGGCACCAACTATTTCTTCGACCTCATTCACATCCCCTCCTTAAAGCCAGTTCACCATCCAGACCTACTGAAGGATTTATGGCCCCTTCACATCTCTGTGCCTTTGTGCATATGAGACCCTTTGTCTGAAATTATCTCTATTCTCTTATCTGACTCAATAATCTTGCCCAGTTTTTAAAAGACAGATCAAGCATCTTCCTTCCTTTGTCTATCGTCTATGCCTCTCCCTAAATCTCTGTGTGTGTGTGTGTGTGTGTGTGTGTGTGTGTATGTATATATGTGTGTATGTGTGTCTTGCCTTACAAAAATGAACTGTGTAGATTTCTCTAACACAGCATCCCAATGAGTGGCAGTTATCTGTTACAAATTGGATTTCCCTTCTAATCTGTAAGCTCTTTAAGATAAAGACTACATTATAGTCTTATTTGTATCATTTTGGCTATAAGAGATTAAGAAGTGATTCAAATTGCCTTAAAAAATGCAATAGTCCATCTTATTCATGGTTTTACTTTCCAGTTTCAGTTATCCACAGTCAACTGTGGTGCCAGAAAAAGTCTAGAAAAAAAATTTATAAGTTTTAAACTGCATGCTGTTCTGAGAACCATGATGAAATCTTGCCCTGTCCTGCTCTTTCCTATTAGTAACATGAATCATCTATTTTCTTAGCCTATCCACGCTGTATATGCTACCCCCACATCAGTCACTTAGTAGCTCTCTGGGTTATCTGATCAGATTGGCCGATCACAAGAAGAAGGGAGAGTACAGTACAATAAGATATTTTGAGAGACAGAAAAAGACCACATTCATGTAACTTTTATTACAGCATATTTTTATAATTGTTCTATTTTATTATTAGTTATTGTTGTTAATCTCTTACTGTGCCTAATATATAAATTAAACTTTATCATATGCATATAGGAAAAAATTGTGTGTGTGTGTGTGTGTATATATATATATATATACACACAAGATGGATATATATCTTATAAAGATATCTATCATATATATATGTAAAGATATATATATCTTTCAGAACTATCTGTACTTTCAGGCATTCACTGGGGATCTTGGAACATATCCCCCATAAATAAAGTGAGACTAGTGTAATGTATTTAACTGAAAAGCCCAGACATATAAATGGCTTCATGTATAGCTGGTATATTTTTTCAATTTTTAATTTATAATTTTATGGGTACATATATTTATGTGATATATGAGATATTTTGATACAGGCATATAATGTGTAATAATCACATCAGGTTAAATTATGTATCCATTACCTCAAGCATTTATTATTTCTTTGTGTTATGAAAAATCCAATGATACTCTTGTTATCTTAAAATGTATGAAAAATTATTGTTGCCTGTGGTCACACTTCTGTGCTATCAGCTACTAGATCTTATTCATTCTATCTAACTATATTTTTATACCCATTAACCATCCCCACTGTAACCCCCAACTACTCTTCTCAGCCTCTGATAGCCATCATTCTTCTCTCCATCTACATGAGTTCAAATGGTTTAATTTTTCGCTCCCAGAAATAAATAAGGACATGAAAAGTTAGTCTTACTGCTTTTCTTATTTCACTTAACATAATTTCCTGCAGTTCCATGCATGTTGCTACAAATAACAGGATCTCATTCTTTTTTAATGGCTGAATGGTACTCCAAGTGTAGCTGGTTTAAACCTTCTTACAGTATAATCAAAATCAAATTCCAAGTTTTTTTCTCTCCAATTCTCACCTCCATTTTCCTTTTATTGAATGTCATACACGTTTTGCAGATGGCTCCTCATTTGTATAAAATGTGTTCCTGTAACTTCCAGGTTCACACCTAGGATTCTCAGAAACAATTCACTTCTTATCACTGATCTTAATTGGGTTATGCTTTCAATCTTTTAGGCCAAAAGAAAACAGTATACTCATTTGTCTAAACTTAACTCAGAAAGTCCAAAATGTGGAGCCCTTCCAGAAGCCAATGAGATGAGAAGGGGATTGCAGTGATCCCCAGAACAATCCTGGAATATGGTTACTGAATGGACAGATTTATGTTGAGTAGTGCGCATGTGCATACACACACACACACACACACACACACACACACACACACACACGTGTTCTTTCCTTAATTCTAATGTCAATCATACTGAGTTAATAACAATGAATAAATGATTGTGTGTGTGTGTCTGAGTTTACTCATTACTCATGCATGCATACAGAGAACAGAAGACAAAGTAGAGACCAATATACCTTTTTTTTTCTTTCCCAGAAAGAAGATATTATATCCTTCAGACTGTACTTTGTTATGTTTGGCATTAAGTGAATGGTTGTAGACCAGCTAATGAAATATAGCATTTGTCTTCATGCTGAAAAGCACTTTATGATTGCCTTCTTTTTTCCAGTACAATTTATTGTACTCTGTGATTCTTCCCATGAGTCACTGGGACATGAGGTTATTATAATTAAATAAAAACTAACAATTCCATGTTAACTTTTTTGGAAGACTTTGTCCTTGGTTTCCATTTCTTTCCACTATCCCATTCCACATTTACCACATTTCATATTTCAAAACTTCTTTTTTAACCAATATCTACTGGATGACTTTAACAGCAGCCTATATGCACATAATCTTATTTTGTTTAATCATTGTGACTCTTTGAAATTGATAATCCAATTCATTCATTCATGCATACATTTAAGCTACACTTATTTTTAAGAAGTATTATACACTGTTAGTCACCAAAGAAACAATTGTAAACAGTGTATATTTCCTTGCCTTCAAGAAGCTTACATTCTAGTGAATAAGAAAAACAAGAAGACTATATTTTCATTCTGGGAAGACTTCCTTTAAACAGATGAACATGATGTTTCCATTGTAATAGACTGAGAAGGGTTAATTGTAACAGATTCATTAAACTCCTATCTAAATGCTTAAGTCTTGATATTTACTGGGATGGAGAAGTGCAAGCATTCCTTAGCGTTTACTTACTTTTTTCTTTTTTATCCCACTATGATTTATTCTAATCAATTTTTATAGCTCATTTTATATTGTTTCCTAGTAGAGTTTTTAAAATGAAAGTTCCTTGAAGTAAGGAACCTATCCTTAATCTCATCTTTGTCTATTCGGTGGCTTGGGATGAACCTTGAACACCGGGCATTCATTCTATATGTTGAATCTTACCTAAAGGCTTGTAAATCCTCCATTGTTCACAGATTATGTCATTTATGCATTCGTTAATTCAACAAATATTTATTCAATTTATCTTATATGTCAGATGTAGTCTAGCTTGTTTCTAGTTTATCAGCAATTTTGAGTCAGTACAATCCAAATAAATGAGATTTTGTCATGAAAAGATAAATGTGAAGGGCTAAAAGATACACTTATTCTAAGAGTCAAAAATAAATAACAAAATATTAGGAATCTCTTATGTGGGTTTTTTTCCTCCTATGTTTTTCATAATAAACATCTATTACTTTTGTAATGTGGAAAACTATACTATATTGAAAATATGTTTTCTGGTTTAATTGTAAAAAGATTTGGCATTAATTTTTTAAATTTAATATCTTTCCCCCTCTGCCTTCCCCTGATATCTTCCTCTTGGAAAAAAATACTTCAAGTTCATAAACGTAATTTTTTACTTTTTATTTCTGATTCTCACTTTATTCAGAGATTGGAAGCTTTTTATTTGTTTAAACAAACTTTTTTTTTTTTTTTTTAGTGGGGTTTCACCATGTGGCCCATGCTGGTCTCAAACTCCTGGGCTCAAATGATCCCATCTGCCATGGCCTCCCAAAGTGCTGGGATTACAGGCATAAGCCACCACACCCAGCCTATGGTAATTTCTTTTTTTAATTTTTATTGTTTTATATTTTTTAAATTATACTTTAAGTTCTGGGATACATGTGCAGAACGTGCAGGTTTGTTACATAGGTACACACGTGCCATGGTGGTTTGCTGCACCCATCAACCCATCATCTACATTAGGTATTTCTCCTAATGCTATCCCTGCCCTAGCCCCCCATCCTCCCTGTTGTGTGATGTTCCCCACTCCGTGTCCATGTGTCCATTGTCTTGGCTATACGGGCTCTTTTTTGGTTTCATATGAATTTTAAAGTAGATTTTTCTAATTCTGTGAAGAAAGTTAATGGTAGCTTGATGGGGATAGCATTGAATCTCTAAATTACTTTGGGCAGTATGGTCATTCTCACGATATTGACTCTTCCTATCCACGAGTATGGAATGTTTTTCCATTTGTTTGTGTCCTCTCTTATTTCCTTGAGCAGTGGTTTGTAGTTTTCCTTGAAGAGGTCCTTTGCATCCCTTGTAAGTTGGACTCCTAGGTATTTTATTCTCTTTGTAGCAATTGTGAATGAGAGTTCACTCATGATTTGGCTCTCTGTTTGTCTATTGGTGTATAGGAATGCTTGTGATTTTTGCACATTGATTTTGTATCCTGAGACTTTGCTGAATTTGCTTACCAGCTTAAGGAGATTTTGGGCTGAGATGATCGTTTTTTTGTTGTTGTTTTGTTTTGTTTTGTTTTGTTTTTTTGAGACAAGAGTCTTGCTCTGTCACCCAGGCTGGAGTGCAGTGGCGCGATCTTGGCTCACTGCAAGCTCCGCCTCCCAGGTTCACGCCATTCTCCTGCCTCAGCCTCCCCAGTAGCTGGGACTACAGGCGCCCGCCGCCACGCCTGGCTAATTTCTTTTTTGTATTTTTAGTAAAGACAGGGTTTTACTGTGTTAGCCAGGATGGCTACAATCTCCTGACCTCGTGATCAGGCAATCTCCTGACCTCGTGATCTGCCCGCCTCGGCCTCCCAAAGTGCTGGGATTACAGGCATGAGGGGGTTTTCTAAATATACAATCATGTCATCTGCAAACAGAGACAATTTGACTTCCTCTCTTTCTATTTGAATACCCTTTATTTATTTCTCTTGCCTGATTGCCTTGGCCAGAACTTCCAATACTATGTTGAAAAGGCATCTTTGTCTTGTGTCGGTTTTCAAAGGAAATGCTTCCAGCTTTTACGCATTCAGTATGATACTGGCTGTGGGTTTGTCATAAATAGCTCTTATTATTTTGAGATACGTTCCATCAATACCTAGTTTATTGAGAGTTTTTAGCATAAAGGGGTGTTGAATTTTATCAAAGGCCTTTCCTGCATCTATTGAGATAATCATGTGGTTTTTGTCATTGGTTCTGTTTATGAGATAGATTACATTTATTGATTTGTGTATGATGACCCAGCCTTGCGGAATGAAGCTGACTTAATTGTGGTGGATAAGCTTTTTGATGTGCTGCTGGATTCGGTTTTAATTTAAGAGATTGCATACTACTATAGAAAGAGTGATGAGTTAGAAAGACTAGAGTCTGAAGCTCATCTTTATCTTCACTAGTAATAACCTAAAGAAGTTATGGCGTCACTTCCAGTCCTAATTTTCTTATGAGTAAATATGGGGACATTAATACTTTCATGATGGCTTGCACAGGGGATTAAATGAGGTGAACTGTGAAAAAATGACTGCCACATGTTAGGAATACTCCAGAAAATGGTTCCATTCCTGCTATACCTCCAGGCTGGCATTCAAAACTGAGGCTCAGACAAATTAAAATGTTTTTTCAAGGTCAGAGATTGAGACAGGCTTGAACCTGCACCTTCTAGTACTAATTCAGTCCTCTGAAATCTGTAGTATTTTCTAATGAAGGTCAGGAATTAGAAGCATCACAAATGACATTTCCACTTGCTCTTTGCCTCATAGCTCATGTTTCTAGGCAGTTTAAATAGCACCAAACAATTAAAATATTTATTCCTTGACATTCAATGACATTTTTTTTTTTTTTTGGCAATAGCCTACAACCAAATGGCCTTTGAGTCGGCAAAGTTATTGCTTTAGCTGCCCTTCCGCCTTCCAAAGATCAGGTGACTGTTTTCAAATGTAGAAAGGAGCCAGCCCATAAATCACAGGGAAAAGAACTCACTTTGAACAAGCTAAGCTGCCTTGTAGAACAAGTGCTGGAAGTCACATTGCTCATGGCCTATTAATTATTGGGCTGCTCTCACTTCTCCCAGGACAAGTCATTTCCAGAATTCCTCTCTTTAAATAAGACTTAGAAATTCAATAGTGATACTATCTTAGGATATGAAGAAAGATGTGATGCCGAGGCATGTTTTAAGCAGGAAGCCAACACCAGTATCCTTCCTTAGGATAAGTAGAAGTTGTGGTTGTTTATAGACATGATTATAAGGAAGCACTATGGGTCCAAACATAAAAAAAGGTTCACCTGGGATAATCAGTAATTCTTTGAAAGGGCAAACAGTTGGAAATTGTTATCAAAGGAGGTCAGACTGTCAGTGTTCTATTACAAACCATGAAATAGGTTAACAAATGTTTGAAGCTAAAGGGATGTCATAAATTTGTTATCCAACCTTTCTGTACTATTAGGAGAAATGTCATAAAGGAAAACTGAGGTCTAGACAAATTAAGATGCTTTTTCAAGGTTGGTGGTTGAGCCAGGCTTGAACTTCAGCCTTCTGCACCAGTTCAGCCCTCTGTAGTCTATATCATACTGATTTTCCTAATGCAAGTCAGATATTAGAAGCATTCCACATGGCATTTCCATGTACTGTATGTTTCATATCTCATAGTTCTAGGCAATTTAAATAGCAACAAATAAAGTATTTATTCCTTGATATTCATTTTTTTCAACAAATAATTAATGGATCCCTTATTATGTCATATATATTCAGCGTAAAGATGTAGGTTTATCTGATGAATCAGACACCTTCCTACTGAGGAGCTGATAGGATTTCTTAGCCTATCTTACAGATTATGGACTTGCTCTTTAATGGGCTGAACAGGTGAACATTTATATCGTCATAAACAATAACACAAAATGTTTCTGGCTCTGTCTGTATGAGAATTTGGAAGTATTTTTAGGAAGTTATTAGTCATAGCACTTGTCTACGGGTAAGAGCATCTTGAAAGGAGACCTCTTCTAATTATGTATTTTCCTGTTTACTTCAACATTCTGGGATCTGCCCAAATAAGGGTTTTGCTTCCCTTTGGTTCAATTTCCTGATTGGATAAAAGGAGATTCCCAGTGTCCTGTCACAGAAGACTTATCTTGAATTGTGTAGGCAATGAGTGTAGAGAACGGAAAAGCATCTGAGAAAAAGAAGTGACTAGATAGAATTCTAAATAAACATTTATGTGGATCAAGGAAAAGGTAGATACCTTCCTAACCATTTGGAAAACTTGTCTTGTGTTACTTAATATTCCTCTCATACCGTGGGCAGATGAATAGAGACAAATTGTAAAATGTTATAGATTTTATAATCTAGACCATCAGGATCTACTTATAACCACAACCAAATTACCACTACTTATGACCAGGCAGAATCCAACTCTTCCTTTCCTATTCTGGAATACCATTTCACTTGGGATGAGAGCATAGTGATTTGAAATGTGCAGGAGACCTACATCACTTCTAGACACTTTCAATTTGGCCAAGACACTTTGTCTCTCTAGGCCTCAGTTTTTTTAACTTCCAAATGGGAAAATACTGAACTGTACCATCTTACAAAGCATAGAAATGCTGTGAGGATCAACTAAGATAATGCCTGTAAGAAAGACTGGTTAATAAAAACTGAGTCATATAAACACTAGCTATTGTTATTTTCACTGTCTTCAGTCACTCTGCTAAATCACTTTGCCATAGAATGCTTTGCAGTGGAATTCATTATGTAAATCTCGAACTTCCCACTGGAGTTTAAGCTCCTTGAGGTTATTCATCCTTAAATCCATATCATCTAGCAGATCTAGGTGTACATCTAGATGAACATGTTCATCTCTTTTCTTTCTCTTTCAGGTGCACGTTCTATTCAAGGGAATTTCTATCTCTTTCCCTTCTTGGTAAGGGATGCTCATCTAGGATGGCTCCGTGGGTTTTAGAAAGGGCTTGAGCTCATTCTTCACCAGGACTCTGCCATGTAATTTTAGCCACAAGTGTTAATGGGAAAGGTCATAGAGTTCAGGACACTATTCAGTGAAAATAAAACTGGAGAAGGGCATGAGGCCAAAAATAAGGCCCTTTCTAAGTAGTGTTTGGGGACGTGGGCTTCAGCACTTCACGTGCTCATAAGTCCTCCCCTTGCTGCAGGCCCTTCACAGCCCCTTGCTCAAGCCCTCCCAGGGTAAAAGAGTTTGTCTAGGAAGGCAGAATTGCCATTTCCTGACACCAAGCTCAGGAGAAAGTAATGCACCTCAAATAGCCTTGTTTGCTCAGTAACTGCTTATGGGCCTGTTAGTCCTTAGGGCCCTCCTCTGTTTGCAATTGACACGCTGCAGAAAGCCAGCTGTCGATAGTAAAGGGACAGTACGTTTTGTTTAGGGGAAACACGTTGATAGCAAAGGGACAGTATGTTTTGTTTAGGGGAAAGACTGACGTAAAATGCTGTTAATTGCACCCTCTCTGGAATGTCTCCTTGTCCCGATGAAGACGGAGAACTGAGGTGGAAGAAGAAATTGTGCTGTGTGATAAAAGTTGCATATGCTTATGTCTTCTATATGGGGTAGGTATCATAGTACCTGAAACACTTTTGGAATCCACTGGTTAAAATCATTGAGGGCAGAGGCGGTCATATCTGTCTAATTTGTAAGAGTATACTTATTGCTAATAAAAATTGGTAACTTGAAAAACTGGTAATTTAAATGTTCACACCTATGATTGGCAGATGATTCATGTCGCTGCAAATCCTTTTTTTTCTTTTTTCCCTGCTCCGCTTCTGTGTCAGTGAGTATACAAGAATCCTAACCTCCACTTTGAATTTTCCAAACAACCTTGAAATGCTTGCATTTATCGGCAGGGATTTCAGAATCCATGACTCCGAAAACATTACAGTTTGTTCATATATAATTCTTTACTTCTATTTTTCTGTACATAGTACTATGAATTTATGCATTTTCCCATTGTAACGTTTGTGGTATAAACACCAATTTATTCTTTTATCATTCCAGAGGCTAGAAGTCTGAAGTTAAGATGTTATAAGGGCCATGTTCTCTCAGAAGCCTCCGGGAGACAACCCCTCCATGCCTCTTCAGAGTTTCTGGTGGTTTCTGACAGTCCTTGGTATTCCTGGATTTGCAATTTCATCACTTCAATCTCTGCCTCTATTATACATGGCCTTCTTCTCTGAGTGTCTGTCTCTGTGTCTCTCCTCTTATTAGAAAGATGTCAATCATATTGGATTAAGGGCCCATCCTATCCCAGCATGACCTCATCTTAATTTATATCTTACTTACATCTGCAGAAACCCTATTTCCAAATAAGACCAGATTCACGGGTACCAGGTACAGTATTCGAGTAGGTGCTCAGTAGAGATGTGGTGGAAGACTGAGCTATACTTCCCAACTTGATAAGACAGAGCCCTCTGTGTTCTGACTCCATCAGATCCTCAGCTTTATCTTCTCCCTTTCCTCTGACTCCCACTGCTCCATGGATGTTAACATTTTGCTTGCAATTTTCTTCATACACAAAGTATTCTAACATATGTGTGTTACTCCTTTTCCTTGTGATGACCTTTCTTCATTTCTTCACCTGACTAATTCTATCTCATGTTCAGTATTCAGCTGACACATCAGCATGGAAAGCCTGCCTAACAATGCCCTCAATGCTAAGTAAATAGTTCTTATATCTTATACTTCTATATATCTATATTCTTCTTATATCTATATACATCTTATATGTCTAAGTAAATGTTTCCTTATACTTCTTATATCATCTTATGCCACCCTGAACAAATATCTAACACAGTATATTTCACATAATATTGCAATTATCTTTTCTTTCTCCATGACTGTGTCTCCAAGTATTAACTCCTAAGGAAGAGGAAGATTATTGTGGTTGAGTCCTATTTCCCCCCAAGTGAATTAAGTGGAAATTCTAGCCCTGGTACCTGTGAGTCTGGGCTTATTTGGAAATAGGGTTTCTGCAGATGTAATTGAGATGTAAATTAAGATGAGGTCATGCTGGAATAGGATGGGCCCTTAATCCAACATGACTGACATCTTTCTAATAAGAGGAGAGACACAGAGACAGACACCCAGAGAAGAAGGCCACGTACAATAGAGGCAGAGATTGAAGCGATGCAGTTGCAAATCCAGGAATACCAAGGACTGTCAGAAACCACCAGAAACTTGGAGGAAGCATGGAGGGGTTCTCCCCCAGAGCTTTCAGAGAGAACGTGGCCCTGCTGACATCTTAACTTCAGACTTTTAGCCTCTGGAATGATAAGAGAATAAATTGTTGTTTGTACCTACCCAGTTGTGGCACTTTGTTACAGCAGTTCTGGAAACTAACACAGAGCTTGTCTTATTTAATATCATATTTAAAGTATAAGAAAGAAGGGAACAACAGACACTGGGGACTCCTTGAAGGAGGGGGTGGAAGGAAGGAGAGGTTCAGAAAAACCACAACCACCAACACCACAACAACAGCAACTGTTGGGTACTATGCTTAGTACCTGGGTGACAAAAGAACTGTATCCCAAACTCCTGAGTCATGAGTTTACCTGTATAACAAATTAGTATCTATACTCCAGAACCCAAAATAAAGGATAAAATATTTTTTTAAAAAAGCTTTTATACTTGTTTCTGCATACCCCCTAAAAATAAAGTGTCTACATAATTTTTGGCACTTAATAGACAGTCAAATGATTGTTTAATTGCCATTTAAATGAATATGAAACCATCTAGAATGTTCCACTGCTTTTCTCCCTTCTTATTCACCATCTATCCAAATCCTACTCGGCCACATGACCCCACATAATTGCCTGTCATCCTAGTCAATCAGCTCTTTCTGCTGTGGATTCTTAAGCCATTTTATTGTTTATTATGATTTTAATCCTAGATGTTTCAATGCACCGCAATGCACACCTTGCCTTTCCCAAATATTCCACACATTGAAGTTCTGGAGGAAACTCTATCTAGGCTATCTAGCATTAGGTATGTGTGAATCATATCACATTCAGTATATAATGTAATCAAAACTACTTCCGGCATTGTCCACATTTTCAAATGATAATGATAAAAATAAGTCTCAGATTAATAAAATCGCTCACCTATGACATCAGGACTAGGAAGGCACAGAGTCAGGGTTGAAACCCAGGCTTCTCTGGTTCCATATTGTGCTCTTTCCCTTTCTGCCTTTTAGTAAGACTTCAGAATGGTCACCATTGACCAAAGTCCTCAATTGCCCTTGCTGTCACTGAAGAAGAAATCTGAGAACTTTGACCGGTAACAAGAGCTGAACGTTACAGATATGTGGGACATATAGACCCTGCCAACCTAGAGAGCTGGAAGCTAGAGGCTGCAGCAAACACACACAGAACCCTCTTGTCATCTCCTGTAATGAGGTCCAGCATATCCCAGCTTTCTATGGGATGGCTCACGCTGATGCACTTGCCCCAAAAAGCAATGCAACTTTTAGTAAGTACAGGTTGAATTACGATCAGTAAATGGTAGCAGAAAAGAATGACACTGAGAAAGTTACCCATATGCTGTCTTCATGCTTTTTCCAGCCATTATCCTGCGATTCTTCCTTCCCAGCATATACTTAACTGGCTGGAGAAGGGGACTTTTAATAATAAAAACCTAGCATTCCTAAGCTGTAAGAAAAATGTACAAATGCTATCAATTCTACCCTTCTAAAGCAAGACCATGTGCCAGAAAACATTTTGTAAACTTCAAAGAGCTACATCAAGAGCTACTGCCATTGATTTAAAAATGTGTGCATGGCATTTCTTGATGATTTTTATAGAGCCAATAGTGGTTTGTTTCCATTATCTTAATCTAGTTATTTTAAATCTGTTTTTATCATGTCAGTATTAATTTTGTTAAAATAGTGTCTTAGTCAGCTAGGGCTACTGCAATGAAACACCACAGACAGGGTGGCTTAAGCTACAGACATTTATTTCTCACAGTTTTGCAGGTTGGAAGACCAAGATCAAGGTGCCAGCAAATTCTCCTCCTGGGGAGGGCCTCTCTTTCTGGCTTGCAGATGACTGCCTTCTCACTGTGTCCTCACACGGTGCAAAGGGAAAGCTCTGACCTCCTCCTCCGATTCTAAGGACAATGATCTCATCATGAGGGTTCCATCCCCATGACTTCATCTACACCTAATTACTTCCCAAAGGCCTCACCTTCAAATACACTGGGGATTATGACTTCAACATATACATTTGGAGGGGACCACGAACACTCAATTCATAACAAATAGAATGTGATTTGAAGCAACAGTTTTTGCTCACATAGCAAAATCCTTTCTATTCTATAAATTAAAGAGGAGATAGTGTGGAATACTTAATTCTGAATATTCATAGAGGCATAAAATGTTTATCTTATTATTCTAAAAAGCCTAAATATATATTCTAGAAATCAGTGGAATGAGGACTGTAGGTTTTATTCCTGGCCCCAGCACTTACAAGCTGTGTCATTTTGGATAGGTTTCCAAACCTCTTAGAAGAGGCTCATACTGGCCAAATCTGGGACAATTTGCACATCAATACAAATGATGATAGTAGAGGATTATAGCCCACTGAATAAAATAGGAATCCATGTGTCTTCAATAAATAAATAGAGAGATGATAAGGTTTTAGATACCAATAATATAGATGTAGATGAAATGATGGGGTCGCCCAATCTTTTGACAACTGTCATAGAAAGAATTCATTCGGGTAAGAAACACCAATGGATGCTAAAACTAGGAAATGAAAATGGAATTTGGAACAGGATTTTGCACCTTGTCAAAGAAACTTCTCACAAAATATCTGTTAACTACAAAGGTGAGAAAAGTAATTTTAATGTAGAAAAACTGGCTGACACCAAGTGATCAAAATTAATATATTAATGAGGCAAATGGGCATCATGTGCCACCAGAAAAGAGGCAATGGGAACACAGCATTACTGGTGTGAAGTTTTGGCCAAAAACACATAACCTGGATCTAATCATGGTCAAACATTGGACAAACCCAAATGGAGAGACACTGCAAAATAACTTGTCTATGATCTTCAAAAATATCAACATAAGAAAAGTCTAGGAATGGCTGAGTGGCTGGTTCAAGTTAAAGGAAATCAGAGAGATAGGACAACTTGGAGCAATGTGTGATACTGGATTGGAACTTTTTACCATAAAGAAAGTTATTAGGAAAATGATAAAACTTGAATGGCATCTCTGGGTAAATGGGGATCCAGCAATTCTTTGCGCTAATCTTATAATGTTTTTCAACTTTGAAATTGATTAAAATAATATGTAAAAACATTGTAAAAAGATAAAAACAATGCAAATTATATAAAACACTACATATTGTGATGAGAGGAAACTAGTTGTGTAAAGAATTTTGAATTAAATATTAGATTAAATATGAATTTGGGGAGACTTTAGTTACCACTGTTATTTTTGAGAATAATAAAAGATATTTCTGTTCTTGATAGATTAATGCTAGTGCTTGTGAAACAAAATCTCAAAACTTAAAATGGCCTGTTGCTTTGATCTTCTAAATCCTAGTGTTATTTGAGAGAAGCTGAAAAGTAAATGAAATTTTATTCAATCATGTACATAGTGCATTTAATTATAGGCATTATGTAGGGGACACATGAAAGCATTCTGGTGGTATCTTTTGTGTTTCTTCTATGATAAGAACAATGGAATTGTTTTGTGCATGTAGGAGCGGACACATCTTTCCAGGGGATAATGCAATTTAGAGGCTCTTTGTGTTTTAAGTGTTTCTCAGGACTGATTAAAGCCTTGCACTTGGATTGGAAAGCGAATGCTCATCTGTCTAATGAATGTCCTTTCATTGCATGAACTTAAGTAGGAGTTAGAGTCATGACAGGATTACACAAAGGCAGGTGGCCCATGAGAAGGGCTGAGGCAAAGTTAATAGGAAAAGTCTTGGCATTTAGAGTTTGAGAGATATTTACAGAGTTATTGGAAATTAGATTTTCTTATGCTTTAATCTATAAAATTAAATATTTCTTCATTGTAATGTGTATATTTTACTCACCATTTTATCCCTATTGCCTAGAGCAGCATCAATAAATAACTGGTAGATGAATGAGTGAATTGGAAACTGAATAAATAAATAACAATGAATGATTGAAATGAATTATTGTTTCTCTTATTGACTATTAATTTCAACCTCTCTTCTTCCATTTCCAACTTTCTAGAGCAGAGAAACTACAACTACAACTAAGGGGCTAAATCTAGCTTACTGCCTGTTTTTATAAGTAAAGTTTTATTGGAAAACAGCCATACCCACTTGTTTATGTATTGTCTATGGCTATGTTCATGATATAATAGCATAGCTGAGTACTTGCAACACAGACTACATGATCCATGAAGTCTACAATGCTTACTGTCTGGCTCATTTTACAGAATTGTTTGCTGACCCTTGTTCTAGAGCATGATCAAGTGCTTAGGCTTTAAATAATGGTAATGCCCAATAGTGGGAGCCTGATGGGATTTGCTATCAGGATATGATTCATAACAACAATTTCAACTTCTTAGGACCCCTTGCAGGCAACTCATAAAAGAAAATCTTCCTGTTTGCTTTTTATGCTATGCATTAGGAAAACAGGAGCTTCTCTGAGTATTTAAAAATAAGTAATTTGAAACAGATAACTGTTTACAAAGATGTGAGAAGGAATGGTGGGACAAAGATGGGAAGGTCACAGGTTAGTAACTGCAGAAAACAATAAGACTGCCCCAAAAGCTGCAAAAAAAAGAAAATAATGAATGATGTTACTCGGAGCCCACAATCGTTGCACCACAACATTGGTGCTGTTGGACTAGCTGCCTGAGTAGGAGCCCACAACTACACATGTGCCACCAGCACAGCTGCTGCCACTACCAAAGGTGCCACCAAAAGATGTAATTAACATGCTTTTTCCTCCCTTTCACTTTCCAGGCTCCCATCAGTGGCCCCTGCCACGGCATAAGCTAACACAAAGACAGCTGGCATTTGGTGTCCGACAGATGTAGTTTACAGGCTGCTAGCCTCAGAAGTAGAGAGAAGTAGGAACAATGATTGTAAAGCTGAGTGACAACAGGAACTACCTGCAAAATGCTCATATTTAACTAGCTTGATCTTGAAGTTTATAGTCTCATATGAAGATCCTCCCTAGTAGTGGTGGTGGTGGTGGTGGTGGGAGGGAAAGGTGCCATAAAAAAACACACAATGGGGCCGGGCACCGTGGCTCACACCTGTAATCCCAGCACTTTGGGAGGCCGAAGCGGGCGGATCACGAGGTCAGGAGATCGAGACCATCCTGGCTAACACGGTGAAACCCCGTCTTTACTAAAAATACAAAAAATTAGCCGGGGGTGGTGGCGGGCACCTGCAGTCCCAGCTACTTGGGAGGCTGAGGCAGGAGAATGGCATGAACCTGGGAGGTGGAGCTTGCCGTGAGCCGATATTGCGCCAGTGCACTCCAGCCTGGGCGACAGAGCGAGACTCCTTCTCAAAAAAAAAAAAAAAAAAAAAAAGACACAATGAGAGGGAACAGTATATAAGAAGTCAAAGAGTTGTGAAAGAGTATATAAAGTAAGAGAATTTGTTATCCCTTGCTTGAAAATATATGATGTGTAGAGAGAAGCACTACTTGTCAAACTAGAGAGATAAAGTTGGATATGGGAGAAATAGTAAATCTCATGCCTAATTTATAAATAAGAAATAGACTTCATTATGAAATTTTACCATACTTTGTTCATTTTGGGTTGGATATTCTTCACCAATAGCCAGATTTCAGCCACCTAGGCCAAGTGTCTGTAAAAGGGACCAAAGGAAGTTTCAGTTTTTATGATGACTCAGATCGATTAGCAATGGCTGCCTGTAGATCTGAATGGTGCAGGATTCTGAGCAACTTCTAGGTTCTTGGGAAAGAGTACCAGGTTTGATTTATGATGTCTACTACCAGCATAGGAATGGGACAACGTGTGCTGATGTATAATAGTGTACATACATGAGGATGTTCAATAATTTAGTCATTTTTGATGACAGCAAAAGGATTTGTTAAGAGTATATGCCATGACAAGGTAAGTCTTCAATATATAGTTTTATAGAAAAAAACAAGCAGTTTTATAGAAAAAAAAAGTCTACAGTGGGTTCTTGGATTAGCCTCCAATTGTTCTTTGTTAAAAAAAAATGGTGACAGCATGGATAAGTGTTGTAAGGGAACAGTTTCTGGTTGTTCTGACTCAGGCACCCTTCTTAGATTACCTGCTGCATTCGTTGCACGGGATCTTGCCTGGGCAAGATATGTTGCTTTAGGACACCTCTTCAGAAATTCTTTGTATAGAAGTATAAATTTTAGTCCACAAAATCTTATACGAATCAAACATATCACTTTTTAAATACATTAACTTAATTTTTACATCGTTCCAACTATCCTGGTTGTGAGTAGGAAAGCAAAACCAAGTGAATTAAGAGCATCACAGCACATATTTCTCAGGGTGGATTTTAGAATAACAGAGACCCTGCCGAGTCCTGGGGAGGCTGATCTTGTAAGACATTTACTGAGCCCTGTGCTGTCGTTGTCTTGCCTACAAGTCCTCTTTGGGTCTTAGGTACACATGGTGAATTAACTGATCCACCTCATGCTGGGGTATGGAAAATTTCTGGGATGCTATCAAGAGTGCTACACACACACACACACACACACACACACACACACACACACACACACACAGCTATTTCCCTGCAGCTGCCTTCTTCTTATCATCCTGGAGCCTCAACTGACAAGCAAAGCACACATCCTCACGGCTCTGCTTTTGTAAAGCAATCTTACTCTTTTTTCTCTTTCACAGAGGTGGCCAGAAAGGAGAAAGGAATTTAGGGACCTTCACTGCTGCATTCTGGCTCACTCCCTCCAGCTCTACTTCCCTAGTTTTTGAAGTTGGGGAGCATTGACTACTTGAATTGTGATGCAGGAAGAGTAAGGGTGAGAGGTGAGGAAAGCCTTTAGCATAAGAATATTCTCAACATATTTGCTTCTATAATTACCAAAACAATAGCCTTTAATTACTTAAGCTTTATATGGCAATGCAGAATTTTATGCAAATGCTGCAGGTCAGACATGTATTTTTTCAGATCTCACTGTTCACTTCCTTATGTCCCTCTTTGGTTTTTCTTTCACAGAAGAGAAAATAAGTGAATGAACGATCTGGGTTAATACCTTCATTTTGTAGATGAGAAAGCAAACAGACAAACTTAACCCCAAATTCACACACTGATTTGTGGCAGAGCCAGTAAGAACCAAGTCTGTGGATTCTGAGGTCAGAATATTTCCTCCACAGCTTTGCTTCTCCAAATGTGGGGAGCATGAAAAAAATGGAGGGAAATGATTCCAATCAACATTTTACAAAAGAAGATACACAAACATCTAGCAGTGCATTGTTAACTAACAGGTTAATTAAGTTCATTACTCTTTAGAGAAATACAAGTTAAAACCACCAGGTTAAGCCACTCCATGCTCACTAGTATGACAGAAATAAAAGAGACAAAATGCCAACTGCTCAAAAGGATACAGAGCAATTACACCCTTAAACACTGTGATAGGAACACAAAGATGTTTGTTGATGTCATATAAATTTAAATCTATACTTACCATATGACTCAGCAATCCTATACTTCTAGATATTTATATGAGAAATAAAAACAGATATCCATAAAAAATTAATATAAGAATGTTCATAACATCCATATGCATAATGGCCTAAAACTTAAAACAACCTGTACCTCTATGAACAGAGGAATCAAATAAAATTCTAATATATTCATAATTTGGAATAATGTTTGCAAGAACAAACTTCTTAAACCTATAACAGTGTGGCTGAATTTCAAAAATATGATGAGCTAAGCAAACCACACACAAACATATACACATACATAAACACTCACACACACATATTTTGTATAATTACATTTATATAAAGCCCGAGGACAGGAAAATATAACCAATAATAACAAGCTATCTCTGAGCAAAAGTAAGAGTTTAGCAAAGGGCACTAGGGAACATTCTCAGATGATAGAATTGTTCCATATTTTATTTCTGGTGATAATGACCAGGTAGGTTCAGTTGGGTCAAATGAGTTAAAATCATGACAAACTCAATATCCAGGATTTGTACATTTTATTTTGTAAAAATTATGTGTGGTAGAAAAACATCAGAAATAAAGTAATATAACAGTGGTATTAAAAAAATGTAAGATTCCAGGCCAACTCTGGGCACACTGCCTATGAGTTTGCCCTGCTTCTCATGGAGCAGTAAAAAACAAACAGCAACAACGACAAAAGTAAGATCCTGAAATGAATCTGGGGAGAGATACAGATGTGGCTTCTTTAACTCTGCCAATCAGAGATTCTAGTAAGATAAGTCTTGGCAAAGCCGAGAAATTTGCCTGGTAATAAGCCTCCTTAGGTGTTTCTGACACAGACGTCCAGAGGACCACACTTTGAGAAACACCACTCTTAATTTTACTGCTGAGAAATATTCTTAACACTATTTTTAATGTTTCCCTTTGATTGCCCGCTTTCTACTTCTGTGATGTTGGGTAACTTTTCTCCACATTTCAGCACTTATACCAGTCTAAAACAATCCTGTCCCATAGTCTGAATATCTGGATTGGTTTCCCTGGCCCACTAACTGGGTTTGATTATGTGAACTCTCAGAACATATTAAAAACCCTTAATTAAAACACTTGTAGGAATCCACATTCTCTTTGGTGGCACATATTTGCTTCAGGCCCGAAACCTATGTACCTGTCCTGTAATTTTTATGTTGTTCTTCTGCTGCTGTTGCTTCTCAACTGGAAAGCATGAATGAGAAAATAACGCTTTGTAGGTGCAACACCTGCCAAAGAATGTTGCCCATAATATATGCTTAATAAATGGTGTTGGCTTGAATTGGAATGGATAGTTAAGAAAAAAAAGAAATCAATAAAGCAGCACTTTGACAGTATGAGCTTGAGAAGAGCTTCTTCATTTCAAATAAGTGAAGACACTTGAGACTTACTTTTTATAGCACATGTTATGTGTCTGGCACTGTGTAGTTACTTTGTTTTCTCATCAAATCCACATGTTTACCTTATAAAGTAGATACATATTATCCTCATTTACAGATGAGGAAATTCAGGCTTGAAGTGGCTGAGTGGCTAAGATCAAATAAATATTGCATCACTGAGATTTAAAAAAAAAATTTTGTGAGGCAGAAATAAACAACCAAAACTATTTTAGAATCTTAGAACAACAAATGTTTACTTTTTTGTGGGTCAGACTTGGCCCTGTTTTATACATATTCATATTGAAGAAAATAGACTGAAAGAGAATGCACTATCCAGGACATATTATCTTCACAGGAGAGATCACTATGCAGCCATGCGATGGCTCTGAAGTTGCGCTAGAACATCGAATCAGCTCTTCTCCCATTGGCAACGACAAAACTGTCTAATCCCCTTAAAGGAAATGGTGAAGCGAACACTTAGGAAAAAATAAAATACAGTCTGCTAAAAATGGTAACTGGCAAAGCCAGGATTTAAAGTCAGATATGTCTTGTTAAGGCCCTTTCACTTACCACTTAAATAATCCATTCATTCATTCACTGATTCACTAATTCAATAATTATATTTTAGTCTATAAGTAGCCTGTAGTGACTGAGAAGATGTGATTTGGACCCAGAAAGATCTGTCTCGGAATCCTATCTCTTTCATTTATTGACTATGCAATAATAGGAATTATATTCCACTGCAAAATGAAGTTGAAAATTTTAAACATTTATCCTGAAAATAATGACAGGAGTACAAACTCCACCTGTGCAAGTGTGAGATCTTCCATTCACAGCTTGGAACACATGAACCCCTGGAAGTTTTTTTTATCTTTCTGGCATTTCCTCTTGTTTCTATGGGTCCAAGATTTTAGGATTCTGGAGATTAAGAATATACTAACTAAACAATTTTGGAAATGGATTTTATTTTGACACCTAAACACATTAAACAAACTAGCATCTACTAGAACAATCATTTCACATTTTAAAAGATAGGATAAAGGGTATACTTAAAATTATTTGGAATGCAGAGAAAAATTAAAAATCAGCACAAAATATATTTTATGTTATTAATAAGTAAAATTGATTTCTTGTTCTCTTGCAAGTTATTCAGCTAGAAATACTTTCATTTTTATCATATTATCATTAAAAGTGTTCACATAGGTATGAAGATGAAGATTAATTTTACATTCTTAATATAATTTCACTTGATATAAAATATTTTGAGAACACTGAGAGAAGCCAATATGTGACATCTTATTACCTAAACTTCTCCTATCTGCTGGTCTAGAAAGCAAGCAGTTCAAATGTCTGACTATATTTTTTTGTTTTGTTAAGTTTTGAGAAAAGTGTTAGCCTGTGGCCTGATTTCCCAAAAATGAGCAGCCAGGAATGTCTGAGAAGGATGCTTGCCAGGACCTAAGAACACTTTGTCATGGAGTAAGATGGTCTGAAGACCTGTGTTTTAGAAGGGTGTCCTACTGAATTCAGGAGCTGAAGAGGCAACCCACTGGTGGTGATTACTCAAATTGATTTTAGGTCTGATTAATTTAGTTCAAAAACATTGAGTGGTGACAATGTGCCACATATTATTTTTAGGCTCTGAGAATGTGACACTATGCAAAACAAGAGTCTTGCCTTGTAGATTCTAGTGATGTGGCTATAGCCACATATGTGACTGCTGGATAGTTTTCTAACAAGTCCAAAAGCAGCATACCTCAACCATCATCGGTCAGCTTTCCTCTCCTTCTTCATTAACTTAACAAAGCATTAGCAGTAGTAGCACTACAAGACTGCAACCAGTTGTTGCCTGTTTAAATCCTGCGCTGTGACTTAAGAGGATGTAGTCCTGTACAAATCTGATCCTGCCACTCTTCTGCTAAAGGTCCTTCCTTTAGCTACTCTGTAATCTGGTGCACAAGGCTCTGCGGCATTTGTCCCTTGACCAAACTCTCATAGCACCACTTAGCAGGCAGTAGTTTTTTTCATTTACTGCAATTGGCCAGCTTTTTTCATGTTTTGCAATCTTTGTCCATGTTTTTCCCTCTATCTGTGGTGGTCCTTCCTCTACTCTATACCTGGACATCGGCTATTCATCCTTTAGAGCTAATCTTAAAAGTCGCTTCTTCTGAGGTACCATCATAAGATATTCCTTCCCAATTGATCATTTTCTTACAGCATCCTCCACTTTTTCTTCATTACGCTTATTACTGTTTGCACATTTATTTACTTGTGCATTTTTATGTTTAGTGTGTCTCATTTTTCTAGAATAAAAACTTGAAAAGAATAAGGGTATTTTATAATTTCCTTGTCACCCTATACCCAGGATACAGTGCTTGGAGCCTCCAGCTTCTCCCATCTCTACTTTACATTGTATTGTGTTTCTAGCTTTTTCCTGAGGGTATTTGAAGAGTCTGACAATTTCAGTTGTAAATCTTGAAGAAGTACATGGATTTAAAATCATGTAGTGCTGATTTGTTAATAACTCTCAAGCTAGGAATATTTGAAAATGGAAGGGCCCTTGTTGAATTAGAGTCTTTGTAGAATTAGAGCCCTAATTCTACTCAAAAGAATGAGGACCTTTTCTAGTGAGATGAATGTAGAGGATCAGGATCCATTCTTCTGGTGAATAAGGATTAGCAAGATCTTGGGACTCAGTAAAGCAGAACTAAGGAGAGGTAGCGTAACCAGAGACAGTCTTGCACAAAAGAGCCAGCAATGAGTTGAAGTGTACTGACTGTAGGATCAGGCATGAATTGAGTTCTTCTGGGACTCAATTGGTTTTTGGGTTTACTGTGAATCAAGAAAAATTCTGTTTTAGAGCACCATCATTTACTTCATCATCAGCACTGTCATCATTATAACAACCAAAGCTGGCCTTACTGAAAGCTTTCTCCATGATAGAGACTGGGTCAGGTACATTAAATGAATTACTTCATTCAATTCCACAGTGATCTTATAAGGTAGGCCTTATCTTTAGTCCCATATTAAAGATGGGAACACTGAGACTTGGAAAACTGAATTAAGTTGCTCAGTGCCATAACACTAGTAAGAGATACAACAAGAATTGGAAATCATGACTGATGCAAGCACCCATGTTCTTAACTACTGTATTTCTTTGTTATTATTATTATTATACTTTAAGTTCTGGGATACGCGTCCAGAATGTGCAGGTTTGTTACATAGGTATACATGGTGGTTTGCTACACCCATCAACCCATCATCTACATTAGGTATTTCTCTTAATGCTATCCCTCCCATAACCCTCCATCCCCCAACAGGCCCTGGTGTATGATGTTCCCATCCCTGTGTCCACATATTCTCATTATTCAACTCCCACTTATGAGTGAGAACGTGCAGTGTTTGGTTTTCTGTTCCTGTGTTAGTTTGCTGAGAATGATGGTTTCCAGCTTCATCCATGTCCCTGCAAAGGACATGAACTCATCTTTTTTAATGGCTGCATAGTATTCTGTGCTGTATATGTGCCACATTTTCTTTATCAAGTCTATCATTGATGGGCATTTGAGTTGGTTCCAAGTCTTTGCTATTGTGAACAGTGCTGCAATAAACATACATGTGCATGGATCTTTATTTTCTTTAAGACAAGTCATGCTCAGCAGTGATGATGGCAGCTTCAGGATCCAGGTCTAGCCTTGTGCTTTAATTCAAAGCCCTCCTGGGCAGGGACATTGGTAGCTACTGACTTATGTCCTGAACTTCTCCGGGTTGGCTCAGTAACTGAAGAAGTCTTTTTTTCCACAGCAGAGTTCATCTGTGAGAAAGTAGGATTGACTTCTTGCAGCAGCAGAAGGAAGCCAGAGACTGATATTCTCAGAGGGCAGCAGGCAATTGCCCAAAGGATAGGGGAAGCACTGTCTCCAAGGAACCCCTCTTCATCCTCTTACAGTTCTGAACCTTAGGAAATTATTTATTAGCTAGAACTCAAATTTATCTTACTGTATTTTGTAGCCATTGGCCATGATAAATAGTTTTTAGCAGATTTCAGGGCAATCATTATTCCCATGTCTTAGTTCACTTTGAAGTTCCTATCAATGAAGAGGGGGTCCCTTTATCATTTAAATCTAGTGATATTTGATTAATGTTTCAATTGTTCAAAAGACTTTCTTCAGAGCTCATTTGTTTGATTCTTACAGCAACACTTCTAGAAGAAAGGTATTATTATTCTTCTTCTTTTCTAGATAAAAATACTGCAGATCCAAGATGCACCACAACCTGTACAAAGTAGCGTACCCAGCAAGTGGCAGAGCTAAGACTAGCTCTAATTCCAGAATCATCCAGGATTTCTAAAGTGATCATTTCAAGGTTATTTTATCTTCATCTCATCTCTCTAATTGCTCATTGATACCTAGTGGGATATACTCTGAATCTGATGTGATAGTCATTTTGGCTGTGGAGGGAGAGTTCCTTCTCATGCACATACATTTACTATTTATAAAACTAGTGTGGCTAGGCTGACACAGCCAGGGTCATGATTTCTCAGGAAAATGGCAGACTAATAGAGAAAAAGGTCATAAATATCATCAAATACAAGGCCTGACATTTACCAAGGACAATTGTTTTATCATAAAAGGCTCGGGTTTTTTGGAGTTTTTCCATTAAGCTTCCACAAAGCATCTTGCCTCTTACCAAGGAGGAGGAAAGGAAAACAAAGTGTGTACGTGTGTGTGCGGATGGGTGAAAGGTGGGTGGGGAGTAGAGGTAACAGATGAGAAGAGGAAGACCAAAGGAGACATTCCTGGGGTTTCAGGAGTAAACTGAGCTCCTAATTCTTTGTGACCAGGGGTAGGATTAAGAGTTCAAAAGGGCAGGTCATACAAGGGCAGGGGGCCAGGCTGGGTCTTGCAGGGATGTGACCCAGGAAATGCTGGCAGGCTGGGCTCCCATCCTTCCCCAGCAGGCCTCCAATTAGGATTTAATGGCCAAATGTGGAATGCATTAGGACATCTGAGCAGAAAGTCTGTGTTCAAAGGAGCCGAATCTTTTTGGCTAAGTAGAAAAACATTCCTCCCTGGCCAGTTTCCCCCTGAACCTTGCTAATTCTGGGGACCTCACTGGCAGTGGTGCCTTACAAAGCATCATTTGCAAGTGGTCTAGGCATAAACATCCTCTTTTCCTTGAAGATGACATAAAGAGAAAGCAACAGGCCCACCAGCTCTCTCTGGTATTTGGGGCAGTGTGAGGAATATAAACAAATGATTGACCCAGAATTCTTTGTGTCTGTGCATCTGGTGAATACATATCCAATTGAAAGAACCTAAGTAGACAATGCATGTATGTCAATATACATGGATATATCCAAGATAGAGTTTAAATACATGTGTACCTCAGTGTCTGCATGTATTTATTTATTTGTTACTGCTATATTTATTTATTTATTACTTTATACCCCGCCTTGTCAATAATCCAAGAGCTTGCCTAGGGTATATTCTTTGTGTTTGTGTGTGTATGTGTGCGTGCGCACATTGATACAAGTGTGTATAGATGTAAGTCAGTAAAAAGAGAAGGGGTAATACACAAATGTACAGAGGTAAATGTGTGAATCTGAATCTGTGTAGATCTTACACCTCTGAGTGTGACTAAATATACGGATTTGGGAGGGTATGTTAGTGTTCACATAAATGCTTCTGGAAGTAAGGATAACACAGTGGGGAAAGGTCTGCTCCGTGCAGATGAGCATGTGCAGTTGAGTATTCTGAAAGTGTGTATGCACATATGTATCAATGGATGTCTCTGTGGTGACATATTTTGCTTTGCATGTGTTGTTTTGTGTGACCATGAATGATAAATCACATCATGCACGTAGTATCTGTTAAAAGTGTGTATACATGGGTGTGTATGGTCCTTTTGATGTCTTTGTGTGCCACTGTGAAAGGGTGCAAATAATGTATGAATCCAACAAAGCTTGGATATGCATATTTATGATTATGTGTAATGATTTAATATGTATAAGTCATGAATGTGTGACTACATGAATATTTATACCTCTGGCAGGGCCTGTACTGGGGGTGTAGATTGTGGAGGACATGCCTAGTTTGGGGAGCATGAGATTCTGGATGTATCTGTGCAGTGAGTTAAAGAACATGCCTGTATCTTTGCTTGTGATTTTCCCATCCTACAACACACAAGGATGAATACCTAAATTTCAGCTTAGAAACGAAGCTGCTTCTGCTCTGGTCTAGGCCAGCTGCTCTTTTGGAGTTTAAATAAATGACACACGAAAATATGTCCCATTTCCGCCTAACAATATGATAATGTGCTTGTACACACACACACACACACACACACACACACACACACAAACTATACACTACACTTTCTTTGGTATAAAGCAAGTGATCAAATGAATTTTATCTTGAGCATTTTAGTGCTATCTTATTAGCCCTAAATTTGGGGTGACCAGCTTATCCATGTATGCCTTGGACTTTCCTTGTTTTAGCACTGAAAGCCCCCCATTCCAGAAAACTCGCCAGTCTTGTACAAACCAGGTCAGTTTGACCCCTACCTGAATTAGTTGGTGGTAGACTTCAGAACAGGGAAACTGAGTCTGGGCCATTTTTCATGCATGGAGCTCCCGGCCTCTTAAGCACAACATAGAGCATAAAAGCATGGAAATTTGCAGCGTCACAGATCCATTTTGGAACTCAACTGTATCTCTTTTCCAGATGTGTGAACATGGCAAATTTACTCAAGCTTTCTGAGCCTTAGGTTTCTCATCTGTAAAGTGAATATAATAACTGCTTCACAGGGTTATTTTACAGATTAAATGAGAACATATAGATGCAAAGCATTTGACTTACTACTCTGCATATAATATACTCTCAGTAAATAAATGCTACATTGTTATTATTCATGCATTCTTACAACATTTTTATTGAGCAATAACTACAGACAAAGTGTCTGCCAGAGGCTAAAAATATAAATATGCAGGAAACATAACTCCTGTTCTAAGACGTCTTCAGTGTACTGTGGAAGATATTAGTTAAAATTTATAAAAAACAATTACATTTTACTAATTGACAGGAGCTTTAAAAATTAAGGAATGCATCTGTATTATGAAGGGTAGTAGTTGTGTACTCCCAGTAGTTTTTAACAAGAAGTTCTTGTCATCTTCCAGAAGCAACAGCTGTTCTTGAGTAATAACTGTGGGCCTGGTGGTAGGCTGGCTGGGTGCCAGCTATACTCCACAGAGCAAAGTCACCCTTCCATGGAAAGACTGCCTCCAAAGAATGAGGAAGGACAGATGGCCACAGATTGTTCTGGAACATAACCCCAAGAGTCAGACTGCAAGAGAAGACTGAAGAGAAAATTTGGAGGTTGGGAGGGGCGGATTTGCAGCCAGTGCAGCCAGAACAATGCCTGATTCATGATGCAAAAAGCGAGGCTGTGTTCTTAAGGAGCTAAGTATTTTGCAGCTGGTGCCTTGCTCTGTACTAGGCACTGGGAATAGATGAAGGTGGCATGTCCACCATCAAGGTGCTCAAGGTGGCTTTAGAGACACAACATTTGCACAAATAATTGTTATTCCAGGTGAGGTATGCTCTAATTAAGGTAAAGTAAGTGGAACAAACTAACCTCTTGAGAGTTGTAAAAGGGTTGTCAGAGTCAAGAAAATAACAACTTACGTTTACCTTATAGGATGGATTCAGGATGCAGAAAATTGGGATGGCTGGTGTTTGGCAGTTTTAGGGCTGCGTGGGGGTTCTGCAGAAAAGAAAAGATATTCTAGGAGACAACAGAGACTGCACGGTGGCAAGAATAGAAAATCCAGGATATATGAAACCCTTTTCCAGACTGGGAGGGCTTTGAGGACAGGACCCCGTCATGTCCATTTTCTCACTGCTATCCACCAGATCCACAGGTCATCAGTAAGTGTCAGTGCAGTAAATGAAGGAAAAATGTAGGGACTTGTCCAGTTATGAACACCGTAATTGCCCTGCTGAGGAGTTTGCACTTTATCCTGGAGGTAATGAGAAACCAACAAAGAATTTTAAGATGAGAAATGACGCCATCCAAATTTGCATTTCAGAAATGTCACTCTGGCCTCAATAGGGCATAGCTGGGTTGGCAGAGATCAGGGAGGCAAAACCAGAGGCTGGAAGACTAATTAGGAGATGTTTTCAGACTTCCCGATGCCACATTCAGGAGGCTGAAATGAAGAGAGTGGCAGGAAGGATGAAGGAGGGGAATGTGATCAGCATTGCTCTCAGAAGTGAACCTTGACACCCACTCAGTCCTCAGATCTCAACTCATGTAGGAACATTACTCTCATTCATTCCAAGAACATAATTAGAGGTCTTAGAAGGAAGCATTGGGTTTCCTGAGCACATCTGATTCAGTCACATGATCACATCATGGGCAAGCAGTGAAGGTGGAGTGACAGGGGAAAAATAAAAAAAATAAAATATTGGGGTTTACAGCAGCATATCTGAGTTCTACTCCCATCTCCTCCACTTAGTAGCAACCCAAGTTTGGCCAAGTCCCTTATCCTATTTCTTACAATAGTTGGATTAAGTGAGAGTAGTAATGTCAGCATCATGGTATTATGGGAATTTGCTGAAGAAAATATATGTGAGAGTCTCTTTAAAATCTTTGAAAAGCCATGCAAACAGCAGGTTTTAATTATGCAGAGACACTAGGCAGAGTTGATATAGTTTCCAAGTGAAAACAATTTTTTAAAGGCTGCCCTGTTTTTCAGATCAGCAGCTGGATGAGGGAGTATTCTCTTTGTCCTCAGGATTTCTGAATTCTCTCTCCGTCTTCTTCCACGGGACAGTTTTATTTCTAGAGAAAGCTCTCCCCCAGCATGGTGCATTGAAAGGGAATTAAATCAGAAGACTAACAGCTGACTTCTCCATGTCGGTACTGACTGGGTTCTTTCTGGAAAGAAGATTACACCCTGACGATTACAGCCTATGAGCACACCACCTATAAAATACCCCAGGACAAAAATCTGTCTAGTGACTCTTCCTTCCACGTGTGACCCTACCTCCCTTCGCACATGCTTTATTTCAATTAACATTTCACAATCCCTCTGTCCTCATTTTTTCCAAACTATCCAAGCACGGACTCTCTCTTATCTTAGTAGCTCAGAGAGCACCAGAGGCCCCAATGAAGTCAGTAGAAATATGTCCTTGATTAGCAGGAATGACAAATGATGGGGAGGGTGGTGGACAGAGTTTAGATGCAGCAAGTGTTTTCAACTCTACTGAAAATGGAAAGGCTTTGTCCAGAGTTTTGTGTTTTGGTTTAATCATAAATAGATGCTACAGAGTCATGACATAACATAGACAATTCCCTGTTATCAAGAGAAGTGGGAGCCAGAGACTCAGTGTCACAGAAACGTATTGTTTGGGTGAAACTTGAAGGTCACTCAGTACAACTGCTTAGGAAGTACCTTCTTTTAATACACATTTATAGAAACATCCCATTAAGTTTCAGATACTTCACTAAGTGCTAGGCACATAATAATGAAGGCATGGTCCCCAGTATCCAAGGGGGAGGGAAGAGATTAGTTCATTCACTTTTTCATTCATTTATTCATTCAATATATATTCATTTGGCATTTACTATGTGACTGGCACGGTGCCAGATGATAGAGATACCATAATAAAGTGTGGACCCCTTTTGCTCATGGCTCCACAGACAAATGACGAAGACATTTTAAAATATTCATGCAAATACGTACACCTCTGAAATGACAAGCTGTGGTAAATCTATGATGGAAACAAGGCCCTCACCTAGTCTTAAGGATCAAGAAAGGCTTTCTTAGGAAGTGACATTTGGCCTAAGACATGAAGAATGAGTGAAAATCAGTTGTCCAAGAGATTATGGGTCAGGAAAGATATTCCAGGCAGAGGGAACAGACTGGATAAAGATTCTGGAGTCAGAAAGAGACGAAAGGAGGCCAGTGTGACTGAGATTCAGGGAGGAATAAGAACAGCAGAGAAAGAGAAGCCTGAAGAAAGCTTCGAAGCCCTGCCAAGAATGTTGCTCTTTATGTCAAGATCAGTGGGAAACCATAACGGTGGTAAGGGCTTGGGAAATGATATTTAGAGTTTGAGAGGATTACTTTGTTAGCAGCATAAAGAAAAGATCAGAAGGGGCAAGAGTGGAAGTAGTCAGACAGATGTGGGTGGGTTAATGTGGTTCAAATCAGAGAGGACAATGCCTTGTGCTAGAGTAGAGACCAAGGATACTGACAGAAGTGACCAAACTGTGGAGAATAAATAGAGTATGACACGATAGGTGCTACGTGAAGGTGAGCAACAATGCTCAAATTGCGCCCAGCTGGAGGAGGGGAGGTTTAGAGATGAGGAAGACAAACTCAGGGAGCAGAAATGTGCGTGGACCACCCAGCCAGCGGGTAGAAAAGGTCAGCTGCAGCCCTGTTCATTGCCTCCTCACCCTCTGAGACATCAGATAGGACGCAAGCCCTGGCTCTTAACTCTTGGTATCTTTTACATTTTGCTTACTTAGGGGTTGTTCTTTCCTTATTTTTCCCCCTATAATGATGATTTCTGCTCTTTTTTGAAAATGGCAGCCTGTTCAACAGTGTCCAAAGTCTTCTTCCTGTGACTGGAGATGGATTCATGGACAGAAAACCCCTGAGTGCCTTTTGACAGTCATCTAAACATAATAATTATAATAGCTACTGTTTCCGGAATGCCCTGTGGACATGGGGCTTTTTGCTTAGTGTGATGGTTAATTTTACATGTCAACTTGACTGGGCCACAACGTGCATAGATATTTGATCAAACATTATTCTGGGCATTTCTGTGAGGGTGTTTTGGATAAAACTAACATTTAAATCAAACTGCTAAGTGAAACCGATATTCCTCTCCAATGTGGGTGGGCCTTGTCCAATCAGTTGAAGTCCCGAATAGAACAAAGAGACTGACCCATCCCCAAGTAATAGCGGAATCTCCCTGCCTGACTGTCTTTGAACTGGGACAATTGGCTTTTTTTTTTCTTGCCTTCAGACTTGAACTTAACATTGGCTCTTCCTGGGACTTGATTCTGATAAGCTCCCCTGGGTCTCCAGCTTGCTGACTTACCTTACACATTTTGGGACTTGCCAGACTCCATATGTGCATGAGCCTGTTCCTTATAGTAAATCTCTCTTCTCTCTCTCTTTACATATATTCCATTAGTTTAGTTTCTCTAGAGTATTTCAGTGTTTTGCATCCTTATAACAACTCTGTATGGTAGGTATTAGGTTGGTGTAAAAATAATTGAGGCTTTTGGCATCGAAAGTAATGGCAAGAAACCGTAATTACTTTTGCACCAACTTAATATTATTGTTCCTATTTCACAGCTGAGGAGGTGAAGGCCAAGATGAGTTAAGTCACTTTTTTTTTTTTTTTTTGGTCACATGAATCATACTTGACAGAATCATAATGAATGTCTTAGTCTAACTCCAAGCTCTCCACTTGTGATATGATGTACTGACTCTTCAAAAGAAGGAAGACTAACAAGGTCATGAAAACCAAGGAGAGACTGAGAAACCTCTACAGACTACAGGAGAATGGAGAAACATGACAACTAAATGTAATATGGCACCCTGGATTGGATCCTTGGACAGAGAGATGACGTTAAAGAAAAAATTCATATAAAGCGTGGAGTTTAGTTCAGAGCGATGTACCAATGTCAATTTCTTAGTTTGAACAAGTGTGTCATGGTGAGGTAAAATATTTATAGTGGGGGAAACTAGGTGAGGGGTATCAGGGAACACTCAGCAATGTCGGCAAATTGTTTTGTAATTGTTAAACTCTCCTAAAATAAAAATGTTATGATAAAAAGGAGGCTATGTTGGAAAAGGAGAATAGTTCATGAGGTACTGTTCATCTAGGAAGTTTATTTGTGTCTATAAAAAATACATTTTTATGTTTATGTGCATTATTTTAAATATAAAATATGCGGTATATGCATATAAAATATGCCATATATGCATATAAAATATGCTGCATATGCAGCGTTTCTTTTGAAAGACTGAATTATTTAATTTTACAGATTAGGAAAGGGAGACACATTTCTGACACGCATAACAGAATTGCCATATCCGAGCCAACATTTAAAAGCATGACTGTACCAATACCACCACAGAGCCGTGTTCTTTTTTTTTCTGATGAGGGGCTATGCTTTGCTATGTTGTGGAATGCAAAGACCATGTGTTTCTCTATATCACTTCATTTATCAAGGTTCAATTCGGAGTTCTCAATTTCCATGAAGCTTTTTCCAATTACTTTATTCAATGTTGAACTTATTTTTTTGTGGCTTCTGTGACTTTTATGGTCTCTGTTGGAATCAAGGGAACCCAATAATTAGTGCTTCTAATGTCAAATTAAGGACATTAAGACAAGAGAGTTAAGCAGATATAAGTCTAAAATATCACCTTTGGAGAATGGGCCTGTTATTTGTGAGCAAGTGAACATACAAACTCTGCGCTTTAGGATTAAATTTACCCAGACCAGCCTACTCATAGGCAATGGTGGGTAAAAACCACAGGATGGAGGTGCATGATAAGGCTCTCCATGGGCAGGTAGCATCCTGAAGAGAAAAAGACTACTGGCCTGGGCTACACTTGCCCAGTTTTTCCTTCCAAGCTCACCAATCAGATGTAAGAAGGTAGAGAGAGCCAGAAGCATTATTTCACCTGGTCTCCCTGAAAATGGAAATAAATGGGGAGAAACATCTCTCTCCAGAAGTCTCAAATACACATTTTGAACATTCTGTAAGTGACCCCGTCTTCCCTCCAATGTTAGTCACATGTACACAAATTGTTTCCCAACATAGATCATAAGCTACTGGAAGGTAGAGATTATTAATTGCCCACTGTACCTGGCTTGGTACCTGACTGGCAGACAGATTTACATAATAGAAAGCACTGGGCTCTGGAGTCAGACTCAAGGGTTTGAATCTGATCTTTGCCATTTATTACATTTGTGATCTTGGTTGACTTAATCTCTCTAAACTCAGGTTACTTGCCTGTCAAATAAGTATATCTTTTTTTCTGAACTGCTTTGAACATCAATTGAAACCATCTCTATTAAATGTCTGGAACATAGCAAGTGCTAATCAAGTGCTATTCCCTTTTGCTCTTACTAATCCATGTCAATAAACACTAACTTTTAGGGATTTCCTTTTTAAAAGAGCTAAGCCTCAAAGTTTCCTCATTTATGTAAAAACTAATAATAGATATAAGAGTCATCAAACCAATTAAAAAGAGGAATGTGTAAAGTGCCTAGCTAAGTGCCTGGCACATCAATAGAGAGCAAAAATAGTCCATGTAGAAATACTGGTTAGATACTCAGCTTTCATTTTGCCCTTACTGTTCTAGTTATTACTATAGAGAAATAGAAGAGAAAGCTGTCTTCCCAGAAGAGCTTAATGTCTGTAGTCCTTAACATTTGGTTAATCCAAAGAAGTATGAATGAGTTTGCCTGTAAGGTACAGATTACATGTCTTTTTAATCAGATCTGTTTCTTAATGTCCTAATGGGTAGACTATCTGGAATCATTAATGTCTGCAATGTACTTTATGTTCATGTTAGCAGAGGTCAAATTTGAGTGCATTTTTAACAAACCCAATCAGCAAATATAATCATGTCCACTCTAGAAATGGCCAAGCCATTATCCTGTTAGGAAACCATAAAATAGAATGTCATGCTTCACAGAGTTAGACTGTAGAAATTTGGGTTGCTGTCTCTTTAGTGAAAGGATTGTTTATTTAAGTTCATGACTAGCATTGAAACATTCTGTCATCAAAACATGTAGCAAAAAAGTTATCTCAACTTGTGGAGCAAATGAAATATAAATTCAGACCCATACTTTTATACATTTTTGGAGGATGTGGGGAACCCATAATGGTAAAGACCTGTTCCTTGAAGAGAAAATATCTGAAAGGGAAGAGGAATTTCTCATGAGAGAGTTTAGGCTGGTGATAGCTTTTCCAAATACCCTATGGCAAAGGCTGGTGATGTGTTTTACAGCAGCGGCTCTTTAGGAGATAAAGATGATTTCTACTGAGTGACTGTTTTTGTTTCCTGAATCCCACAAAGAATATTTATATCACTTCAAGATGTGAAAGCCAGGATGGGAGATAAAACTAAAGTATCTAAAACATGTTGATGATTTAAGGGAGAATATGTTGGGCTCTGAAGTTAGAATTTACCAGAAAATATTGGTTATAAAACAATCCCACTGGACATATCCAATTAACAATATTGACAATACAGACAGAAATCCCCAATCACAATTCAAATTATAAGTGGCTCTAAAAACTGTTAAATCTTTTTGCAATTCCATGCAGATTCGTTTGATGACTAAGTCTGACCTGAATTCACTTGAGACTATTTTGACTCTTAGCCTTGTTTGAGGTGTATCTTCATGCATTTCACTGCAGAGGAGTTAATATGTTTGGTTACAGAGAGCTACTCAAGACCCTTCTTAGATAGTTAACACACACACACATACACACACACGCACACACACACACACCTCATCTACATATGATATGTAAATTATATTACCTGATATGGTTTGGCTATATCCCCATCCAAATCTCATCTTGATTTTTAGTTCCCATAATCCCCACGTGTCATGAGAGTGACCTAGTGGGAGGTAATTGAATCATGGGGGTGGTTGCCCCTATGCTGCTGTTCTCATGATAGTGAATAAGGTCTCATGATAGCTGGTGGTTTTATAAGGGGCTGTTCCCCGTTTTGCTGTGCGCTTCTTGCTGCCAACATGTGAAGAAAGACGTGTTTGCTTCCCCTTCCACCATGATTGTAAGTTTCCTGAGTCCTCTCCAGCACAGTGGAACTGTGAGTCAATTAAACCTCTTTCCTTTATAAATTACCCAGTCTTAGGTATGTCCTTATAGCAGCATGAGAACAGACTAATACATTATCTTTCTGAAAATCTAAGACCTCTGAATTCAAAATAAAGCTATCTCTATGAACTTCAGTTAAGGAGTTGAGGGCTGAAACAACATCTGTTCAAAGTGCTTATGTGGTACATGTCAAGAAATTGTTGTTATTAATCTTTTGTACATTATTTTGTTTACCACTTGTGGTAATTAGTTATTCAGCCTCAACTGCAGATGTGGGCATCGGAGCTCAGACTACTAAAAAAACTTATCCTAAGAATCAATTCTTAGTTCAAAGTATACGTTCTATACCTGTAACTTTTAATTTGAAAAATGTCATTAAGAGGCACTATATTAAACCTAATTTTAGACATAAATGTATTTCTTTTCTCTTTCCCTGTACTGTTAGTCATTACCTGTATAAGTAAAGATTGTTTTTAGCTGAAGCTACTAAGGGTCTGAATCCAGTAGAGGGTTATTTAAAAACAAAAGCTAGATCCCAAGACTTAGAACTAGAAAGTGGTGTGATGGGAATATGGCTTTCTGGGAAGGGGAGGGGAAGACTCTGATCTGTAGTGTTTGCCAGTTTCTGTGGTGTAAATGCCCTCTCCATGCCAATTTCAAACTGCCAGGTTTTTGGAAGCAGCTCACAAAATTCCTTGAAATTAATGTAACAAGTGGCTCTTAACAAGTCAATATGAGGTCGTTCCAGTCCACTGCTGGAACTAGGTCATTTTTCAAAAGTCTAAGATGACTGCAGGTAGGGCCTTTTTTTTTTTTTTTTTTTTTTTTTTGAGACGGAGTCTCGCTCTGTCACCCAGGCTGGAGTGCAGTGGCGCGATCTAGACTCACTGCAAGCTCCCCTCCCGGGTTCACGCCATTCTCCCACCTCAGCCTCCCAAGTAGCTGGGACTACAGGTGCCCGCCACCAGGCCGGCTAATTTTTTGTATTTTTAGTAGAGACGGGGTTTCACCGTGTTAGTAGGATGGTCTCGATCTCCTGACCTCGTGATCCGCCCGTCTGAGCCTCCCAAAGTGCTGAGATTACAGGCGTGAGCCACCGCGCCCGGCCAGGCCTTTCTCTCTTGAAAGCATCTAGAGTACCCAAGGTAGATTTTGCTTCAGTTCCTGTGTGTCTATGAAAAATTCCTGTGGGGAAATGGAGGCTGCCCTGCAACTCAACAACCATGAAATAGGGACCTACTCTATATCAGGCACTGGGAAAAACACTGAGGTTATAAAAAGAAATCAATTGCATGGTCCTGACTCTTGAGATTCTTTCATTCTTGTAGGTAAAATCAACAAGGAAGGCGATGAGCACAGCAGTGTGAAGGTGAGGCTTTTTGATCAGCATTTGCTTACCTGGTTTCTGCTTGCTCTTTTTCTATTAACCACACAAGATTACTTGGCTTCTCAGGAATTATTCAAATAGACCCGTTTGGAAGCCTAGAACTGTCTAGAACTTGTTTGATGACCAGCAGGGAGATTGTTTTCGGCTTTCATGCTCACTTTTAATTTTCCAGTTTATGTCTTTGGATAGAATTGCATTCCTCTGTATTCCCCCTGGGGCATTAGGATTTAGTAACTCTCCAGGAGAAAAACAGGGAAGCTGCTACCATCAGGCGAGTTCTCTTATTAATAGTATGGGCCCTATAACTTCTGGATGAATTACAATCTCTTCCCTGGCCCCTGGGGAAACTTCGCACATTGTAAGAGCAAGACCAAGAATACTTACACATTGCCCTTCTTTTCCTCCCTTCATTTATTCAGTGAGAGTTTATTTAGTACCTATCATGTGCTAAACACCTAGGCTTTTAAGACACAAAGATAAAGATTACTGTGTCTGCTTCTCAAGGAAGACAAGTAAGTAAATAATTGCAAAAGCAATGAAAAGTGCCTTAATGGAGATATTGCCCAAGTTAGAGCACAGAAATGTAGTGCTTAGGGGACACTGAAGTCTTCACCAAAAAGACAATACTTAACCCTAGATTTTGAATAAAGAGATGTTGTCCTTCAGATAGACAATAGTAGGTATAGCATAGACAGATAGGACATTCCATGAAGAAGAGCAATGGAGGCACAAAAGCTCAGAGAACTGAGGTCCTGGGTAAACAGACTGGTATAAGAACTGGAAAACAATGTTTTATGTTTCAAAAGTCTCTATATTATATACATACTGCTAAGAGCTGATGAATGTTGAACATATTTGTACCTTCAGTGTCTGGCATGCTGCCTGGCATGGAATATTCAATCATTATTGAATAGAATAAATGATTATGAAAAGTAGAAATGTAGTTCTGTGTTCCAACAAATTGAGGAAACTGTGAAAGGTAAATAGATTATGTAAAATCAGCCAGTCTCAGACAGAAACACTGGATACTTCTGATAGGAAGCAGTATTCGATTATGAGATAACTGTGTGCCTGGAGTCTGAAAATTATAGTTTAGATTCTCACACTCTTTATTTGAGCAGAAATTGTTCTGTTTCTTGGGAAGATCTGATGAATTTATAGAAAACTTTGTGATCTTCTTGGAAAAAGAAAACAAATCTAAATAACAAAAAATTATTATGCTAATGTGTGCTAATTTTGGAAAAGTGACTGAAACTTGGATAAAAATACATAAGAGTTTCCTGGGATAATCCAGTTTATGGCTGTTATCTGTTCTGGCATAAGCATTAGTATTACCACAATTCTCTCTCAGAAATGTCACCTTTGGATTAAATTTCTTGCTGAAATTCCAATTAATGGAACATTTTTAAAAATTCAGTATGCACAGATAAAGGTAGAAGGATGCTTTTTGGAGTGTTGCTTGTAATACTGAAAACAAGAAATGACAAATGTTCAACAATGAAGAATTAGCTAAATTAATAATGGACATCCTTATATGTGAATGTTGGATCATCATTTAAAATAATGGTTTAAGGCTGGGCGCGGTGGCTTACGCCTATAATCCCAGCACTTTGGGAAGCCACGGCGGGTGGATCACTTGAGCTCAGGAGTTTTGAGACCAGCCTGGCCAACATGGTGAAACTCCCACTCTACTAAAAATACAAAACTGAGCCATGTGTGATGGTGCAAGCTTGTAACCCAGCTTCTTGGGAAGCTGAAGCAGGAGAATCGCTTGAGCCCAGGAGGCACAGGTTGCAGTGAGCCAAGATGGTGCCACTGCACTCCAGCCTGGGCGACAAAGCGAGACCCTGTCTCAAAAAACTAAAATAAAATAATATAAAATAGTGATTTAGATCTATATATACCTACAGGGAAAGACACACATTATATTTTGTTAAACAGCAAGAAAGACAGGTTTCATGATAATATGTTTTATTATTATTTCATTCTTCTAAAAGAGAGCGAGGGTCAGGGAGAGGGAGGTGAAGAGAGAAATGGGGATGGGGAAGAGAGAGAGTGAGACTTGTGGACAGTCACAGCTATGTTTAAATCTTCGTTCTTCCCTTTAAATGCTGAAGAGATCAGCCCAGGTTATTTAGTGTTTCTGATCAGCAGTTTCCTTGGCTGTTAAATAAGGTAACAATAATAGTTATCTCCTGATGCTGTTATAATGAAATGCCGCATTTGTTACATTTTGGCCCAGTGTGGCTCTCAGCTAGGGTGATTTTAGTCCCCAGGGGACACTTGGCATGTCTAGAGATATTTTTTGGTTGTTACAGCTGGAGGTGAGAGGTGGTGATGCTATTGGCATTTAGTGGGTAGAAATCAGGAATCCTCTTACATGTCCTACCGTACACAGAACAGCTACCCCACCAAAGAATTGTCTGGTCAAAAATATCACTGGTGCTGAGGTTGGAAAACTGATTTAGGCATTAATAAGCACTTGATAAATGTATGTGGTTGCTCTTATTTATCGACAAGCTGATAATGAAGATCTTAGATGATGGGATTCTGTATGTGTGTTTTCATTGGGCTTAACTTTATTTTGTATTATTGTCTGTGATTAATATGGATTAGTTGACTATGAAAAAAATAAAAGTAACATTTTCAACATCAATATTATAAACAACAACAACAACGGGTAATATTACTCCTGCAAGCCCCATGAAGTAAGAGATCAAATCCCATCTACAAAAGGCAGGACCTAGCACATAATAGGTGTTTGACAGAGCCTACTGAATTGAATTGAAATGCACAAACACATGCCAATAAAGACAGAGGAAGCTAGCTTGTATTACTAGCCGGATTTTTGTTAGTGAGTTAAAAAAGTGAATAGACTAATTTGCAATCAGTACATTATAAATACGTAACTTTTGTTGCAAACATCCTATCTGGAAATATTTGTCAGAGAAACATTTGTTTTCTATGACAGGCTCTAGCCCATTGCCACACCCATGTACCAAACCATCACATATGTAATTTTTAAAGATTATAAAAGTTACAATGACTCCAAAAATAAACATCTTGAAGGTATAGTGGTTTTTTTTGTACTTATATCCCCTTATTCTGCAGTTTGTATTACTGTCTCTGGTTCAGTGCTACTTAATTTCCTTTTTGAATTGTCAGTCCCAGAATATCAAAAAAGAGACTGTTTGTCCTTATCCTGGAGAGACCTTGAGAAAAAGTGTTAACTTGTGAAAAGTTTTGTGAGATTAGGCAATGCCTCTAAAGCCCCAGGTGCTTATCTGAAAAAAATGGGGGATTATAACACTTACACTATATGGTTGTTCAGACAATCAAAAGAGACAATATTATCTCAAATGCAATACACACCACTGGTACTCAGCGAGGTGTAGTAATTTTTATTCACTATCTTTCAAAAAGATGATCACTTTGTAAAATGCTCCAGTTTCACTCAGAATCAAGTTTTCTTTTAGTCTTGTTGTGGGAAGCAATAGTGAATATGTGCATGATTTGATTTACTGAGAGGCACTATGGTATCACGGCAAGAGCTTTGAGTCTACAGCCACCAAATAGCAAAGCCAAATTTTATCAGCGTTATCAACCGGTGTTTCTCATATTTTTATATCCATGACATCGTTTAAAAGCAGAAAATACTGTCACAGCCAACTAGTGTTAGTTGAAATTTGAAAACAATTTAAATGCTACAGCCAAGTTGGTGTTGTGTTGTAACTCCTCTATAAGCTCTTATCTTTCCAAATTGCCCATAATCCTCCCTAATCCTACCTCAGACATGTTTTTTGTGTTTCTCCTCATGCATCATTGAGAAACACACTTTAAATACTGCCAGAATGCTTAGGTGGTCCCAAGGAATTTTTTTTTTTTTACCCAGTTTCACAAGGTCAATCAAACTCATGGCTCCGTAATTGAATAATCAATCAAATCAAAAACAATTGATCTACTCCAGGCATGTCAGCAACATATTGATTTACCCATTGAGCTCTGTTCAAATATAATGAAGGTGATGAAAACCATCATTGCATTGAGAAATGGTCAAATAAAGGACCCTGTGCAGCCATTTTCTCTCTCTCCTCCTTAATTATTGCTGTTCTTTTATAAATTGATTTTAGGGTTGTTAATACATAAATCTATATATACTTTGGCATAGTGGGAAAAAGTTGGTTCAAAACTTCCTTTGGGCCACTTGTCTGTGTGAGCACAAACATGTTTCTTCATCACTAGTGTTTTTATCCATAAAACACAAATCATATGAAGTCTCTTCAATGAGAGGCTAAAATGTGATCATGTGGGAACAACTGCGAGGCAATAGTTAATAGAAGTTTGGGGATCAAATGACATTGACATGAATTCTAACTGTAATTTTCTAGCTGTGAAACCTTAGGCAATTGACTCAACTTGCTTGTATCTTAGTTTCCTTACCTGTAAAATTGCTATGGAAACAGTAGCTATCTCACAGGGCCTTTATGCATGAGAGTTAGTGATATGGTTAGGCTTTGTATCCCCATCCAAATCTCATCTTGAATTGTAATCCCTATAATCCTCACATGTCAAGGGAGAGACCAGGTGGCAGCAATTCATTGATGGAGCAGTTTCCACCATGCTGTTCTCATAATAGTGAGCGAGTTCTCAGGAGTTCTTATAGTTTTATAACGGGTGCTTCCTGCTTCACTCAGCACTTTTCCTTCCTGTCGCCTTGTGAAGAAGTAAGTGCCTTGCTTCCCCTTCACCTTCTGCCATGATTCTAAGTTTCCTGAGGCCTCCCCAGTCATGCTGAACCGTGACTCAATTAAACCTCTTTCCTTTATAAATTACCCAGTCTTGGGCAGTTCATTATGGCAGTATGAAAATAAACTAACACAGTCAGGTTGAAAACCAACAGAGCATTTACTTTGAAAGCACTCAGTAAAAATTAGCTTTACTATTCTTGTTTTTTGAAATGCCGTTCATTAGCTATTTCTGCCTATGTTTCCCAGACTTATAGTTTCCATTTTATTTCACAAATGCTGAGCTTTCATGCTGTATGAGATGGTCACTGCTGGTTGTCCACCAAAATCCAATGTCCAAGCCTCCCTCAGTTATAAAACTCCCCAGCATTAGCTGGGCTTATGGTTTCCAAATTATAGACCTCATTTCTAAGTCTTCCCTGAAAAGATAGATCTGGTCATTTGGGTAAGTGCTACCCAATAGATTGTAAGATTTGCTACAAGTAACTCCCAAGAAATATCTATAAGGAAAGGAAGTATTTTTTTTTCTGTCTCCTTTCTCCTTTAGGTAAGATATAATGTAAATATTTTTAATAGAATTGAATGATAAACTTGAAAATAAAGTTGAACAGCTTAAAACATAAGTTGGAAGATGGGAGTAGAGGATGGTAGAGCAGAAAGATATAAGGATTCTGGGACTGTGAAGTCACCAAGGCAGTTGTGGATCATCTAACAGGGTTTATATGCAAGAACAAGGAAAATACTCAGGTCTTGTTGAAGTCACCATTAATTGAAGATGAGGAAAATTCACATAATCATATTAATAGTTATCATCTTGGCACCATGGAATCAAGTGATTTCCACAGTACTGGCTAAGAGATGCCCTTGGATAATAAATAGCCCAGGATGATAATCTATTTGCACGGGTACAAGACTATCCTTATCCCTTTTTATTTAATTACAACCAATAACTGAATAAGTAGATGAATATTAGAAAAAATATATGAATGAACTCACGGCCCTCCAATCCCATCTATTTCAGAACAATACAATTTAACTTTCTCCCAGGAGTTTCTCAGAATTAAGTGTAAATCATGTATATTTTAGCAATAAGGAGTGTTAGAAAAAACACAGGGCTGAGAATTAAGGGAGCTGGATTTTGCCCTGTTCCTTCTTGGGTAAACTATGTGCCTATGAAAATTCACTTTGTATGCACTTTAGTTTATTTCTCTATATGATACACATCATAACATCAACACTTCTGTAGCATAAAAAGTTGTTTATACAGTAATAGGTATGTAAGTATCTTCAAAAGTTAAAATTTAGAAAATTTGTAAGGTATTTCTATAGTTTCACTGAGAGATGATGTTGACTCAGAGGTTCCATGGAAGAGAACTACCTATGGATGTTTCAGAAACCAAAAGGCTGCTGATGTGCCAGTTGGCAGGACATCATACTGGGACTGAGAATATGCATTTATGCACTTGGGTCTGCCATTCACACCTGCCCCCAACCCAATCCCTGCCCTCTGTGAAGAGACACAGCATCCTATTCATCACAGTCTTTGCATGCCGCCAAGAATGTGCTGCTGCTTCCATCCATTGAAACAGGCGGTTGGTTGGCAAAGCCATCAGACACCTGTTGAGGCTGAGTCATCCCTATTCACAGGATGTGCCTCACAGCTTGGGTGGAGCGTGTTCAGTAAAGGATGGGAGGCCTGGCGAGCCCAATCTGGTGCAGCTGATGCTCTCATTCATTGGCAGTTTTGAGGGGAAACCAGAGAGCCACGGTCTAATTTCACTTACTCCTCATCTTCTCTTTGACAGATGGATGTTTGCAGTGGAGTGGTCATGCACATGCATTCAGGCTCAGGAAACTTAGAAAGAACTGTGTTGGGCTTGAAGGACATCAACCATTTCACGGATATTAAAATGAGTGGTGGTGGCATTGACACAGTGCCTGTTTAGATCCCTGACAATTTTTTCTAGCATATGCAGCTTTGTTACCATGGTTTCTTAATTTAAGATCCAGGTGGTTATGTCAATTCCAGAACTGACCAGTGGCTTTGTAGATGAAAATTAGTTCCACAAGTCAAGAAACTCTTGATCCTAGCTGATACTTATGTAATTTGTTAAAGTAATCTATGACTATTGGAGTTTTTACAGGAACCAAATGATCATCTATATTGAAGCTTCTAGAGCAGTCTAAATAATTAACCCTTTCTTTCAGTTGCAGCTCCAGAATTTCTATATAGAAAGGGTTTAGAAGCTGCAACACACATAAAAAGGGAGAGGTAGCATCTTGAAAATGAGTTTCCTATGGGTTTTACAAAATATTGAGAGACATGCATTTCTAAGGATGCTGAGCAGGTGATGGCCACCCAGATCCTTACTTTACAACTGGAGCTACTTTTCTCTCTTTGCATATTGAATTATCTAAAACACAGAAACAGAAATAATATAGGAAAAAATAGCCTTGTTACTAAGTAAGACTAGAGTATTTTGGAACTGGGTTCAAAATAAACCTTTCTTCTGCTTTTCTGCTGAATTAAACTCACCAGCCCAGTCACAGGCACAGTAGTAACACTACAGGGTTTTTCTGATGAAACTGATGTCTACATTGGTCTACAATGTAGTCTACACTGGTCAGCTTAGCTTATGGAGGAGAGTGTCTTGTCTGCAGGCAACCAGATCCCATAAAAGAGAGCCAAGAGAAGTCATAAAGTGACTGTTTTTAAAATCTCTAATTTCTCTTTTGGAGGAAAATTCATCAGAGGTAAAGAGAAGAGCAGAAAATATCAACTCAGTATTTGCAAAAGGGTAGAAGCTCCTATTTTATAGGCCAGCAGTACTGTTGGGAAAGAAAATACACAACTCCTTACAGTGACCAGGCTTAAACAAAATGGCTGGGGTGAGATAGGAGAGTAGGAAAAGCCCTGGATTTGGAGCCAGATGCAACTAAGTTTGAATCCTGGGTCAACTGTTTACCAGATATAGACAAATCTCTTCATCTGTGAATGCCTCAGTTTTCTTTCCAACAGAATGAGGGTGCTGAGACTCCAAGGTTTCCTGCAGAGCAATAGACTGAGAGGTTGTGTGGATGAGAGTCTTGGCTCTGGAACCAGAAGGACCTCCTTTTTTTTTTTTTTTTTTTTTTTTTTGAGACAGGGTCTCACTCTGTTGCCCAGGTTGGAGTGCAGTAATGCTATCTTGGCTCACTGCAACCTCCATCTCCAGGGCTCAAGCAATCCTCCTGCCTTAGCCTCCCAAGTAGCTGGGACTACAGGCACCTGCCACCATGTCTGGCTAATTTTTGTATTTTTGTAGAAGTGGGATTTCCCCTGAACTCCTGGGTTCAAGCAATCCATCTGCCTGCCTAGGCCTCCCAAAGTGCTGGGATTACAGGTGTGAGCCCCCACACCTGGCCAGTACCTACATTTGTTTAGTAATGGCTCTAATGTTCACCAAAAGTCAGGTTTTGCATTTGCAAAATAGGGTTGATATCTATTTTACAGGTGAATTTGGGGTAGCTACTGAGAGACTACACATGAAGAATTTTGTATGATAAGCACTAAGTAAATTTCATTTTAAAAGACCCAAAGAATTGCTGTTAAATTTTATTAAATAATTGTCAAATTATGAAATTTAGTGTATTTATCTATTAGGGCAAATGCTAAAACAAGACAAATTAGGGTTTGCTTATCTAATAATTTCTAGGGCTTTAAGTATAGCAGGGGCTATTTTCACCTATCATTTCCAACATTTATCCTTCAAAGTAATGTTGGGTCTTCCAAATCTGAAGATAAACTGAATTATGTTATAAAATATCTGTGCATGGCATACAACCAAAAGCTGCATCCAGGTCAGAAAGAATAATGATAGTAGATCAGATAGGAGTAATCAAGCTTACTGAGGAATTTTATCTATGTTATTCAATTTATTCCTTTCAAATAGGACTTGAGTTCACAACTATTAATTGAAAGGGGACGTTTGAATAAAGTCCATGATTTTTATGTTTTTAAATAGAACACTCATGAGAAATATAAATGCATAAAACAGTTAGAAGTGGAGATGCTCTTTGGAAGTTTCTGGTTCCCCAACTTCCTCATATTCTCCCTCCTCTAGCAATGACAAGGATGCCCTAAGCTCTATGAAACTGCGAGATAAACATCTACCAGGTTGATATCATATCACTCAAAAGCAAAATTTATTCCTCAGGTGAGTAGATTCATCCAGAAAATCTTAATCCTGAATTTAGTGGAGAAACTCATGATTTGTATAAGATATATAGACCACTTTGTGTAAAAATAAAATGAAGACCTCTCTATATAAAAATGTTTGTTCAGGTATATAGACCAACGGAGCAGAACAGAGGCCTCAGAAATAACAGCACACATCTACAACCATCTGATCTTTGACAAACCTGACAAAAACAAGAAATGGGGAAATGATTCCCTATTTAATAAATGGTGCTGGGAAAACTGGCTAGCCATAGGTAGAAAGCTGAAACTGGATCCCTTCCTTACACCTTATATAAAAATTAATTCAAGATGGATTAAAGACTTAAATGTCAGACCTAAAACCATAAAAGCCCTAGAAGAAAACCTAGGCAATACCATTCAGGACATAGGCATGGGCAAGGACTTCATGATTAAAACACCAAAAGCAATGGCAACAAAAGCCAAAATAGACAAATGGGATCTAATTAAACTAAAGAGCTTTTGCACAGCAAAAGAAACTACCATCAGAGTGAACAGGCAACCTACAGAATGGGAGAAAATTTTTGCAATCTACCCATCTGACAAAGGGCTAATATCCAGAATCTACAAATAACTCAAACAAATTTACAAGAAAAGAAAACAAACAACCCCATGAAAAAGTGGGCAAAGGACATGAACAGACACTTCTCAAAAGAAGACATCTATGCAGCCAACAGACACATGAAAAAATGCTCATTGTCACTGGTCATCAGAGAAATGCAAATCAAAACCACAATGAGATACCATCTCATGCCAGTTAGAATGGCAATCATTAAAAGTCAGGAAACAACAGATGCTGGAGAGGATGTGGAGAAGTAGAAATGCTTTTACACTGTTGGTGGGAGTTTAAATTAGTTCAACCATTGTGGAAGACAGTGTGGCAATTCCTCAGGGATCTAGAACTAGAATTACCATTTGACCCAGCAATCCCATTACTGGGTATATACCCAAAGGATTATAAATCATGCTACTATAAATACACATGCACATGTATGTTTACTGTGGTACTATTCACAATAGCAAAGACTTGGAACCAGCCCAAATGTCCATCAAGGATAGACTGGATTAATAAAATGTGGCACATATACACCATGGAATACTATGCAACTGTAAAAAAGGATAAGTTCCTGTCCTTTGCAGGGACATAGATGAACCTGGAAATCATCATTCTCAGCAAATTATCACAAGGACAGAAAACCAAACACCTCATGTTCTCACTTATAGGTGGGAATTGAATAAGGAGATCACTTGGAAACAGGGTGGGGAACATCACACACGGAGGCCTATCGGGGGTGGGAGTCTGGGGGAGGGATAGCATTAGGAGAAATACCTAATGTAAATGATGAGTTGATGGGTGCAGCACACCAGCATGGCACATGCATACCTATGTATCAGACCTGCACATTGTGCACATGTACCCTAGAACTTAAAGTATAATAATAATTTTTTAAAAAGTAGTTTGTTGTGCCTAACTTGTTAGTCATAATAAAATTAAAGAAAATAAAAAAATGGTATGGAAACTAGAATGATTACTCAAGAAAGTCTATAGGTACCAAATGTATTATATAAAATTAATTTTAAATAAAACCAAAGTCCAAAGTAACCCTGATAAATATAAACTCTATATAGGCAGATTCATGCTTAACACACTTTACAGTTAATAATATATTTAGGATGTCCTAGAATATTTGTTGAATAAGTAGAGAAATCAATGACCCAATGAAGCAATAATTATATGTTAGAATCAATGACATTATTTTCCTCCTTATAAACACGATCTCTTTTAATAAACTTACCTAGCCCTGTAGGTTTAAATATTATCTATATATCAATGATTCCAAAATTGTCATTTGTAGTTCTGATCCCTCCAATGAATGTCTGACATTTGTGTCTAATTGTTCATTCAAAATATTTAAAAAAGTGTCAATATGAATCTCAACACAACCAAAAGAGAGCTGTCTTTCGACGTCCTACCCTCTTCTGCAAGATATTCTTCCATGTATTTGTTCCAGTTATCTATTGATGCATTAAAAAAAACCAAGAGTTGGTGACTTAAGAAAACAATAACTATCCCCAAATCTTTTCACCTCTTTTTAAAAAAACAAATCTGCAATTTGGGAAGAAGTTAGCAGGAAAGGCTTGTGCTTCCCTCATGTAGCCTTAGGTGGACAGCTGAAATAGAGGCTGAATGGTCAGTTTCCAAGGTGGCTCAATCACTTGGTTGGTAAGTTGGTGCTGGCTCTGAAGCTCACCTGGGGCTGAGGGCCACGGATCTCCATTCTTCTCCAAATGAGTATCTCCATGTTGTCTAGGTCTCTTCACAGCGTGGCGCCTGGGTTCCAAGGGGAATCATCCCAAGAGAGAACCAGGGAGAAACTGTATCCACCTGCAAGATCTAACATCAGAAGTCATATAGAACACCATTCCCTACTCTTAGCTAAGGAAGTCACAGAGATCTGACTCCCTTCCTTCAAGGGAGGGAACCATAGACTCTACTTGTGGGACTGGCTGGGTTCTGATAGAATATGGACATATGACTTCAGCCATTTTTGGAAATTATACTGTGCCACACCTTAACGTGTCAGAAGACGAGGACACTGTCATAACTTTCAGTCAATTGCTCAAACCAAATATCAAAGTATTATCCTGAATATGCCTCCTTTTATTTTACACTCACGTCTGTTTAATCAGAAAATCCCATCAACTCAAAACATACCACAAACATGTGTTTTTCTTCCTCATGTTTAGGACAACCATCCTCATCCTGGGTGACATCCTCTCTCTCCTAGTTGGCTTCAGGAACCTCCTAATTGATTACCATCTTCTCTGTTCTTTTGTCCCTACACTCCATTCTCCATATGACAATTAGGATAATCATTTTAAAGCATAACTCAGATGATAGCCTTCCCTGCTTAACAAAACCTCCAATGACAAAGTGGATCACAGCCTAGTGATAAAGTGGAGTAATTCACCAGAAAGATATAAAAATTCTAAATGTCAATGAATCTAATATCACAAGGACAAAATATGCAAAGCAAAAACTGACAAAATTGATTTGATAATTCCACACTCATAAATGGAGACTTTTTTCATAACCTTCTCAGAAATTGATAGATCAGGCAGAGGAAGAATGTTAATGCCGTGTATCTTAATGGATTACTGGCGGGCTGAGGCACTCCTCCCCTCAGCCCATGGTCTGTCTCTCGCCTTAAGCAGTCTCATCTGAATTATTATGTTTATGCATATTTTATGCATATTGAAAAAGATTGGGAATCACTGCCTCAGACTACCTCTCAAACAATAAGGCATACCAGAATGTTCATTGTGGCAGTGTTTTGTGATAGTAAACATTTTGAAAAAAAAATCAAAATACTGATTTGCAATAGAATGGAAAACAAAATTGTTGCATTACATACAACAAAATCAATATGGATACATCTCACAAATATAATATTGAAGAAAAAAGTTGCAGAAAACATTCAATATGATGTTATATATGTAAATGTTACAAATTTGCCAAACAATATTGTAATTATTCAAGGATGCTTACATGTGCTCTAAAAATATGAAGACAGGAAGAGTAATGAAAGTCATCAAATTCATGTTAGAGGTTATGTCTTGGAAAGATGATGGGAGCAAAAAAGTGATGAAGAGAATATAGTAATGGAATCATGAGGAAAATAAAATAGGTTATTTTTAATATTTCTCTTCTTAAAGGGCAATGGCATATATATTGTTATTAAATTATTTCTTATACATTTTGTACATACGAAAAAATAGAAAAAATCAAAACTGTAGCTCCGAGCTTATAAAAGCACATTCACACGTGTGCACAAAAGACAAACATAACAGACACACACCCCTCTAGTAGCTTCCCACCAGATTCCTTCTTCTGATTAACAAAGCACACATTCTATGACCTCTGCCTACCTCTCAGATCAAATATCACACCACTCTTCTCATGCCAGTTCATCAAGATCCTCTCTTAGGCCAAGCTTAGTTCTGCCTTTGAGTGTGCTTTCCCTTGTTCGACCAATGCCTTACCAATTAGAACTCAGTATAAATGTCACTCTCTCAAACACCCTCCCATGAATGCCCAAACTGAAGTATTTGCTGCCATTCTTATTACTTTGCCCTCACTTAGACTTACTTCTTCTCATAATGTATTCATTTATTCATAATTGAATAGACTCATTGATTTCTTCTTGTTTGAGACACTCCCACCCTGCCATGTCTAGTGTTGGAGCTCCAGGGGAGTGGAGACCTTATCTGTTTGCTCCCTACTGGCCCCCAGTACCTGGAAGAGGTCTCATCCATTGAAGACAGACAACAAGTGTGTGTTGAGCTGCTATAGAAATGAACATACACTAGAAAACTACTGGGAAAAAAATACAACCTAATATTATTAAGTTGTTAGTGTTACTTTCATGTTAAGACAATTGAAACACCATATTATTTTACATTTTTAAAAGTTTATGTCCTAGTTTGCTATGTATTAGCACAGAGGTCTTACATAAGTCACTTTACTTCTGCTAATTTTTGTATGTAAATTTTAGAAGGCATTCAAACTTGGCCATTCTCAGTTCCCAGTTGAGATGTGCACATTTTCCTCTCACCTTTGAAAGGTGAGAAACACTCATTAGAAAATTACCTGATGCCCAGACCATTCACCCACTTTATCTCCAGAGGACATACCTCCTGTTACTTGTATTTCTCAATGTTTAATCACATGTGATTCATCTTGTCTGCAGTTTTACTCTATTGGTGTGGGCTGGTCCTACTCATGTACTTGAGTAGTCAGCTCATATCAGCTCTACTGAGAAGCTTTCTGTATTCTATGGCACCCTAATCTTACTTTAACTCAAAGTTGGTTTAGTTATCCCTCCTCTGAATCTCTGAACTCATATCAACTCCCTACATTTTTCTCTGTCATAGCACTTATTTTATTGTTTGTTGTTTAATAAACCTTGAGAAGTTAATAAACTTTTATATGAAATACAAAGGTTTCCCTCAAAGAAGAACTCTATGTTGTAAAACTTCTGGCCCTTGATCTCTACAAAAGCACAGACATAAAAGTGAAAAAAAAGTGTGTTTTCCAACTGAATCTTTCCATCTCTAAGCCATACTTGCATCCAAGTCATCTAAGAAAGACAGTTAATTACATCTTCAAAACTTTGTAAAAGAGCAGTAAGAGGTCCTACATTTGGAAAAATTAGAGCCATTATATTGTAACTTTCAAGTTCAGTAAGTTCTTTCTAAAAGCTAACTGCAGTATTTCAAAGTTAGTGTTGCGCAGTCTCTTTGACCTAACTTTCTGGGTTTAGTCATGGTCCTGCTAATCAGTAGCTGTTGTGACCTTAGGCAAGTTCCTTAATCTCTCTGTGCAAAATGGATGATTCTCAACAAGAATGTTGGGAAAATGAAAGATCTCCTGCATGTACAGCGCTTAGAGTTCTGCCCAGAACAGAGAAAACAGCATGTATGTGTCAGCAATAAAAACTCTTCGCTTATTAGCTTCAAGACATTGGCTTTGACCTTTGTGGTCACAAAGAGTTGGTCAACTTCACTCCTAGTTCACATAAGATTTTAAGCAACTTGACTAAATCTCTTGTATCTGTTTTTCCCAGGCTCAGGATATTTCTTCATAATGCCAGCAATACTTGAGGACTAATTGTGGTTGCATACTTTGTGGTAAATAATTCCTTTTATAATTTTCCAGTAAATTTTCAGTTGCTTTGACTAGGTTGGCCAAGGACACCACAAATCTGACCCTTAACTACCTTTCTACTCTCACCTCTCTTCACTTCTCCCCTTATGGCCTGTGCAATTCAATTGTCTTCAGGAGGTAGTGTTTCCAGATCATGGGAATCTCCCCAATAAAGTTGTATTGAACTGAATTGAAATGCTGAAATAATTACCATAAGACAATTGTGTTTTATTATATAAGCTGAATCACTTCTAGGCTTTCAAATTAGTGGTTATCTCTTCTAGCTTTAACACTTCTGTCCCATCTCTGAACCTTTACTAAGCTTTCCTTTTAATTCCAAGGCATTGATATCTCTAGAATCAAGACCTGATCAACAGTGAGAATAAATTTAAAAAGTTTTATGGGTCTGTCTTATTACCATGTATCTGCAACTTTTTGCAACTTTATGTCATTTACTCATCTGATGGACAGTGAAAATCTACTATATGCCAGACTTAAGGTGCATCAATTTGGGGAAAAATCGCTTATCACTCTTTAAGAATTTCAAAATCTAGCTGGAGAGACAGATACATGCATGCAGACAGAGAGAGAGAGAACTAGAGAGAAAATTTTAATGTACGAAAATAAATGCTATGATAGAGAAAAATGTAGGGAGTTGGTATGAATTCAGAGGTTCAGAAGAGGGGACAATGAATCCAACTTTGAGTCAAAGTAAGATTAGGGTGCCATAGAATACAGAAAGCTTCTCGGTGGAGCTGATAGGAGCTGAGTACTCAAGCACATGGGTAGGACCAGTCCACACCAACAGAGCAAAGCTGCACACAAGATGAATCATGTGTGAGAAGCAGTTCATTGGGATCTTCAAGTAATTGAGGAGTGCTTATTCTACTTCCCATTTCCAAAGGACGAAAAAGTGACTCATCACCCATCATAGAGAAGTAACAATCTTATGAAAGTTCATCTGGTTCATGTGCTTAGCTTAACAGATGAACCATGGTAAGTCCTGGAGAAGGAAACTGATTTGTCCATGGAAATGCCTCACTTAGCTTCCAAGCCCAGTCTCCTGAGCACAAATTATTTTACTTTCTTCAGCAGAATCAAACAAGTGAAATGATCTGGATTCACTTCCTATGCAGGGATAACTTTAGGACTTAGCACAGGTACCAGGAAGCTCTGAAATAAGTCAACTTGACTGATGGTCCTGGGTAGTAGAGTCACTGAGCTTTCATAACTAGATTCTTACCTTAAGCCCCAAATATACTTCAGCCTTATAGTGTAACTTTTATTAATTCAATTGCTTATTGCATAAATATTTAGTGTCACCAACTATGTCAGGCGCTCTACTAAGCACTATTGCTACAGTGATAACTAAGTTTTGTTCCTGTCATTTAAAGAAGCACAGTATCTGCTTTATTCATCTGAGCCCAATACCCTATCTTAGTTTCTTAGGAAGCTTCTCTGTCGTTGGGACATTTCCAGGTCCTGCTGAGGCCATGAGGAGGTTTCAAATGCCGTTCTAGAACTGTGGATCTTATGGTCATATTTCTATTACCCTCTTCTAAAGTTCTAAGTTCATTTCCTGTTCCTGACCCCACTGATACTACATTTCACCCATTTATTGATGTTTCTCTCTATAAACCAATCTGGATTTCCTCTTTTTACATTTATCCCTAGGGACCCATCTAGCTTCCAAATCATGACCTTCCTCAGATTGTTTCATTCTATTATGAACCAATACCCAGTCTCAGGAATCAAGATCACTGGGTATGTTCAATGCAGTTTGGGATTATTATTTCATTGAACATCTATTTACTGAACACCTGATGCGTGGCAGGCAAGTGTTTGCTACATAGCTTTGTGCAGTTATTTATTCTCCCTAAACTTCAGTTTATTTAGCTGGAATAATAATACCTGTCTCTTGGGTTATAAAAATTACATGAGATTATAAAGTTATCTTAGGTTTAGTTTCCTTGAAGCAGAGCCTGATATGGGGATTCATGCACATGTAACTAACTGAAGGAGTACCCTCAGGAGAAGCTGGTAAACGAATGAGGAAACAAAATAAAGAGGAAGGAGATATATAAGAATGTAGTCTCAGATAAGGTCTAAATAAGTCTGATTTTCTGGGGCTTTCTGGAACATAAGATGCACCAAAGAATCTGCCCTGACTTGAGGCAAGGTCAGTGGTAGTGGAGGGAGTCATGGTGTATTACAACCCCAGAAACTCCAAGGAGAAGCATTTTCAAAAGATCAAGAGGAATCCTCTGGAGAAAGTTGCAAGTGAAAGTTCTGAGCTGAAACACCCCAAGCAATTGAGGAATAGGTACACCAATCCTTCAGGTAAAAGGGATTCCAGGGGACTTGAGAGTCCAGCAATATCATTTGTGATAATAATCTTACAATGGAGACAGAGAAGGCAATGGGTAATTACAGATCAGTGGAATTGACAGAGGTAAGCATGAGCATGGGTGTTTACAGCCCTGGGTGCTAACCAAGGGTGAAGAGAGGCTTTCTGGAGGATGATGGAAGTGAATAGAGCTTTGGAGGTTAAGTAGGAGGTGGCAAAGCAAAATCACATGTCAAACATGGTCCTTGACAGGAAGGCTCTGACCAAGGCCATCATCCAAAATAGACTGCCTGTTTCATAGTCCTACCTGACAGGGAGACAGTTGGTGGTTTCTATCAGGAGAAAGCAAGAACTTGCCTTCTGAGCATCATTATTAAGGTGTAGCATGATAAACCAAGGTTTGACGTGGTGGATCTTGAGTGAAGTTTATTTCTTCCCAGGCAGGCATCCAGACACTGTTCATGTTAATACTCCTTCAGCAGGGCCCAAGAAGAGCACACCACAAATGCATAGATTAATATCAGCATGTGCTGGGAACAGCTCCAAACCAAGCTTTCAGCAGTTTGTAAAGATATGTATGAGGCACAAAGCAAAAGATACAGATTGAACTGGCCTGAAAGAGGAAACAAATGTATTGTTCTTGCAGGGTGTTGCCATTTGATTTTGTTTAGGGGCCCCTCAGACAAATAGGTGAGCTAAGAGCATCTGATGATTCAAAAAGCAGACTCAAACTGAGGACATTTTGCTAAAACCCCAGCAATTCTATGGATAAAGCTATGACACTTTAAAAAATGAGAGCAAAAGGGAGAGAGATTAACTTCAATCTGCGATGCTTCTGACTGGGCAAAAGGCACTGATTCATCCATGAGATTGCTAATAGCAGGTGTCTTTGGTGATTTATGCCAACAAACAAAGTTGTTGTGGGCCCTAATCCTTTTCCATCTGTTCTATAATAGGGAGTGGAAACAGGAGAGGTTATGAATAATTCTAGAGCTCTGGGATCCTTTTCCCTCTGAAATGTGGAAGCCAGCCTTCCTCATTACTTACCTCATGATCTTTAAGAGGTGATGGGGCTTTCTGGGGAGGCAGATTACCGCCCAGATACAGATTCTCTATCCTCTTTTGTAATCTATGCTGGTGATGCTTTCTGGACTTGAAATGAAGTAGGGACATAAAAGAAAATCTTTCTCTTCCAGTTAAAATCCATATAGTGAAAAAGTATTTTGACTGCTTACCCTGAGTCCACCATCAGCTGAGAAGGATCTCCAGGAGTTTAGGTTTTCTTGATAAGAAAGACCGACAAAGATAGTAAGAAGAACACCAAACATGCATTCATAGAGCATAGGTACCCTCCTCCTGTTTGTGATTTCTCTGTGGACATAAAATGGCTGTGGGTCCTTAAGTGAGTTACTACCTCCTCTGACCATCACTTTCTTCACTTTTAGAATGAGGATAATATCTGCATTTCCAGGTTGGGAAGACAACATTAGATAATTTTGAAAGTGGTACATAAATGTTAGTTTCTCTTCTATTATTTTTAGGCATAAACATATAAAAATACATGGAAACCTAATGGGTAGGTAACTCTGAAGTGAGCTGCTGGGGTGGTATTTGAGCTGGGCTTTGAAGAAGAGGTGGGCTTCCATCAGGTAGAGATAAGAGATCAGTGCAGTTCAAATGAGAGCAATCATCTGCTTTAGTTTCCTAAGGCTGGTGTAAGAGATGTACCTCAAACTATTTACATGGTGAGTTTGCTTAGGAAAGCATTTCGTTTGAGGTGTCTGTGGGAATTCTGGGAATAGGTGTCCAAGGTACAATAGGTTGGAGATATATAGTTTCCAGAAAAATCATGATAGTGAAACATTATATATGGATGAGGTCTCAGGACCACTTAGCAACTAGGAAAATATAGGTCTGTTGCTTAAACAATAGTAACTTATTCTTTCACAGTGAGGAGGCTAGATATCTAAAACCAAGGGACTGGCAGAACCGTGCACTCTGGATCTAAGGCAGACATATCCTAGCTTCTGGTGGTTTCTGGCAATCCTGGGTGATCCTTGAGTTACAGATGCATCACCCTCATCTTTTCCTCTGCTGTCACATGGCATTCCCCTGTGTGTCTGAGTCCAAATTTCACTCATCTTATAAAAACATCAGTCACTGGATTGGGGCCCACCCTATTCCAGCCTGACCTCATTGTAATTTGATTATATCTACGAAGACTCTATTCCTATGTAAGGTCACATTCACAGGTACTGGGAGTTAGGATTTGAACATATTTTGAGGGGAACGTAATTCAATCCACACCATTATGTAAGCAAAATTCCCAGAAGGGAGGAACAGGATATAATCAGAGGAGAAGTGAGTAACTTATCATGAACATAGTAGAAATCTGGCGGGTGAGTGGAGCACAACAATGCCAGAAAGGCACAGAAATCAACAAACAAGTTCCAGGCAAAGAGCTGAGAGTGTCAAGATGAGAAACACTATATTCAGAGGCCGAGGCAGGTGGATCACTTGAGGTCAGGAGTTGAAGACCAGCCTGGCCAATATGGTGAAACTATGTCTCTACTAAATATACAAAAATTAGCTGAAAATCGCTTGAACCCAGGAGGCGGAGGTTCCAGTGAGCCAAGATCACACCACTGCACTACAGCCTGGGTGACAGAGTGAGACTCCATCTCAAAACAAAACAAAACAAAACAAAACAAAACAAAACAAACAAAAACATTCCTGCATTAGAGGAATTTTATGTTGTATGTAAAACCATTCTGTACACAATAGGCAGTCGGTGCTCTCCAGGACTGTGATATGTATGATATCTATGTTATGGGGATATAGATTATGCCTCTGATCTCTGTTTTATTCATCATTGAATGTTCAGAACCTAGTATCATTTCTGACAAACAGTAGATACTTGGTAAATATTGTTGAACAAATGAACACCTTCTTTTATAAATGTAGACTCTAATTGAGAGAGAGTAGCTTGTTGAAGGACACACAGATAATGAATAGAAAGGCTGGCATGAACCCGTGGCCTATTTGACTACAGAGTCCATGCTCTCTTAACTACTTCATTGCCTCTTTGAGTAGTTTCTTAACTCTGAATAGTTTATTGTTCCCATCATTGTTATCTATTTTCCACTGTACATGAAGGTCAGATAATACTTGGAAGCTCCTGTATTGCCTCCTGAGACGATGAGACAAGGCGGTCCACTGGGCGTGCCATTTGACAGAGCAGGAGCCTCGATCTGGCTCTGCTCCCTCAAATGACATGCTCACTTTCTCCCACAGATGTTAGAGAGAGCCTAAAGGACACAGTGACATTTGGCATCTGCAAAAGGCCATGGTAATTCCCTCTGTCACAGGCATTGCCATTCATCCTTTCAATATCCGTTAAAAATAGTGCCATATTCTGACCCTCTGCCCATGGAAAAAAACAGTATTCAGTTGGATAGGTTTGCCTCTAGGCATTTATTACTGAGTTGGGAGATAAAATGAAATTTAGGTTCATGAGAAATAAATTATCAGGAGCAAAAGGAAAGTTAAAGTTCACCCAATTTTAGCCCTTATAAACAATGCTTAAAGTGCCACTCCCAATTACCTCATGTGTGTGTGCACATGGTTATCTGTAAGACTTTTCTACATCTTTAGTCCACAGATATTACTAGACACAAAATCTTGGTCTTCGTCCTTTGAAGGCAAGGATGAAACTTTGGCTTAATCAGTCACTCTTATAAAAAGGGAAATTTAACATTCAAAATATTGGAGGGAAAGTCTCACCACTGGATAGAAGAAAGATGTTTTATTGTATGTTCTCCAACATTACAGGATATTTAGTTAATAACGATAATTTTAATTTACTATTATTTTTCACACTTGACTATAACAGTGATCTATGTTTTAAATGGTGTAAGCCAATATTGAACTTTCTCTGCTGCCAGTAGCTAACTTCACCATCTCTTTCTTGATAGCAATGGTTGGAATTATACCTTAAGTGTAGATTGACTAATGGCTTTATTGAATGGTAGTCTCCTAGTTCTACAAATGATATGAAACTGGCCGAAGAATTAATAGAATTAATATTAATCTAAAAATTAATAGGAATTATTTAGATCAGGGGTTAGAGAGTCACATTTCACCTTGTTTACAAGAGCACCAGAATTTGCTATCCCTTTCTTAGCTCCATTTTAGAGGTAGCACCATCAAGGGCAAAGGAGAGACACTGCTCAGGGCCACTGTGATAGGCAAGAGAGCCTAGACTTCATCTTCAGGTGCTGCCTGTAGCATTTGTGTTGTGACATTATGTTAATTAAATTAAAAATATAAATCCTTTATATTCAAGTTAGAGGTAGGAAACCATCATTTAGTTTTCAGCAAACTCACAAAAAGAAAAATTCTATAGGGGGAAGAAAGAGTTGAAATACAAAGGCCAGATATTAATCCCTTTAACGCCAGGTAAGAGTTGAGTTGAGATGCTTGTGCTCAGAAATAACACATCATGAAGAGCCTTGAGTTTGAACTTGGTTTCAAAAGCTGTGCAAGAATCAATCAACAGTTTTGGGTAAAAAAAATGTCATGCTCAGATCTGTGTCTTTAAAGTGTCATTCTGACAACAGTGTGGAGATATGGAAGTAGGCAATACTGTAGACAAGATTATTGAGAAGTCTAGCAAGGCAGAAATAGCAGAAAGAAAACAAAAGACAGATTTTACATGTATCAAGAAAGTGGAATCTGTAGGATTTCTAACTATTTGAATGTGGGGGCAAAGTAATTGAGAAGGGGGAATGTAGGATGGTTTCAGGCTTTTAGTGAGGCAACATGAAGGGCAACCATGTCTTTTGTGAAGAGAGACAAAATAAGAGAAGCTATTTACATGGTGAGTTTGGTTAGGAAAACATCTTGTTTGAGGTGTCTGTGGGACTTCTGGGAATAGGTGTCCAAGGTACAATGGGTTGGAGATAGAAATATATAGTTTTCAGGAAAATCATGATAGTGAAACATTATATATGGATGAGGCCTCAGGACCACTTAGCTACTAGGAAAATATAAGTCAGAACACTTCTAACTGGTAAAGACAGGAAGAAGATTCATGGAGGCAGATTTAGCAGAAGGAGCTGGATAAGTGATAGATTAAATAAGAAAAACAGTGCAGTATGATAGACATAGACAACAAAAGAGACAATTTAAGAAGGAAATGGCCATCAGTTTCAAATGTTGAAGAGATTTCAACTGAAATAGAAAAAGAAGTTATAGTTGATAAACCCTAACCCAAACCTGCTCCTTCTGTGGTTGTATTTGTCCATTCTTGCACTGCTATAAAGAAATACCTGAGATGGTAATTTCTAAAGAAAAGGGTTTAATTGGCTCATGGTTTTTCAAGCTATATGGCATCTGCTTGGCTCCTGGGGATGCCTCAGGAAACTTACGATCATGGCGGAAGGGGAACGGGAAGCACACACATCACATGGCTGGAGTGGAGCAAGAGAGAGAAGGGTGAGGTGCCACACACATTTAAACAACTAGATGTCATGGTAACTCACTCACTCCCTATTGCCACAACACCAAGGGAGATGGTGTTAAATCATGACAAACCACCCCCATGATCTATTCACCTCCCACCAAGCCCCATCTCCAACATTGGGAATTACAATTCAACATGAGATTTGGGCAGGAACACAAATCCAAACGATACCAGTGGCATATACCATCTGAGTAAATAGAAACACCACTTAACTCTGAGCTCATGGCCCATACTGGAAAGTCATCCTTAATTCCTCTATTTTACTTACTTCTGCCATGCAATCAATTAGAAAATCTTGTTTCCTCTAACTTCAATATCTACCCATAATCCAATCCCCTCTCACCACCCTCACTGCCATAATGCTGTCCGGACCCCATCATCTCCCACTTAGACCATAGAAGCCATCTCCCAGTTGGTCATCAGGGTTTCATTCTGACGTTGCTACAGCCTGGTCTTTATACTGCAGCCACAGCAATCCTTGAAAATGTAAATTTTAATATATTGCATCTTTTCTAGAAGCCCCAATAGTTTTCCAACATAATTAGAATTAATTCTACTATTTTTCCTATGGCTGACAAGGCTTTATAATTTATTGAGGCCCTGGTGGTCCCTCCAACCTCTTTTCTGTTACTCGACTACAGCTTCCCTCTACTGCACCCACAGTGGCTGCTTTTCTTGAACACTTCACTCACTTTCCTGCATCAGAAGCTTCCAGTTTGCATTTTCCTATGCTAAATTGCACTTCTCCCACGTGTCAGAATGGTTCACTCTTATACTTTATTTCTTATTCATTCGTCAAGTTCATTACAGAGATCTCTAATCACTCAAAGAAAAAAGACAGAGTCTTCTTCAAATCATTCTCTATCCCTTTATTTGGCTTTATTTTTCTCCATAGCATTAATTTTACACACACACACACACACACAGACACACACACACACACACGTTGAATATCTCTTATTCATTCCAAATGATTGGAACCAGAAATGTTTTGGATTTCACATTTTTCAAATTTTGAAATATTTGCATTAATTTTCATCTCTAATCTGAAAATCCAAAATTCAAAATGCTCCAGTGAGCATTTCCTTTGAGCATCATGTTGCCATTCAAAAAGTTTCAGATTTCAGAACATTTTGGATTTTAGATGTTTAAATTAGGGATATTCAGCCTGTGTGTGTGTGTGTGTGTGTGTGTGTGTGTGTGTGTAAAATCTCATATCACTGAGATACCAGCTTATGAGGATATGAGGATGAAGATGTTATCTAGGTTGTTGACTGTTGAAGCTCACTTGCAGGCGATAGTATTTGGAAATTATTAGCACTGAGCCATTGCTTGGTAAATGAATACTGCATTTAAAAATTTATCTTTCTTTAGTTATTGGCTGTTTATCTTCATTCACAGAATGGTGATCTTTTCTGTCTCCATGATAAGTAAGTCCCCAGTAGCTGCAGATTTATAGGCATCCTTTTCAGGAACTTTAGTGAAAAGGGAGTATTTTTTCCCATTTATTTATTCCTACTTATTTATTCCAACTAAAGTCTCACATTGGAGTATCAATGGATTGAGTTGTGTCATTTGCCTAATTTCTCATCACAAGTAATCCTCGTGATGAGAAAGATGGAATAAACTGGTTGGCTAGGCCAGATTGTGTTTCTACCACTGGAATTGGGATTGGTCAATCCCCAAGCCACATGGAATAAGAATGGGGTGCTGTATCTCCCCAAGAGAAAATTGAGGTGTAGCTACTGTGAGGAGATCTTGAATCTGTGAGATATAAAACTTAAACAATTTAGGGAGAGCATCATTAAGAAAATGAATATAAAACTACAAATATGATATTGATTATAGGGCAGAGGAAATGGCTTGCATGTGTAACAGGCTCTGGAAATTTAACTCTATAGTGTCATGGTACGTCTGTCTCTGGAAAGGGAAAAAGAAGAAACAGATGTGCCTTCAAAGGGACTGAGAAGGAAAAGAATATATGGACTAGCCCAGTGGAGTACAGGTGAGGAGGGCTTAATTAGAGACATGGAGAAGGATAACCATCATTTAGACCTGACTAAGCTACCCTCTCTTCAGCTGAACACACTTCCTGCTCAATGCAAGAATTTGCAGAGCGATTTTCAGCTAGGAAGAGAGAAAAGAGGAATTTGGTCTTAAGCTTTCTGTTCTTACCATTGTCTGCAACTTGCTCTGAAGAGACTTGTGGAAAGAACAGCTGTGTGTCCCCAGTACAGCTAATCCTTTTGGAAAAAAAGTTACATAACATAAATGTGTTTAGTTTTATCCTCTTCTTCATAATTTAAAACATCCCACAGAATGCCAAGTTTGGGCGGGGTGTGAATATTAATGACTGAATCCTGCACTATACATCCAGCATCTCAACATAATTAGAATCAATTCCATTATTTTCCCTATGGCTGACAAAGCTCCATAATATACTCTGGTCCTTGTAATCCAGACTTCTTGTGCTGGGGAGGCCGACCCAACTGCCCTGGGAACTGTGGAGCTAAACATGTTGACAGTGACACAGATGAACTCAGCCCTCAGAGTCAGAGTAGTTCTGTTCTTGTCAGTTCTTCAAGGGTTGCCTCAGTGCATGTGTGTAAAAGTCAGTGAATATCATCCCATGGAGGTCAAGTGAGTCTGCCAAGGTATCCTTTCTAGGTATCTAGGGAGGGGGACAAAGAAAGGAACATGTTTAGGCCAAGTAGGACAGCTGTCCTGTGGACTTTGGCCCCTTGCAATATTGCCTAGTAGAAAGCATCTTTTGAATTTGAAGTGTTTTTCTGAGCTTTCTGGGATTATGGACTCTAGGGTCACAGAACCATGAAAGAGCTCAGAGGTAATCTGGGTTAATGTCCTTTTGTGTAACCAAAGGACAAACTGAGATATCATAACAGTGATCTTACATATAAAGTGTTTACTCTGTGCCAGGCAATGTGCTTTGTGCTTTTCATAAACTATTTCAAATCCTCAAAGCAATCCTCCACCCAAGTAGATATTATAACCCCACTGTACAGCAGAAAGACAAACAAAACATAAGCTTTGAAGGGACAAGGAGAGTAAATAGCAGAACACAACTTTCAACCCCTTATCTATCTAACCTGAAAGCTCACGATTTTCATAGATAGAAGAACCTTCTTAATAAAATATTTTTATTACTATAATTGTCTTTAATGTTTGTAATTAGTGAGTACTTGCTATGTGCCAGACACTGTGCTTAACACTGTGTGTGTGTGTGTGTGTGTGCGCGCGCGCATGTGCACAGATTTTTCTGAAAGCATTGGTAATTTCCCCAAGGTCATTCATTGATATTTGATATTTGAACCCAGATCTTTCTGACTCCTGTGGCGAGATATTAAAGGCCTTGCAAATGCTCACTCATAGGTGTTGAGGTTCCCAGTGTTCCCTGTGACTTGGTGACTTGGACAGTTGGCTCTTCCATGGTCAGCAGCCTGGCAGCCAGGGCTACAGGATTTATGACAAGGTAGCTAAATAGGGAAAGCCTTTCCAGAGGACAATTTTACACTTGCCCGATGATTCCAAAGTAGTTCACTCTGAACTGGACCAGTGGGTCCCTCAAACACTCTAGCCCACAGCTACACGTCATGACTGTGCTTGCTCCACCATGTGCAGTAACCACAGCCCTTGGGTGGATGTGTGGCTGATCCCATGAGCTGGCTTCCCTTTCACTGTCCTGATTGTTAGCTCTTCTGTGGTGACCAAAGAACCGACTGCCTCAGCATTTAGATGTGAAGGTGCACATTAGAGTCCCACACGTCCTGGCCGAGGAACGCACAGCTCCGTCAGTTTTGTACTTCATGTTCCTCCAGTGCAAGCCCACAATGAGGGCAGCATGGGGCTTCCTGGAAGTCCTGGGTAGGAGGAGCCGATACATAAAACCCCAGAGAGAAACGTGACATGGTTTGAAGTACAGAATCTTGGCCAAGGCATTTTCAGTAACTTCCCTCCAAAGAGGTGGTTTGAGATAAAAATGGTATCCCACTTGAGAAACCCTTGTGTTGGTCTGGTGAGGGCAAAAGTCCAGACATTCCAGAAGTTTGTGGAAGAAAAACTAGATTTTCAGTTCCTTGAGGCTTGGGTTTAAATTCTCATTTCAAAAGAATCTAAGATGAAAGGACTCCACCAACTAATTTTAGAGCAAGCTCTTTTATCCCCTTGATTGACTCAAACAGGGAAGGGAGAGAGAAGATTGGGAAAAGAATTGAGATCTTTACTTTAAATCCAACTGGGCCCATGAAGCCAGCTCATGCTATGATTTCATCCTTCACATTCTGGGTAAAACACCTTGTGACGGCTACTGTGGAGTCATTTTGCCAACATGTATAAGAACAGAGATCCTCCTGGATGTGCCTGGGTAATTAATTAATTAACTGGGAGATCGTGTGAAAACCATCTCTAGACCTCAGTTTCTTCATCTCTAGAATTGGAAGATGGAATCAGAGAACGTAAAATGGAAAAGGGTTGGAAAAAAAATCATGTAGTTCCCAAACCCTAAAAAGCAGAGGTATGTGAAGGTATCTATATAAAGTCAGATAACTAGTTAGTGACAGAAGCAGGACGAGCACTTTGGTGTTCTGAACCCAAGTTCACTTCTTTTGCTTTTCTCTTTAGGTGAAACAGCTTCAACAAATATTTATTTAATGTATACTCTATTATTGGAAGAATATATTTAATAATGTCACAACCACAAAAAGCTTGAAAATCTGAACTCTGAAGCACTTTGCAGGTGAAAGCTGAATTTGCTACAAGCCAGGACAGCATGAGAGTGAGGATGCCTTCCTATCCTTTGGGAGGGCTGGCTCTGGCAAACTCAGCCACTGCCTTGGGAGGAACCAGGAAAGAAAGACTCAGGCAACTGATGCAGGAAAGAACTGCTGAGAGATGGTCCTCTAACACCTGACACTGCTGTATTGAGGATGGAAAGAAACACAATCCCACCCCGGCCTCCCTTTCCTGACTTCTTTGGTTATCTTTATCTCTTTAGAGCATAGAGTCTGGGTCCTCCAGAGATGACAGAGGAAAAGATGTTTCCAAAGGATTAGAGAACATCGAAACAGAGAATCAATGAGAGGAAAGTGTCTCTTCATTTGTTTTCCCCGACCTCTCACCTTCCATTATAAGCTGGAAACCTGGTCAGCAAACTCCCCTTAACAACCTCCCACAGTGCTCCCAAATGCACATACATTGTCCTGATTCCTCCAGGCTTCTGCCTTTTCCCCGCATGATATACACCACTGCCTCCACTATTGAATTTTATTCTGTTCCTTACAATAGCTCTCGTGTATCTTAGTCTAAGCTGCTCTCATTACCTGGAGAGTCTCATTCCCTCTGCCTAGAATACTCACCTTCCACTGAGCCCTTGCCCCCAGCTACCACCACCATGCAACCATCTACACATCACTGTATCCAGAAAGTCTTCACAGCCCCTGAATGGCATCAGGACTCCTCTGATCTGCAGGGCACTGTTGTGGTCATCTCTAATAGAACTCATACACTGTATTGCTATTTATCTTACTCACTTTCTCCTCGATATACTGTAAGTTCAATGATTTCAAGGAGCAATGTATGTTCGGTTCAACATTTTGTTTCCAGACCTTAGTGTGGTTCTTGACACAGCCTCCCTGCCCCTTGTTAAATATTTAGTGCATAAATAACAATACCTAACATTTATTGAACACATATTATAGGACCACCACTGTTTAAGGGCTTTAAAGATATTGTTAATTCTTTAAACAATTTCTAAAGAAAATGCCATTGTTATCTCCATTTAATAGAGGAGAAACTTTGGGTTAAGGGTGTTAGAGAATTTACTTGAAGCTACATGATAACTTTGTAGTGGAGAAGGGAATGGAAAGCGCGAATGCCTTGAGAACCCAAGCTCTGACTCACTTTGTTGACTGTTACAAACCCACAGCTCTTACCCACTGTGTTTATTTTCCCCATGAACTCTGTGACTTCCCTGGGATTTGGTACAAAGGGAATATTGCACTAGAAGCAGATTCCTTTCAGCACCAACATGCTGTCTTTGTGAGACTTGATGTTTGGGTATGGGGTGGAATGGGAGTAGAAACAGATGTCTCTTAAGCATCTTCTTATTGACAGCTATGTGCATGATGTCTCAGCTCCCAGGCTTCCACTTTAGCAGAGAAGCTTCCCCATTCCAGTTCTGATGAATTCTGTGAAGAACAAAATGTTACCAAGGCTGGCCCAATGAATAGTTTGCCTAGCAGTTTCTGGCAGTTAACAACACACCCTGTCATATTCATGAGCATCCACCCCAAAGAATAACCCAGTTGCTTTTATGGTATTTGTGAGGGTAGAAGTTTGGGTCAAATGGGGTAATCATATTTCATAAGAGATCCAATGAGTTTTAGGCTTTTAAACACTAGCCTCTTTTCCTTAAGGAATTGTTGAAGGTTTTCCCCCATTTTATTCCTATTTGACCACTCCTTCCCCATTCACCTGGACAAGATTTTGATGGCAAAGAGGATATTTTATACAAGCCCAGAAACAATAGCTTTAAAGGAGATTGAAGCCATCAGCCCCGAAAAGCAACACGCATGTCCTAAAGAAGTAGACTTCATGGAGTTCAGACAAATCTGCTTGGGTGGATGTGGTAACGTTGGTTTTTACTGTCTCTATTTCTCCAGAGCACTTTCCCATTCTCATTCTTCCGCTCAGCACACTTCAGGGAGATGCACTAACTCCTTTTGCACTTCATGGCCTGGTATCCGTCAATTTCTGGGTGCCACCAAAATCATATGTACACAAGAACTCATTCACTCAACACATATTTATGAGCATCAATTTCCCGTGAAGGGTGTCAGCCAAATGGGATGATTCTGCATTTAAATACTGTGGTGGAGGAGTGGACCAATGTTCACTATGAATATAATTACTAGTATGTGTCCAAGGATGAATTCCTAAAATTAAGTCATAGATTCCACTTTTGAGATTTACATTGTTTCTTTTAATTATGTCAGACTCTGTGGTATGTAGGTGAGCCAGCTTGGATTGGGTCAGACACAAGGATACAAACTTTTTTTGTTATTGTTTTGTTAGTGATGGAGTCTTGCTCTGTTGCCCAGGCTAGAGTGCAGCAGCTTAAACACAGCTCACTGCAGCCTCAACTTCCTGGGCTCAAGTGATCCTCCCACTTCAACCTCCTTGTAGCTGTGACTATGGGCACTCTCCACCACATCTGGCTATCTTTTTTTTTTTTTTTTTTTTTTTTCATTTTTTGAAGAGACAGGCTCTCGCTTTGTTGCCCAGGCTGGTCTCCAACTCCTGGGCACAAGTGATCCTCCCACCACAGCCTCCCAAAATGCTGGGATTACAGGCATGAGCCACTGCACTTGGCCTAAACATGTTTCTTTTTACCAGTAATATTATTCCTCAGTGTTAAGATAATTTATATTTGAAACCATATTTTAACTGAAGAACAAACTATTAGCGATTATTTATATCTCAACATAAGTAAGCATATTTGATAAGCTAAAATGGAAACAAGGGTAAGTCTCTTTTAAGAGGAGGGACAAAGAATATCTTAAGACTAGGATCCTGGTATTTGAAGTAGAATTTAGAAAAAATGACCTTAAGCACCTCTGTACTGTCGCAAAGAAATGATAGGGTGGGGGGAAGAAAGATGTTGAGAGAGATGCATAGAGAGAAGAGGAATGTCAGAGTTTTGTCTCACAAATATATCCCACAGTTTTACCTTCAAACCAATTGCATGAGTTTCACAAGAGTAAATAGACTCCCTTAGAAGTGTGTTACAGACAAGAGAATCAACAAGTTCAATATGGCTCTCAGAGATAAAAAAATATTTTTAAAAGTCCAGAAAAACAGATGTGCCTCAGTATAAGAAATATCTTTTTAGGTGTCAGATATGCCCCAAAGTAGAATAGATGACCTGGAAATGTAGTGAGTTTCCGGTCCCTGGAAGTGTACAAACAGAGGTTGGATGACCATTTGGTGGAGATGTTTTCACATGAGCTCCAGCATTAGTCACACTTTGAGACTAAAATAAAAAATAAATAGAAATGAACAAATCCTGTGTCGTATACTTAGGACCGTACTTTACTTTACTACAAGTAACACAATACAACTTAGAAAAATGAGGGTTATTTGTTGAATATTTCATGAAGTCCAAAGTTAGGTAGTACAGGGTGGTAAATTGGCTCTTCAATGCAACCATGGACTAGAGAAATGTATAATTGTTTTACTCTGCTGTCATTATTATTTAGACCTTGTTCTCATGCTCCTAACAATGATAAAGTTAACAATGATAATAATGGTAATAATAATATGCTAATAATGTTAACACTTGTAGAGCTAACCAAGCACCAAGAATTTGTGTAATCACTTTTACGTAATTAATGCATTTACTCATTACAAGATAGCTGTAATAAGACAGACCTCATGTCTATGTTCCAGTAAACAAAAAAAGGTAGGTGTTTGTGAGAGAGACTAAAAAGGCTAAGGGAGGGTCCTTTTTATCAGGATAATACACAAGTTTTTAGAAGCTCACCAAAGAGAAGTCTGCTTTTGTTTCTTTGGACAGAAGTATATCACATGACCATCCTTAGCTAGGAGGTGGACAAGGGAAAAGGAATCATGGATGGGGACTGGGTCAACCCAAAAACGGGTTTTGGCATATGAGTTAATCCTTTTCACAACCATAATGTCATTGATCCTTTCAACAATTCTACATACTAGATGCCCCAAACAAAACAAAACAAAACAAAACAAAACCAACAGTGAGGAACACAGAGTTTTGAGTAGCCAGTTATTTAGGTATTAACTTCCAAAGTTGACATGTGGACCTGCCTACAGTGATTTCAGAAATCATACTTCTATGCTTGTCACTACTACACAAGGCTATCTCCCTAGATTGGTTTTAATGTTCCCCCTTCCCTGAAACATGATAACTGAGATGTGCTAGTCACCTTGAAATAGAAGACCAAGTAAAATTACACAGTGGAAGCCCAGGGTCAGTTTTTTTCCTGTAATGGCTTTCCATGAATTTGCTGGATACAGTAAATGTCTAACGAGGTGAATGCTCAATGCCACTTAAAAAGGCCTAAACTCAGGCTGGCACCAGAATGAAGAGCACTGTTCCTGCCACCACTGAGCAAGGCACAGATTCTCTGGAAGGAAAGTCGTTCTCTGGAAATAGGTTAGATCCTTTCAATAGCATGTTGCTCATATCAGGTCACAAGAGTATCAGTGATGCAGCTTCAGATTAATGTCATCTGCAGCAGTTCAGTGACCTGAGGAGGATGCTCTTTCCTAGGTTGTTTCATCTGACCTTCCAAGAGAGATATAAGCACTAGGAAAATCTGGATCACTGTATGATGGAGCCATTTCCTTTTTGGCAGAGGCAGAGATAGCAGCCAGGCTATTCCTGTGAGATCTGTAGGTTAAAAGACTAAGAGACTTTGATGACTGCCCAAAATATCTGCTGTGATCCTAGAACTACCTCTGCCCATGTGGAGGCAGCATAGCACAGGCATAAGTACAGGCTGAGTTGGATTTGGATTCCAGTCCTCCACTCCCACACCTTAGCAATGCTACCTTAACCTTCAAAACTTACATGATTGTTCTGAGAATTAAATAAGCTGACATCTTGCAAGCACTCAACAAGGTGGGTGTTTGGCACAAAAGGAATAGTCCATAGCTGTTGGTTGCTATTCATTATTATTACTGCTGTTATTCTTGCTGTTGGTTATATTATTATTATTATTATTTTAAAGAGTAAGTTTGAGTTTCTCAACATTTAGAGGACAAAACACTGGAAAAATCCCAGATATCTCCAAAGCAAACTTGAGGTCCATGAATACGGATTGGAGTTCAGACATCTAAATCAGTACTTAGTCATTACAATTTGAAGCTGGAAGTCTGTCTTCAGACAATTTCAGAGCAGGCTAGTAGACCTATGAATGCTGATTCAGAATGTAAAAGATCTTTACAAATCAATCATATGTGGCTAAGGTGAACCAGTAGTGGGAGAAACACCTAGAGCGAGGCACCAGTGTCTCAAAAAATCAACCCCTAGGTCTGTCCTGTGTCTTTCTTAGATAAAGCAGTAGCTTCTACTCAGAGGAATGACAATATAAACCACTAACATTTTTTTGAACACTCAGACACTTACTTTGTGCCCAGATGACATTCTAAACCTACATGTATTAGCACACTTAAGCCACACAGTTCCTGGAGGTAGGTTCTATTATCTTCTCCATCATAAAGTTAAGGAGACTGAGGTAGACAGAAGTTGAACAACTGGTCCAAGGGTACTGAGCCTGTGAGCGGCAACTCTGGGCTCTGGACTCATGTAAGGACACTAGAAATGGATCCCTTCCCCCTGCTTTACTGCCTTCTAAAGAGAGGAGGAGAAGCGGGCTTACAGGAGCTGCCCCTGACCATTACTTGCTCTCTTACTCACTTCTCTCCAGTGATGTTGAGTTCTCTTTCTTTCCTGGACCCATGGAACTTACTCCCATTTGCATTTTCTGTTTTGTCTTGCTTAAAATGCATTCAGAGTTCCCTCAGAGAGAGAGAATGACTCCTCAGAAGGTATCATTTATCACAGAATCTGAAATTTAAACATATAACAAAAACACAACAAAACAAAATCCTATATATTCTATATTCTAGTAGTATATTATACTTGTCATTAAATTGGATTAAATTTTCAGTTCTCAACCCCCTCCTCCATCTCCCAAAGAAAGATTAAAAATCAGCCATCAGAGTCACTTAGGTTATCCATTCATCTTGGTTTGCCCAGGACAATCCCAGTTTGTGCCAGTTTTCCTGGTGTAATTATTGAGAATCCTGTTTCACTTTAAAAGTGTCTCAGTTTAGAAAATAAATTATATGGCAGCCTGTTCGTAACGGGAATTTCTATTTGCCAGTTATCTGTTTACTAAGCAGGGTATCTTACTTAGGTGCAATTCTTTCCAGAAGCAGACAGGGAAAGGAGGCTGTACCTACTGAGATCCAAGCCTTGACAACTAGATCATAAGTCTAGTTGTCCCTGTCCTTAGGTGACTAGAAAATCTTCCCAGCTCTGACTCTTCTCCCCACCATCTGCACCATTTAATCTCAACTCCTGTATCAGTTACTACCTCTATGATAGAGTTGGTAATGTTTGTTCGATGACATTTTTCTTTTTTGCATATATTTCTTAATTCCATAAAGAGAAACACGATTAATAGCTAAGTTTTTTATTTTATTTCTCATGGTGTCTAGCACAAGGCTATGCATTAACTAGGGACACTAAATGTTCATAGAAAAGATAAAGTACAAGAAGAAGAGAGAGATGTATGAAATATAAAAGCAAAGAAAGAAGAAAAGAAGGGAGGCAGGAAGGAAAGGAGAGAAAGAGGGAGGAAAGAAGGCAAAAAAAAAAAAAAAGAAAGAAAGAAAGAAAAAGGAAGGAGGAGGGAAAGCAAATTTGGTATATATTTCCTACAACACCAAGACTAAATGGAAGCCAGTTGGTCCCTTACAACAATGGGCTTGTTTCAACCAAGGCAAGCACATGAATCTTCCCTTGGCCATTCTCTGTGCTACTGTGAGCAATGTGCATTTCTAAACTGAAGAGTTGCAGTCAGGCTGGACTGTAATTGGGTTCATCTCATATTAGCTACTTAAGAGAAGCTACGTGCCTTTCTACTTGGACAATCTTAGAAGCCTTCTAAATAAATAAAGGATGAAAGGCAATTTGTTTAAAAATAAGGAGTGCTTTCACCAGAGGCTGCTTTCTTCAAGAGTACTAAGTTTCTTCACAAACAACTACAATACGGAGGTTCTTTTCTAAATGAATAACCTTATTACTTCCAGAGCCCAATCCTTTTTTTTTTTTTTTTTTTTTTTACTGGTTTAACAGAAATCTAATGATTTACCATCTCTTTATAACTTTGATTTGCAAATAAAATAAGTGCTTATCAGATAAAAATTGTTGCTTCCACGATGGTCTCAAGTTAAGCATCTCCTATTAAAAAATACTTTCTCAAATATTGATGCTTTGTGTTTATTACAACATTCTGCAATAACTTGGCAAAACACAAAATTTTATAATTTTAATCATTTTCTCTATACTATGTATAAGAAATGAACTAAGATTTAAGAAAGTATAATCACTTAAATAATTATTATTTCTCTTTACCTTTAATTCACTAATGAAATCACTTTTTCACTTAACTCTGATTGTATTTATCCATTCATGAATACATGAATTTGCAGTTATTACTTAATGAATAACTACTGTATGCAAATGACAGTATATGAGACTTGCAAAACTAAATAAAAAAACAAAATTCAACAATGCTTTATGATTAAACCAGGAAGTAGGGATGGAAGCGTGCTTCTTCAACCTGATTTACAAAAAGCTCACAACTAATCACGTATATAATGGTGAAAGAATGGGTTCTTTCCCTCTAAGGTCAGGAAGAAGAACAGGTTATTTTCTCTTGCCACTTTTAGTCAATATTGGGATGGAGGTTCTAATGAGAGCAATTAAGCAAGTAAATTAAATAAGGAACATCCAGACTAGAAAGGAAGAAATAGTACTATTTCTATTTGCAGATGGCACGATCCTGTATTTGGAAAATCCCAACAAATCCACTAAAAAAGCTATTGGAACTAATAAATGAGTTCATCAAGGTTGCAAGCTACAAAATCAATGGGCAAAAATCTATTGTATTTTTATATACTTAGAATAAATGATACAAAAATAAAATTAGCAAAAAATTCAATTTACAATAGCATCAAAAAGAATCCAGTATGTAAAAATTAATGCAGCAAGATAAGTGCAAAATATATACTCTGAATACAAAAAAACCACTGTTGAAAGAAATTATAGACAACTTAAATAATTGAAAAGGCATCCAATGTTCATGACTTTAAAAACTGAATATTGTTGAGATGACAATACCCCCAATGTGGTCTACAGATTCAGTGCAGGCCTTATTAGAGTCTCAGCTGATTTCTTCAGATAAATTGATGAGTTGATTCTAAAATTCATATGGAATTGCAAAAGGCCCAGAATAGACAAAAACAATCTTGAAAAAAACTACAGAGTATCACACTTCTTGATTTCAAAACTTACTACAAAACAATGGCAGTCAATACAATGTGTTACTGTACAAGTAAAGATCAATGGGATTGAATTGAGAGTCCAGAACAAAGCCATGTGTCCATGGTTAATTGATTTTCAACAATTGATGCAAGACCATTCAACGGGGAAAGAACACTATTTTCAACTGATTATCCAGTTGCTGGTGGGACATCTGGATAGCTGCTTGCAAAAGAATGAAGTTAGACCCTACTTCACACCAATCAAACTTTTTAAATGTGGCTTGGAAATAGTTTATCTATTCCTGAATGCAGGAGACATTAACACAAGTACACCTGCATCCACACAGACATAAACACACTATTTCTGTTTATGAAATAGTATGAAAGCCCTTAAAATAAAGGCTTTAGAGCCAGTGACTTACCCCTCAAGGAACGTGTAGTCTAGTCAAGCAGAGAAAGAAGAAATCCACCAGTTCAACATTCTATAATCAATAACATATGGCCATTATGTGGATCAAAATGAGAGCACTAATCTAGACTAGGGTGGGTCAGGGAATGATCCTCTAAGGATCCATGCTTGAGATGACCATTGACAAATGGATGGGTTCGTGATGGTCAGGAGGGTGAAGGATGAACTGTGTGATCCATACATTTATGGAACGTTCCATACATTTATGCAACGACTTTAAGTTGGTTTGGCTTTCAAGGGCAATGTATCTTGAGGTATGAAAGACTTTGAAGAAAGAGTGGTAGACCAAGGACAAAACATGAAGCCCAAAGTAATGTTGAAACACTTTTAGGCTGGGTGCGGTGGCTCACGCCTGTAATCCCAGCACTTTGGGAGGCCGAGGTGGGTGGATCACAAGGTCAGGAGATCGAGACCATCCTGGTTAACACGGTGAAACCCTGTCTCTACTAAAAGGCCAAAAAATTAGCCGGGCATGGTGGTGGGCGCCTGTAATCCCAGCTACTCGGGAGGCGGAGGCAGGAGAAAGGCATGTACCGGGGAGGTGGAGCTTGCAGTGAGCTGAGATAGCGCCATTATACTCGGGCCTGGGCGAAAGACCGAGACTCCATCTCAAAAAAAAAAAAAAAAAAATAAGAAACGCTTTTTAAATAATCACAGCAAGATGCAAAGGAAAGAATCCATATACATGGGTTGTAATATCAGATGGTTTTCTAATCAAACATGAATCTTTAGGAACTCTTAACTTCAATGTTCTTATCTCTAAAGTACTTCTTAACTTCAATGTTCTTATCTCTAAAGTAGTACTTGTTCTAAAATTTATTTAGCTTTAAATTTTAGAATCTTGCCTATTTGCAGACAGATCTCTAGAGCAGACCTTTAAAATAGAAAAGTGTATCTGTGGAAAGCACGCCATTAAAAACAAAAACAACCACTGCAACAAAAATGCTCCTTTACTTATAAAACGAGCCAAACAAGAACACAGAATGATTTAAAAACAAATCTAAGTCATAATTCCAAGAAACATAGTTTGTTCTTTTTCCTTCTCTTCCCACTCCGTAGGACACTTTTCCAAGCCTTTTAGCCTTTGATGCAGAACAAGCAAGAGGACTCTACTCTCATAATAACTGTAATCCTCTGCTTCAGGCACCAGACACTAACACTCCGCCAGACCTTCACCACCCCGTGAAGCCAAGCACCAAACCACAAGCAGAATGGCTTGCAGGGTAGACAGCATATTGCCCTGATGTTAGACATGGAACTGCTAGGTCAGCTCCTATATTTAGACAGCTGCTTCACCATTGGAAAAATTACTCTCTCTTTTTCAATCTAAAAACACACATAACTATATATATATGCAAATGTATACATGCACACATACACACACACACACACACACACACCATCCTGAGGGCTAGCTAATTCCTAAAGAGAGTGAACAACTTGTCTGTGTGTGCACCCTTCATATCAGACCAGCCAATCCAATAAACCATGTACGTAACCACCTCTTTTATCAAGTTTTTACACCCCAGGCCACTATTCCCCTGTATTAATCACCCTCAGGTCAGGTCATTGTCAATTAGGGACAACCTCTATGCCCTAGAGCCTGTCAAAAATCTTCAAATTAGCCAGTCTATAACCTGCTTATCCTGTCTTGCCCTTTTCTTCTTGGAGAAATCACAATAAAGACTGGTTGCAAATTCACCTCACCCCCTCTGCTTTCTGACCAACTCTGGTGTTTCTCTGTATGGCCCTCCCATTACCTGGATTGTCCCTTCTTTTGGGATCTGTAAGTCTAATTGTATTTTCAGAAATAGTTATTTCCTGACCTATTGGCTTTTCCATACCTAAATAGTAATAAAACCTATACTTTAAAACACGTACAGACACACATATGTACATTAATGGCTAACAAAATAGTTACCTTTCCATTTATAGTATCTAGTAAAAGATGAACCTGATTTCAAATCCCACATTCTAATTTTGGTTTAATTCTTTTGGGAAAATGTAGGACTCAATTTCATTCATTGTTATAAAAATAGGACAATAGAAACTTGCAGGTAATTCTAAGAAAAAATGCATTTATGTATGCGTGTGTGTATGTGTGTGTTTAGAAGGAGGAAGAAAAAGAAACTTCTTATAAAGTATAGCTACATTAAAGTCAGTGTGTAAAGAAGAAAACCTTGCATTATCAATGCTACCCTTGAAAATTACTTAGGAAGCAGCCTAATGATTTTCTATGTGCCATTTTTCAGTGAGTCCAGTAAAACAATCTTTTTAACCAACATTGGAAATTTGTTCTTGTGTTGAGGGGCCAGATGAAATTTTGGCTTGGCCAGGTGCGGTCGCTCACGACTGTAATCCCAGCACTTTGGGAAGCTGAGATGGGCTGATCACCTGAGGTCAGGAGTTCGAGACCATCCTGGCCAATATGGTGAAACCCCATCTCGTCTAAAAACACAAAAGTTAGCAGAGCATGGTGGCAGGCGCCTGTAGTCCCAGCTACTCGGGAGGTTGAGGCAGGAGAATTCCTTGAACCCGGGAGGTGGAGGGTGCAGTGAGCTGAGATAGTGCCTCTGCACTCCAGCCTGGGCAACAGAGTGAGACTCCATCTCAAAAAAAAAAAAAAAAGTTCAAAGAATTCTCTAATGCCCCCTCATTGCCACCCCAAATGTTTTCTGTTATTTGCATGTTCTATTAGTATGTTCTTCAAATGTTACAATTAATGAACCAATAGCAATACATTATTATCAACTAAAGCCCATAGTTCACAATAGATTCACTCTTTGTGTTGTACATTTTATGGGTTTTGACAAATCACAGTTTTTCCTTTTCCTGAATGTTATATAGTTAAAATTATGCAGTATGTAGCCTTTTCAGATTGGCTTCTTTCAGTTAGAAATATGCATTTAAGGTTCTTTCATATCTTTTCATGACTTTATAGTTTATTCCTTTTTGTTGCTGAATAATATTGCATTGTATAGATATACCACAGTTTGTTTATTCATTAACCTATTGAAAAACATCTTGGTTAAAGCTATTATAAACATTCTTGTGCAGTTTTTGTATTGATATAAGTTTTCAACTCATTAGGTATATACTAAGGAGTGTAGTTATTGTGTTTATGGTGTCTTCGTCCATTTGGGCTGCTATAACAAAAATAGTATAAAGTGGTTGGTTCAAACAACATTATTTCTCACAGTTATGGAGGCTGAGAAGTCTGAGATCAAGGAACCAGCAGATTTGGTGCCTGGTGAAGACCTGCTTCCTAGTTCATAGGTGGCTGCCTTCTCCCTGAGTTCTCACATGGCAGAAATGGCACTGGAGATTTCTGGATTCCTTGTATAAGGGCACTAATCCCCTTTATAAGGGCTCCACCTTGATGACCAAATCACCTCCCAAAGGCCTTACTGTCAAATGCCATCACATTGGGAATTAGGTTTCAACATATAAATTTGGTGGAGATGTAAACATTCAGTCTTTAGTACGTGGTAAGAGTACTTTTAGCTTTATAACAAACTGCCAAATTATCTTCCATTTTTCATGTGACACTTTTCATTTTTATAAGCAATGAATGATAGTTCCTGTTGCTCTACAACCTCACCAGCATTTGGTATTGCCACTGTTTTGAATTTTAACCTTTCTAATAAGTGCCTAGTGGCATCTCATTATTGTTTTATTTTCAGTTCCCTAATGCCATATGATATTGAATATCTTTTCAAATGCTTATTTGCCCTCTCTATATCTTCTTTTATGAGGAATATATTCAGATTATTTTGCTCTTTTTAAAATTGGATTATTTGTTTTCTCACTTTTTTTTTTAGGATTTTTTGGTGTATTTTGGATATAAGTTCTTTGTCAAATCTATGTTTTGCAAATGTTTTCTTCCTATCTGTGGCTTGCCTTTTTATTCTCAACTTTCTTCACCATTTACAGTATTTTTAATTAGGATATTCATCATATAACATAAAATTCACTATTGAAAAGTCTACAGTTCAGGATTTTTCAGATATTCACTCTTTTGTGCAACTACCACATCTGTCTAATTCCAGGACATTTTTATCACTCCATACCTACTAATAGTTAGTTCCAATACCCTTCCCCTCTTCCCTGGAAACCACTAATTTAGTTTTTGTCTCTATTGATGTTCCTACTCTTCAATTTTCATGCCAATAAAATTGTACAATATGTGGCCTTTGTTTCTGGATTCATTAAATTAGTATAATCTTTCCAAAGTCCACTAATGTTGTAGCATGTAACAGGACTTAAATATCACTTTTTATGGCTGAATAGTAAAGGTTTGGGTTTTCTTTTTTTCTTTTTTTTTTTTTAACCCGTGTAAATCCTCACAGCATTTATTATTAAACTTACTCACTCAATATTAGCAGACTTATATATAAGTCAAAATTCTAATAGGAGATGAAAGATACACTCAGAAGGAATTCAGAAGAGAACTTAAGGTAGGCACTACTTATAGGCAGGCTTCAGAGAACCATAAAATGTGTTGAAGTACCAAGAGATTGGCAATTTGCAAACCCCTTACATCCTGAGGAGGTAAGAAGAAGATAGTATGTTACTAGAGTCCCTCGGAAAGCTAAAACCATGAAAGAAGGGCATCCTGGCAGAAGTTTTTATTTTAGAGGGACACAACTGTTGCAAAAACAGCAAAAAATACATGGACAAAGAAATATTAGTGTAGATCACCAATCTCTTGTTGATTGATTTTCATTGGTTGAATGAAAGTGGAAGGTTGATCAAGTCTGATGGCTTCTGCAACTCAGAGAACAGAGGAGAATGGAGCAGAGACTTTTTGCGGAGAAGGGGTAAATAGGATAACCAGCATAAATTATATTTAATTCCTTTCCAAGTTTACCTGTTCACTGGAGACATTGTTAAATGAATGAGCAGATACAATTTAGCACACAAAGATCTGACTGTCTACACCCAGAATGGTTACATTGGCAAAAGCCAGGACTTGGTATCACATCTGTGTACCTACTGCTGTGTTATTTTGAGAAACTGATTCATTACGCCTCTGAGCATGAGTTGTTTCCTTCATGAAAAATAATAATATTACCAATGTAATGGCTGGTTTTGCATCTCAATAATTTAGTGTATTAGACATATTGTAGTCACTCAAATGGTTGCTATGATCATACAATATTAACACTTTTCTTAAAAAATCAGTTGAAAGTGAATAATTAAATATAACTGTAGTTATAGATATTAATTCTAAATTTTCCTGAAATTAAATAAAAAGATATTCAATAAAAGGCAAAATGATCCAATTCTAGTCATTAGCAAAACTCTGTTGTTTTATTCAATCAATATTTGTATGAAAAATTTCAACATTATTTCCTCCAATACTATTCTCCAGTTATTGGGAGAATCTTTCTATCCATCACTGCCCCATTAAGTCATGGTCAAAATGAAATTTGCCATGACTGCATTATGTTTGATCACTCTGATTTCTGGCTTAAAGAAGACTTTCAGAAAGAAAAAGAAATAACATTAACAATTCAGTTTTTGGAAATATTCGTTATATTTAACTACTGATAAACTTTTTCTTCCTTTTCTGGTAAACAGTCCTGTTTCTGTTGGAGAAAGCCATGCTCTATGGGTTGAATGTGACATACCTGGCTCTTTTCTGCATTCCCTCATACAAAGATGCATACTTCACCCAGGTTAATCAAATCAATGTACCTTATTCTCCGAAATTAGGAACTTTAAATAGATTGTTCTTATTTATAGTTGCCAAAAAAGACTATTTTTCAGTGAACTGGCAGTATAATGTGGACTTGGGACCTTCAGCAGCCATCTTTCCCATTATGTGCAAGGTATTTGAGAAGAAAGCAAAGTGAAGGAATGTGAAATGAAATAGACTAGCAATGTAACCCGAACCTCTAGGTTTGGCCAGACTTGGCTTTCAATTCACCAGTTTTGTAAATAGAAGTAATAAATGGTTGGCCAGGAGCAGTGGCTCACGCCTGTAATCCCAGCACTCTGGGAGGCTGAGGTGGGCGGATCACGAGGTCAGGAGATCTAGACCATTCTGGCTGACACGGTGAAACCCCGTCTCTACTAAAAAAACCAAAACAAAACAAAAAATTAGCCGGGTGTGGTGGCGAGCACCTGTAGTCCCAGGTACTCGGAAGGCTGAAGCAGGAGAATGGCATGAACCCGGGAGGCGGAGCTTGCAGTGAGCCGAGATGGTGCCACTGCACTCCAGCCTGGGCGACAGAGTGAGACTGTCTCAAAAAAAAAAATAATAATAATAATAAATAAATAAATATAAAAAATTAAAAAAGAAGTAATAAATGGGTTTTTTTGTTGTTTTTTAAGACAGATTGATTTGTTTCTGTTTCTTGCAACTGTCATTCTGTTGTATAATATAATCATTTTAGTCATCACAGATTGAAACATGGACTATGAATCTATTCTCTGAATCTTCCACCAACCACCTACCCAGAAGCAAGGTCTCAAATGTGTATGTGTAGAATTCCATCCAAGCAAATGTATACCTGTTCCTCCACCCACTGCTAGTCATCCGGGGCAATTGGCATCAAATTCCCTAGTGGCTTCATTCTCTGACATTCAGGCTGTATCACACATGAGTGGTGTGCTTCCTTAACTAGCCTACCTCAAACCTCTTACTAAAATTAGGACTCACAGCCTCTTCAGCTGCTTTCTCCGATGCTCACGCCCTCATCTTGGTATGCTGGATCCCACATCTGTGATGATGACATGAGGTGTCAGATAGAAAATGGCTCCAAGGGAAAAAAATAAGAATATTCCTCTCTAAAGATTGAGAAAAGGGGAAGCCAGATCCAGACTATAAACCCTTTCTAAGACTCTCAAGGTAGGCTAAAAAGTGTTCTTCTAAGCATGGAACATCCACAGTCCATCTTTCTACAGGAGAAAGAGACAAGGAAATCACCCAAATTTTAACCAATAGATAAAAATAGTTTTTAACTATTCAGTATACAGGCATGTATGTTTGAGTTAATTATATGTCTCAGTTTATGGCACATATTATTATTGTTTCATATAAGATTACTTTAGTTTTTTATTAATTATTTTTATTTTCTTTTATCTTTTTCTTTCCCGACTCTATTTCCTGATCCCTCTCACAAGTAATCTTTCTATTTATAGTTTTCTTTTGATTTGTATGTATTTTTACAAGTTTTTTTTGCTTTGTGTGAATTGCATTATCTATCTCATTTTGTATTTGTCTTTCTCTGACAAACCCTCCATTTTTAAGAGCCATCCGTTTTTCATGTGAACATACACTGCTCTGTTGTTCTTTTCTAATGTTTTTTACTGGAATACATATAAGATATACTATCTTAATAATTTGTAAGTGTACAGTTCAGTGATAGTAAGTACATTTATATTGTTCATGCAACACCATCATCAATCTTCAGAACCCTTTTAATTATATAAAACCGAAACTACACGCATGGAACAATAATTCCCCATTCTCCTCTGTACCTAGTTCCTGGCAACCATCATTCTACTTTTTGTCTCCATGATTTTGAATACTCTAAGTACCTCATGTAAGTAAATTTATACAATAATTGTCATTCTTGTGGGTAGTTTATTTTATTTAACAAAACATCTTAAAGATTCTCTCATGTTGTAGAATATGTCAGAATTCCATTTCTTGATAAGGCTGAATATTATTCCATTGCATGCATATACTGCATTTTGTTTGTCCATTCATCCATTGATGGACATGTGGGTTACTTCCACATTTCAGCTACTGTGAATAGTACTCCTATGAAGACGGGTGTACAAATGTCTCTATGAGATACTGCTGTCCATCTTTTGATTATATTCCCAGAAGTAGAATTGCTGGATCATATATTAATTTTATTTTTAATTTTGAGGAACCACAGTAGTGTGTTCCACAGTGGCCAGTGGCTATACCCTTTTACATTCCTACCAACAGTGCACAAGGTTCGATTTCTCCACCAACATGTTATTTTTAACAAAAACATTCTATTTTCTGTATTTCTTTTTTTTGCTAGATTATAGCCATCCTAATGGGTGTCATTTTCATGCGCGTCCATGTGAAGAGACCACCAAACAGGCATTGTGTGAGCAACAAGGCTGTTTATTTCACCTGGCTGCAGGTGGGCTGAGTCTGAAAGGAGAGTCAGTGAAGGGAGATAGGGGTGGGGCCGTTTTATAAGATTTGGGTAGGTAAAGGAAACTTACAGTCAAAGGGGGTTTTTCTCTGGCGGGCAGGAGTTGGGGGGTCACAAGGTGCTCAGTAGGGGAGCTTTTGAGCCAGGATGAGCCAGGAGAAGGAATTTCACAAGATAATGTCATCAGTTAAGGCAGGAAGAGGCCATTTTCATTTCTTTTGTGGTGGAATGTCATCAGTTAAGGCAGGAACCTGCCATCTGGATGTGTACGTGCAGGTCACAGTGGATATGATGGCTTAGCTTGAGCTCAGAGGGCTGACATTCCTGTCTTCTTATATTAATAAGAAAAATAAAACGAAATAGTGGTAAAGTGTCGGGACAGCGAAAATTTTGGGGGATGGTATGGAGAGATAATGGGCGATGCTTCTCAGGGCTGCTTCGAGTGGGATTAGGGGCGTCGTGGGAACCTAGAGTGGGAGAGATTAAGCTGAAGGAAGATTTTGTGGTAAGGGGTGATACTGTGGGGTTGTTAGAAGAAACATTCGTTGTGTAGAATTATTAGTGATGGCCTGGGTACGGTTTTGTATGAATTGAAAAACTAAACAGAGTAAGAGAAGGAGAAAAACAGGTATTAAAGGACTAAGAATTGGGAGGACCTAGGACATCTAATTAGAGAGTGCCTAAGGAGGTTCAGCACAGCCTTGCCCGCAAAGATTATTTATTTACTTTAAGAGCTAAGAGTGGCGGTTTGGGGATAGCACCAGGAGATATCAGCTGTGATGGCTTGGAGAAACAGAGTAAACGGCAGTGGAAACAAAAGCAGGGCACGTGTGAGTAGTTGAGAATGGTGAATAGGAGTATGACTAGAGAGAAGATAGTAGGGATGACAAGTTTTTTGGGGCACAGTCTAAGTTAGTCTGGTGTCTGGAATGAGACTGGGGCCTAATAAAAAGGAGCATCCATACAGGAGCTCAAATGGGCTGTACCCTGTAGCATTCCAAGGACAGGCCTGAATTCTAAGAAGGGAAAGTGGTAAAAGTACGTCCAGTCCTTTTAAGTTGGTGGCTGAGCTTGGTGAGGTGTGTTTTTAAAAGACCTTTAGTCCGTTCTACTTTTCCTGAAGACTGAGGACCGTAAGGGATATAAAGGTTTCACTGGATACTAAGAGCGAAAAACTGCGTGGCTGATTTGACTAATAAAGGCCGGTCTGCTATCGGACTATATAGAGGTGGGAAGGCCAAACCGAAGAATTATGTCTGACAGAAGGGAAGAAATGACCGCGGTGACCTTCTCAGACCCTGTGGGAAAGACCTCTACCTATCCAGTGAAAGTGTCTACCCAGACTAAGAGGTATGTTAGTTTTCTGACTTGGGGCATGTTGAGTAAAGCCAATTTGCCAGTCCTGGGCGGGGGCAAATCCCCGAGCTTGATGTGTGGGGAAGGGAGGGGGCCCGAATAATCCCTGAGGAGTAGTAGAATAGCAGATGGAACACTGAGAAATTATTTCCTTGAGGACAGATTTCCAAGATGGAAAGGAAATGAGAGATTCTAAGAGGCGGGCTGGTGGCTTTTACTATAGCATAGCCTGCCTCTGCTGGCGTGTGGCGATTAGGCCTGGTGGAACCGCCATCAATAAATCAAGCGTGATCAGGGTGAGGAACAGGAAATAAGGAAATATGGGGAAATGGGGTGAATGTCAGGTGGATCAGAGAGATACAGTCATGGGAGTCAAGTGTGGTATCAGGAATAATGTGGGAGGCTGGATTGAAGTCTGCGCCAGGAAGAATGGTAATTGTGGGAGACTCAACAAAGAGTGAGTACAGCTGAAGGAGCCAGGGAGTATATGTGTCAGGTGTGAGGAAGAAAATAGATTTTGGAAGTTATGAGAACTGTAGAGAGTGAGTTGAGCATAGTTTGTGATTTTGAGGGCCTCTAAAAGTATTAGGGCGGCAGCAGCCACTGCACGGAGACATGATGACCAGCCTAAAACAGTATGGTCAAGTTGTTTGGACCAAAAGGCTACAGGATGCAATCCTGGTCCTTGTGTAAGAATTCTGACTGCACAGCCCTGCACTTCAGCTGTGTGTAATGAAAAGGATTGGGATGAGTCAGAGCTAGGGTGAGGGCAGTCTCTAAAGCTGTCTTCAAGGAACGGAAAGAGGAGTGGGTAAAGGATTCAGGATCTATGGGGTCAGCTAGGTTTCCTTTTGTGAGTTTATATAATGGTTTTGTTACGATGGCAAAATCAGATATCTAAAGTTGAAAGTATCTAACCATGTCTGGGAAGGAAAGGAGTTGTTGTTCTGTAGAAGGGATTGAGGTTTGGGAGATTAGTTGGACACGATCAGCAGGGAGAGCACGTGTGTTTTTATGAGAATTATGCCGAGATAGGTAACAGATGAGGATGAAATTTGGGCTTGACTGAAGTAATTGGGGCTATTTGTGAAGGCTTCTGGCAGTACAGCCCAGGTAATTTGCTGAGCCTGATGGGTGTGAGGGTCAGTCTAAGTGAAAGCGAAGAGAGGCTGGGATGAAGGGTGCAAAGGGATAGTAAAGAAAGCATGTTTGAGATCCAGAACAAAATAATGGGTTGTGGAGGGAGGTATTGAGGATAGGAAAGTATATGGGTTGGGCACCACAGGGTGGATAGGCAAAACAATTTGGTTGATAAGGCTCAGATCCTGAACTAACCTGTAAGGCTTCTCTGGTTCTAGGACAGGTAAAATGGGGGAATTGTAAGGAGAGTTTATAGGCTTTAAAAGGCCATGCTGTAACAGGCGAGTGATAACAGACTTTAATCATTTTAAAGCATGCTGTGGGATGGGATATTGGCATTGAGCCAGGTAAGAGTGATTAGGTTTTAATGGGATGGTAAGGGGTTCATGATCGGTCACTAAGGAGGGAATAGAGGTGTCTTATACTTATGGGTTAAGGTGGGGAGATACAAGGGGAGGATGTGAAGGAGGCTTTGAACTGGGGGAAAAGGTGGCAGTGAGGTGTGGCTGTAGCCCAGGAATAGTCAGGGAAGCAGATAATTTAGTTCAAGTGTCTCAGCCTAATAAGGGAACTGGGCAGGTGGGGATAACTAAAAAGGAGTGCTTAAAAGAGTATTGTCTAAGTTGGCACCAGAGTTGGGGAGTTTTAAGAGGTTTAGTAGCCTGGCCGTCAATACCCACAAGTTATGGAGGCAAGGGAAACAGGCCTTGAAAAGAAGGTAACGTGGAGTGGGTAGCCTCCGTATTGACTAAGAAGGGGACGGACTTACCCTCCACTGTGAGAGTTACCTGAAGCTCAGCGTCGGTGATGTTCTAGGGGGCTTCCGAGGCGATTGGGCAGGATCAGTCTTCAGCCACTAAGCCGAGAAGATCTGGGAAGGAGTCAGAGAGCCTTGGGCCACAGTTCCAGGGGCTCTGAGAGTGGCTGCCAGGTGAGTTGAACAGTCCAATTTTCAGTGGGGTCCCACACAGATGGGATGCAGCTTAGGAGGAATCCCAGGCTGCGGGCATTCCTTGGCCTGGTGGCCACATTTCTGGCATTTGTGGCAAGCTCCTGGGGGAGGCGGGCCTGGAGGAACACCTGGCCACTGCGGTTTAGGCGTTTGGAAGTTCTTGTGTGCTGGAGATGTGGCTGGGGTTTGTCTCACAGTGGAGGTAAGGAATTGCAATTCAGAAATATGTTGCTACTTGGCAGCCTCTACTCTATTATTGTAAACCTTGAAGATGAGGTTAATTAAGTCCTGTTGTGGGGTTTGAGGGCTGGAATTTAATTTTTGGAGTTTTATTTAATGTCGGGAGCAGATTGGGTAATAAAATGTATATTGAGAATAAGACAGCCTTTTGACATTTTAGGGTCTAGGGCTGTAAAGCATCTCATGGTTGCTGCCAAATGAGCCATGAACTGGGCTGGGTTTTTATATTTGATGAAAAAGAGCCTAAATGTGCTCTGATTTGGTATAAAGAAAAAGGAACATTAACCTTGACTATGCCTTTAGCTCCAGCCACCTTTTTAAGAGGAAATTGCTGGGCAGGTGGGGGAGGGCTAGTCATGGAAGGAAACTGTAAGCCAGACTGGGTGTGAGGAGGGGAGGTGATAAAAGGATTATAGGGTGGAGGAGCAGAGGCTGAGGAAGAATTGGGACCTAGCTTGGCCTGGCGAGGAGGGAAGAGGTCAGATGTGTCTGTACAAAGGAAGATTAGAAAGACTCAGCGACGCTTGGGATTGGGACTGAGGGGACAGGTGGGAGGGAAAAATGGAAGATTTGGGATGAGTTGCATTGGGAACAGAGACTAGAGAGGGACCGATGTGTGAAAGAATACCTGGACGTCAGGCACCTCAGACCATTCGCCCATTTTACGGCAAGAATTATTTAGATCTTGTAGGATGGAAACATTGAAAGTGCAATTTTATGGCCATTTAGAGCCATTGTCAAGTTTGTATTGGGGCCAAGCGGTGTTGCAGAAGAAGATAAGGCATTTAGGTTTTAGGTCAGATGTGAGTTGAAGAGATTTTAAGTTTTTGAGAACACAGGCTAAGGGAGAAGAAGGAGGAATGGAGGGTGGAATGTTGCCCATAGTGAAGGACGCAAGCCCAGAAAAAAGAGAGAGTAGAGACACAGAGGGAAGGGGTTCGGGGGTTCTTACCCTCCAGAAAAGTGGGAAAGGGGTCGGGGCATGGAAATAAGGGATTGGGGAGCAGAGATAGGAGGTCGGGGAGTGGAAATAAGGGATGGGGCACAGAGATAAGAGGTGGGGGTGTGGAAATAAGGGATCGAGGCACAGAGATAAGAGGTCGGGGCACAGAAATAAGGTATCAGGGGTTTCTTGCCTCCCAGAAAAGCAGAGAAGGGGTAGAGACATGGAGAGAAGGGGTTGGAGTTCTTGCCCCTCCCCTAGAAAAGCGGGACTTGCTGCTAAGGGTGAAGGACCAAGGCAGGCATCCCTGCATGGTCAGACACCTCTGAAACATGGGTGAATAATCAGAGAGGCGTCCCTGCAATGATTAAACACCAAGGGAAGGCTGCCTTCCTAAGTCCGTGACCGGCGCCGGAGTTTTGGGTCCACAGATAAAACGCGTCTCCGTTCTCTACCAGAAAAGGAAAGGAACTGAAATTAAGAGAAGGGAGAGATTGAAGGGTGACGCCAAGATTGAAAGGAGAAAGTGGTTGAGGGATAGTGAGAGAGGTGGGAGAAGAGAATAAGAAGAGTCTGCTTATCCAACTTCAAATTGGTGAGATGTTCCTTGGGCTGGTGGGTCTGAGGACCCGAGGTCCTAGGTGGATCTTTTTCACAGAGCAAAGAGCAGGAGGACAGGGGTTTGATCTCCCAAGGGAGGTCCCCCGATCCGAGTCACAGCACCAAATTTCATGCATGTCCGTGTGAAGAGACCACCAAACAGACTTTGTGTGAGCAACAAGGCTGTTTATTTCACCTGGGTGCAGGTGGGCTTTGTCTGAAAAGAGAGTCAGCGAAGGGAGATAGGGGTGGGGCCATTTTATAAGATTTGGGTAGGTAAAGGAAAATTACAGTCAAAAGGGGGTTCTCTGGCGGGCAGGAGTGGGGGGTCACAAGGTGCTCAGTAGGGAAGTTTTTGAGCCAGGATGAGCCAGGAGAAGGAATTTCACAAGATAATGTCATCAGTTAAGGCAGGAACAGGCCATTTTCATTTCTTTTGTGGTGGAATGTCATTAGTTAAGGCAGGAACCTGCCATCTGGATGTGTACGTGCAGGTCACAGGGGATATGATGGCTTAGTTTGGGCTCAGAGGCCTGACAGTCATGGTTTCCTCATAGTTGTGATTTCCATTTCCCTGTTAGTAATGTTGAGCATCTTTTCATGCTAATTGACCATTTGTGAATCTTCCTTGGATAAATGTCTATCAAAGTCTTTTGCTCATTTTTAAGTCAGGTTGTTTATCTTCTCATTGTTTAATTTTAAAAGTTATTTCTATATTTTGGATACTAGTCACTTATCTGATATATGATTTGCAAATATTTTATCCCATTCTGTGGGCTGCCTTTTTACGGTGCTGATAGTGTCTTCTGATGCACTGTAAAATTTTTTTCATGAAGTTTGTCTATTTTTAGCTTTAGTGCTTGGGCCATTGGTGTCATATCCAAGAAAGCATTGCCAAATATAATATTACAAAACTTTTGTCTTATTTTCTTTTAGGGGGTTTATACATTTAGGTCTTACATTTAGGTCATAGATGCACTTTGAGTTAATTTTTGTATATGTTGTTGGGAAAGGGTTTAATCTCAAATTTTGCTTATAGATATCCAGTTTTCCCAGACTAGAGTCTTCCAGCTTTATTCCATTTTTTTTTCAGGATTATCTTGCCTATCCAGCATCTCTTTAAAATTCCATATTAATTTTAGAATGGGTATTTCTATTTCTGTAAATAATGCTTTTGAGATTTTGGTAGAGATTACATTAAGTCTATAGATTACTTTAAGTAATACTGTGGTTTAAATGTGTTACCCCAAATTCATATGTTGAAAACTTAATCTAAAATGTAACAGTGTTGGGAGGCGGAGCATTTTGGAAAGTGTTTAGGATATGAGGGCTTTGCCCTCAGAAATGAAGTACCATTGTTATAAAAGAGCTTGATGAAGGAAGATTGTCCCTTTTACTCCCCAGCCTTCCGCATCTGAGGATGTAGCCAAAAGGCTTCACCAGACACCAGAAGTTGACCCTTTGATTTTGGACTTCCTAGCCTCCAGAACTCTGAGAAAATAATTTTATATCTTTATAAATTACCCAATCTGTGGTATGCTAATATGACAGCTCAAAATGGATTAAAGCAAACATTATTGACATCTTAATATTGTCTTCCCAGTCTATGAAGACAGAATGTCTTTCAATTTATGTCTTCTTTCATTTATTTCAGATACATTTGGAACTTTTCATTATGCAAGTGTTTTACCTTCTTAATTGATTACTATTTTACTCTTTTTGATGTTATTACAGATATAATTTTAAAATATTTACTTATGAGAGTGTTGACAGTTTATAGAAATGCGACTGATTTTTTTCGTGTTGATTTTATATTTTACTACTTTGCTGAATTTTTTTATTCTAACTGGGCTTTTGTTTGTTTAATCTTTAGATTTTCTACATGTAAGATCATATCATCTGTTAACAGACATAATCTTATTTTTTCCTTTCTGATTTAAATGCCTTTTGTTATTATTATTATTTGCCAAATTGCTCTGACTAGAACTTCTATTATTATGCTGAATAGAAATGGTAAAAGCAAGCATTTTTGCCATGTTCCTTATCTTAGGGGAAAGGTTTCAGTTTTCAGCATTGAGTACGATACTTGCTGTGGGTTTTACATATATAGGTTTTGTTATATTTAGGTCATTTCCTTTTTTTCTCAGTTTGTTTAGTGTTTCTCTCATAAGATGGCATTGAATTTTGTCAAATGCTTTTTTCTGTATCAATGAAGATAGTCACATGTGTTTTTTTAATTATATTAATGTGATATATTACATTTATCCATTTTTATATGTTGAATGATCTTTGCATTCCAGAAATAAATTCCATTTGGTAATAGTGTGAATCTTTTTAATATGGCTTGCTAGAACTTTGTTGAGATTTTTTGTATCAATGTTTAAAAAGGTGACGAAGGTTTTTTTCTTGTAGTATCTTTGTCTACCTTTGGTATCAGGTTAATGCTGCTTCATAGAAAGTTAGTAACTGGTTTCCTTTTGGTTAGTTTTGTGTTTCCAAGAATTTGCCTATTATATCTAAGTTATTCAATTTGTGTAGACTTATAGTACGCTCTTATAATCCTTTTTATTTCTGTACAATTGGCAACCATGTTCCCACTTTCATTTCTTATTTTAGTAGGTTGAGTCTTTTTATTTTTAGTTCATCGAACTTAATACAATTAAAAATGTTAATGTGGTTCAGTTTTTCAAGGCAGAATCTTTTGGTATTATTGATTTTTTTTTACTATTTTTCTATTGCCAGTTTTATTTTATTTCTGCTGTAATCTTTATTTCCTGACTTCTGTTACCTTTGGGTTTGTTTGTTTCCTTTCTCTAGTTCGTTAAATTATAAAGTTGTTTTTGCTTTGAATGTTTCTTATTTTATAATGTAAGCATATATAGCTATAAATTTCTTCATTTGCACAGCTTTCTCTGTGTCTCATAAGTTTTGGCATATTGTGGTTTTATTTTCATTTTTCTCTATTTTCTAATTTCCCTTGTGATTTCTCATTTGATCCATTGATTGTGTAAGACTTTTTTGTTTAATTTCTGCAAATATATAATTTTTTTAGTTTCTCTCCAGTTACTGATTTCTCACTTCATTCTGTTGTGGTCAGAGAATATACTTTGTATGATATCCACCTTTTTAGACATGGGGAGGTTTAACTTGTGGCCTAACATGTAGTCTATCATGAAAATGTCCCAGGTACACTTGAGAAGAATGTATTTTCTGTTGTTGTTGGAAAATGTGTTCTGTATATGAGTTAGATCTGTTTGCCTTATTGCATTGTTCAAGTTCTCTATTTCCTTACTTATCTTTGGTCTGGTGGCTCTATCAAATATTGAGTGTAGGGTACTAAACTCTGTAGCTATTACTGTAGTATTGTTTATTTCTCCCTTCAATTCTGTAAATTTTTACTTCATATATTTTGATGGTCTGCTATTAGCTTTGTAAATTTATATAATTGTATTTTCTTGCTGTATTGCATCTTTTATTATTTATATAATGTTCTTTTTCTCTCTTGTAACTTTTTAAAAACTTAAGATCTATTTTGCTCGATGTTAGCCTAGCCAACCCTACTCTCTTTTTGATTACTATTTGCATGGCATATTCTTTTCCATCCTTTCACTTTCAACCTATTTGTATCTTTGGGTCTAATGTGAATTTCTTGTAGACAGCAAATAATTGGATAATTTTTAAAATCTATTTTGTCAATCTCTGTCTTTTGAATGGAGAATTTAGTCTATTTACAATTAAAGTAATTACTGATAAGGAGGGAATTACTTCTGTTATTTTGCTAATTGTTTTCTATATACCTTATAGCTTTTTGTCCCTCACTTCTTACATTACTGTCTTCTTTTGTGCCTAGTTAATTTTTTGTAATTAAACTTTTAAATTCCTTTCTTGTTTCTTTATGTGTAAATTCTTTACATATTTTCTTTGTAGTTAATATGAGGATTATACTCAAAATCCTAAAGTTGTAATACCCTTAAGTTAAATTTATGCCAGCTTAACTTATATAACTCTGCCCTTTTTATAGTTTTTAGTACAAAACTCTGCTCTTCTAACAGTTCTGTCCTCATTTCTTTCTGTTATTAATGCCACAAAACTTCATTGTTGTACATTGTGTGTCCAAAAACATAAACTATTAATTTTTAAATGTAAATGAATCGTAAATAGTATTGAAAGAGAAATATGCAATACTTACCTTTTAGACTAGTTTTTTAATGTGTTAGTCTCTTTAATTATGTAGACAACAAACAAAAATATGGTGCCACACATCATCATTATAATAATACTAGTTTTAATAATTGCCCATGTATTTACATTGACTGAGATCTTTATTTCTTCATATGACTTAGAGTTACTATCTAGTTTTCTTTCATTTCAAAATGCAAGACTCTCTTGAGCACATCTTGAACAGCAAGTCTAGCAGTGATAAACTCCCTTAGCTTTTGTTTATCTGGGAATGTCCTTATTTCTCTCTCACTTTTGAAGGATAGTTTTGCTGGATATGTGATTCTTGGATAACAGGGGTTTCTTTTGTTCGTTTTTTTGTTTTTTGCTGGACTTCTACTTTCTTACAAAAAAATCAACTGATGATCTTATTGAAGATCCTTTGTGTGTGATGTGTTACCTCTCTCTTGCTGCTTTTAAAATTCTCTCTTTGACTTTAGACAGCTTGATTATAATGTTTCTCAGTGTGATTCTCTTATAGTTCATTCTTTTTGGAGTGGGAGTTTATTGAGCTTCTTAGATGCTTATATCATGTCTTTCATTAAATTAGAAAAGTTTTCAGACATTATTTCTTTAAATATTATCTCTGCCCCTTTTACCCTCTGTTACCCTTCTGGCAATTCCATAACATCTATCTTGGTCTCCTTGAAGGTGTCCTACAGGTCATGTATGCTCTGATGCTCTGATCAGTTTTCTTCATCCATTTTTCTTTCTGTTTCTCAAATTTGACAATTTTTTTGTCCTATCTTTGAAATAGTTTTTTCGCTTGCTCAAATCTATCTCTAAAATATTCCAGTGGATTTTCATTTTCATTTTTATTTTCATTTTTCAGCTCCAGAATGTTTTTTCTGTGTGGTTTATGTTAGGTTTTATATCTCTTTAGACATTTTTTATTTGTTCATACATTTTGTTATTGACTATCTCTGTGTCATCTTTTGGTTCTTTGAGAATCTTTAAGGCTGTTGTCTTAAAGTCTTTTTCTAGTAGTTCTGTCATTAGGTCTTTTTTGGAGACAGTTTTTATGGATTTACTTTTTCTTTTGAGTGGGTCATACTCTCCTGTTTCAGTTTTTTATTAACCTTGAGATTTTTTTGGTGCTGTTTTTTGTTTTGTTTTGTTTTTGTTTCTTCATAGTTATAGGCTGTCTCTGTGTGAAAGATCAGTCTAAGTTGTAAGCTTAAGGTATTCTCAGGTCTTTTCTGAGCTTGGCCCTACCCCTGAGCATGCATGGTGACTTTCTAAATTTTCTTACATATGTAGTTGCTTTTGTATATTCTACTCTTCAATGTCTGACTCTCAAAAAAAGATGAAGAAAAAAATGAAATGAGGGGGATAGCATCAGTCCTTTAACTTCTCTGGAAATCACCTCAGCGAGAGCAGAAGAAGCTTGCAACAATGGGAAGAGATGTAAAAACAATGGTCACAGCCTCATTGTCTGGACTTCTGTGGTCAGAAGCAGCAATCGATTATCAAATCACAGTTACCTAGTACTTAAAGACTAGGGTTCTTTTGGCCCACTCCTTCCCCTTTAAGCTATCAGCAAGCTGCTCCAGGAACAAGTTAACATCTGCCCACCATGGGGTTGAGGGATGGGGAATGGGTAGCTGCTAATGTGCTAATAGCTGAAATCAGCTGAAATGAACAGCAATTTATGAAGCAAGGCTTCCTCTGGAAGTTTTAAGCCTTCAATAGACTTCAAAGTTCCAAAGTAGTTACTTTGGATATATTCTGCCATTGTAATTGTTGTCTAGGTATGGAGACAGATTCCTGCTGCTTCCTACTCTGCTACATTTCCAAAACATTCCTTTATGGTTTGATTTTTATTGCTGAAAAATTCTCCATATTGTATGTCCAACATATATTACCTATTCATTCTCCAAGTGATGGATACCCAGGAGGCTTCTAACTCTGTCAACACAAATAAACTGCAGTGAGTAGCTTCAAGCAAAATTACTTATAGAGCTGCGTGGAATATATATCTCAGAGAGAAATTTTAGGGTTACTAGAATGTATAAATCCATTAGTCAGCAGTGTATTAAGTCTCCTTTATCTGAACATCTGTCCATGTCTGGTGTTAGCTATCTTTCTAATTTCTGCCCTTTTCACTTATAACCACAATTGTATAAATTGAAAGAATCATTTGCTAAATAAAGCTGATCATGCATTCAAAATAACACATCTTGATCAAGTACAATGATCAGAGACTCCATCAGTAAAATTCACCACAACTTGACTAAATTTATAAAGATGAAAGAAGAAAAATCAATGGATACATTTAATTTAGAAAAAGAACATAATAAGCTTTAGCACCATTAATGGTTAAACAAATAAACAATAACAACAAAAACAAATAGGAAATAAATGGAAATGTTCTCGACTTGATGGACATTACATAATGAAACAAACTAATAAGCAAATAAAACAATTGATTGGCAAACTTTGGCCACACATCTTCTAGTATCATTAGCAAGACATGAATGCCTATCTCATCAGCAATAATATATGAAGCAAGGAAATGAAAAAAATAGGTATTAATATGTAAGTAAAGATATAATCCTTAAAGATGATTTTTTTCTACCTGTTAAAAAGTAATCAAATCAATAAACTGTTAGAATTTATAAGAGTTCAACGATGATTCCTGATACAATGTCACTCTTGCGAAATCAACGTTCTTTCTTTACACAAGAAATGAGCAACTAAAAATGTTTGAAAATAAAATATTACATAATATAGCAGAATACTAAGGTTCCTAGAAATTAAACTAACCAGAATCACTAGATTCCTATGGGCAAAACATTAAAACTCCAAACAGGACATAAAGAGTAATCTGAATAAATGGAAAAGCTTCCATGCTTTTAGACTGGATAACATTTTAAAGATATTAATTCTCTCCAGATTAAGATACAAATTTGATTCAAGCTCAATAGAAATTCTAATTATATGGTTTTAATGTACTTAGTAAACCTATTCCAAAACTTTAAGTTGACTAAAAATAGCTAAATTAACTATAAAAATAGTAAAAAGGGGAAGCTTGCCTCTACCAGATATCAAGACATATAGTAAGACTGTAGTAATATAAATAGCGTTTTATTGGTGTAAAAACAGGCAAATTGACTAATTTGATAATAAGTAGCTCTGGAACAGGCTCATTAGCATGTGACATCTAAATATATGATAAATTTGGCACACGAAATTAATGGGAAAAGGACAAATTATTTAGTAGACAGCAAGAGCACTACTGGTTCATTTTCATGTGAGAAATGAATCCAGATCTTTATCTAACACCACATATAAAACATTGAAATCTGGAAGGATTAACATCGTAAGTGTAAAACATAAAGCTATAAATTTAATGGGAGCTTTGCCCCGCGTTTAAAATTAAAAAAAAAAAAAGAATATCTAGAACAGAAATCAATCTTCTGCTGATTCAAAAGAACATTTCCTCCCCCAAATACACCAGGCTCAAGATACAAACAGGCAAGTTACAGAAAACTAAAGCAAATACGTGCATAACAAGATGATCAAAATTGTTCATAAACAGAGATGTACAAATTTAAACACAAAGAGATAGTACTGTGCACTGATAGAGTAGCTAACTATATCTTTCTAGACCATATAATTCCTCCTCCTTTTAGAGTTACAGAGGTCCCTGTATTAAAGTCCACCATTAATAAGTCGAATTTTAAGAAGAGCTCAGAGAGAGCTTTATAAGATATTTATTATAAAATCATTCCCCTTTAAAAATAAGCTCTCCCTCAGAAAATAGTTATTAAAGGGTCTCAATAGAAGGGCATGGGTATAATCATTAGAGTCAGTAACAAATGTTATTACTCTGGTCATCTCAGTGATACAAAAGAAACTGTGCTATTTAGCTGTGTGCTATGAAAGAATAAGTTATGGTTTGGTTTGTTAAAGTACATCATGTCTTCTTTATTTCTAATGCTGCACTTACCTCCATGAGCTGTGAACATTAAAGGTTCCTATTATAAGAAATAGTAAAACAAGTTTGATAATTGAAACCATTCCATTCAATTATTTAATTAGTATTCATCTATTCATTATGATATCTTTATTCTTCATATTGTCTGTAGTCAAAATGGACGGGAAGAATAGTCTTCTTCTTTGTCTTATCGGAGTTTTTAAATGCTCTCATTCTTTTCATAGATTTCATGAGTTCAGGGCTGCTTTGAGATTTACTTTTTTAGTCTCTAAAGCATTACTTCCAATGTATATTCTGTAAGATTCTTCTTTACAGGTTGACCACAAATAGTACATAATTGTGGTGGGTAATTTTATGTGCCATCTTGACCATGCTAAAAGATGCTCAGATAGCTGGTAAAACATTATTTCTGGGTGTGTCTGGGAGGGTGTTTCCAGAAGAAATTAGCATTTGAATGAGTATCTGCGAGAGAAGATCCACCCTCACCAATGTGGAAGGGCATCAACCAATACATTAAAGAGCTAAGCAGAACAAAAAGGTGAAGGAAGAGTAAATTTTCTTTCTCTTTTCTTGAACTGGAATATCTATCTTCTCCTGCCCTCAGACATTGGACCTCCTTGTTCTCAGGCCTTCAGAGCATGCCAATTTCTACAATAAATTCACTGATACACACACACACACTCACACACACACACAGCCTATTGATTGTGTTTTTTCTGGAGAGCCCTGACTAATATGAAAATCAAGATTCTTCTTTACAAGTTATTCACCAACAATAGAGGACTGCTCAATAAAAGAATTTCACTTCATTTCAACAATCTCGTTATCACTTATAGGATATTTTGTCACTCACACACACAACAACAATGAAATCTAACCTTGGTATTGCAAAACTCATAAATTTAAAAATACTCTTTAGCAATTTGTGTAGGAGGTTTGTGGCCTTTATTGGGAAGAATAACACCAAGCCTTTGTTTAGCTGTCAATCAAGGGAACAATTAATGTGAACGCTAGCCAGTCTATTGTTCTCCTTCACAGGCCAACAGTCTTTCAGTGAATATCACAAAAGGAATGCACAGGTGATTAAACACCAAGTTTCACACACATATGATCCTGAGCTCTTCTGGTGTGATTATTTCCCCAGAAGCCTCATAAAACAGTTTTGAATTACCTCTTCCACTATCCAGGTGAAATTTCCTCCAGTTGAATATACTAACTCCTATCCCTTCAGCTAATTGGTTGAGTACCCAGATGACTCTACTTGGAGAAGAAAGACAAGATATTATTGTACACACCACTTTCAATGGGGGAAACACCTTGGGAAGTGTTACTGCAGCTTACTTTTAGAGAAATGGGTAGAACTTGGCCAGTTAGCAAAGGGAAAGGCAAATGCAAGCTGCAGAGGTTGAGGGAGATAAATCTAAAGGGTCTGGCAAGAGGAGGTGTTCCAATAGAAATTGGGTCACAGATGATGTGACAATTGTACAAGAATGTAACAAACCATTCATATAGTGGTTGGTTGTACATATTGAAACAATCAGTGGACTCTTGTATGCATTTAGTCTGCTTAGTTCAATAATGTATACAGTTGACCCTTGAACAATGTGGATTTGAACTGTGCTGGTACATTTAGATGTGGATTTTCTTCTGTCTCTGCCACCCCCGAAACAGCACGACCAACACCTCCTCTTCTCCGTCCTTTGCAGCCTACTCACTGTGAAGACAATGAGGGTGAAAACCTTCATGATGATCCACTTCCACTTCATGAACAGGAAATATGTTTTTTCTCTTCCTTATGATTTTTTAAAAACATTTTCTTTTCTCTTGCATGCTTGATTGTAAGAGTGCAGTACATATTATATATATATAATATACAAAATATGTGTTAATCAGCTATGTGTTAGCCAACTATGTTATTAATGTAAGACTTTTTATGATTTTCTATATAACATTTTCTTTTTTCTAGCTTACTTTATTATAGGAATACAGTATACAGTACGTACAACATGCAAAATCAGTGTTAATCAACAGTTTATGTTATTGGCAAGGCTTCAGGTCAATAGTAGGCTATTTGTAGTTAAGTTTTCTAGTTAAAGTTGTATGTGGATTTTCACCCGCTTGGGGGTTCGGCACCCCTAAGCTCTGTTTTGCTCAAGGTCAACTGTATAATTTTTCAGCCTTGGCCCATTGGCAAATGGACAGAAACATTTGTAAACTTTGCAACTACAAAGAAAAGTACAGTTTGGGGGCAATAAAAAGTTAAAATTTCTTTTGGATATTGATAGAAACTTCAAAGAAAGATGATGCAAGACTATGAATACAAATAAGTTTTAAAAATCATGTCAAAGATGATTCCTTTTATTGTTCTTAGAACACTGTAATGTATAGAATAAACTCAGTTTTAAATGTATTTGGAAATGTTTTTGGGTTTTATGTCATGTCAATGTCTACATAGAAAAATGTCCTTTTTGTTGTTTAAGTTAAACTTTAAGTGTAAAGAGCTGAGCTAGTCATCTTAAGAACACTGACATAATCTATCCCTGCAGGTAACAGTGGAGTTTAATTCACCTTTTCCCCCAAATCTTTGGTGTCCAGTCCCATTCTCTAGTTCAAAGATAACCAATATAAAGCGCTCAATATATGCCCTTAAATATTATTAATAGTATGTTCTTATAAGATAACAACTTAGTTTTTATATGTGTGTTTTAATTCACATAAATTATATTATGTTGTAACCTATCTTTTTTCTAACTCAATACTTTTGTTGTGATCTACCCATGTAACTATGAACATCTAGTTTGTGTTCCCTACTGATGCCCACAGTGTGTTAGTGAACAACCATCACTTACTTATTTCCTTAAAGATTAGCTTTGATTGACTTCAGTTCCTTGACACCAAAAATAACACTGAAAAACAGGCTTGTATATGATCCCTTACAAACATTTGCAAGAATTGTTCTGGTTTATACACATGGGAAAATTGCTTACATGCCTCCCAGAATGGTTGTTACACTTTACTTTCCATCAACAGTGCATACAATTTCCTATCTCTTAAAGTCCTGACAACAAATGATAGTCTCAATATTTCTATTTTTTGCCATTCCAATCGGTGTAAAGTAGTATCTCGTTGTTTTAATGTTTATTCCTGTGATTTCCGATGAGCTCAAGCATATCTTTGTATACTCTTCAGACACCTGTGCTGCCATTTCTGCAAATTGCCTGGTCACTCTGCCTATTTTTTCTACTATAGTTTTCTGCTTTATTTTGCTAATTTGGAATTGAGGCATATCTCAGAAATTAATTTCTCTTTAATTTTAAATATTAAAGATATATTTTCCCAACACATCACTCATTTGTTAACACTGCCTAAGGTATTGTCTCAAATAAAGACCCAAAAATGTATATAATTATTTCATTTGATGATTTTGTGCATTGGAATCTTGTTTAACTAGCTTTTCACCACTTTTAAGTCATTAGGATATTCTTGTACAAGGCATTCTATTATACAGGTACCGTTTGAAGTATTTCACACGCCCTAGCATGTTTAGGTCTAGGAACTACCTCCAAGCAAATAAGATCGCTGTTGTTGTTGTCCCCATTTTACAGATGAGAAAACTGAAGCATCAACAAATTAAATAACTTGCCCAAAATTACATAGTTTGGATGTGAAAGAATCTATGTTTGAACTCAGGTTACCTGGGCTCAAGAATTCATGCTCTTATAGTTAGGTTTTTAATACCTCTAGTGTCCACTTTTTCAAGTTAACAATATTAACTTCTTTCTTTCCTTCCTTCAATTTTTCTTTCTTTATCCCTCCCTCCCTCCCTTCCTTCCTTCTACTACCACATAAGCCCCTGCCGTATGCTGAATATAAATTAGTAGTTATAGTTGTTATTTAAGCCATAAGCCTAGATGAGGTCACCAAGAGAGAGTGACACTAGATAGGGCAGGGAACACCAAGGCCTCTGCCCTGGGATATTCAACATTAAGGTGGGGCCAAAAAGGAAATACCGGAAGAGGAGGCTGAGAAGGAGCAACCAATAATGTAGCAAGAAAATCAAAAGTCTTAAATTTCCTGGAAGCTCAGTGAAGAAAATGTTTCCAGAGGGAGGAGTGATCAACTGCGTTAAATGTTGCAGAGGATTCTAAGTGAGTTCTCAGAACTAACTGCTGGGTGCAGCATTAATAACCTGTACAAGAGCAGCCTTGCTGGATGATAGGAGCTTAAGAGAATGGGGAAAAGAAGAGTTGAAATCATAGAGCAGAAACCATGGGTTGTTTGTTTGTTTTTTGAGACGGAGTCTCCTTCTGTCGCCCAGGCTGGAGTGCAGTGGCGCCATCTCGGCTCACTGCAACCTCCGCCTCCAGGTTTCAAGTGATTCTCCTGCCTCAGCCTGCCGAGTAGCTGGGACTACAGGCGTGTGCCACCACTCCCTGCTAATTTTTTTGTATTTTTAGTAGAGACGGGGTTTCACCGTGTTAGCCAGGATGGTCTCTATCTCCTGACCTCATGATCCACCCGCCTCGGCCTCCCAAAATGCTGGGATTACAGGTGTGAGCCATTGAGCCCAGCCCATACCAGGTTTTTTTTTAAAGGATTTCTTCAAAAGAGAATGAAGAAAGAGGGTAGCAGCTGGAAAGGGAAGTAGCATCAAAACAGTTAGGAAACTAGTTCACTGCTATCTATCTAATTATACCACAATTTATTCAACCATTCTCTGTTGATGGCTATTTTGTTGATGGTAATAATGTCATAATGAAGATACTTATACATAAAAACTTATAATATAATATAAATCATGTTTTTCCTACCAGCCAGTCATCTCAATACTTACCCACATATACTTATAGATGACAGTGTTTTGTTATTTCTATGGGCCAGATTTGCAGGTGATATGGTTTGGCTGTGTCCCCACCCAAATCTCATTTAAAATTGTAGCTCCTATAATTCCCATATGTCATGGGAGTAACCCGGTAGGAGGTAATGGAATCATGGGGGCGGGTCTTTCCAGTGCCGTTCTCGTGATAGTGAATAAATCTTACAAGATCTGGTGGTTTTATAAAGCGGAGTTCCCCTGCACACACTTTCTTGCCTGCTGACATTTAAGTCATCCCTTTGCTCTTCCTTTGCCTTCTGCCATGATTGTGAGGCCTCCCCAGCCATGTGGAACTGTGAGTCCATTAAACCGCCTTTCCTTTATAAATTACCCAATCTCAGGTATATGTTTATTAGCAGCATGAGAACAGACTAATAACAGCAGGTATTGGATTTCTGAATAGAATTGCATAAGTATCTTACATTTCTTAGGTATCAATGTATTGAGATATATATATGTATATGTATATATATATAAAATATACAACATAATTTACATATAAGTTACATTTCCACCAGAAATATTCATGTATATCTTTCTCTGGAATACTCACTGTCAAGAAAAACACATCCGTGGATTGTGCTCTTTGGTGCAAAAGTGTCAATCATGATCAAGTAAACTTACAGCAAGTGCTTGATTTGATCTTCAAAATGAATGTGTGATGCTCATTATTCTATGATCCCCAGTTTACAGATCCAGAGAGAGAAAGATGCTTGTACAGAAGCACACAGCTAGGAGTGGTAGAACTATCTTCAAAACCAAGTCATCTGAGTTTAGATTCATTTCTCATCCTTTAATTTTCTACTGTCTTATTTGTTACTGGCTCTATTCATGGACGCTTCTCAGTCCCTCCCACTGGGAATAGAGCAAACCCTTTGAGGTTGGGCTGATATCTGTGACACCCTCCATGTAAAGACCTGGCTGCACAGCCTGCTGTCTGCCCTTCTTCCCCAGGCTCCAGGTCCCCTTGGCCCTGAGTGACTGTCTTCCCACTCTGAGGCCCCAGGAATCTCAGCACATATTACACATTCCTCCAGCAAAATCAGTCCACTGGCAGGTACCCAGGGACACACAGTTACACACAAGCCTCCCCCAGCTGACTGGACTTTCTCCAATTGTGGTCAGAAACAGCCACAAAGACAGACATCAGTGCAGGTTCTGGAGACTGGATGAAAAGCATTTTGGGTTGGGTGGGTGGAACCACAGGCATTCTGTACAGACGGCGACCAGTGACCTCTGCTCCAGCATGCTAAGAAAAACAGAACATAGTAAAAAGCAAAAGGATTCTCTCATCTCCCTGCCCTATGTTCTTCTCCCTCAGAAATGCATTGCTGATAATCTTGAGTCTAAGATTGTTAGTTAATCACTAGATAACACTGATAGTTACAGCTATTGCTTATTTTGGAAATCAACAAATAATAAGTTATGGGCATCTCACATTCATTATCTTCCAGCTTCAGGAAACCTTTCAAATGTAGGCTTGATTATTTCTGATTCAGAAATGTTGAGTAACATACTCAGGATTACACACTTAGCAGGGGCAGAATCAGCATTGAGACTCAGACCTACTTTCCTGGTGTCAACTCTTAATAGGTTTCTACTGTAACGCATTGCATTCATCACAAAGTTAATAATGATAAAAGAAATTTGTGAGTATTTGATATGAGTTGGGCACAGTGTTGAGTAATTCACATAATTTTTTCAGTTATTCTGATAATTCTAATTGTATCAATTCTTTCCTCCACTATGATTTGTTTTAAATACTACTTTCTTGAATAGATGAAGGAAACAAATCTTAGATATCTAAGCAATTTTCCCAAAGTCCTAGGACTAGTGAGGTCTATAGATAAATTTGAAATTAGGTATATATGACTCTGGAGCCCCACATCTTGATTTTCTTGTTTCCCAAATACATATATAGTCTCTACCATCTCTGTGGTTTTCTGGAGTTCCCAACAGCAATTCAAAATAATATCTTTCTCAAAGTTCAGGAAATATTTAAGATTTAATAAGGGATTGAATTATCAAATGTATTTTCAAATGAATAAATGGTTTTTGCCTTCAGGAAGCTGTTACTAAGACTTATTTTTAGAGCTATAAGCTTTCTGTTTAGTTTCTCTTTGGATAACCTCAAAGTGCCTAGTTTAATGTTAGAACGTACAAGTTAATAAATAAATATTCTTATGGAAGTAATTGGTTAATTTAAATCTCAACTCTTAAGAACAACTTTCAGTCATACTATAGAGGAGGATGCCTGCTGTTATTTAACGAATGGCCCCTCCCTCTGTTCCTATTCCCCACCTTCAATAATGACCACAGCTGTCAGTTTAGCTGAGCCAGTCAGAATAAGAGGTTAAAATCATTATCTCCATGATAGAACCTCTAACTCCAGCCAGAATCAATGACTTCCTAGAAATGGAGGAAGAGTTCATAAAAAAAAAAAAACTTCTTGTGTTCCTTAACTAGATTTCTTGGACCCAGGCCAAGCCAATAAAGGATGGATAGGGACACATATGCTATTTATAACACAGTGCATGTGGAATCCTCATTTCCTGGAAATGCATATTAAATCATTAACAATTCTAAGACTTCAGGTGATGCTGTAAAACAAATTAATACAGCATAGGCATACAGACACCCCCAAGTGTGTACATGTGTGTAACACACACACACACACCATATTTCTCATTAGGAAAATGAACTCTTCAAAGTTTTTGTATTAACTTTGTCTTTTGTTTTCTGTATGCTAATGCTTTAACATCTGGGGCCTTGGTTACCTTGGTAACCCTAGAGGGCCTGCCCCTGCCAGAGCTAGCCAATTTCTAGAGCCCAGGAGCATGCCTTTCAAAGGCAAGCAAACCAATTCAGAGCCCACACCCCATCACACTCCTTGCCATTATCCACCTGCCTTGATTACCTAAGGGCCAGGTACCTGTGAACTAGGGATAGTGCCTACAACCCGGAGCCCACTGAAATTATTCAAACAAGCCAATCCTACACCTGCTTACCCTGCCTTGTCTGTTTCTTCCTACAGAAATCTTACTAGAGGCTTTTGTCCATAGTTCCTCCTCTCCCTCTGCCTCTTGACTGACCCTAGTATTTCCCCTGTATGGTTTCACCTGCTACAGCATGCCAGCTCCTCTTGGGATCTGTAACAAACTGTCTTCCCAATGGCAATCCTCTCCTGATCTGTTGACCTTGACATTCCTAAATATTCATAAAATCTATATTAAAACACCTCTGGACACATTCTTCTGGACATTATTTTCCCAACAAGAATGCAAGGGCTGGCATCATTAAAGAAGCATAAATTTTCCAAGGTATTCGAGAGTGTCAGCAAAGGCAAGGGAGATCACTCACTCTTACCTTTGGATGATATGATAATACAAGGACACACATGTCAGCGGTCACTCCTACTGATGAAAGGAAAAGGTGCACTAATCGCAAAAGACCTCTGCTATGGCTGCTCTAAATGTGCAGGCCCTGTAAATTCAAGGTTCTTGGCACTCTCTGTGGCATGTATGACTACATTATTGATTTAGGTTTGCAAGACTGTGGGAAGTATCCACAAGTTTCTTGCTCCATTGCTTCAAGAGCTAACTGGCTAAGCTTTCTTCAGCATGAGTAGCAATATAGTAAGACTTCTAGGTAATTATGCCTTTTCTATTAAAGATAATGCTTTGCCAATTTAGGAAACAATTTAATTTAACTAGCCAAGAATTGCTAAGTACTTATAGCAAAGTTTAAAGAAACACCAATACTTAGATACAAATTAAAAGGCCTCTTGACTGCCCTGCATGTATTGTCAGTAGCTGCTTCATCATAATCAGAATGTTCTCAAGAGTCAAAAAAAAACATCCCCGACCCCATGTTTTGGAATTAAAGGGCCACCAGTACTTAGCTCCCTGAACAAAGGTAGTGTCAAAAGGTGGTAATAATCAAGTGTGGTGATTAAATCGTGAGCTCTAGCATCACCTGGACATGGGCTTGATGACTACCTCCTAACTGTGTGATCTTGGGCAACATAATTAACCTTTCTGAGCCTTAACATATTTATCTAAAACTGGGGATAAAAAGAGCATCCACTTTAAAACATTGTTGTAATAATTAAATAAGTTAGTACATGTGTTTAGCGTATTGCCTGGCTCGGTCATGGGCACTATACAAGTTTGCTATCAATAGATATCCCCAACAACTGGTTAGATACTTCAAATAAATGAAGACTGGATGCATCACAGGTTTTCTTAGTTTCTTTCAAGGTACTTTCTCCTCATTTGGTGTGTTATTTTCAACAGCACAAGCCTTATATTTTTATTCTCTATTCAAGAGAAATTTGACTCCAGCAGAATTAGGTACTACCTCATGTATATTAACAGGAGAATTCATAACTTTCCCACGTGTGTTTAAAGTCCTATAAAAGGCTTTTAAAAAATAGAAGTAGAGAGGAGGAGCCAAGATGGCCGAATAGGAACAGCTCCGGTCTACAGCTCCCAGCGTGAGCGACGCAGAAGACGGGTGATTTCTGCATTTCCATCTGAGGTACCGGGTTCATCTCACTAGGGAGTGCCAGACAGTGGGCGCAGGTCAGTGGGTGTGCGCAATGTGCGCGAGCCGAAGCAGGGCGAGGCATTGCCTCACTCGGGAAGCGCAAGGGGTCAGGGAGTTCCCTTTCCGAGTCAAAGGAAGGGGTGACGGAGGCACCTGGAAAATCGGGTCACTCCCACCCGAATATTGCGCTTTTCAGACCGGCTTAAAAAACAGCGCACCATGAGACTATATCCCACGCCTGGCTTGGAGGGTCCTACGCCCACGGAATCTCGCTGATTGCTACCACAGCAGTCTGAGATCAAACTGCAAGGCGGCAGCGAGGCTGGGGGAGGGGCACCCGCCATTGCCCAGGCTTGCTTAGGTAAACAAAGCAGCCAGGAAGCTCGAACTGGGTGGAGCCCACCACAGCTCAAGGAGGCCTGCCTGCCTCTGTAGGCTCCACCTCTGGGGGGCAGGGCACAGACAAACAAAAAGACAGCAGTAACCTCTGCAGACTTAAATGTCCCTGTCTGACAGCTTTGAAGAGAGCAGTGGTTCTCCCAGCACGCAGCTGGAGATCTGAGAATGGGCAGACTGCCTCCTCAAGTGGGTCCCTGACCCCTGACCCCCGAGCAGCCTAACTGGGAGGCACCCCCCAGCAGGGGCACACTGACACCTCACACTGCAGGGTATTCCAACAGACCTGCAGCTGAGGGTCCTGTCTGTTAGAAGGAAAACTAACAAACAGAAAGGACATCCACACTGAAAACCCATCTGTACATCACCATCATCAAAGACCAAAAGTAGATAAAACCACAAAGATGGGGAAAAAACAGAACAGAAAAACTGGAAACTCTAAAACGCAGAGCGCCTCTCCTCCTCCAAAGGAACACAGTTCCTCACCAGCAACGGAACAAAGCTGGATGGAGAATGATTTTGACGAGCTGAGAGAAGAAGGCTTCAGACGATCAAATTACTCTGAGCTACGGGAGGACATTCAAACCAAAGGCAAAGAAGTTGACAACTTTGAAAAAAATTTAGAAGAATGTATAACTAGAACAACCAATACAGAGAAGTGCTTAAAGGAGCTAATGGAGCTGAAAACCAAGGCTCGAGAACTACGTGAAGAATGCAGAAGACTCAGGAGCCAATGCGATCAACTGGAAGAAAGGGTATCAGCGATGGAAGATGAAATGAATGAAATGAAGTGAGAAGGGAAGTTTAGAGAAAAAAGAATAAAAAGAAATGAGCAAAGCCTCCAAGAAATCAAGAAATATGGGACTATGTGAAAAGACCAAATCTACGTCTGATTGGTGTACCTGAAAGTGATGGGGAGAATGGAACCAAGTTGGAAAACACTCTGCAGGATATTATCCAGGAGAACTTCCCCAATCTAGCAAGGCAGGCCAACATTCAGATTCAGGAAATACAGAGAACGCCACAAAGATACTCCTCGAGAAGAGCAACTCCAAGACACATAATTCTCAGATTCACCAAAGTTGAAATGAAGGAAAAAATGTTAAGGGCAGCCAGAGAGAAAGGTCGGGTTACCCTCAAAGGGAAGCCCATCAGACTAACAGCAGATCTCTCGGCAGAAACCCTACAAGCCAGAAGAGAGTGGGGGCCAATATTCAACATTCTTAAAGAAAAGAATTTTCAACCCAGAACTTCATATCCAGCCTAACTAAGCTTCATAAGTGAAGGAGAAATAAAATCCTTTACAGACAAGCAAATGCTGAGAGATTTTGTCACCACCAGGCCTGCCCTAAAATAGCTCCTGAAGGAAGCGCTAAACATGGAAAGGAAAAACCGGTACCAGCCGCTGCAAAATCATGCCAAAATGTAAAGACCATCAAGACTAGGAAGAAACTGCATCAACTAACGAGCAAAATCACCAGCTAACATCATAATGACAGGATCAAATTCACACATAACAATATTAACTTTAAATGTAAATGGACTAAATTCTCCAATTAAAAGACACAGACTGGCAAGTTGGATAAAGAGTCAAGACCCATCAGTGTGCTGTATTCAGGAAACCCATCTCATGTGCAGAGACACACATAGGCTCAAAATAAAAGGATGGAGGAAGATCTACCAAGCAAATGGAAAACAAAGAAAGGCAGGGGTTGCAATCCTAGTCTCTGATAAAACAGACTTTAAACCAACAAAGATCAAAAGAGACAAAGAAGGCCTTTACATAATGGTAAAGGGATCAATTCAACAAGAGGAGCTAACTATCCTAAATATATATGCACCCAATACAGGAGCACCCAGATTCGTAAAGCAAGTCCTGAGTGACCTACAAAGAGACTTAGACTCCCACACATTAATAATGGGAGACTTTAACACCCCACTGTCAACATTAGACAGATCAACGAGACAGAAAGTCAACAAGGATACCCAGGAATTGAACTCAGCTCTGCACCAAGCGGACCTAATAGACATCTACAGAACTCTCCACCCCAAATCAACAGAATATACATTTTTTTCAGCACCACACCACACCTATTCCAAAATTGACCACATACTTGGAAGTAAAGCTCTCCTCAGCAAATGTAAAAGAACAGAAATTATAACAAACTATCTCTCAGACCACAGTGCAATCAAACTAGAACTCAGGATTAAGAATCTCACTTATGCCACTCAACTACATGGAAACTGAACAACCTGCTCCTGAATGACTACTGGGTACATAACGAAATGAAGGCAGAAATAAAGATGTTCTTTGAAACCAACGAGAACAAAGACACAACATACCAGAATCTCTGGGATGCATTCAAAGCAGTGTGTAGAGGGAAATTTATAGCCTAAATGCCCACAAGAGAAAGCAGGAAAGATCCAAAATTGACACCCTAACATCACAATTAAAAGAACTAGAAAAGCAAGAACAAACACATTCAAAAGCTAGCAGAAGGCAAGAAATAACTAAAATCAGAGCAGAACTGAAGGAAATAGAGACACAAAAAACCCTTCAAAAAATCAATGAATCCAGGAGCTGGTTTTTTGAAAGGATCAACAAAATTGATAGATCGCTAGCAAGACTAATAAAGAAAAAGAGAAGAATCAAATAGACACAATAAAAAATGATAAAGGGGATATCACCACCGATCCCTCAGACATACAAACTACCATTAGAGAATACTACAAACACCTCTATGCAAATAAACTAGAAAATCTAGAAGAAACGGATAAATTCCTGGACACAAACACTCTCCCAAGACTAAACCAGGAAGAAGTTGAATCTCTGAATAGACCAATAGCAGGAGCTGAAATTGTGGCAATAATCAATAGTTTACCAACCAAAAAGAGTCCAGAACCAGATGGATTCACAGCCGAATTCTACCAGAGGTACCAGGAGGAACTGGTACCATTCCTTCTGAAACTACTCCAATCCATAGAAAAAGAGGGAATCCTCCCTAACTCATTTTATGAGGCCAGCATCATTCTGATACCAAAGCCAGGCAGAGACACAACCAAAAAAGAGAATTTTAGACCAATATCCTTGATGAACATTGATGCAAAAATCCTCAATAAAATACTGGCAAACCGAATCCAGCAGCACATCAAGAAGCTTATCCACCATGATCAAGTGGGCTTCATCCCTGGGATGCAAGGCTGGTTCAATATAAGCAAATCAATAAATGTAATCCAGCATATAAACAGAGCCAAAGACAAAAACCACATGATTATCTCAATAGATGCAGAAAAAGCCTTTGACAAAATTCAACAACCCTTCATGCTAAAAACTCTCAATAAATTAGGTATTGATGGGACGTATTTCAAAATAATAAGAGCTATCTATGACAAACCCACAGCCAATATCATACTGAATGGGCAAAAACTGGAAGCATTCCCTTTGAAAACTGGCACAAGACAGGGATGCCCTCTCTCACCGCTCCTATTCAACATAGTGTTGGAAGTTCTGGCCAGGGCAATCAGGCAGGAGAAGAAAATAAAGGGTATTCAATTAGGAAAAGAAGAAGTCAAATTGTCCCTGTTTACAGACGACATGATTGTTTATCTAGAAAACCCCATCGTCTCAGCCCAAAATCTCCTTAAGCTGATAAGCAACTTCAGCAAAGTCTCAGGATACAAAATCAATGTACAAAAATGACAAGCATTCTTATACACCAACAACAGACAAACAGAGAGCCAAATCATGAGTGAATTCCCATTCACAATTGCTTCAAAGGGAATAAAATACCTAGGAATCCAACTTACAAGGTATGTGAAGGACCTCTTCAAGAAGAACTACAAACCACTGCTCAATGAAATAAAAGAGGATACAAACAAATGGAAGAACATTCCATGCTCATGGGTAGGAAGAATCAATATTGTGAAAATGGCCATACTGCCCAAGGTAATTTACAGATTCAATGCCATCCCCATCAAGCTACCAATGACTTTCTTCACAGAACTGGAAAAAACTACTTTAAAGTTCATATGGAACCAAAAAAGAGCCCGCATTGCCAAGTCAATCCTAAGCCAAAAGAACAAAGCTGGAGGCATCACACTACCTGACTTCAAACTATACTACAAGTCTACAGTAACCAAAACAGCATGGTACTGGTACCAAAACAGAGATATAGATCAATGGAACAGAACAGAGACCTCAGAAATAATGCCGCATACCTACAACTATCTGATCTTTGACAAACCTGAGAAAAACAAGCAATGGGGAAAGGATTCCCTATTTAATAAATGGTGCTGGGAAAACTGGCTAGCCATATGTAGAAAGCTGAAACTGGATCCCTTCCTTACACCTTGTACAAAAATCAATTCAAGATGGATTAAAGATTTAAACATTAGACCTAAAACCATAAAAACCCTAGAAGAAAACCTAGGCATTACCATTCAGGACATAGGCGTGGGCAAGGACTTCATGTCCAAAACACCAAAAGCAATGGCAACAAAAGCCAAAATTGACAAATGGGATCTAATTAAACTAAAGAGCTTCTGCACAGCAAAAGAAACTACCATCAGAGTGAACAGGCAACCTACAACATGGGAGAAAATTTTCTCAACCTACTCATCTGACAAAGGGCTAATATCCAGAATCTACAATGAACTCAAACAAATTTACAAGAAAAAAACAAACAACCCCATCAACAAGTGGGCGAAGGACATGAACAGACACTTCTCAAAAGAAGACATTTATGCAGCCAAAAAATACATGAAAAAATGCTCATCATCACTGGCCATCAGAGAAATGCAAATCAAAACCACTATGAGATATCATCTCACACCAGTTAGAATGGCAATCATTAAAAAGTCAGGAAACAACAGGTGCTGGAGAGGATATGGAGAAATAGGAACACTTTTACACTGTTGGTGGGACTGTAAACTAGTTCAACCATTGTGGAAGTCAGTGTGGCGATTCCTCAGGGATCTAGAACTAGAAATACCATTTGACCCAGCCATCCCATTACTGGGTATATACCCAAAGGATTATAAATCATGCTGCTATAAAGACACATGCACATGTATGTTTATTGCGGCATTATTCACAATAGCAAAGACTTGGAACCAACCCACGTGTCCAACAATGATAGACTGGATTAAGAAAATGTGGCACATATACACCATGGAATACTATGCAGCCATAAAAAATGATGAGTTCATGTCCTTTGTAGGGACATGGATGAAATTGGAAACCATCATTCTCAGTAAACTATCGCAAGAACAAAAAACCAAACACCGCATATTCTCACTCATAGGTGGGAATTGAACAATGAGATCACATGGACACAGGAAGGGGAATATCACAGTCTGGGGACTGTGGTGGGGTGGGGGGAGGGGGGTGGGATAGTATTGGGAGATATACCTAATGCTAGATGATGAGTTAGTGGGTGCAGCGCACCAGCATGGCACATGTATACATATGTAACTAACCTGCACAATGTGCACATGTACCCTAAAACTTAAAGTATAATAAAAAAAAAAAAGAAGGAAATTTACCTACTGGCTCAATTTCTTCTTAATGCTTCAAACCTCAATTTTTTACTGTAATTTTATTTCTGCTGATTATTAATTAACTCCCAGCATTAGTCAGGTCATTGGAAGACAGTTTATTAAATAGCTAGGTCTCACCCCCCCACCTTTGGAACACTACATACCATTAAATAGAACAGTTTTTAAGTAGACATGCACTGTGGTTTTCTTACATCTTTCTCCAAAGCCTTCGAAAATTATTATTAGTGTCATTCAAGTTGGGAAACTTAGTCATATTTTCTAAACCTTATGGCTGTGTCCCAGAATGAGAAAGGACAGAGAATAAGTCTTCAACAGCTGGGAGAGGTTTTGTGGATTTCATAGTGGTTGGGAGCTACTAACAAGGAAATATTACACATGGCCTTTGGCAGGAACATATTATAAAATCCAGAGCCTTTTGTTAAGGGCTGAGTAGGGTATTATTCATAATTGTTATTTAATTTGGTCTTCTTCCCATCTTCCTTCTAACAGAAGGCTTTTCTGCCTTGAAAAATTACACCATTTAAAGATGCCCTATGTCTGTGATTATATGCTATATAACCTGGCAAATATTCTTCAAATAAAAGCCCACAAGTCCAGTAAAATTTGCAGTAGCAGATGACATTTTCACCAAAGAACAGAGCCAGTTTTTCACGAAGGTAGAAGAAGGACCCACCCCCACTTGACTATCTTGTTTATTTGACTGACTTCATTAATCCCTGGAGCTTCCTGATAACTCCAGGAAAGCATCCAAACTCATCTCTGTCTGGCTCCTTCTTGTGTCACCAGCCCCATCTCGTACCATTTCTCTGCCCCACAAACACTAAACTCCAGCCATGTGTACCTTTAATGTTTCAGTTTCTACAGCTGACAAGTGTCGTTGAGTAGCTAATGACATGTAGTAATAGGTAAATTTATTGACGCACTAATTTTAATCATGCATACTTCAGGCTGGTGAGCTTAAGGGAGTCATTATGCTGCTGAATGAAACTAGCTGCCTGCCCGGCATTTGCTTTTCAATAGCATTTTGCCATTCTTCTGTTTATTTCTATATATGCTCTTTATAGGATGTGTTAGTTATTTACTGCCACAAAATCCTGTGCTATGAACAACCACACCCCTCAGTGGCATACTGCAATCAATGTTTATTTTGCTCCTGTGTCTGCTCAGAGGACTCCAGTCCTCTGAGGAGAGGAGTATTTGTTGATGCTACCTGGGCTTTCCCATAGTGCGTATTCAGCCATGAGTTGTCTGGTAGTTCTGCTGCTCTTGTCTAGACTTCTGGATTTACAGGCTGTCTGCTGACCTAATATGGCCTCAACCAGGACAATCAAGGACAACTTGTCATTCATCCTTCTTCAGGGTAGTCCAGATATATTCTCACAGCAGTGGCAGAACTACAACAGTAATCAAGAGCAACTGTACAAACACTTTCGAACCTGTGCTTGTGTCACGCACGCTCATACCCCATGGGCCAAAAGAAGTCAGATGGTTACGCCCAGAGTTAGAGTGTGAGGCAATGCAAAGTTATATGGCAAAGGGCGAGGCTATAGGAAGGGTAAAGAATTTGGGTCATTTTTGCAATTAATCTATCCCACAGAGAAAATGAATTTCAGAGTGGGTCTGAGAAGGCCTCCTTTCTATTCTACTTGAATCCTGGACCAGATTATACTGTCTTTCACCTCCATGCCTTTGCACTGGTGGCTCTTTCCCTTGTTCTTCACATTACCTCTCAACCCCATCCAGTGCTGTGCCAACCTCTGGAGGTAAGAAAGAGGACAAAGAAAACATAGCTTTTAACTTTAGGGAGAATATGATTTATTAGGGCAACTGACATGTACATAAAAATTGAGTTGAGTAATTAAAATAAAGACAGTAACATCTATGTATGGTTCATGGTAAGAAGGTATAGGGGATTGTGTTGAGATCGACCTTATCCAACATCTCCATAGCCTCAGCCAACATAACTCTCATTACCCTTAGGAAGGTGCTGCTGAGACCACTACTGTAATAATCTGACCTTCACTGTCGCATGTACTTGGCAGCAAGACTTTCATTGGCTAACTGAAGTCATAGCTTAGCCTCATAACTCATTTACCTCTATTACTTGTGGAAAGGTGGACCACGGGAACCCCCCTTGAACTAGGTCATATGTGCAATGATATAGGGGTCAATCTCCGCTGGGGATGCTCCTCAGAAAGCAATTGGAAAATAAGCATCTAAAACACAAAAAGTAACAACAGCTATCTCATAAATGTTCATTTGATTGCTTCTTTTAAAACATGCCTTTGAACTAGGTTATTGGTTCAGTTTTCTCCCAGTGAGGATAGTGGAAACTTAAAAAAAATAAAAAAAGAAAAGAAAAATAGGCAACGACTTAGAAAGCATGGTGAAGTGCCAACATTTATTCTATAGACAGAAAAGTTGGCCTCTCGCAAGTGTAAAATGTAAAGACAGCTCTTTCAGAAGTGAGATTGCTATGGAGCTACACAGTTGGGATTAGAAGGGCAGTATGCAGGTATCAATCACGACTGTCCAGCCAAGTATAACAAAAAGATACAGAATCTGCTGGTAAGAGAGAGTATGTGGGGGAAAGGCTTCATTTGAGCTTATAAAATATGGGTTGAGGGGTTTCCTTTCACAAGAACACAGGGAGGTGGCAGGTGGAGATAATAGACTTGAGAAACTAGTTCAAGAAACTGCAAGGGGCTCAGTCTAAAAGACCTATGTCTTGGCTTTTTGCAAGAGTTGCATGTCTTTGAACTTCACCCTGATGTAAGTATTGAACAAATACTCACACTCAACTTGGCAGGTTTGCTGGCTGCCCTCCTGTAATGTAATCACTTTGCAACTTCATACATTTCCCTAGAATCTCTGCAAAGGAAGGTAGAAAAAAGAAAACCCACTAGGTTATAGGTCCACTAAAGCTTCTCCACGCACAATGAAGAGAAACAGCATCTTTCTTTGACAGGAACACAGACTCGGGAACTAAATATATTTGGCTTCAAATATTACATCAGTGGAACACTGAGCTAGACTTCTGTCCTAATTCCTACTGTAGTTACAGAGATGATGCTACTTATCTTGCAAAGATTTTGCTAGGATTAGAGAAAAGTCATGTTAAGTACCTAGTGCACGTTTCTATCTACTATGTACACATAGAGTTGTGTGACTACCTTTTTTTTGTTTTATTCTGTTCTTGTTTTTCAGTGACTGCTGTAATGCTTAAAATAATTTGTGATCGCTCCCTAGCAATTTGGAAGGTCATTCTGAATCTTTTTCCTTTAAAAAAATTTTGTTTTCTTCTCTACCTTGGGCCAACTTACAGTAACTTGCTATGTTTTAAGGAAGCTGCTTAAAACATTTCTGCAACAAGACTGTGAATCAATCAATCATCAGTCAATCAACATATTATCATCACTATGAGAGATCCAGAAATTCCCACAGAAATAATCATCAGAATGACTCAGAAAGGATAAGTTGGATAGAACACTATTGGTAGAAGATTTATTTTCATTAAGCAATGAATTAAGCCATTGATTTTAAGATTTTGGAAATCATACTGATATATTAATGTTAATTACCACATGTAAGTATACTCAGATAATGGAGCCAAGAATCCTGGCTTGGGACATATACTCTTTACTTCCTGGAAATCCCAGAGAAGGAATTTTAGGATACCCAGGGAAGATGTTCTTTCCTCCACCAAAAAGCATTCCCACCTCCCTCCTCACTCCTCTGAGCCTATTTTATCCTGAGGTCTAGTCTCCTTTTCTCTAAAGGCTTTGGATCCTTGGCAACTGATCAGAGCCTTTCAGGCCTCCCTAGCAGGTGATTCAGGTTCAAACCACACAGACTAAATGCTTTTTATGTGGAAGGACCCCAAACTCAACTGGGGTCTTAGATTTCCACTCTGCTTCTTTCCAGCATTTCCTGGCCTTACGGGCTTCCTTATTTCTCATAGGTAGATGGGATCAAAGTCACAGGCTTTACTAAGGTAATCTACTGTAGTAATTGAGACCTGGGGTCTGGAACCAAATGGTGTAGCGTCCACATGGGCTATGTCATCTATTAGATTATGACGTGATAGCTGACAACTCATTCAACTGGTCTGTGTCTCAGTTTTACGTTCATAAAATGGGGTTTGTGATCATCCTTATGTTAAAGGAGTGTTGTAAATTGAATAGGTTAAGCCATGTGTAGCATGACACTGAATCCTCTCCATTCTGCGTCCGCAGACTGTGGGCAGTAAATACAATAAAGATTCTATGTTTCTCTTTTGTTATAATTTCAAATTTTATTTTAGATTCAGGGGGTACATATACAGTTTTGTTACATGTATAGCTGTATAAAGCATATTTTGAATGTGGAGTTTTGGGGTATTAATGATCTTATCACCCAAGTAGTGAGCATAGTACCTAATAGGTAATTTTTCAACTTTTGCTCTCTCTCTCTCACCCATCTAGTAGTCCCAAATGTCTATTGTTTTGTTCCCATATTTATGCCAATATGTATCCAATGTTTAGCTCTCACTTATAAGAGAGAACATGTGGTATTTGCTTTTTTGTTCCTGTGCTGTGTTAATTCACTTAGGATACTGGACTCTAGCTGCATCCATGTTGCTTCAGAGGGTATGATTTTGTTCTTTTCTATGGCTGTGTAGTATTCCATGTTTTCTACCTACCACATTTCCGTTATCCAATCCACCATTGATGGTCAGCTAGGTTGATTCCATGTATGTTATTGTAACTAGTGCTGCAATGAACATACTAGTGTGTGTGTAGTTTTGGTAGAATCATTTATTTTCCTTTGGGTATATATCCAGTAATGGGATTGCTGGATTGAAGGTTAGTTCTAAGCTCTTTGAGAAATCTCCAAACTCCTTTCCACATGGTTGAATGAATTTACATTACCACCATTTGCTTTTATTTGCAGCCTCTGCAGCATGTATTATTTTTTGACTTTTTAATGATAGCCATTTAACTGGCATGAGACAGTATCTCATTGTGGTTTTGACTTGCATTTCTCTGATGATTAGTGATATTTAGCATTTTTTTCTATGTTTGTTGGCTGTCTTCTTTTGAGAAGTGTCTGTTCATGTCCTTTGCCCACTTTTTAATGGGGTTGTTTTTTGCTTGTTGAATTGTTTAAGTTCCTTGTAGATTCTGGATATTAGACCTTTGTCAGATGCAAATTTTGTGAATACTTTCTCCCATTCTGCAAGTTTTTTGTTGATGCCCATGACAGTTTATTATGCTGTAAAGAAGCTCTACAGTTTAATTAGTTCCCAGTTGTAAATTTTTGGTTATGTTGTAATTGCTTTTGATGACCTCGTCATACTTTTTTTTTCCCCAAGGCTGATGTCCAGAATGGTATTTCCTAAGTTTTCTTCTAGGATTTTTATAGTTTGAGGTCTTACATATAAATCTTTAATATACATTGAGTTAATTTTTGTATATGGTGAAAAGTAGGGGCCCAGTTTCACTCTTCTGCATATGGCTAGCCAGTTATTCCAGCACCATTTATTGAATAGGGAGTCCATTCCCTATTGATTTTTTAAATCAACTTTGTTGACCATCAGATGGTTGTAGGTGTCTGGGCTTAATTCTGGTTTCTCTATTGTGTTCCATTCATCTATATGTCTATTTTTGTACAAGTACCATGCTGTTTTGGTAACTATAGCTTTATAATATAGTTTGAAGTTGGGTAATGTGATGCTGCCAGCTTTGTTCTTTTTGCTTGGGATTTCTTTGGCTATTCAGGCTCTTTGGGCATTCTATATTGGTTTTAGGAATTCTATATTTCTATATGATGATCAGAGTCACATCTTTGTTAGACAGAGGCAGCAGGGAAAGGGCGAGACACTCCCCTCATTCTGAGCACAATGCTGTGGAAAGAGTATAGAGTTTCTAGTTAGATGGATTATGGTCTGCCCTTGGTTGCTATGGAAGCTGGAAAAGATACTTGACACCAGTGTACTTCATTTTTTAACCTTGTAAGTAATTTGTGGCTCTTAAATGAGATAATGTAAATGGGGTTCCTTGCATAAAAGTTGAGACTTTTTATAATTCTTCATGTTTCCCTTTTTTGCTTCAGCTATTTGGAAGCTGAATACCTGACAAAAGCTCAAGCACTGTCACCATATAATCCTTTTTTTTTTTTTTACAATTTTATTCTCTTCCATCGGTGTTACTTCTGTTGTCTCAGTTTTCATGATTATTGATCCGACTGAATATGTGATTTTATTGTGAGCCGTATGAAAAACTTATAAATTATAAAAACAAAATGTTAAAGGTTTTACCTCTATTATTCCTGGTGTCATAAATTGCCAGCCACCCAATCAGGTGTTATTTTGTATACTATATTTGCATATTATATTTATAACATGTTGTAAATAAATATTAAATTTATTTAAGACTCAAGAATATTCAAATATATTTGGGTGGAAAACAATTGCCCTTGATTGACAAACTTATATCCACAAAAACACTACTTTTCTAGATAATTATCTCATTCACTTTTTAAAAAATAAACAGCAGTATTAAGGAAAGGGATACCTTGTTTACTAGTTGGTAGGTACTTGTAGGCCCTTTGCATATGTTGACTCATTTGAACTCCAAAACGACCCCCAAAAGTAGACATTTTTATAGTGTTAAGAAATGGGCTGAGAGAGGTTAAGTGATGAGTCCATGGTCACATCACTGATAAGTAGAAAGATGGGCTTTAAGCTCAGTTTAGTCTCACCCCAAAGTCCAAGATCCCTCCATGTGACAGGTTTGTAGTCTAATTAGTGTCACATAAAGTGTAGAGAAATGCTCTAGATTTTCCAAAATCCCATAGCAGAGCAGAAAATAAACAAAACAATGCCTAGACTCCAAGGCCTCCACAGCAAGCAGGAAATCACATCTTCCCATTGTCTGGGCTAGCCAAAGAGCATTTTGTAGGGGCCTGCCTGCCAGGGTCCATTTCAGTGGTGTCCCACCCATCCCCCATAAAAGCATGATTTAATAAGGATCTAGCATCCAGTTCCTTCATGCACTATGGTTGGAATTGATAATTAGGCAAGGGATCTCTCAAGGAAGGAGCTGCCAGAAGTTTTTAGCTTCTGGATCTATAATTTTGTCTTTGCAATATTTTTTTGAGGTATTTCAATGGAAAGTAACCCCAGCACAACACATTGGCAGGTATATCCAAGAACCTCCAGTCCAGTGCCAGGAGCAGGAGCTAATGAGGATATATAACATTCACATTTCCAAAGAACCTCAAAGAGTTCCTCAATACTTCTCAGGATTCCCTGTAGCACAAAAGTCATTGCAGGAGAGAGAAAGGGTGTGTGCTTCCCTCCAGCCTATGGCACTTCATATATGTTGCTTTGAAGCCCAGAAAACTAGAAAATGAACAATCTTTATGACTAGGGTCATTGATGCCAGAGCAGGAGTCTTCCCGAAAGAGGCCTGTCTCACTGAGAGGTGCCATCCATGCCCCCATCCAGATCCACATTCCCCTCCAGAAGGAAAAAGTGAGGACATAGGTCCCACCTTCAGATTCCCACCTTCCCAGTAGCTCCTCAAGATTAAGTTCTTTCACAGCTTCTACCTGATCAGTAGGCCAGGAGATGGTGTTTTGGCCAATGATTTTCAGTAACACAGCCAATTCTTGAAACCTTAGTGATCACACAATTCCATCCATGATTAATCTCACGGTGAGAAAGAACTCACTTTTCACCAAGCATCCACCAATACACAGACACTTGATTTAATTCTCACAACCTTTTGAGATAATAATATATAAGCTTCTTTAAGCATAAGAAATTAAAGTGGCCTAGATGTCACTTTGCTAGTTAAAATTGAAGCTAAGAATGGTACTGAGGCATTCTGTTTCACAGTTCAACATTCTTTCTGCTACATCACAAGAACTTGACTCATTCATTTTCATTCAGTCATTCTTTTATGAACTCATTTAAGAAACATTTCTTTGAGTGCCTGGTATGTGCTGCACATGGTGCAGATCACAGAGATACAGCAGTGAGCAAGACAGATCAAGTCCTCGCTGCAGTTACATAATACTCAGGGGAGGAATCTAGTGAACAAAGAATGACATAGAATGCTGAGAAAATGACATATTAAATGCCCGGAAACCTACAGGACACTAACTAGTCTTGGGAAGATGGGTGTCTCAGGAAGATGGGTGGGGTCACAGAACAATTCTCTGAACAAATAAGGCCTGAAGCAGCATGAAGAAAGGGAAGCACTCCCAGGCAGGGAGGGGAAAGAGCATGTGCAAAGGCCCCGAAGCAAAAAAGGGCTTGTGCCATTCAAGGAACTGGAAGAAGTTAAATTTGATCAGAGCATCCTCTGATTGCTCTAAATCACATCAATTTCCTAATAAATGCCAGCCGACAGACCCCATCATCTAATGAGAAAAAAAGAAGACAGGGATTCAGGCCAGAAGTTTATTTCATGAATGAGAATATGCTTTTCCCTGGAGTGGCCTCTGTGTGAATAGCATGCAGGAGCAAGGAAAGAAATGACTTCATACTCAAGAAGCACATGACAATTCCCATCAAGTCCCTGTTAAGGGGATGAAAATAAAGTTAAATTCCTGACACCACATCTTACTCCATCTATCATTATTTTAGCCATCACACTGGCCCAACTACTCTTCTCCTTTTAACTCCAGAATTAATGAGATTTAAAAGTTATTCTTTTATGTAATGTATATACCAGGGGTCCTAACTGATATATTCCACTTAAGCCCAAAGAAAGCTAACTGTTGGCATTCTCTAGCCTTCCAATATGAACTTATCTTTATCTGCCACTCCTGACTTCCAGGAATATGGCAATGAATTTGATTTCACTTCTAGTTATCCAAAGCTTTATTCTAGAAAGGAACTGGTAGAAAGAAAATGAACATTTATTGGACATTTACTGTGTGACAGCCACATTTTATTTAATACTATGTATTGCATAGAGGCATATGAGGCAGATGTAATAATCCCATTTTCTGAAATGAAGTTCTGAAAATTACATTATTTGTTTATAATCACACAGTAAAAACAAGAGTGAGGACTTGAATCCAAGTTTTGATGGGAAGCTCATGTTTAAATTTAGGACAAAGAACTTCTGAAGGCATTTCCTATGTGTTACTCTGCCCATCCTTGGAATCTGGCTACATTTGAGACTCATTTCCCTTCCTTGGAAATTTGTCAGCACAAGGCCTGAAACCCAAGTATGTAAAATGGGTCCAGCAGTTTTTAAATAAATGATCTAGATAAACTAAAACTTAAATCTTAAAATGGAAATTTTCTAGTTGAGAAATTTGGCTTTCAGGATGAGAAAACTCAGAAAACAGAGAAATATTTTATTTTCAATAGTACAATACTCCATATGATAACTTTATTCATCATTAAAGAAGAGAAGCAAAATGAGCATCTCATGACCACATTCCATAGGGAGACAATCTCCTTTGTTCTCATAAATCATCATGGTGAAATAGAAAGAAAGTAGGTCTCAGACATGGTCACACTCGGCTTTTAATTCTGCCTGTGTTGTTTTCCAGATGAGTCATATAGACATATTACTAAATCTTCTCCGAACTTTTGTTTGCTCTTTTATACATTGGCCATCAAAAATCTCAAAATAAGGCAATAGGAGTTTTTAAAAACCCCACTGTCAGCTAGTAGGCATTCAACAAATGTTAATCCTGTCTTTTCAGGTGAACTCACTGGGTACTCAACAGTCAATATTGGTTTCTAGTTTAACTGTTCCCCATAGTTTCAATAATATCTAGTACTTACATGTTATTTTCTAGCACTTACAAAACATTTTCTTTTTTTGTTTGTTTTTTTTTTGAGATGGAGTTTCACTCTTGTTGCCCATGCTGGAGTACAATAGTGCAATCTCGGCTCACCACAACCTCTGCCCCCCAGGTTCAAGCAATTCTCCTGCCTCAGTCTTCCCGAGTAGCTGGGATTATAGGCATGCGCCACCATGCCCGGATAATTTTGTATTTTTAGTAGAGATAAGGTTTCTCCATGTTGGTCGGCTGGTCTCGAACCCCCGACCTCAGGCGATCCGCCCACCTTGGCCTCCCAAAGTGCTGGGATTACAGGCATGAGCCACCGTGCCTGGCCAAAATATTTTCAAGCGAATATCTTATGCAATTATTCCAACAACCATTTGATGTAGATACCTTTGCGTTAGCCAGTTTTACAAATAAAGAGAATAAAGCTCAGGCAACATGACCTGAAAAGTAAGTATGAGACCTCTGGGACCCCAGTGCCTGGGTTTGAATTCTGGCTTTTGCTCCATGATCTTAAGCGAATTACATAATTACTCTGTGATTTAGTTTACTCATCTTAAAAGCTGAGAAGCACAATGAGATCTATCTAACAATGTTGTGAGCATAAACTAAGTTAATACAATTATATACTTAGAATAGTAAGCACTCCATTAATGTTATATATTATTTTACTCTGCAAAAATATAGCTAACTCTTAGGCAATTAGCAAAATGAAAGAAGGCAATAAATGAGTTAATAGAAGTAGAGTATTTAGACTCATTCTTGGCACATAGTAAGGGCTTAGCAAGTGTTACCTACTCTTGTTGGCCAAGATCACACAGATACGTAGGAAATGTGGTTCTTGAATAAGAGTCCTTGGGAATTAAAGCCATTACAGGTGAGGACGGAGGTGGTTGAGGAAGTTAATAGTGGAGATCCTGGTCTCCTAGTCTACCTAAAATATGGGAATTGAACACCACCTCTGACAATTGTGGGCATAGAACATGAAGATAATTAAAGTACTTTGCAAAATTTGAAGTTCTATAAGAGGATGTTATTTATTATTATTTGTGTATATGTTTGTGATAGATGAATTGAGAGATAATGACTTAATCTTAATATGAGACTAACTTCCAGATCTGTAAAAGTGGCCAAATCTCCTGGTACAGTAGAGAATGAAGAGTCTTTGGTTTTGAGTTGTATACCTGGCCTAGGATCTAGCCTCTTCCAACTAGTATGTGGTTTTGAACTTCAGGCTTTAGAAATACAAACATAGGCCGGGCACAGTGGCTCACGCCTGTAATCCCAACACTTTGGGAAGTCGAGGCAGATGATCAACTGAGGCTAGGAGTTTGAGACCAGCTTGGTCAACATGGTGAAACCCTGTCTCTACTAAAAAAAGAAAAAAATTAGCCGGGCATGGTGGTGGGTGCCTGTAATCCCAGATACTCGGGAGGCTGAGGCTGAAGAATCGCTTGAATCCAGAGGCACAGGTTGCAGTGAGCTGAGATAGTGCCACTGTACTCCAGCCTGGGTAACACAGGGAGACTCAGTCTAAAAAAAAAAAGAAAGAAAGAAAAGAAAAGAAATATAAACATATTAATTTAGTAAACTTTGCTATGATCTAGGATTTTCTTTCTCTCTCTCTCTTTTTCTTTTTCTTTTTTTTTTTTTGAGACAGAGTCTTGCTCTGTCGCTCAGGCTGGAGTGCAGTGGTGTGATCTTGGCTCACTGCAACCTCTGCCTCCTGGGTTCAAGCAATTCTCCTGCCTCAGCCTCCTGAGTAGCTGGGACTACAGGCACTTGCTGCCATGCCCGTCTTATTTCTTTTGTATTTTAGTAAAGACAGGGTTTCACTGTGTTGCCCAGGCTGGTCTTGAACTCCTGAGCTCAGTCAATCTGCCCGCCTCAGCCTCCAAAAGTGCTAAGATTACAGGCGTGAGCCACTGCATCCAGCCCATCTAGCATTTTCTTAGTTATCCAGTAGTTGTATATTTTGGTTAGATAGTAAATCTTCAATTAGCTGAAATTTTCTTGTTCCTAAAAGAGGAATGACTACCGTGCACAGAGTTCTATGTGCTAGTGTATTAGTTATAATAAAGTACCACAAACTTAGCAACTTAAAACAATACCCATTTATTATCTCACCGCTCTGGAGGTCAGAAGTCTAGGTGGTATAACTAGGTTCTCAAGGTCTCAATAGGCTGAAATCAATGTGGTGGCTAGCTGCATTATCATCTGGACCTTGGGCTCTTCTTTCAATTCCTGTTATTGGCAGAATTCAGTTCCTCATGGTTGTAAGACTGAGGTCTTCCTTGTTGGTTGTCAGCTGGGGGCCTCTCCCAGCTCCAGTCCTTGCACATGGCCCTTCCATCTTCAACATCAGCAATGGCATGTAAAATTTTTCTTATGGTTGAATCTCTCTTACTTCTACTTCTACCACCAATCAGAGAACATCCTCTGCTTTTCAAGAGCTGATGTAATTAGGTGACAGAGTCGGAACTAAGAAAGTAATGGTCAAGATGGAAAGAAGAAGACTCACCCTGAATTAGGAGGTAGTAACTCATCGCAGTGGGAGATGGGAAGAAGGGGTGTGCTGTGGCACACTTACATTCCCAAGGTTCTCTCGGTTTAATTTCGACCAGTATATTTTTCTTATCAAAGAAATGGCTTAATTTCGACCAGTATATTTTTCTTGTCTAACCAAATAGGTTAAGATAACTTAGGGTTTGAGACTTGAATAGAAATACTTTCCACTTAATTTTGTTATCTTATATTTTATTTAAGTAAACTATTTATTTATTTATTTATTTATTTATTTATTTATTTATTAATTAGATGGAGCCTCGCTCTGTTGCCCAGGCTAGAGTTCAGTGGTGAGATCTTGACTCACTGCAACCTCCACCTCCTGGATTCAAGCGATTCTCCTGCCTCAGCCTCCCAAGCAGCTGGGATTACAGGCATCCACCACCACACTCAGCTAATTTTTTGTGTTTTTAGTAGAGATGGGGTTTCAGCATGTTGGCCAGGCTGGTCTCGAACTCCTGACCTCAAGTGATCTGCCCACCTAGGCCTCCCAAAGTGCTGGGATTATAGGTGTAAGCCGCCATGCCTGGCCAAGTGAATTATTTAAACGTGTAGGATCATATTTTGCAGTGTCAATTTCTCTGTTTTTGATCATAGTTTACAAAAAGTCATGGGATCTACAACAGTGCCAGCCTCCATGTACCCTGTATCCTGTCTCCATGTTAAGCTCTACGTTCTGGCAAGGCTTATAGGTCTAATCTTAGAGAGTAGGATAAGAGGCCCTTAAAAAGTAACACTATAGAATAAGACAATCGTGTAATAATCATAATAATAATAGAAAAATATAAATAGAAGAACTCATAAAGTGACTTTCTCTGAGAATTGTGTACCACTAACTAATTCATGTCACTCCACTGGATTATATTAGCCCTTAAGTGAGAATATACTGTGCTTTCCAATGCCCTAGTTGGTCAACACTGATTCCAAATAAAGAACTCTTTATTTATGTGAGAAGATGAACCCAGTCACTCAAGTATTTTCCTCCTACAACAGAGCAAGGGAAAATATGACCCAAGGGGTTTCTGCCTCTATCAGGATTTGCTGTGGCTTCCTCTTCGTGAGAACAGACTCTCAGGACTATATTTCCTCTTCCCTTCCACAAAGGCATGTGAAAATATAAAGCAGTAAAACCACATAAACAGCCAAAAAAGTACAATCAAACCCTCTCTAGCCTCAGGAGGCAATTCTTGGCCTGGTTTTGTGTGCTAGCAAAAGGATAGTTCAGGAAGAGGGGGTGGAAAGTTCTCATTTCTTTCTCTTCTGATGTTCTCTTCCTTGGTTAATAGCCCAAAGGGTCCTTGCTCTGGATATAACCAAATTCCTCCAGCTATTAATTATCAGCTCTTGGGACTTTGTGGGCCTATGGATAAATTCTTATATTTTTAATATCAAAACTTATATTAAATAAATAGTACTAAGTTTATCTTCTTTTTGAAGTCTTACCCAAATTAATAATTTTGCATATGCTATTCTTTTTTCCATTCCTCTGTCATCTTCTTCTTTTCCTCCTCCTCCCCCTCCTCCTGCCTCTCCTCCACCTTCCTCTCCACCTCCTCTTCTTTCTTCTCCTCCTCCTTCTCCTTCTTCTTCTCCTCCTCCTTGTTCTTTTCTTCTTTAGCCTGTCATTGCTGTAGATGCTAAGGAAAAGTAAAATTGTCTCAGGTTAGGCTATAATAGAGAGAAATCCAGTAGATACAAAAATTGGAGAAATCAGCTCTTAAATGAGTTTTTAATTTCATCAAGGCGAAGGCAATAATCACTCACTGAGTGCTCATTTTCTCCCCGTTGCTGCGCTAGACCAGGAGAAGCAGAGATGAAAGGCACAGGAGGAAGGAGTCACATATACATAGACACTATTCGAGGAGGAAACCAAAGTGCAATTTGATTAGGGTTATAGGATAGGAATGTTCGCTGTGCTTGGGGAACACACATGCGGAAGCAATTTATTCTGGCTGATGGGCTCCAGTAAAGTTCTAGTGCTGAAAGACTGGACTGAACCCAGCTGTATAGAGCAGAGTTGTAGTTTTCAACATTTTTCTGATTGAGTCCTATAATACAAAATCTATTTTATGTAGCTCTCCAGAACACACAAACACGTGCATATTTAGACAACTTTTACAAAACTGCACTAACCAACACTTACTGTGTGTAATATACTCACTTTTTTTCTTCCATTCTGTTTCAATTACTTTAGATGCTAGCTGAAACTTATTTAATCGAGTTTCTTAAATATATTCATGAATTGAGACCCCCAGCTTAGGAAACCCTGGAATACAGCATGGACTTTGGGGTGACACAGAACTGGTTTTGAATCATGATATTGCCAACAAATAGCTCTGGGATAGGGCCAATTCGCTTAACTTCTATGAGTAAAAAAAAAAAAAAAAAAAAATTGGTAAGTGGCTACTCTCTACCTGATTAGGTGGTTATAATTTTTAAAGGAAACAATACCTGTAAACAGCTTAATATAGTGAAAGCTCAATAGATGGGTCAGGCAAAGAGTAGGAAAAAGGAGCATCCAAGGCACCCTGATTTGGTAGGATTGACCTACCATTCAAAACAAGGTAATTCTTGATGACTCAGTGTGTAGCGTGCAAGGTGGAAATGAAAAATAACAGTCTGTGAAGCTTCTGCACCCAGCAGACTCCGGGTGTGTATGTGTTTTCACGTGAATATGTGAGTGAACAGGTATGTGTTTGTGTGTGTTGTGGGGGTGAGTTTTTTGGGGCAGTTGCATGTGTGGGCATCCATGTGTGAGTCGGGGAGACAATAGAGGCAATAGTGTCAGTAGAAGGATTAAATCAATTCCCTTTCATTCAACAACCTATTAACCGATTCCAATGAGTTTTTCTTAAACCAACCGTCCCAAATTTTTTCCTGAGACCTTCCTTTTACCAAGAGACCACAGCCCCTTGTGACCTTGACACAGTCACATCATTTCTGGATTTTATCTCCCTTATATTGGACTACATCAATATGTTTAAAGAGTCCTTTAGAAAAGCAGTAGAGTCCCTTTTCAAGCACAATATTCAGAGGATTCTAATATTTAATTATGGCTTTATATATACAGAGAAATAGCGATATAGACATATAGTAATAGCTAACATTTATTTTGCACTTAATATATTCCCAGCTCTGTGCTAAATGCTTTACGCACATCAGCTCACGACAACGCTATAATGTATAAGACTCGTGAAGACCCTATAATCTAATGGCTATTTCTATCCCTATTACACAGATACCTGGCTCAAGGTCACAAAGCTAGTGAATAACGTGTTTAGGATGCAGAGCTAGATGCTGTATTAGTCCGTTCTCACATTGCTATAAAGAAATACCTGAGACTGGGTAATTTATAAAGAAAAGAGGTTTAATTGGCTCATTGTTTCACAGACCCATTAGAAACTGCTCCCATGATCCAATCACTTCCCACCAGGCCCCACCTCCAGCATTAGGGATGACAGTTCCACATGAGATTTGGCAAGGACACAGATCCAAACCATAGTAGATGCAAATATATCTCACTGCAATGAGATATATATTTGCAATGTGATTTCATGAGGAAATAAATAAGACACTAACCCCTGCAATCCTTTTCCACATCCAAGGAAATAGATACATCCACGCTTTATTTATGCAAAGATATTTTTATATATTTGTGTATATATTTATGTATGTGTATGTTTAGATAGATGTATACATTTACATATTTCTGTATTTATATATGAGTTTATATAGTCATATATTTTATGTTTATACATTTATGTATCTGAATGAATATATATTACAAATCTATATGAAAAAGTATATGTATAATGAAAAAATATATATAATTAACTAAATGCGTGTTGTCATATTACAGAAATCAGATGTGCAGTAGGTAAATGATATAGCCAGGACACTCATCAATGTCATCTCTGTGCCTTAGAACCCAGCACTCCCAACACTTCTCTCTACAACTATCTCCAAGACTGGAAGAGCATCAGACTTGGGAAGTGACCATCACACCTAACTGAGCTTCTGTTTTGCAACCAAAAATGAATTATAAATCCTAGATAACAAATCAACCCTCAAAGCCTATATATTGATCCCAGTCCTTGTCATTAGGCAGTGCATTCTGCTGGGGATGCAGTCACAAGACTTTTTGTTTGTGATTCTAGGGTAGCATTCTGAGACACATTAGAGAGTATTTATTTTCACTGAGACCCATGCTTAGCTCCAGGGGAGCATGATTGTTAAATATAATGCATGTTTACTATTGTGCCTTGAAAGAGGATTAGTGAAGGAGGACGTTACTTTAATTTCTTCCATGTGACTCAGAGCAGTGGTGGTTAATTTCCTCTCCATACTTTAAGATCACATTGTGGTTAAAGAGTTAAAGGCTAATTAAGCTCTCTGTCAAAAGCGACAAAACCCTGGCTTCAATAGATTCCCCCTAGGAAAAACATCTTTTGCTATGAGGCTTCCTCTGCCTGTTTCCAGTCTCTGATTGCAGGTCATGCTGAATGGAGGCTTCTTAAACGGGGCGGGAGGTTTGTCTCCTAAATATGCTGGAGTCAGGGAGTGAAAGCAGGCGTTTACATAGGAAAGCAGCTTGTGATTTTTTGTCATGGTTGCAGGCAGTAGGAACCGAGTTGGCAGTACCAGACTCCTTAGCTGTTACAGGAGAACTCAGTAAGGGAGGCAGGTGGGCGATAGTTCATCAGCCTCTCCTTATGCCTTGTTATTACAGGAAGTTAATGAGACAATCTTTTTCCCATTTAAGGATCAGCAACTACAGGAAAAACGTATTGAAACCTTTATACTTCTTGTCAATGCCTGTATCTTATTCAATCACTGCAACAACCATTTGATGTAGGTACCATTGTGTTAGCCAGTTTTACAAATGCCTCTAAACTCCTTGTTGATGTCTGTAGCTTTTTCTTATAAGGTTATTAGCAGAAAAATACAAGCAAGCTGGCAAAAACTGGCACTGTGCTTGGCACATAACGGTAGTTTCCCAAGGTCAAACAGAACAAACATAAAAAATAAAGCAAGTGTTTCATTCCAAATTTTAATAATTATGTTTTTGTACTATGCAGCTTCCATATCATAATCAATCAAACTTGGAAATATTGTATTGAGAAATGTCTATTTTTACATGATGAAGGAGAAGGAAAACAATAAAAAGCTATAGGACTAAAACCAATGTCCGTTATGAGTCATACTGAATCCCAATAAAACCACTACTCACTACCGTAGCCCTGGTCCCTGTCTTAGTGCTTGTCACATGGGAAGCTTTTATTAACTGCCTGTTGACCAAATTGGTGAATCCACTGAAAGCACTCACCCTCATTTGATCAGAATTTTTAAATTACCCTACGAATGATGACTGGGTTGCTGGACTAAGCAGAGACCTTAGAACTTTGCCTGACGCAAAAGAAAGCCTTCACAAAATACTTATTTACTGAATATCTTTTGGTATTTTGGTCAATTATCTTGAAGCCTAAAATAAATCAATGTAAATAATGACATATGTTATTGCGTCTTAGTAATAACAATACTAAAAATAATACAGTAATAATGACAATAAAGATTCCTAGCTCTCTAGTATAAATGATGCTCTCACAAATGTGAATTGCTGCAATGCTTCTGGAAAATATTTTATTACTAATTTTCAAGAGATAATACATTTTCCTATACTTTGCCTTAGAGAGGTAAAAAATAGTTAGACACTTTTTAAGTTCCAGACTCACATCATCTCTTTGACCTCAGAAACTTTGTTTTAAGAAATCTGCCAAACAATGTGTTTTTTTCTACTTTTCATATTTTATCATAATTAATTTTGTGATAAAAACTTTGTAAATACCTTTACCATTAACACATTGTTTGGCAGTCAATATAAAGATGCAAATAGTTTAAGTGTGAAAATCATAGCTCTTATTAGGTAAAAGTAAGTCAATTGCTCAGAAGAACTACAGTTATTCTATATAGGTGGTTTTAAAGGCAATGCCTCCCACAGGTCCTCATGGAGATGACGTACCTAAGTCAGATTTCTATAATAAAGTCTTCATGTTAAACAGAAGAAAGATTTTTGCATTGTTTCTTTTAACATCCGATCAGGATGAGAAAAAGACAAAATTACAAAAGGGGCATTTCTCCTTGAGTAGCTAAAGTCACAGGGTCTAGTGCCTTAAAAAATCTATGTATATGTCTGGCACCACAGTCCTGCCCTATTTAGCTTAAAACAAAACAAAAAAGGAACAGGGAAAATAAGTGTTCTTTCATTTATTCACTCACTCGTTAGAAAAATGGTTATGAACTTAATTTTCTGTGGTTCAAAATATTACACAAAGAAATTATTTCTACCAATATTAGTCTCAAATTCAATTATCATAAGAATATGTAACTATGAGCAAGTTTGTAAACCATCATTTTGCAATATCTAAAATGTGGTGGTTGGAATAGATGACGCTTAAAACCTCTTCTAATTTAACATTCTATGATGTTGATTGTTAAAAACAAAATGGTTGGCAAAAAACAATGTAAGCAGAACAGAAAAATATATTTTGAGGGTGGAATGTAATGGGATTTCCTTGGACAGTTTCATAGTTTATGCCGTATAGACAGATAAAAATGGCATAGTTCATCTGACTGAGTAACCTATTCTACTGCTTTTAATCAGTCATCTTTGAACATTTTCAGATCATTTTGCCTTAGAAGCTAAAACTGTGTCCAACACGGCAGTCAATGAAAAAGTATAAACCTCTGGTGTCAGAGAGAGTTTGTCTAGCTTTTTCATATAATAATCGTGTGACCTAGTCAATTTATTTAATCTCTCTGTGTGACAATAATATATACCTCAAATGTTGTAAAGATTAAATAACAGTGAAAGCGCCTAGTGATTCCTGCAAGGGACATTCTAAATTCATGTTTGTTTCCTTCCTCTTAGAGAAGTTTTATTCTTATAAATAACGAAGTTGATATACACTTAAGAGCTTCCATGTCTAAATATATCTCTTAAGTTCCTCATAAGATGCTTAAGTAAAATGTAAAATTAGGGTACCTATAAACAAAGGGAAACTCTGTGCTTTTCCAAAGCAAAGGCACTTCATTTTAGCTTCTGGAAGTGTAGTTCACATTAATTCCCTGAACAATTTCCTGAGTTAGAAATATTGCCATAGAGACATTTTGACCCGAGCAATATCATTTTCAGCAGAACAAAGATGTTTATGTGCTGTATAGTATTTTGGCATTTGATGCTGGGGCACAGTTTGAAAGTTCTGAATATACATGAATATCCTAACTTCACTTAGCAGCATCTCCTTTGAAAAGGTAAACTTGATATGCTTTCAAATTTCATGCCGTTGGGTCTAGTTAAGATGGCAGTCCTGAATGAAACACATTTAAAATCTACTCCCTGAAGTGGAAAAGTTGGGCTAGAAGTTTCTCTTCTTCCTCCTTCTTTTCTTTCTCCTTCCTCTTCACAGACAAAAATGTTGGCTAATGAAAAATACTTTAAGGAGATTCTCACTTATAAGGACATAATTTCTTAAAAGAAAAATTAGTAAACAACAAAAAAATAGTTGAAAGAAAAAAACTAATCAGAGGCTTCTAAATTAAAGCAACTTCTTTTACTAACAACGACATTCATAAAATTTTTTAAAATTTTAACAGCCAGTACTGTCCTATTGTGATGAAACCTGTACATTGCTAAAGTCATTGGAAACTGTATGACTCTTTAGGTAATATTTAACAAATATTAAAAGCCAGATAGCTATTCATATCTTTTGCCCCAATGATTATGAATCTTAGAATTATTTTATTTATTTTATTCAAAAAGTCCTAATTGTGTGCCCCAGTTGAGCACTTGATCTGCAAAAACAAACAAGGCAAAAACTGTTTGAAAAAGTTTATAGTCTAGTGAGAGATTTATTTTAATAAAACAATTTAGCAAGACTGAATGGCATACGTAAGAAATTTTCACTACAGTGCTACTTCTAGGAGCAAAAACTATTATGTCTACCTAATATGCAACAATAGGAGGATAATTAAATCCATAAGTTTATTAGGTAGTAAAATATATGTTTTAAATATGATAAATGTGAACACTGCACAATGTAGATATCAGCATAAAAATATTAAGCAGGATTTTATAAATAGTATGATTTTATTCATGTAAAACATATTTGAATGGAATAAAATGGGAATATGAGAAAATGAAAACTGTGTATTTGTCATATAGTGGTAGACTTTTTTTTAAATTCAGTATTATCTTATGAGTCACAATATTACAAGGAAATCACAGTTTTTAATTTTAAAAAGTAGCAAAAAACTCAATATTTTCTGATCAATAATAATTATATGGCAAAATATACAATTGGCATGTTATATGGAAATCTGAAGCTTTCTTTTTGGCCTATAGTTTTGTCCTACCCGTGAAATAGTGTAAGTTCTTTGAGAAATTTTAGTTTTTTTAAAATTTAGTTTTATTTTTGATTTCTAAATATTGCCCTTAAAATCCATTTCTAAAATATAGGGTAAAGGCAGTTCAGGAGAATGCAGATAGAATAGAGATCAGCAACCCTGGGCAAGTCACTTCATTTCTTTATGTTTCCTCATCTGGAAAACGGGGATAATTGTGTTCACTTGATTTTAAAAGAAAGGAAGGAAGGAAGAAAAGGAGGGAGGGAAAGTGGGAAGAACAGAGGGTGGGAGGAAAATGAGTACAAAGAAAGAAGGAAAGAGGGGAAGGAGCAAGAATGAGAAGAATGGAGAAAGCCAGCCTGAAAAGGAGGCAGAAGTGGTGTGCTTCTGAATTTGAGGTACACCAAAAAAGAAGAGCTGCATCGGTCGTGGTGCAAGAGAAGGAAACTGGACACAGACGGAGCAGATGCTGCAGGCTGGGTGGCCAGTATTACACTGTAGGGAACACTTCAAAGATGCATGATCTAAATCTCTATGGTTCCTGAATTACAGGGCAGGGAAGTTCATAACGTTGTTTTTCAAAGTGGATATGCTAGTGAGAGAATTTATCATTGGAATAACATTTTACAGCGTAGAATGAATTCCTTTTCTTACAACCAGGAAACCAGTCTGAACTCCCCTCATCCGAACCCAGTGGAATGATTCCATCCTTCCTTTGAAAATCCCTTTCAATTTACTTTCTAACGTAAATTCTCCATTCAACTCAAACCCTTTAGTGTATGGTTCAAAACTTACTTTGTCTGTCATCGCACGGTGTCCTTCTCTCACTCCTACATAGCAAGAAATTCTCATCCTATCCCCGTAGCCTTCAACCACCTCCTGAACTTTTCACCATCTCAAAAAAGCCATCTTATCTGTAATCATCCCCGGAACACTGTCTGAAATGCCAACCCCTGACTCGCTTCCCTTTTGGATATTCAGTGAACTCCTTCTCCTTCATCAATACCAAATTCAACCTGCATTTCCTTTGAAAAACCTTCCTTAATTCCCCAGCAATACATCCCCCTTTCTCTTCTGAGTATCCCTAAAGCTTTGTTTAATAGTTGTGCTTTTGAATAAATAAATGGAAAGACGAATGGATCAAGAAATAAAGCAAGGGAGGAAACCTATATTTGTGAGATCAGAATCTTGGCCATTTTGTTTTTGCATAGGAAACAACTTTATTAAAAGTTGTAATAAGACTATAAACATAGCAAATCCAAGCTTTTACTTCATATACTTCTTATTTGAAAGGTATGTGAACTAAAATGAGAAACAAGCATTAAATGTAACTAACTGCTCAGCAGTACATGAACCTGGAACACATCCATCTTGAAAATTCAAATCCCAAATCCATCTCTAATAGTTCTAGCTTACCATTACTTTTGGTTCTTCTTCCACTTGCATCACCAAAACACAATACCTTTAAAATTTTTGACCACCTATACTGTTGTTCAGGAAGAGTTGGGCATCTTCTTTGCTCTATGGTTATGCAACTCTCTTACTTTCAGATTTATAAACAGCAATTCAATGTGAACTTTGGATTTGAGGGCCCTAAATTTGAGTCATGGCTTCATGCCATGTTATTTGGGTGGCCTTGGGCGGAATATTTTACCTATCTACAACCTCAATTTCCTCTTTTATAAAATAGGGAAAATAACAGTACCTGCTTAATAGGGCCCCTTTCTCTTTTCCTTTTTTTTTTCTTTTAAATTTTAGAGAGCTATGTGTTCAGTGCTTTCCACATAGCAACTCATTTATCTTGGCCAACAGCCCAAGAGTTGAAAGTGGGAAAATGCTTGAGCTGTGCTTCATGCAGTGAGGAGCACATCAAGAGCTCTCCTTTGTAGATGGTCCATGCTAATTTCCATTGATTCTTCTTAATCTTAGCAAGAAATCAGTGATGGTGGAACCTTAGAGGTTTTCTAGTCTACCTCTTCATTTCAAGCATGAAAACATGGCAGAGGGATAAATGATGTTCTAGATCATAAATGATGTTCTCAGATCACAGTGTGGCTTTTCTGGTGTTGGTCCATCTCTATTTCCAATACACATTTACTTTGGTCTAAAGGCATAAAGACATAGGATGCTCTGGAAGAGTCTCCTTGGTTAAGCATGTATGTGGCCCATTAGCAAATACTTGGAACCAACCCAAATGCCCATCAATGATAGACTGGATAAAGAAAATGTGGCACATATACATCATAGAATACTATGCAGCCATAAAAAAGGATGAGTTCATGTCCTTTGCAGGGACAGGGATGAAGCTGGAAACCATCATTCTTAGCAAACACAAGAACAGAAAACCAAACACTGCGTGTTCTCACTCATAACTAGGAGTTGAATAATGAGAACACACGGACACAGGGAGAGGAACATCACAAACTGGAACCTGTTGGGGGTGAGGGGTTAGGGGAGGGATAGCATTAGGAAAAATACCTAATGTAGATGACTGGCTGATGGGTGCAGCAAACCACTGTGGCACGTGTATACCTATGTAACAAACCTGCAAGTTATGCACATGTACCCCAGAACTTAAAGTATATATATATATATATATATATATATATATATATATATATATATATATAAAGAATCACACAACAGAATGAGGAGATATTTGATTATGGCTATTAGGGAGTATGAACATGGCCAAACCATACTTTTGTTAAATGCTGTCTCTTCTTTAGCCTACATACATGTACCTATTAAAACATATATTCAGAATTACACCAGGCTATTAAGGCAGTGTATGTAAATGCCAAAACTAAACTGGACTCTTTGGGATAATGGGATTGACTATCTCATTATAAAAAGCCTGTAATGCTTCTTTAGGAAATTCCTGGCTTGATATTTGCAAGTTCAAATATTCTCATGTTATTTAACTTTTGCTTCTTATTTCAGTTTCACAGAACCTGGGGGTGGAGGGAGTACGGAAATCAATAGCTTCCAATCTCATGATTTTGCATTTACTGACTGCCTCTCTTGCCCACCCACATGCTATGTTTTTTCATTAAGATGGATTTTATATCACAAATATATATGGTAACAATCTCTTGCTAAAACCAACAGCCTGCTTCAGCAGTGATAAGTTTATCACAGATCATAATAGAACAATGTGAATACCTCAAGCCAGTGGGTAAATCTTGCCCCTTGTTATGCTCTGGGACAATGACTTTTACCAAGTAGAAATGTCACACCTGCCTCTATAACTTTGTGCAGTCCCCGTAATCTATGAATTATGTTACTGGTGAATTACTTTTAGGGAAAATAACTTTGGAAAGAGCATACGTTTTGAAAGTTGTTAAAAGGGAAACTGTTGATATAAATATGTACAGGAGAAGATGAACATATGGAAATTTTCATGGTGAGTTTTCCTCCAGAGTAAATGAAAAGGAATGTCAAACCACAAAGAATCTTTTCCCTGAGCTTCAGAGAATGATAGCAGAAGTCTTAAAAAGGCACTTAATGGAATCATATCTGGAAATGGTTGAATCATAAAAAGGTGTAGCATCCAATTCTCTTTTCAAAATGCCTTGGAAACTTTAGCTCTCTTTCCAAGAAAATGAATAACACTGTGGCCTCCTTTGAGGTGAGGCAAGGTTATTTTGTGAGTCATTTCTCATGTAATGGTGGGTTAAAGATGAACATTGCCTTCTTTCACCTTCCCACCCACCCAGATCATGCTCACCCTTTAGGACTTAGGCACTAGCATCGCCTCCCTGAAGGATTCTGTGCTGATCTCAGCTCCATTTGAATTCACTGTTTCCTAAAATCTAAAGTACTAGATGTTTGTAGCATACAATTCTACATTTACTTCCAAAAATACCTTGCATTGTACTTGAACCATATTCCACTAGACTACTAGCTTCCTAAATGCAGAGATTAAATTCTGCTTCCTTAGTGCCCAGTTCACTCTTGGGTTTTTTGTGGTGGCTCAATAAATATTGGCAATAATTGGCTTAACTATTGGAATAATGTATCTGTAACCTCTTCAGTCAAGGGCAGAGACTTGGTGTGCCAAACAGAAAGAACTGTCATTTATTGAGCTCCTCCTCTCTATCAGCAATTATGTCTTTTTAAAAAAAAAAAATTGGTTATGTATTTCTAATAATGACATCATCATTGTGTCCTCATTTGGCAGCTAAAGAAACCGAGGCTCAAACATGGTGAGCTGCTTGCTCAAGAGAAAATTGCTATTAAAAGCAAGGTTTATCCAGCACTAGGATTACCAACATATATGCGCAATAAATGAAATTAACCACTAAAAATATTTCCATTGTATCAGAGATAGTCTCCCCAAAAATCAATGGAAATGGCCCATAGGAAGTCTTTCCTGGTCCTTCTTTCAGGTAAAGCACGAATCTTGTCCCTTTCTGGGTGGTCAGAATCTCCCTGTTTGGCTCTTGGATTCCCCAGAAAGTTCAGGTTGCCTGGGTGGAGAGGAGTAGGGCAGCAGCAGATTCCATCTTACTCAGCCCAGTGACTTCTTTGTCTACACTAAGTCTCCCTTTCAGCTCCCAGGTAAAAAAAAAAATTATGAAAATAAAAAATGGTTCCTTTTCAATGGCAGATTAAAGATTGGTTCAAAAAGCAGATTTCAAAAATGTTTAAGTGTATGATGTTTTATTTCAGCCTGCAGGGTAGAAAACATCTGGCTGTTTACAGAATTTTGCCGATGCCTTCCTATACTAATTCTTACTCTCTTTCTCCTTCCTTTTAAGGGCCCAGGGCCTTTGTGCTGCCTGTGATAGGCCATGCTTGCACGCTATAAAGAAATACCTGAGACTGGGTAATTTATAAAGAGATTTAATTGGCTCGCAGTTCTGCAGGCTTTTCAGGAAGCATGGTGCTGGCACCTGCTTGGATTCTAGGGAGGCCTCAGGGAGTTTTCAGTCATGGCAGAAGGTGAATGAAGAAGAGGGACATCATATGGTAAAAATGGGAGTGAGAGAGAGGAGAGAGAGAGACGAGAAACATCTGGACCGGATCTTGTGGGAAGCTCAGACCCACAGCTCACTTATCACCAAGGGGATGGCCTAAACCCTTCATGAGGCATCTGCCCCCATGATCCAAACACCTTCCACCAGGCCCCACCTTCAATATCGAGGATTACATTTCAACATGCGATTTGGGTTGGGACAAATATCCAAACGATATCACAGCCCTTTAGTTAGCCATACCACTCCATTTTCCCCCCAACCTCCGTTATCACTACTCCAAACACTGGAGTTAATTTTCCCCAGCCCCAAACCATATGCCCAATCTTTCATTGTCCTCATCTGAGCTAGTTAAATGAAGCAATCTATATTAACATGAATGGCTGTGTAGGGGCAGAAAGAGGATTATCCCTTTCCTTCCCATCATTAAAGTTGCAGCTGACACTCTTATAACAAAAGACAGTTTAACAAGAGAAATGGATAACAAATTTATTTGATTAGACTTTTATTCAACAATGGCTTTCAGATTGAAGACCCAAAGATACAGGAGAAGCTGTATGATTTTATGCTTAGGTTCAATGAAGCCAGGACAGTCATGTAGAAATGCGATTGGACAAAAAGGTTATGAGCTAATGGTAGTTGAGTGAGGAAACCCACCAAGGCCTGTCTGTCCAGATTCTTCTTGGCCTCTCTGTTGTAGCTTTTTATTTTTTTTCCTCCCAGGTATGGGATAGGACTTCTCTGGAATAAAGGTCTCAATTTCTTAATGGCCTGCTGTTACACAGAAAGATGAGGGAAGGTTAGAGTAATATTTTCAGGCTTTCTAACTGGCTTTGGGGGAAAGGGGTTCTGGTTTCTCTGACCCATCCTGGGGAAGAGGTATTCTAATTACTATTCCTCAGGAGAGAATAAGAGGCGAGAGACAGGAGGGCAGAAGTTCCAAGAGAAATTTTGCTTATGAGACTTTCATTTTGGAGTATTGGCTTTTCTGAGCCTCAACAGCAGATTGTCTGAGTCTGTAGCTTTTAGTACTCTACTCGTTTGTAAAAGAAAACACATTCACTATGCAGTATAGGCTTTGGGTGGCCGTGCAATGCAAAAAGTAAAACTTTGCCAGTCCCTGATGACTTTCATTCTCTAAGAGCTTTACATCAATTAACCTATTGATTCCTTTCAGCAACTCTAAGAGTCAAATTATTATCCTTATTTTTTACCGAGAAGGAAACTGAGGCACAGAGAGGTTAAATAGCTTGCTTATAATGAAAAAGCTGGTATTAGGCAGACTTCAGTTTCAAATCCAGGCAGCCTGGCGCTAGAAGCTGGGCCCATTCTTAACCACCGTGCACACTGCCTCTCATCATGTGGTTGTTAACGACATGGGTTGTGGAATCAGAAAACATTTTCCTTCTGGGCATGGCTTTGGACAACTTACTCAATCTCATTAACTTCAGTTTCTTCATCTGTTACATCATAATAATATCAGTACCTGATTTACTTTGTTCTAATGTGGAGTAAAGGGAGTGAAACCTGAAAAGACTAAGCATGATGCCTAACATGTGGAAACAGCACCCCTAATCAACGTTTGCTTTCATTCTTATAGTTTTATTTTTGCCAAGGGTGTCATTTTAGACAGCATAGAGGGCCAATATGGCATCATACTTGAAAAACAGCCTTTCTTGGTGTCCTTAAATTACTCTGCATAGAAAACCTATCTTACTCATTCATGAAACTCACTCTGAAAATATATACATGGACATAATGTGCACATATGTTCTTTCCTGATGAGGAAGGTAGGGAGGGCTCCTCCAGTTCTGCTTTGTAATGCATCTGAGCTCCTGAGTATAATATAATCACTTTCTTTTGTGGCTTTGGATTTATATACACATTACAGCCACAGGCATGCAGGCATATATTTTTAGATCACTCTCTGAAAATGGAGCATCCACATTTTTAAAAATAAACTTGTGCTGGGCTAAAGCTGGAATCAATGAGCGGGGAAAAAAACCCCACAATCTACTCTGCCTGCTCCTTGTCTTTGCAGCTAACAGCCAAGTCTTATTCTTCCACCCTGATTCCAACTGATTCTTTTCTTTTCTATGCCAGAACAAGGGGTGCAGATCTCAGCAAATGACCAGAGTGGAGTCGGCTGTTAAATATACATTTCTGACTCCTAGAAATTTGGCTCCTGACAAATGTTCTTGAAAACTTTTAGGATGTGGCGGCATATTTCAAAGGCTCTCTTAGGAAATCTCAAGTGAAATCAGGCTTCTCACAGATCCTCTTCAGGCTGTGACCTCACCTAGTGCCCATTGCAGGGGACTGGATCCAGTGAATACAATCAACTCATATCCATGGACTCCGTGAAAGACAGGAAGGACACACCTCTGCTCCCAGTCCACTCAGTGTATCCAAACAGCCAGGAAAAATGGTTTCATGGCTGATTACTGTTGCTGAGGCAACTCTATTGATCCTTCCTATGGTAATATTGGCAGTTTCCCCTGGGGATTGGAGAGTGGGGTTGGCTGACAGTTCTCTGGGTAAGAGACCAAGGCATTATTAAAAAATTATCCCCATACCACACTCTGTTCCCAGTCCCCAAAAGTCAAATTGCAAAGCCTGATTTTAAACTCTGAAGAAATGCCCAATCTCATGATTGTAGACAAACAGAGCAGAGGAGGTCCCTGGGATTGATGGGAAAGACTTCACTGGAAGAAGCTCAACTTCCCAAGACAGGGATAAGGGGAGGAGTCAGGAAGAAAAGAGAGGAAACAATTGTCATTCAGCTTCTAAAGGGTCAGAGGCAGCACCAGGGGCAAATCCTTTAATTTGCCACTTAGGAAGATTTAGAAAGGTTTTGGGGGGATAGGGGAGGTCAGTGAGAAAATGGGAGATTACAACAATTATAAAGGAAAAGAATTCTGTTCACCCGGTACCTTGGGGAAAGTTTTAAGGCAGACAAGATAGAGAAAAGATATTAGTAAAACTCTCTAGGAATTAATAGTATTGCCAGTGACACAGATTTGTAATCTTCCGGGTTAAACTCAGACAAGATCAAATCCTTTTGGAAATGCAGTCTGCGCTTTCGGAACGACAGCAGTCACTGTGACTTCTTCACTTTATGTGCTATTTTGCTTCTAAAGGGCTTCAAAGTGTCTGCTTCTCTTACTCCAGCCTGCCTTCAGAATGAAATGAAAAAAAAAAAAAATTGAGGGAACAGATTGACTCTGAAGCATTCCAGAGAGAAGAGGTTCGGCACATAATCCCATTCCAAAACAATATTATCAGAAACAACTCTTTGCCTTTCACCTTTTCATTGTTTTCTGAACACACCCAGGTGGAAGGAGCTCTAGGTTTGCTTTCAGATTTGCCAGGGATGGAAACTCAGACCCCAGTATCAGCAGCATAACTGCACAATTTATATAACCTCTCTGAGGCTGAGTTTCTGTCACCTCTAAAGTGGGAAGCACACCATTTGAGGAGGCTACCCCAGCATGCTACAAGCTCTTGGTAAACATAACCTATTATTTCTGTTATATCTAGTGACTCCCAAATGTAAAGCTAACCTATTATGTTAAGAAGACTTAACAAAAGGTTTATAACTATTTGAGGAAATTGATTCCATGCAGGCTTGGGAATTGTTTTTAAAGTCAGAAGAGAAAATGCTATTTTATCAGTATTGCTTAAACAGAGCTTAAATAGTGTCGCTGTTTCTTTTAAGAGGCGAATTGGACTGGGCTCACATTGCACGTATATTTCATCTACAGTTGCCACATATGTGTGTTTTTCTCAGCAAGCAGCACATATGGAACAACTCTTTATGGAAAATAAGAGTGATGTCATCTGCCTAGCAATACCAGGATATGAACTCAGACTCCCACAGTGCCGTTGGATCCACACAGCTACCAGCGCGCTCTGAGGAAGGGAGACTATTTTGAATGTTTCCGGAGTTGTATGCTTTGATTTTCTTCTGAGAAATCACTGGGAGGGTGTAATCTGATTTCCACAAAGAGAAATGGGTGTGTGGGGACAGAAATAGTTTATTCTTAGGGATTCCTAAGGAACTCTTTGAAAGTGTTTCTCATATTTCAGAACAGAAAAGTAAAAAACGGAGCAAATGTGTTCTATTCCCTTTTATGTTGAGGAAAACAGTTCCCCTGTCCTTTCAAGAGGTCCTGTCCCAGGGAATCTGCTCAGACTTGCTATTCAGTCTGCATTCTTCTGTGGCATTGCTGAACAGATTAGCTGTAAGGAGAAGTTTAGTGCTTCTCCGATGATTTAAGTTATTTTAAACAAGGATTTCAGGATGAAATGAAAGGAAGCCAGCTATTGGGGCATGTTCTCTCCTTGAGGAAAACCTGTTTGTTTGTTTCCTTGTCTTACAACAGATAATTTAAAAAAATTAAAGTTTATTCATGCAACTGTACTGTGATGGCTTAAATTCCATTCTTTGTAGCTCTATACAATGCCCTTCATTAGCGTTGATCTCCCTATAGAAAGATCCTTGGTAGTTACTTGGAATTCAGGCTCCAATTCAGGCTCCAGTCTGTTAAGAACTAATCCCTATAAGCTTGTAGGAATTGCCACCCTGGGCTGCACTGAGAGAACTGCCCGGTGTAGCTGGAGAGGTCAACTGGTGGTCCCAGGACTGATTTCTTGCAGAAAGTAGGTTTGGTTTGGCGGAGTTTTTGAAAAGGATTTAAGTTGACATGCTTTTAGCCAGGGGTATGCACTCTTTTCACCTCTGATCCTAGCTGTCCCTAGTACAATTACCATTGGCCTTAGAATCATGTGAAATTACCTGTTCAGTTCCCAGAGGCATTTGAATTTGGGACCCTGGAACTGGAAGGGGCACCCACAAGATCTAATAAGGTGTAAATTCTTATAAAAAAGTTCACCAAATCCTGACAGTGATCAAAGTGAAGTCACTTACCTCAAAGCTCAAAGTCTCTGTTTTTTCACTATGGGTTGATGGCAGCTGTGCTCCATGTCTTCATTTAAACGTCCAGGCTCTATCTGGATGTAGCCATGTTTATTGCAGAGGAAAAATGGAAAAGAACCAGTGTCTTTTAAAACCTCTGGCCAGAAGTTGCACATGATACTTCCAATTCCATTGGCCAAAGCAAGTCACGTGCACAAGCCTCACTTCCTAGAAGGGAACAAATATTAGCCTTCTGCAAGAAAGAGCAGTGGATATTTTAGACAAAATACTACTAACCTCATCAATAAAAAATATTTATGAGCTTAGCAGAAGCTAAGTGACGTGATAAGAGGGGAATCCAGCCTTCTCTCAATTAGAAAGTGAAAGACACACGAGAAAATGTTCAAGAGTATAAAAATTCTGTTGTCAATGCCTGCCCAACATTTATTCCATATTTTATCTGGTAACAGAATCTGATTTCTCCTTTGAAACCCATTTCTCTTTCTCATTTGTAGTTCTGGAGTAACTGACTCCAGATGTCCTTCCTCTGCCAGAAGTTATTAATTATATAGGGTGGGAAAAATGCTAGTTTTGTTAACTGAATAAATAAATACTATGGTCGCTGTTGTGAGTTGAATTGTATCTCTTCCCAAATTCCTGTGTTGAAATCCTAATACCCAGTACCTCAAAAACATGACATTATTTGGAAATAAGTTTGTTGTAGATGTAATTCGTTATGATGAGGTCACGCTATAGTAAGGGTGGGGCCCAAATCCCATATGACTAGTGTCCTTTTAAAGAGAAAGTTTGTGTGCAGGTGCACACAGGGAAGCACACTGCGTGAAGATGATGCAAAGACTGGGGTGATACAGCAGAAGCCAAGCAGCACCAAAGGTTGCCAGCAAACCAACAGAAGCCAGAGGGCCATGGACCAGATTCTCCTTCACAGTCCTCGGAAAAAACAAATCCTGCCAACATCTTGATTTTGGACTTCTTGCCTCCAGAACTGTGAGACAGTAAATTTCTGTGGTTTAAGCCATCCAGTTTGTAGTACTGAGTTACAACAGCCCTTGGAAACTAATACTTTGGCCTTGGTTGAATATGCAAGGGAGAGAAAGAGGTGTTTGATGAAACACAATCTTGGCACAAGTGAAGGATCAACAATCAAATAATAAACAAATAAAAGTTCCTTTGATCTTCTGATAAGGAAAGAACATAAATAAGGAGAGTGAAAATCACCTGGTCAGACTATTCGGAGGCAAAACTCCTTATCTTAGGTATTTAATAGAAGGGAACAAAGACCACCTGGTCGCATCTGGTTCCAGGCCTCTTTCAGCTTTTATAAGTAACTAAAGTCTCGATGTATCCCTGAAACTCATTTTACAACCCTAAGCTCCCGCCTTAAGCTCCATAAATACCCCGATGATATATCCACCAGGGGGCGCTCAGTCCTCTCGCCGAGGCATCCCGCTACACTCTTGTAGCTTTCCTCCTTTCTAATAAACTTTCCTTTTTCAAACCTACACTGTTGTTGGTAAATTCTTTTTACCAACACGCGAGTTGACCACTTCCTGTTTTGGGGCTATCACACCTCGCCCAGTAGATTGGTATGATTGAGGAACCTTTTAGGGAATAGAACATAAATAAACGATTGTAGGTCAATGTTTTAAACTCTGACATACATCATAAGAAGTTTTTAACTCTGACAAAATTCATAAAAAGTTGGGGGTATCCTGTAAGCCTTCCTGTTTCTATAACTGTCATAATGATTTTATAAACTGATATAAATACTTTTAAAATAATATGCCCTGTGATGATATTCCTTTCAAATGGCGGGGTGGTGGCGGGGGTGGGTTGTAGTTTTGTGTTAATGATTTAAAGTAAGAGCTGTAGACCCAGAATATCTGAGTTGAATCTGGCAGTATAATTTCCTGAGTTACGTAAACCTTTTGTCTTAGTTCATTTTCTGTTGCTGTAACAAAATACCACAGACTGGGTAATTTTTTTTTTTAAATAAATATATTAGCAACCAGTTCTGGAGGCTGGGAAGTCCAAAAGCATGGTATGGATATCTGATGAGGGCCTTTTTGTTGATCATAACATGGTGAAGGGCATCTCATGGTGAGAGGGCAAGATCATGTGGGTCAGTTCAGGTTTCTTTTCCTGTCCTATAAAGCCTCTAGTTCCATCATGGGGACCCTACCCTCATGACCTTATCTAATTCTAATTACCTCCTGAAAGTCCCATCTCCAAACATTATTGTTAGGGACAAACTGCCCCAAGAAAGCTTCTTGGTGCGGCCCCCCTCCCCCTAATGCTCTGCAACTCTTCACCATGCCGCCCACCATTTCCCCAAGCCTCTTTACATTTCTAAGCCGTTATCTAGGCACCATGGTGAAGCCCCCAGACCACTTATCAGACCGTGCTTCAATAAGCAAACCCCAATTACAAACCATCTAGGCCGCACAGGGTGAAGTGGTGGGAAGCATAAACAAACTTTTACCTACACCTCCTGTAATAAACATCACAAGGTGCTATGTGGCAAAATTAACCAGCAAACAACCCCGGGATGCGGCCATACCAAAGAACTCCCTCAAACTCCTCTCCCCAGCATAAACCCCTCATTCTGTAAACTTGGGGCTGTTTCCCTTGACTGTTAAGGGGGCAGCTGGCAGGTTAATAAATTGCTTGCCTGGGCCGGGTGCGGTGGCTCACGCCTGTAATCCCAGCACTTTGGGAGGCCAAGGCATGCGGATCACGAGGTCAGGAGATCAAGACCATCCTGGCTAACACGGTGAAACCCCATCTCTACTAAAAAATACAAATAAAATCTATAATTAGAAAAAGAAAAAAGAAAAGGAAGCCAAAAGACCAAAGTAGGAGAGGAAAAGTTTTGGTTCAAATTATTTCATTGTTATAGTCTTATAAGCATGTAAAAGTTAAGTAATTTTCTAATCGTTAATTATTAATATACAGAAATATGATCAATACTTGTACACAGATCTTTCATTCAGCAACCTTCCTAAATTCTCTTAACAATTTTTATCTGTTGTAGATTCTTTTGAGCATTTTAAATATACTATAAAATAAACGTATATGTGCATTATATGTGAGTGAAGATATTTTTACTTTTATTTTTTCCCAATCTGTACGTGTTTCCCCCTTTTTCTTGCCTTACTGAAATGGCTAGAATCTCCTCTATAATGTTAGAGATAGCAATAATAGAAATCTTTAGTATGTTCCCAATCTTAGGGTGAAAGCGTTCAGATTTTCCCTACAAAGTGTCATGCTAGGTTTTTATTTTGTTTTGTTTGGTAGTTACCCTGCGTCAGATTAAGGAGGCTTTCTTCTATCCCCAGTTTCCTGAGAATTTCATCTTGAAAACGTGCCAAATTTTATTAAATGCCTTTCTATGTATACTTATATCATGTTGTTTTTCTCATCTATTTTGATGATTATCAAAGTTGCTTATCTTGTGGTTAGTTATCTTGATTAATTTTTTAAAAGATAAAACTGTATAATAATCACAGGATAAGTCCCATTTGGTCACGATGTAATATTTTTTACTATATCTCTAAATTTCATTTGATAATAGTTTATTTAGGATTTTGCTTATATGTTTATGAGAAATATGGGTCTACATTTTTTGCGGAGGATGAGAGGTCATATTCTTTTCTGCTTTTGGTATTAGAATTGTATCATCTTCATAAAATGAATTGGGGCATATTCCTGTTCTCCATTTTTCTGAAAGCTTTGTGTAACCTTTGCAGTGGGTTCAGTACTAGACCCCTAAAAGATAAGTTTATCCAGAACCTCTGAATGTGACTTCTGTTGGAAAAGGGTCTTTGTAGATGTAATTAAGTGAAGGGTCTTGAGAAGAAATCATTCTGGATGGCAACTGTCTTTATAAGAGATTTCAAAGGGAGAAAATGGAAGAGACAGCCATGTACAGGTAGAGGCTGAGATTGGAGTTATACTTCCAGAAGCCACACAGTACCTGGAGCCAGCAGGAAACTAAAAAAAGATAACAAGTGATCCTGGCCTAGTGCCTTCAGGGGTAGTGTGTCCTATCAACACCTTGTTTAGGGTCTTCTGGCCTCCATAGCTGTGAAAAATAAGTTTCCTTTGTTTTAAGCCATTCTGTTTGTAATAATTTGTGATTGCAACCCTAGGAAATGAATATGATCTCCTAACTGACACCAGACACAAAACTTTAAGATGAGTCATAGACTTAAATGTGAAAAGTAAAACTCTAAAGTTCCTAGAATAAAACATAGATATAGGAGAATTATCTTCATAATCTCATTGTTGGCAAAGATTGCTTGAAAAGCACAAAAGGATCAGGATAGACAGCTAATGCATGTGGGGCTTAATACCTAGGTGATGGGTTGATAGGTGCAGCAAACCACCATGGCACATGATTACCTATGTAACACACCTACACATCCTGCACGTGTATCCTGGAATTTAAAATAAAATAAAAGAAAAAGAAAAGCACAAAAGGAACCCACTATAAATTTTAAAAATCGATAAACTGGACATTATAAAAATTATAAAGTAAAAAGTTAGGTTCATTAACCTGAATATACTTTTAAAAACTCCTAAAAATTGACAAGAACAGCAAATAACTGAATTTTAACTAAATAGACAAAAACTTTAGGCATTTCTAAAAAGAGAATATCTAAACAGCCAGTAAGTATGAAATGGTGCTCAACACCGTCATTTTGAATCTTAAAATTGGGATAATTTCTTTTTCTTCAGCTAATATTACATATGTCACAAGCTTGTTTTAGGACATAAATGAAAGAATGTCTACAAGACACTGGGCCCAGTGTGGGACTCATAGTAAGTGAGCAGTAACTATGATTCCATGGGCAGTGTTCAACTAACCTATTACACAACAGTGTATAAAATACATTGCAGAAAATTTGAAACAGATTTTTAAAAAAATAAGATCTAACAGCAAAGATCTTCTGTTGTAATTTCTTGAGTTGTTACAGTATTTGAATACTAAATGCACACAACTCTCACTTTCCAACTGGGACTAGACAACAACTTTTTGGTTTAATTAAGAGCTGCTGAATAAAATCACCTTGCGAAATAACCCAAAGTACCAGCAGACCCCTGTGACTATTGAGAAGTCTTTATTTCTTTTCTTGCCTCATTCTTCTTGTTTGCTTCTGGAGGCGAAAATGCCAAACAGTAGAGGTTTTGATAGTTTGTTAGTAAATTTATGCTGATGACAATACAGAAGGTGTTTCACGATGTGGCTGTTACTCTCCCTCCAACTTTGTCTTTACTGTTGTCTTTCTTCCACCTAATATTTTAGCAACATTGAACTAAAAGTTGAAAGTAGATCTCTGATCTTGTCATACTATCTCATGTCTTACTTGTATTTATATCTGCTATTTTCCCCCCGAAACACACTTCCCCCTCAACTACTTTTCCCCAAGCTAGTCTAGCTCTTACAAATCTTTAAATCTCTGTCCACAAGTCATCTTCTTCTAGCAGCCCTGAGCAGCCCTTCCAAGTTTCTACAGATCTCTGTCAGAGCGCTTAAGACAACACATTAGTGATGTCTCAATGCCATCCCTCCCTCTCTAAACCCGTGTTTCTCTAGCATTTTGGATTTCACTCAATTACAAGGGGCAAAATGCTTCACAGCATGCTTCTCCCACTGTTATTTGGTAACGGATTAAGGACTCTGCAATAACAAAGAATTGTATCCATTCCTTTCTTATCCAAAAGATCCTGGAGACCCACCAGTGGGCCACAGATAATACCCTGGAAATCACCAGGCACACAAATATTCTCAAAGTCAGGAACTGGTGTAATGGTTAAGTATGTGAGATCAGGCCAAGTTCTCAAGTTTGAATTGAGGCTCACTCACTTACCAGTGGTGTCTTGTGCAAATCACCTAACCTCTCTCTCAGTTCTCTTGTCTGTACAATGACAATCATAATGGTATGTTTCTCATCAGAATAAAATCAGTTAATGCAAAATATTTACAAGAATGCTTAGTGCATAATAAATACACTCTAGGCAATAGCTATTATAATTAGTGGAGTTATTTCTATAACATCAGCTCTTACCACATTTCCTACAACATAGTAGATGTTGAATAACTGTTTACTGAATGAATTAGTGGATCAGCTCATATGGGCTGCTAACTGCCTAGCATACTGATAAGTGCAGAGAGGAATGTGACTCAGCTGCACCTCAACCCATTTTTGTCATTGCTTATAACTGCATTAAGCAGTTTGAGGACATCTGAAGAAAAGAACCAAGAACCGTCCCTTACTGGGGTGAACTTCAGTCTGGAGAGTTGTGAGAAGACAAAGAGGTGCTTGCCTTCTTCTGTGTGCACAGAAGCAAGATGATCCTAAGGAGGAAAGAAAGGGCTGAAGAGAGAAAGAGAGAGAAAGAGAGAGAGAGTAGGGGAAAGAGAGAGGGAAACAGAAAGCGAGCGAGTGAGAGAGTGTGTGTGTGCAGGGGAGAGGCAGAGAGAGAGACAGATTGTGTGTGTGTTTATGTGGCGCGTGTGAGTGTGTGTGTGTGTGTGTGTGTGGAGAGAGAGAGAGAGAGAGATTGGATTAGAAGCCAGGAAATTGGGGTTAATTCTCTCTGTGTGGCATTGGGCAAAGTCATTTAATACTATCATTTTCTCCACCATATTGGAATTATTTATGCTCTAGTTGTTCCCAGTAGACAAACTCCTTGGGGAAGAATCCATGTCTCATCCATCTTTAGTGTCCTGTGTTTCACACAGTAATGGCGCATGGCTGCCTTTGGGTAAGAGTCTTTCAAAGGGAACTAAATGCAAAGCCTCTATTCTTTATTTATGAAGATGCCTGCCCAGCCCATCTTTGAGATCTTGATTAATTAATTAGTGAGAGTGCTTCCTTTGAAGACCTTTAAATATTCCAAAGGCTACAGAAATTTATGCTATTACTATTAGTGTTTTCTGAAAAATAGCAAGTAACCAATACACACAAAAGGCACGATTTACAAAGCATTTTCATATCCAATGACCAATTTAATTCTGGCTGACACCTTGATTTATAGAAAGGCATTACTATGCCAGTTTCTCCAAAGTTCCTGTTTTAATGAACATTTTGGGAATAAAAAAGTATGTTTTACATTCATTGAGAGATGCTTGTTTTCAAAATATTTTTAGAGTAATTCTTGCCTAATAAAAATAATCTGTTTTTTTTTTTTTTTTTCTCACAAAAGTTTGGATGTTTCACACGTTGCATTTACCTGGGTCTGAATATGAACATTTTTTTTCCCTCAGTATCAGAGAACTCTTCAGATAGAACATTTCCTGTACATATCATGGTTTAGAAATTTTGAGGCTGGGAGCAGTGAGTTGTGCCTGTAATCCCAGCCCTTTGGGAGGCCGAGGCAGGCGGACCATCTGAGATCGGTAGTTTGAGACTAGCCTGACTAACATGGAGAAACCCCATCTCTACTAAAAATACAAAATTAGCCAGGCGTGGTGGTGCATGCCTGTAATCCCAGCTACTTGGGAGGGTGAGTCAGGAGAATTGCTTGAACCTGGGAGGCAGAGATTGTGGTGAGTCGAGATCGCGCCACTGCACTCCAGCCTGGGCAACAAGAGCAAAACTCTGTTGCAAAAAAAAAAAAAAAAAAGAAATTTTGAAAATTGATATATTTATTTGTTTTAAAAGAGTATAAAATAAAATAAATGTTGAGAGTGAGTGCAGATTAGGAGTTGGATATATACTTGTGTCTCATTTCTCTCATGGCCATGTGCATATAAGAATCCTTATCTGAGCCGGGCGCGGTGGCTCACGCCTGTAATCCCAGCACTTTGGGAGGCCGAGGCGGGCGGATCACGAGGTCAGGAGATAGAGACCATCCTGGCTAACACGGTGAAACCCCGTCTCTACTAAAAATACAAAAAAATTAGCCGGGCGCGGTGGCGGGCGCCTGTCGTCCCAGCTACTCAGGAGGCTGAGGCAGGAGAATGGCGTGAACCCGGGAGGCGGAGCTTGCAGTGAGCCGAGATTGCGCCACTGCACTCCAGCCTGGGTGACAGAGAGAGACTCTGTCTTAAAAAAAAAAAAAAAAAAAAAAAAGAATCCTTATCTGTAAAACAGAGAAAAAGCCTGTAATAGCTCCTAAAGTGATTTTGAGGACTACATGAAATAATGCTGGTGAAGAATTTAACACTGGGCTCAGCAAATAGCAAATGCCTAACAAATAACACGTTTCACTGTTTCTAATAACTATGTTGTATAAATGAATCATAGTTATTAATAAAATACTTTTACACTAATAATAGTAAATGTAGGGGTGGTTTTGTTGTTAGGAAAACCAGTGACCATGCTTTGGTATGACTTCCAGGCCAGTGAATAATTCACAAGTAAGATCAGTTTAGGGGCTGGTAAATGACAGCATTTTGTTCCATTCTGTGGTTGCAGTTGGTATCTGTTTTTCATGGCTGCTGTCAAAAGCCACCGCATATACAGTTCTGGAGTTAGAAGTGTAAAATGGGGGCCAGGCACAGTGGCTCACGCCTGTAATCCCAACACTTTGGGGGGGCCGAGGTGGGTGGATCACCTTAGGTCAGGAGTTCGAGACCAGCCTGGCCAACATGGTGAAACCCTACTAAAAATACAAAAAATTAGCCGTACATGGTGGTGAGTGCTTGTAATCCCAGTTACTTGGGAGACTGAGGCAGGAGAATCGCTTGAACCTAGAAGGCAGAGGCTTCAGTGCTGACCTCCAGCCTAGGCAGCAGAGTGAAACTCCGTCTCAAAAAAAAAAAAAATAGTGTACAATGAGTCTTGCTGGGCTAAAATCAAGGAATGAATGCAGCAGTGTGGCAGTGTGTTCCTTTCTGGAGGGTCCTGGTCAGAATCCTTTTTCCTTTCTAGACACCACCTACATTGCTTGGCTCATGGCCCTCTGACATCTTCAGTCAGCAATGCCACATCTTTCTGTGCATTTCTTCCATAGTCATCTTCCCCTCTGATTTTTTTTCCTACCTCCCTCTTCTACTTTTAAGCACCTTTGCAATGATATTAGACATACTCATACAATCCAGGCTAATCCTACTTTGAGGTCAGCTGACTGGCAACATGAATTCCATCTGCATTTGATTTCTCTTTTCCATGTAGCCTGACGTAGTCACAAATTTCAGAGGTTAGGACATGGACATCCTTGGGGTGGAAGTGGGAGGCATTACTCAGCCTCCCACATAGCTCCAAATAATACTAGGTTAGAAGACAATTATCTGCTCTGAATCTGAAATTAGGAAAGATGTAGGTTTTGATTCTGATTTCAGATTTTGAACTGATACTTCCTATGGCCCCAGGCCCTGTTTTCATATGGCCCTGTTTTCCTACCAGAATGCATTCTTAGATATAGCTATTCTACAAGATAGTCTTTGTTTCTGGGAGGGTCGTGAACTATCACGAAATCCAGCCCAGTCTGATACAACAGCAGAAATTGACAATGGCTTAAATTTTATGTCTTTTTAATATTGTTCTGACTTCCTGTATTTTCCTGCTTCTTTGAAAGCCACCTAAAAAGGCCCAGTGTTTACAGCATCCTTCAAAACCCACATCTAATTTCCTGCAAAGTCAGGAAAGCTTAGGGGTGAAATAAAAATGTCAGAGGATTTAGTGGCTGTGAAGCTCGCCCTGACAGTGGAAGGAGCTGCATCCCATGCAAGTCATGACCAGCTTTGAATTGTCCCATCCGGATGGGAAAATATGAACAACTGTGGATCATATGGCTTTCCTGTGCCAAGCGCTTTATATGCAACATCTCTAAGTATCATCACCATCATTGTGAAACAAATAAAAATAAATTTTAAAGGGACTAAATAACTCATAGGACATTCAGCTTGTAAGTAGCATCAGAGGCAGGAGTCAAATCACAGTGATTATCATTCTAACAGCAAATAGTTTTCCAGCTTCTCCAAGCCTCCCCTGCACACACTTACGCTGGTTGTACATCACAGTGCTTGGTTTACAATCTATCCTAGAATGAGAGCTGTTGGAAATCTGAACCACGATTCTTTCATTTGTCTCCTGCTTCTAGTCTTGTGCCTGGTGTGTAGTCAAGCTTCAGCAACATTTGCTTATTTTAGGAAAGTGTGGCTCAACTAGGACACTGGTATGAGTGTCTTAACTGCACCAACCTACAGAAAAACCCATTTTTGGAAAGACAACATCAACTTTGGTACTGGTGGAAAATTGGCTCAGGATAATTTTTTCTTCATAAGCCATTCCCGTGATATTTGATTTGGCTTTCTGAGACATATTAATCAATCCTCAAAATTCCACTGAGGAAGCAACTCTACTCATTGGTAATCAGCTGGTATTTATCTACTGAGACACTTGGGAGGCAAAATGGAAAATGAAGCCCTTTTGCTGGAGTGCTTTAATTTAACCCCTCTCTCCCAATTTCATTTGAAACTCATTTATCTTGCAGAGGTGCACCACTCTGCCTAAAAGTAATACTCTTAAGGCAATTAGCACATATTTTCTGAATGACTCACACTTACTAAGTAACAAACATTGTTTTTGTCCCTGGGTGGTGTATATTTGGATATCATAGGACTAGCAAATGTTCAATCCACATAATACAACATTTATCTAAAATTCAAATATATCATGTATGTAGTACTCCACAAGTACAGGCTAAAGTCTCTTTTAAAAATTTTTTTAGTCTTCTCGGGATCTTTTTCTTTTTGGATGGCTTTTTAATACTATGGAATATTTTTAGTCATTTAGGACCAAAGTGCCCTTTGACAAATTTGCCTGAAAATATCCTGCACATAAGCAAACCAGGAAAATATATGAATCCATTTAATGCTTGAAACAGTATCTATCATAACACATATGAAATGTGACAATTATGCTAAATATTCAATATTTGAAACACTTTTTAAACCTCTTCCAGAATGGCTAGAATTATAACGATAATGTTAAGGACATGGAGCAACTGGAATGTTTATGCACTGAGAATGAGATTATAAATTTGTACATTCAGTTTGAAGATGTAATGACAGGATTTGCTAAAGCTAAACAGGCATACATCTTAGGATTCAGCAATTCAGCTCCTTCGTGGTATATGTTTGTGTCCACGTGTGAATACTCCTTGGTTTTACACATATAAATATGCTGGGTTTTTCACCAAAAGATGCATTCATTTCTGTCCAAATAATTTTTGTATATGGCTTTATTGATAATAGTCCCAAAGTAGAAATAACTCCTATTTCCATGAAAAGTAGAATGAATTAATGTGATCACACACACACACACACACACACACACACACACACACGGAAAACTGCATAAGAATGAAGAACAAGCTATTACAGTAGACACCAACATAGTCGAGAGTCACAGACATAAAATTATTATGTAAAAGTCTGAAACAAAATGAAGTTAAAAACTAATCTATGATAAATGATTGAGGTCTCTGACGATTGAGGTCATGTTCCTTGGGAGGATCTGTGAAGGAGGTTTTCAGCATGCTGCAAATGTTCTATATCTATTCTGGCTGGTAGTTATGTGAGGATATACACATGTAAAAATCCATTGAGGTATATATTCATAGCACATTATGATATGTAAATTATACCTCAATAAAAAGTGAAATAAAGTACATGCATGAATCATATATTTTAGGTAAATATGTGGAAAATTGACTACTAGGCCTATGGCCTTATAAAGAAAGGCATAGAGCCTTTAAATGCAATTTTCTCTATAGATCCTTTATTAACACTGCTATTGGAAGGGTGCTCCTCTTTTTTTGAGACCCCATAGCACTATGTGAGTGTTCTTCACATGGGACCTATTTATTCTTCTTTCTCACCTATAGGTGTGTTATGTTATGCCCCCACTCTATTCCACAAGATAGGGGATCTTGGAATGCAGAGATGCAGAGGTCACATCAGACTCATTCTTGTCCCCCTCCTCCCTCCATGTAACATTGCCACAGTGTCCAGGTCCCCCTGTAGGGACAGCCTACATGGGTGTATTAAATTTGATACCTAATCCATGCCACTTAACCTGGGGGAGCTACTGTATTAATCTGCTTAGACTGCCATAAAAGAATATCACAGACTATGTGGCTTACACAATAGAAATATTATTTTCTCAGTGTTCTGGAGACTGGAATTTTAATATCATGACGTCTCCAGGATGGGTTTCTGGTGAAGGTCCTCTTGCTGACTTGCAGATGACCACCTTTTGTCCTCCATGGCCTTTCTTCTGTGTGTGCTGCAGAGAGGAGGGGTCTCTAGTATCTCTTCGTCTTTTTACAATGCCAGTAGTCCTGTGGGATCATGGCCCTACTTTTATAATCTCATTTAGCACTAATTAGCCCCTTAAAAGCCCTGTCTCCAAATATAGTCTCATTAAGGGCTACAGCTTCAACAAATAAATTTGGGGTGTGGAGGACAAAATTATATTTATAACAGCAACATTGGCTGAGCCTCTTTTTCAAGTTCCCTTGGCTCCTGAAATTCTCTGCTCACCTCATCTTCACCATAGGTTCTGCATGGACTTCTAGTCCCATTATTCCTCCTGCTCCCATGGTCTGATCTCACATTCTCTCACCCCTTGGTTCGTTCCTCAGCTTGCCATTCCTAGTCATTAATTGGAAAAGTCCTTAGATAGAATCCTAACCAGGTAGAACCCCACAGAGGACACCAGCCCTGGGATCCTCTGATGTCTCTCTTACAGTATTCGTAACATTTCTTCCATGACACTATGTATTTCCCCAAAAAACTCATGTTCTACGAAAATGCTTACGAAAAATCACAAACCTTATGAGAAAAATCAGATTAGAGGAAGATGACTCAAAATTTATAAGAGACTCTAGCTAGAACCCTAATAAAAACAATAACTATTCTAACTGGAAACATAATACACAGTTAGATTGCTACTGGCTTCTTCCTACATTACAGTCAATATTTGTCCCCTTAAATATGGGGCTTAATCCTCTTTCTTAGCAATGTAGGTCTTTGAAGGTCATTTGCTTCTATTAGAGCGCACAATGATCAATCTTAAAAGTCTGATCCAAGATGTAGCTTTCTCCATTCATTCATTGTTTCAATTCAGAAGGAGATGTCGTCGTAGTTCTTTGTCTGCACAAATGTCCCTCCCTGTTAGGTTAACATAGTGGAAAGCCTGCAGCTCTGGAAGCCAATAAATTAGCTACCACTTGCACTAAAGAAAGTCCCTTCCATAGATTTTCAATTTTTACTTCTGATCTTTCTTTTTACTTGTTGTCCTTGATTGCTTCAAAAATACCCACATATTGAAAAAACTGTGCAGGGATCAGCACAACTTCTATACTTTATTGACATCATTTCTCCATTTACCAATGGCCTTCCAGATAATCCCTGCCAAAGAAATACTCATTATAACTAAACAGAATGTGGCAAACCTTCAAGCCCTGCTCTTTCAAGATACTCCTTGCCACTTTCTCTATGTTTCAATCACCAGAGCTGGCAGGGACACAAAATTAACCTTTTGTGTTACTGACAGGCAATTAAGAAATACATCAATTCCTAAATCTACAATCTGGGAAAAGGAATTTTAAGGCAGAAGAGGAGACAGTGTCCAAGACCCTAGCAAGGATTAATTAGCTCTTTTATTCACATAGTCGTGCATTCAATTAACATGTTTTGAGCATAAACACTTTATTAGATAGTAAGCAAAAGAAAGAGACTCAGGTTCTGCTCGATGCTGCCACTTATGTTACTTTACACAATGCCCACAGCCATCTGGTGAGGCAGATATTCTTTCTCATTCTCTTTTGCATATGAGGAAGCTGAAGCTCCCCAGTAGATGACAACACAAGTATGATGCACCCAGAGTAGAGGACTCATTTGTGCTGTCACTCAAAAAATCGCTGATACAAAACTGATAGATTCAGAGCATTATTTCAGGCTCTCTCCTGACTTTCCTCTTGATTGAGCCAAGATTTCCTTCCCTCTGACCCATCTACATTCTTCGAAAGTAGATTAGCTTTTCTAATCTTCCTGAGTTGTGATTTAGCTTTTCCCTAACATGCTGCTTCTATGATGGCCCTCTCAGTTTGAAATCATATATCCCACATGCAAATGACACTCATTCCTGGTCATGCTTGGGGTCAGAGAAATTGTACTTGGCCTAAACATAGTGGCTTGAGGCCCTAGATTTCTAGAAGGTGACATTGGGCATAGACACGTAGTCATACATTAGGGTATCTACAAGTATTCTCTTTTTCACTTGCTCAAAATTATGCAACAATAGGACAGAACATTATTTGAGAATTGCTCTGTGTGCATCTAGATTCCATGCTCATTTAGCAATGCCATTATTTCCTTCTTGTATAATTAAAAAGACATGCAAGATACAGCTTCTATTCTTAAAGCATCACAACTGATTGGTGGGAAGGGAGAGTCACGTCCATTAGATGCATGATCTAATGCCATCAGTGTGAAATGTTCAATTAGAGACACAGGTTCTTAGAGTGACTGGAGTCAGAAGAGCCACATGACATTGGATATTGAGTGGATTAAAAAAAAACTCCATAGAGGGCCTCAGATGTTTAACTGGGCCCTGAAGAAATGGGACTCTAGGTTACCAACGGGAAATTGGATAATTTAGTCAATCGTTCTTCTCCTCTTAAAAAATGTTTACATATTGACAAAACTGTTCAGGGATAAACCTCCACCTCTACCACCACAGTTGCACATGATTTTTAAGTTGTCTCATACGTGTTTCAAGTTTGTCCTGTGTAGGACATAATCTCACTAACTCCATCTAGCTATATTGTCTCCAGCCACCATTTATTTATAAATTATATGGAAACATTAATTCTTCCTGGACCGTAGAGTGGAATTACAACCAAGTGAAACTTGGCTGTTCTTGGCCTTTCCCCCACCTCCTGAATACATCATACATGACCCTGCTCTTAAAACTTTCAATGTATTCACTCATCCTTAGCCTTAAATTGCTGTAAAAACGTCTGTCTTCAAGTCAGCCCAGCGCTCTTGGAATCAGTGTTCCCACAACTTAATCCCTGTGGGCACTTTCTGACATCCCTTTTGGGTTGTACAAGTAATGAATCATCTCTGAAACTTCTGGAATCTGACTTCTCCTCCTCCAAGGCTCCTTTTAGACTTTCCTTTCCATTTGCCAAAGCCTCTGATAACTTAGAAAATTCAGTAATGCACCCATTGATTCCAAGGAAAAGTTTTTCCTATGTATTTCCCTTATGGAACTGTGCTTTTCTTCTTTCTCCCTTTTCATGGCATAGATTTCTGCAGTTCCAGGAAACTCCTACACATAGGCATTATTTGAAGCCATGAAATTTCTCTGGTGAGTCACAACATGTCTTCAGTTCTCCCTTTCCTCTATAAAGTTATAGAGAGTTGGATGAGAGAGGTGGTAGAGCACAGTCGTTAAAAGCCCCCACTAGAGTCACTCAGTCTTGATTTAAATTTCTGTCTGACATTAGCTAACCTTCACTAAGTTATTTGACTTCTTTAAGTTTCCACTTTTGATCTGTAAAATGGAAGAATAATCACAGAAAGAATTAAATAAGAAACCACATGTAAAATGCTTAGGGCAGTGCCTTACCCACTGAACACATACACTCCCTAAGTGTTGACTATTTTTATTTTGATTCATGAGTTCATCAATTATTTATTAAGATCTCTCTCCACACCCCTTACACCAGGTACTAGGCCAGACACTAAATATAAAGTGATGTACAAGACTGATGTAGCCCCTGCTCACTAGGTCATTAGAGTTCCTTTAGTTGGTTAGTGACATGGACAAACCACAATCTTCCTGTGTCTTGTCACTTCCACCTCCTTGTGTCTCATTCTCATGGCTACTGCCCATTCATGAGGGGAAGATAAAACAGAGGACATAGGTACATACATTAAATCCTTATTATTGGCCAGTGTCCATGGTATATCTTTTTCAAAAGAATAAATGCAGCATAAAGTGATTAAGGGTGAGAAAGCAACGAAACAGGGGTGCGCTCACCTGCTCATCATCAGCAAGGAACTTCTTCAGGGTGCAAACAGCAGGCCAGCATTTCCACCGTAAACTTATCTGGTAGTTGAGCCACATTGTGCACGTACAGAAAAGGTGATATACATAAGTGACAGTAGCATTCTAGTTCCCTGAAAAGAAGAAAAGTAGAGGGGGATATTGTGACGTTGCTACATAACTCCAGTCTTGGCTCAGCAAGAGAGCTGTAGGAATAAGAATAAGAGGAATAATACTACTAATACTACTACAGTAATGATGAAGTAGCTTTGTATTTGTGTAATGTAATTCACATTACCGACAACAAGAAGTGACAGCCAAATTATGCATTATTTCCATTTATTGATGAAGAAATGGTCCCGAGAAACTAGAAGAATTTTCCAGAGACACACTCTCTTTAGAATGTAATGGAGTTAAAACCTTTTCCCCACTAGATTGAGCCACGGTTGAGGTCAGGGGCTGTGATCATTCTGAGCAATACTCAGAAGAGGTTAGCATGAGAGGTTCTGGGGGTCAGCATATCCTTGTTTTAAGTTTCAAATCCAGCCCTGCACTCACTCACTGTGTGTCTTTGGACAAATCACATAAACTCCCAGAGTCAAGTTTGTCATTCACTGAACAGGGCTTAATGTGATTACTTCTCAGTTCTCCTGTGAGGATTCAGTGGGATCATACACATAAAGGGTTTAGCCCGGTGCATGTAGAAAGTGCTCATTAAATGACAGTCATAGTTTCTTTTTTTCATTTTCCTCCCCCTTATCTGCTTCTCCTCCTCATTTTCTCATTATTATTACTACTTTTATTGTTGTTATTATATTGCTACTATTACTGCTATATAGTGATATAGTGAAATACATAATGGGTTTGGAATTCTAGTTCCAGCTATACCACTTTCTAGCCTTCTTGATTTTGCTGAACTGAGAGTCAGAAGAGATATGTTTCTAGGTTATTTCCAATCATTATGCCATCTCGGAAGTGGCAGGGGTGCTATACTAGACTGAGACAAATACCCCATTTTCTCATTCATTAATTACTCTTGAATGCAACCAGCCTGCCTCTAATTCATATATCTCTAAATCTGTATTAGACAAACAAGTCTTCTATTTAGTCATGATTAACGTGAAGGGCTTGCTCTCTGGTTGGTTGATTTAGTGGCGAATCTGGCCTGTAAGTCACATCTTTTACAAACAAGAAATATCAGTCATTGGTTTATCCAGACCAGTCTTTCATTTCCAGTGTTATAGGCCAAAGCAAACAGACTTCCCAACATCAAATAGTCTCACGAGCTGAAATGGCATTCCTTGCTTGTAGGCATGTGGTAGTAACACTCCTAGGTGAAAGAATTGGATCAAGGGTGACAATGGCGGCCAGGAAATGTCTATTATGCATGGGGTGTTTCCTTCTTCTTGCTGCCGTATCATAGTGGAAAGGGTGAGAATTCAAGACACGTTGGATCTGTATTTGAGTTCTAGCCATGTGATGGGTAAAGAGTTAGATCTCCCAAAGTTGTGGTTTCCTCATCTTTCAAATTGGATTGGCAACACTTGAGTTGTTATGAGAATTAGAAGTGCCTTATAAGCTGGGCACAGTGGCTCACGTCTGTAATCCCAGCACTTTGGGAGGCTGAGGCAGATGGATCACCTGAGGTCAGGAGTTTGAGACCAGCCTGGCCAACATGGTGAAACCCCATCACTATCAAAAATACAAAAGTTAGCCAGGCATGGTTGTGCATGCCTGTAGTGCCAGCTACTCGGGAGGTTGAGGCAGGAGAATTGCTTGAACCTGGGAGGTAGAGGTTGCAATGAGCTGAGATCACGCCACTGCACTCCAGCCTGGGCAACAGAGCGAGACTCCATCTCAAAAAATAACAAAAAACAAAACAAAACAAAACAAAACAAAAAACCCCAAACGACTTAAAAATGCTTTACATGGAGTGTCTGACGTGGTATTTGCCACATAGCACAATAAACTCAATATTGTTTAATGCTCAATAAACTATAGCTGTATAGCTGTGATTACTATGGTTAGTATTTAGCTAAAATGATTTAATTTTGTTTTCCACAAAGGTAAAAAGGTGGTATTTATCTTCTAACCAGATGTAGGTTATTCTGGTATCAGAATGTGAAGCATGTGCTCCTGCTATTTGCTGGGCTCTGGGGCTCAGCATTGCCTTTACTTCTCAGATACTGATGTAGTGTCTCTGCCATCCTCTGTCCTGAGGAGCTCACTTAGCTGGTGACAGCATCAACTGCAGAAATTTCCACCTAAGCAGAGGTAGATTTCTATTTCTCACTTTGGCCTCTCTGCTTCTCATTTCCCAATCAGCCTCCCTGCAGAGTGGGAAGGGACAAGTTCCCACCCTCTGTTATCCCCATGGTGGGTGCATTACCCAAGTATTAGTGTATCTAGTGGCATACCCTGTGTATCAGGCAGGGCTCTCCAGAGAAGCAGAACCAATAGGAGATTATATATATATACACACACATATTTTATTGAGAGGAATTAGCTTATATGATTATGGATGGTGAGAAATCCAATGATTTGCTGTCTGCTAGCTAGAGATCTAGGAAAGCTACGGGTGTATTTCAGTCTGAGACTGAAGGTTGAGGGCCAGGAGAGCTGATGGTATATAAATTCCAGTCAGATGTCAGCAGAATGTGAGATGAGATGACTGAGCTGAAGCAGTTCTTTTGTTCTATTCACTTCCTCAAGGGATTGGATGATGCCCATCTGCATTGAAGAGGGCAATTTACATTACTGAATCCACCAACTTAAATGCTAATATCATTCAAAACACCCTTGCAGACACTCCCAGAAATAATGTTTAATCTGGGCATCCCACGGCCCAGCCAAGTTGACATATAAAATTAACTATCACACCTTGTTCTTTTTTTTTAAAAATTTTATTATTATTATACTTTAAGTTTTAGGGTGCATGTGCACAACGTGCAGGTTTGTTACATATGTATATGTGTTCCATGTTGGTGTGCTGCACCCATTAACTCGTCATTTAGCATTAGGTATATCTCCTAATGCTCTCCCTCCCCCCTCCCCCCACCCCACCACAGTCCCCGGTGTGTGATGTTCCCCTTCCTGTGTCCATGTATTCTCATTTTTCAATTCCCACCTATGAGTGAGAACATGCAGTGTTTGGTTTTTTGTCCTTGCGATAGTTTGCTGAGAATGATGGTTTCCAGTTTCATCCATGTTGTTCTTTAACTACTTACAAACACCACTAGGAGAGCTGATCAACCCATATTCAGGTGCTAGCTGTTATACTATTCCCTATATCACACCTCCCCTTTGCTCCCAACCAGTCTTCAGGCCCTGTTGGTGAATTGATAAAGTTCTAGCAGGCTCAGTTTCTTTTATGATAGATCTTCTGGCCTTTTAGTCCCAATTGTGAGGTTGGCAGATTTAAAAAAGTTTGAACTCCCAAAACTGAATATAGTTCAAGTCATTATCCCACATCCCTGGCCTCATGAGGCTCTTCATCTTAAGTGCCCATCAGTGGATGCACTGCCCATGGATACATTGAGGGAGGCAGAATGTGGGCTCTGTCACCATCAGACTCACTTTTTGGTCATATCAAGTAATTGGTATGAATTAATTCCAAGGAAATGTGTGGTGTGAAGAGAGAATAGAAAGGGAACTAGATCTGACAGAAATCTCTGTGCCAGTATGATGATGATCTTCAATGTGTATGTGGCCATTGGTCTGGTGCTTGCTCAGTTCCATTGGTTTCTTCCAGCATGCAGTAACAGAATACTGCATAGTATAGCAATAGCATAACTCTATGTAGACGCTAGTGTCTGGTGAGCAAAAGCATAAGAACTTAGTTCCATTTAATGAGCACCTAAAATGTGGGCATTCAGTCATAATCCTCACAACCATTGCAAGGTGACTGGTATTTATTCTATTTTACCAAAATAGGAACTAAGATTCAGGTAAGTTACACAAGATTCTTAAGGTCACACAGTGGGTTAGGGACAAGGGAAGAAAGAAATCTCAGGTTCATAATAAATCCAAAACTCATGCTCCCTTTTCTTCTACTCAGTGGTGATGAGTCAGCATCACACTAGGGATGGTTCTGATTACTCTAGGCTAAATCTGAATACATATTTGCTTTATTTAATCAGCCTACACAGAGGTTTCTTTTCAGCACAAAGAAGTACCATTTGAAAACATCCAAAAATAGTTCCTTTTTCCTCTTCAGAATTAAGTTATTGGATCACCCTAATAAAAGCAAAGCAACAAAACAGAAAGATGTTCAGATTTTTCTCTTTTAAAACTAGGATCAAACAACATAAATAATCCATGGAAGATGCAGGATCCAACTAACCTAATATCTTCCAAGCTGACTTTCTCTCTTTCTAAACTGGTTCACTTTCTCACATTAATTCTATTTGGCATATATAACAAAGGCCAAGGACAAAACTTGTAGTACATATGGCTAGGAAAAGACTTTATATCTCCTATGCAAGAAGGCTCCCCAACAGGGCAAAGAAACCCATGGAACATTGCTTAGATTGCCTTGTTGTCACTTTTGATTTTATTTTTGTTATTAACTTCTGTGCAAGTTCAGCAAACTGATGCAAAACATAACGTGAGAACATATTTATTTAATCTTTGTGAGCAAGACTTACATCACAGTTGGGGAAGTTTGCTAAATTAACTATCTCAGACTCCCTAAATATTCAGTCAGTAATTTATTTTACTCTTTAAGTTTTGTTTTAGTTACTCCTTTATTGCACCTCAACTCTGAGTTCTGGAAAACTTAGTGGGTATCAAATCTTGCAAACCTGAGCAAGGTTTTTCTCTTGTTTCCTACTGATTAAATTAGTAAGAACGGCTGGGCGAGGTGGCTCACGCCTGTAATCCCAGCAGTTTGGGAGGCCGAGGCGGGCGGATCACCTGAGGTCGGGATTTCGAGACCAGCCTGACCAACATGGAGAAACCCCGTCTCTACTAAAAATACAAAATTAGCCTGGAGTGGTGGTGCATGCCTGTAATCCCAGCTACTCGGGAGGCTGAGGCAGGAGAATCGCTTGAACTAGGAGGCGGAAGTTGAGGTGAGCCGAGATCGTGCCATTGCACTCCAGCCTGGGCATCAAGAGTGAAACTCCGTCTCAAAAAAAAAAAAAAAAGAAAAAAGTTAGTAAGAACATATCATAGCTGTTATCCACTCCAGAATTGACTACTTAATACACAAAGGCAACATGAAATATGTACTTTTGACCATTTCGGAGGTGAGTCGCAACAAAATCTCATCAACTGGGCAAGTATTTGCGCTTGACCTCCTGGTATTTAGGAGGCAATAATAAGAATAAAAGCAGAAAAAGAAAAGCCACTTTTCTTCAGGAATTTACAGATACAATTAGCTTTATATGAGATGGTAATCTTTTATTAAAAGAGCTTACCGTGTGTCAAACACTACAGGAAATTCTTTATATCCAGATTCAATAGAATACAGAGATTTCTTTGGATTTGGCAAGAGGGCAAACCAAAATTTTTCTTCATTTTTGGATAAGTGATTTT